>NC_000017.11:55685980-56310980 GCF_000001405.40 Homo sapiens
ACATATCATGGTTTTAAACCTTGTTCATTTTAGAGCAGACATCCATCTGTCTTATTCACTACTTTCCCTGGGGCCTCAACACTGCTAGTATACAGTAAGGTGGTTGGTAGGTACGTGAATGATGAAATGCATAAATGTCTTCAGTGATAGAGATATAGTAGTAAACAAATCTAAAGGCTTGTGATGACTTTCATTATGTTCACAGCAGGGTACTTTTAGTGACCATATGATATGGTTTGGCTGTGTCCCCACCCAAATCTCATCTTGAATTGTAACTCCCACAATTCCCACATGTCATGGGAGGAACGTAGTGGGAGGTGGTTCAATTATGGGGGTGGGTCTTTCTTGCACTGTTCTTGTGATAGTGAATGAGTCTCATGAGATCTGATGGTTTTAAAAATGGGAGTCTCCTTGCATAAGCTCTCTTCTTTTGTCTGCCACCACATGAGACGTGCCTTTCACCTTCTGCCATGATTGAGAGTCCTCCTCAGCTATGTGAAACTGTAAGTCCATTAAATCTCTTTCTATTGTAAACTGCCCAGTCTCAGGTATATCTTTATCAGCGGTGTGAAAATGGACTAAAACAGTAAATTGGTACCAGTAGAGTGGGGTGCTGCTGAAAAGATACCCAAAAATGTGAAAGTGACTTTGGAACTGGGTAACAGGCAGAGCTTGGAACAGTTTGGAGAGCTCAGAAGAAGACAGGAAAATATGGAAACCTTTGGAACTTCCTAGAGACTTGTTGAAGAATGGCTTTGCCCAAAATGCTGATAGCGATATAGACAGTAAAGTCCAGGCTGAGGTGGTCTCAGATGGAAATGAGGAACTTGTTGGAAACTGGAGCAAAGGTGACTCTTATTATATTTTAGCAAAGAGACTGGCAGCATTTTGCCCTGCCCTAGAGATTTGTGGAACTTTGAACTTGAGAGAGATGGTTTAGGGTACCTGGTGGAAGAAGTTTCTAAGCAGCAAACCATTCAAGAGGTGATGGGTGCTGTTAAAGGCATTCCGTTTTATAAGGGAAGCAGAGTATAAGAGTTCAGGAAATTTGCAGCCTGACAACATGATAGAAAAGAAAATCCTATTTTCTGAGGAGAAATTCAAGCCAGCTGCAGAAATTTGCATAAGTAACTGGCAGTTGAATGTTAGTCCCCAAGATAATGGGGAAAATGTGTCCAGGGTATATCAGAGGTCTTCACAGCGGCCCCTCCCATCACAGGCCTGGAGGCCTAGGAGGAAAAAGTGGTTTCATGGACTAGGCCCAGGGTTCCTGTGCTGTGTGCAGGCTAGGGACTTTGTGCCCTGTGTCCCAGCCACTTCAGCTGTGGCTGAAAGAGGCCAATATAGAGCTTGGGCCATGGCTTCAGAGAGTGCAAGCCTGAAACGTTGGCAGCTTCTATGTGGTGTTGAGCCTGGAAGTTCACAGAAGTCAAGAATTGAAGTTTGAGAACCTCTTCCCAGATTTCAGAAGATGTATGGAAATGCCTGGATGTCCAGGCAGAAGTTTGCAGAACAGGTGAGATCCTCACGGAGAACCTCTGCTAATGCAATGCAGAAGGGAAATATGGGGTGGAAGCCCCACACAGAGTCTCTACTGGGGCACTGCCTAGTGGAGCTGTGAGAAGAGGGCCACCGTCCTCCAGATCAAAGAATTATAGATTAACTGACAGCTTATACCGTGTGCCTGCAAAAGCTCCAGACACTCAGCACCAGACCATGAAAGCAACCAGGAGGGAGGCTGTACCCTGCAAAGCCACAGGGAAGGAGCTGCCCAAGACCATGGGAACCCATGTTTTGCATCAGCATGATCTGGATGTGAGACATGGAGTCAAAGGAGATTGTTTTGGAGCTTTAAGATTTGACTGCCCCACTGGATTTTGGACTTGCATGGGGCCTGTAACCCCTTTGTTTGGGCCAATTTCTTCCATTTGGAAGGGCTGTATTTACCCAATACCTGTATCTCCCTTATATCTAGGAAGTAACTACTTGATTTTGATTATATAGGCTCACAGGCAGAAAGGACTTGCCTTGTCTCAGATGAGACACTAGACTGTGGACTTTTGAGTTAATGCTGAAATGAGTTAAGAATTTGGGTGACTGTTAAGAAGGCATGATTGGTTTTGAAATGTGATTACACGAGATTTAGGAGGGGCCAGGGGCAGAATGATATGGTTTGGCTGTGTCCCCACCCAAATGTCATTTTGTATTGTGACTCCCACAATTCCCAGGCATTGTGGGAGGAACCCAGTGGGAGGTGATTAAATTACAGGGGCGGGTCTTTCCTGTGCTGTTCTCCTGATAGTAAATGAGTCATGAGATCCAATGGTTTTAAAAATGGGAGTCTCCCTGCACAAGCTTCTTTTGTCTGCTGCCTTGTGAGACTTGCCTTTCACCTTCCACCATGATTGTGAGCCTTCCCCAGCCACGTGAAACTGTAAGTCCATTAAATCTCTTTCTTTTGTAAATTTCCCAGTCTCAGGTATGTCTTTATCAGCACTGTGAAAACGGACTAATACACTATAGTTTCAAAAACCCACCCATGCAGGTATTTCCAAATTGCCTGGCCATGCAACCTGAAAAGAAGAATGAATTGAATGTTAAGAGTTTTGTGGTTGATTAGTGGATGGGAGGGGGTGACTTTCAGATAATTAAAGGCTCCCTGGATAAGACTGATAGCTTTTAAGGATGTCAATACTATTTATCTACTTGGCAGTACAGAGGCATACAGAGTTCTATGCTGGGAGCACTGCTTAGTGCTTCTCTCAGATTATCTCATTGAAGCATCTCAATAATCTCACAAAGCATCTTCCCATTTTGTAGATAAAATAACTGAGACAGAGGAGAGTCAAGTAAGTTGCAAAAACTTACAAAACTGGTCAATGACAAATCAGAGATTTCAAAGCCTGTTTTCACGCTATTGCATATTTCAATTTTGAGAACTAAGACATATTATCCAGATTATAATAGCAGACAGGTGAACTAATAATTGCAGTCCAGGTGCCAGGAAGTCTAGAATTATCCAAGTTACTTCTATTTTGGGTTGAATCTAAAGTGTCCCAGATATTGGCAAGATGAAGGATGTTTTGTGAGAAACTTAAATGATTATAAACAAGGGATTAGGAATTAAAATGAGCATTCTTCCTCACCTTATTCAACTGAGAGCCTACTATGTGCCAGGTACCAGCTGGATTCTGGGGATATAGTAGCGACAAGACAGACACAATGTCCTCTGGAAGTTTCCTTTTGAAGAAATGAGGGTACATTTAATCTTTCACTTATACCATCCACTTTCAGTTCCTTCATAGCAATTGGGTTCTTAACAGAAATGTGGTATGGTGTCAGCCAGGAATTTGTGAATAAGCTTGCTCCAGAGGTCTCTATGGAGATGCTACTTGATGCAGAGCATCAGCGATGGAATCAAATGGTACCATTCCCAGCCACGCCATCATTGGTTCAGCTTGTGAGTGTGGTTTTCTTTAGTTAGTTAAGCTTGACAAATATTCACTTATAGTGAAGAAAATCTTCCTGATACACTGTAAATTTATTGCATGAGTTTTGGAAATGTTTAGGAATTGGTATTGACAGTCTTTGGTGATTGCATGGATATGAAGGGGATGAAGAAATGGAAGAGTCAAGGATAATTTCCAGGCTTTGGGTTTGAGCAATGGGGTGATTGGCAGTGCCATTTACTAAGAGGAAATACACTGGAAAAGAAACAAAATGTTTTGTTTTTGCTTTATTTTGTCTCATTTAGGAAAAAGATCATGACGTCTGTTTCAGATATGTTGAGATAGAGCTGTCTATAGACATTCAAGCGATGTTCAATAGGCAACTGAATACAGGATGGAATTTCAAAAGAGATTTAGTGAAAATGTCGGGAAATTGTCAATAAATAATAACAGTCACAAAGCTGGAAAAACGTGTCTTTTGAGAAGTGTACCATGGAATTCAGTAATCTATACAGAGGGAGTAGTTTTTGCTATTTAGGCAAGGCATTTTTCATTTTGTGGCTTTTTTTTCTTTTTTGCCTTTAACATTCAAGTTTCTTCCCTTGGGGGAAAAATTCAACCAGAAAAAAAAGCAAAGCAAACAAAAACAAAAACCTGATACTACCTTCCTTATAATATTGCTTTTAAACAAGCTTATCTTGCTGAGTCCTTTCAGCATCAAGTCAAATAATCATTTCCCCCAAGGGAAGAAGGCAAGCATGGAAATTAAATTAAATTCTAACAAAACAAGCCAATGTATTTCCCCTCCACTTATGTGCAATCTGTTTCATCCCAGTTGTGACTGATGCCTCGGATAAAACAGCCATGCATCTGTGACTGATTTACACAGTGTTATGCAACACACACTCTGTTATGATGAAAACTCTTGTTTTCTTTGAATTTTGTGTTGTTTAAAAGGGAGCTTTTTCAGTTCTGCTTTTGCTTGAGAAAAATGGTAGGATGCACGTGGATTTTGAGACAAAAGGTCTAGCTTTATCTCCCAGCTCTGCAGGTTTCCACTGAACAATTTTAGTCCATTCTTTCAGAAATGAGGTAACAATTGCCTTTAGGGGGTTCTGAGACTCACACATGCCCAGTGAAGGAGGGAGCTCATGGCAGATACAGTTAGTTGCCTGCCCAGTGTCTATGCCCCCCCTCTTTTTTCCATTAGAACCCCAGTTTTCTTCAGGACCCTAATAGGCCCAACTCTGAATTTGAGTTTGCCTCTTTGTTGGTTAAAAATGCTCAAATATTGGTTATTTCAAGTGGTTCATTCTCAAACAAATATCTCTTTCTTGCCTTTCTTGCAGCTTATGGTGGCACAGGGTTCTTCTGGTCAATGAGGTATTAGAGGGGGGATGTATGGAGGTGGCCTTTTCTAAATAAAAAAGTGAAGCCCATTTTATCATTCCAGGATATGGACATGATGCCTGGAGGAACAACTGACATATTTCAACTGTGAGAATGAAAATCATGCAATAGAGATGTGGAACAGAAAGCTAGAAGAATAATTCACTCAACAAATAAAACTTTTTACTAATTTAAGCCACAGATTAGTTTAGGTTTTCTGTTGCTTGTAGCTGACTGAAATACTTTCTGATACTGTATTCACAAACTGTTAGTTTATTTTCACCTCCTCCTTTGATAATCATCCCACTTTTTAAAATTCCAAGATGAGTAGGGGCCTGAGGCACGGCTTCCTCTATCATTATTGGAGCAAGTTCAAGCTACTAGACTTACTAGTAGTTCTCAGTCTGCAGAAGATATTTGATGAGATGGCCTCGTCCTCAGAACAATCACTATTGTTTTTTGAGCACACACAATGTGCCAGGCATCATGCTAAGCCCTTTGCATACAAGATCTCATTTAATTCCTGACAACAAGGCTATAGGAAAATAACACAAATCAGTACCCACCTTTTGTAGTAAAGGAAAATCAGGAAGAGAGTTTAAGTAACTTGTTCAAACCAACCAGCTTCTAACAGGCTAAAACGTGTAGCATTCACATGTCTTTCTAGCTGCTGTGTCATAATGTTTTGGTTCATCCATTGTGCTATGACCAGTCCAACTACCAATTTTCTTCTTTGCACAGCTGTTTATTTCATTCTTCTATTCTGCCTTTCTCCATAACCGTGCTGTCAAATAGAACTTTCTGTCATGAGAGCAATGCTCTATATTTGCCCACTTCAAATATAGTAGCTACTAGCCACATGTGGTTATTGAGGACTTGAAATATAAATAATGCAACTAAGGAATTACATTTTAATTTTGTTTAATTGTAAGTGGTTTAAATTGAATAGTCACATGTGACAAATAGCTGCCATGTTGAACAGTGCCACTTTAGAAGACCACAACCAGATGCTGCCCTGGCCAGGGCAAGCCAGGCATTAGGTGCCTGCTCCCAGCTACTCTGCCCTTGACAGTCCTGATATTTTCCAGGAGTAGTGGCTGTCCTCCACAGCCCTTTCTTGTGGAGCTGACTAGAGGGGATCAAGCCTTTCAGCAACATTCATACCTTTCTTCAAACTCAGCACTATAAACATGACAGCATCTGGCTTCCCTGTGTCATGGGCAACCCTTGGAACAGAGGTAAAATATCAAAGTCACTGTGAAATGATGATAATAAATGTGTGACATTTTTATGGGTTACAAAAGGTTATGAGACCATCAGTTTTTGAGGTGAATGATTTATCTAGAGAATGTGAATATTTAAAAGGCACAGGGATAGGAAATAAAAACCAAATGAAAAGTATAAAATCCCATAACACTTTTACCTTTCAAAGCTGGAATATCACCCATAATTTTCCTACTTGCAACCTGGATATTAACCTCACTTTTATTTCATAATTGAGTTCTGGATGGTTTCTGACACTACCAGTTAGGTCCCTGCATCAGGAAGCAATTGATCTACTCAGTAGAATTTCTTAAGAAAACTGTTTGTGTATAGTCAAGTAGTTGGGACAGACACATGGCTATTTACAAACTTCCTTCTAGTGATCAAGTTGTGTAGTGTCTCAGGGCAGAAATGGTGATTACTCTTTTAGTTCCCTAACTGGAGACAGGGGATTAGAACTGTTAGATGTAGGGAAATAGCAAGAGCATGATGTAAGGGTTTAGGAAACCTGGATTTCCACTAAGTTGCTGTTACTTTGGGAAAGTCATTTAACCTCTCTCAACGTGTTTCATCATATAAAAGTCGAAATAATTAAGACGGTTGTTCCATCTTCCAAAGTTTGAATTTTAAGGTGCTGGTGCACCTTGAGATAGAAGCAACACGGTGCTTGGGGTGAGCCGAGGAATATTGAGAGATTCCAGAAATTGTTGCAGTGGCTCGAATCAATCCCCTAAGATGAGGAAACGGAGGAGGACGATCTTGAGGGCTTCTATAACAATAAGTCAGTGGTGAAGATTTGGAAAGAGACAACTAAGCCACAAGAGCAGTGGTGCAACTATAGAAGTTCGCATCCATGGATTCCTGAAATTTCTTCTTGTCTGACGTTGACAAGGGGTGTATTGTCAAAGAGAATGTTTAAAGAAAAGAGAAGAACAAGCACACTGAAAAAAAGTGTGGAGGAGAACAGGGAAGGGAAAGATCCCAGAAGAGAGGAACAAAAGAAGTGAGGTCGCAGAGGACAACTCTAAGAAAAAGAAAATTTGACTTGCTATTATCTGCCATAAGTATCTTTTATCATAGTTCTGGACATACACTAGTTCTGGCCACAGTCTTCACCTGTCTGGATGATTGCAATAAAGTCCTAATTTTTGCCTCTGCTTTTGATCTTGCCTCCTTCATGGCATTCTGCATATGCAGCTAAAGTGATTGTCCTAACACACAAATCTGATGGCCACATCACTCTCTTGCTTAAACTCCTTCGTCAGCCTTCCCAGTGCTCCTCAGAATAAAGTTGAATGACCATCATGATCTGACTGTGTCATATCCCTCTAGCAGTGGTTGACTAATGTTTTCTGTAAAAGCCCAACCAGTAAACATTTTCTGCTCTGAAGGCCAAATGGTCTGTGTGGCAACTACCCAACTCTGCTGTCACAGCGAGAAAGCAGCTTAGGCAATATGTAAACGAATGAGTATGGCTGTGTTCCAACAAAACTTTACTTACAAAAACTGGGACCCTCCTGCAGGCCCAGGCCTTAGTTTACTGACTCCTGCCCCATAGTCTCAAAATCAACTCCCTCACCCAATGCCTTAAATCCCTGTACCCAAGACCCATGGAATGACTTGCAATTCCCTAACCATGCTCTGCTCTCTCTCAATATTGTACTTTTGCACATAATCTTCCCTCAGTCTAGGTCAACTTCCACCTAACTCGTTGTCCAGTTAACCTCCAGTTATTTTGTGATTCCACTTGAACTTCCTTCACCAATCTCACTTGAACCTGTATTCTCACTTATCACACTGGTAGACAATTTACCTGTTTGCATATGTCTCTCATACCTCACTATACCATAGGCTATTGGAGAGACGATACCATATGTTACTCATTTCTGTAATAGCCCCAGTGTCCCTGGCAATGAATGGACAATAAATTCTATTTATCACTGTAAGCACTTAATACTCAAGGTCTGTATGTCTTGCTCTATTGCCTAGCTACAGAATGAACACATGCCACTGACTGGTGAGTAATTGAGTTTAGAAAATTAGAGGCCATATCTTTAACAGTTCCAGTTTCTAGAAGTAAAGAGTTTGATATAAAGCTCCAGAAAGAAGAAACTGAACTTAATTTGGAGCACATTTTAGGAGAAAAGAGGGTAAAGGCACTGACAACATCATCTGACTTTATGAAAGACTATGGGTCACTTAAAGAGATATTGTGAGGAATGCACATAGTAAATTTAGCAGACAGATTTGAAATTTGGATGGACAACAAATGAGCGGTAGCACTGTGACAAGGAGAGGATGCACCTGCCATGTCATTTTCATTAGAAACAGAGAACAGTTTTAGCTGGAAGAGCTGACAGCCAAATGCATGCCAAGTAAATAATCTGCATAGGGGGTGTAAGAATGCAAAAACATTTCCGACACAAAGAACAAGGCCTTGGCAGAGTTTTCTGTGAAAAGAGATTGTGAATAAGCCTCCACGAATGTGAAAATCACCCAAAAGGTTGCCCTAAGAAGAGGAGGAGCAATACTAACATTTTGTTGGGTGACTACTGTGCCAAGTACTATCTTACCACGAATAATCCTCACAAAAACTCTTGAAGCATGTTACAATTTTATGGGGGATAAAAATGAGGCTCAAAGGGCTTAAGCAACTTCTATAGAGCCACAAATCTCCATTCTTTCCAGTACAGTAGCAGATGCAGCACAACCAGTGTCTAGTGTCCAAGAAAGGGAAATGAAAAGAACTAAGGTAGTAAAGCCTGGCCAACTGAGTGTAGCGTGTCTACCTGGATTTGCAAAAGAAAGACAGGAGACTAAAATCTCATATTGGGCACCTACATTTTTATGTTTACCGGCATTCAGTCCCCTTCCTGTTCATTCCCCTTCCTGACGGCACTCCAATTTCCTGTTGGAGAATCACCCAAGCCATTTTGTTTAATCTCGTTGGGGTTGTAAATATAAAAGGCTGCCCCTTTCTTTTCTGTATGGGAGTTTAAGGGATGCCTGGAGGCTATTTCTACCAGATCTTTTCTAAAATCTCCCTGATACCTAGGCTTGGGCAATCACACTCCATCTCTTAGGACTTTAAATATTAAGTGGATAGACATAGGCTAAGGAAATGGCTGGAGTTCATTCCAGCAGCATTTCGAAGATTGATAGTTCCTATCATATTTTAAGCCTATTTGTCCAGCTTCTCCACTGATTCTCTGACTCCTCAATTATCTCCCAGTAAATCTCCATTTTGGGCCAGCGTTGTTTTCTATTGCTGACAATGAAGGATGTAACTTGTTGCCTTGTTACCCAAAACAAACAAACAAACAAACAAACAAAAATAACAGAATTAATGATACACATTCAGCACTAAGATATATGCTTTGTAAAAATTCATCAAACTGTATATAAAAGATTTGTGCTCTTTATTGTATGTTGTAATTCAATTAAAATGTTTACAAACCTACTTCTCAATTACAAAAACAGTAGATGGTTTCCTTAGAAATAACAAGGGAAAAATGAAAACATATGCCATACTATGAGGCAGAAAACTAGGTAAACAGCAAGACAACTAAAAAAATAAGCAAATGTAACAGGAATAAGATCAAATAAATCAATTATGACAGTAATGTAGACAGGATTATCTTTTTTTTACTAAAATCTTACACCCTTGCATTGGGCTGAAAAATCACAATAAACTTTATGCCATCTTCAGGCAATACAAGGAAAACAACGCAAAACAGAAATGTCATGCATTAAAGGTGTGAAAGGATATTGTAAGCAAACATTAATTAGAGGGATAACTCTTAATATCAAAAATATACATATTAGACAAAGATGATAATGAAGGTGCAATAGCTTTGAAATGTTAGGCAACAAATAATATCACTCTACCTGTCTTTCTCTCTTTTGCTTTCTCAAAAAAAGAGAAATATTTCAGGTATACAAACATAACATACAGCCACGTTCTCACCAACTAGTTTACAGAATTAAAAAATATGGTTATTTCCACAAATTAATCTCCTCAGTAGTTACCAAACTAAATTTTCTAACCCTACTAGCCTCTAAAGAGCATTTGCTGGGACACTTTGGCAATTGATGGGCCATTGTAGTGAATTGTGTGAATTATTTTTACTGATGATTCATTCAATACCACCATTGTTTCTTTTTAGATACCACACCTCTGTCAAACTAACTTATTACTTATAACCATCTTCAAAATTGTGGTTAGAGGGGATTGCTTTATCTTCTATAATTTCCATTAGCAATCCCCTCCCCCTTCATATACCTGAAACCGATTCTTCATTTTGAGGAATTATCTCAAATTTGTGAGATGGTGCTATGCAAACTCAGGATCAAACACTCCCTACCAACCTGATTGCTGCCCCCAAGGACCCCCAGATAGAAATTCCGAAGCCAACCCTGCTTCTAAAGAATGAATTTTTAAAAACTTTTTATTATTGAATATTTTACACATATATTAAAATAAAGACAGTAGTATAATGACCTTCCTTGAACCTAGTTTTAATCATTATTCTTGGCCAATCTTTCACCTGTACTTCCCTTTGCTTTCTCCTCTTCAGATTATTTTGAAGCAAGTTCTAAATATCGTATTATATCATAGAACTTTTAAATATTTCAATATACAACTCTAAAAGGCTAGGAAATAAAAATTAATTTTCCAGGTTGTTTTTTGACTTCTCCATAAAATAAGAGAACAGGTCTATTTTTATTCACCATTGTATCTTTAGTTCTTATATAGTGTCTAGAATATTCTGAATAAATATTCTTAAATGAATACGTAAGTGAATCAAGAGAGGGTTACTTATGTAAATTAATACTGGGCTGCTTCTCTGCTTGGGTCATAAAAAAGATTGTGCTTAGAAATAATAACAAAGTATAGTTATAAATATTTTAGGAAAAAAAATTTTTTAAAGGGTATATTGTACCTAACATGGCAGAAATAATGAGACCTATAATATAACTATGAAAAAAAATTACTCCAGAAAGTAAAGTAATAAATACCATAGTAGGAAGAGAAATGGGAGAAACCAAAACAAAGGCAGATTTTGTAGGATGAGCTTGTAAGACATTGGTAAGAAATGTTTGTGGAAATTTGACTAATTTGGCAATCAGAAGACAATATTAACTAAGAAGCTATATTTAGCATGTATATGTCATTTATTAATGACAGTGACAAGGATGAATGATTGAATAGATGTGAACATTGTCATAAAACTATTAAGGACTATATTTAAGTTTCAATAACTAAGCTTTTTTTTTTTTTTTTTTTGAGATGGAGTTTTGCTCTTGTTGCCCAGGCTGGAGTGCAATGGCGTGATCCCTGCACACTGCAACCTCTGCCTCCCAGGTTCAAGTGATTCTCCTGCCTCAGCCTCTGGAGTAGCTGGAATTACAGGCATGTGCCACCATGCCCGCTAATTGTTTGTATTTTTAGTAGAGACAGGGTTCCTTTATGTTGGTCAGGCTGGTCTTGAACTCCTTACCTCAAGTGATCCACCCGCCTTGGCCTCTCAAAGTGCTGGGATTACAGGCATGAGCCATCATGCCCAGCCTAAGCTTTTTTTTTAGTTCCCCCAAATTCACAAGGGATCCAGAGTTGGAAGATATTTCTGACCTCAGGAGTTCAACTTGAAGTCAAAACTTAGATGAAACGAAAAAAATTGCCTGTGGTATTGATTATTTGTGCACCAGAAACTGTATGAATGTGCCAGATGCCTTCCACTTGCTCCTTGAGACCCTCTCTCCACTCTCCACTCACCCTTTTCTCTGTCCCAGGGCGTTGGCTTGCAGGAACCCCTCTGGCTCCTGATGGGTATAGTCAGCGGGGCATGCTCTCAGGAGATGAGAGGGAGGGAAGAGAATGAGGCCCAGGTGTTTATTTCCCCACTTCCATCCTTGCAGGTTGCTTTACCCTGGCTGCTGCTCCTCTCACGTTGGTCCTCTACAGATTGATCTCCTATTAGGATTCCCTAAATCTCTCTGTATTAGTCTGTTTTCATGTTGCTGATAAAGACATACCCAAGACTAGGCAGTTTATAAAGAAAAAGAGGTTTAATGGACTCACAGTTCCACGTGGCTGGGGAGACCTCACAATCATGGCAGAAGGGTACCTCTTACACGGTGGCAGACAAGAGAATGACAGCCAAGTGAAAGGGGAAACTCCTCACAAAATTATCAGATCTCGTGAGACTTATTCACTACAATGAGAACAGTATGGGGGAACCGTCCCCATGACTCAATTGTCTCCTACTGGGTCCCTCCCACAACACGTGGAAATTATGGGAGCTACAATTCAAGATGAGATTTGGGTGGGGACACAGCCAAACCACATCATTCGCCTTCCTCATATCTTTGAGCCCTGAGTGATAACACATCTTCGTCTTCCGTTATTATCCCTGAGGAAGCTCACTGATAGCTTTGATGATAATTCCTTTATAGACTACCCTCAAATTATCCTATTTTTTTCTTTTTAACTTTTACTTTAGATTCAGGGGGTACATGTACGGGTAAATTATTCTAATATGAGTGTGTGTCTGTCTCTCCCTGGGTCTCTCACTGAGAAGCACTGGCAGGTATCATATTTTTAATCATATTGGCATTTCTACTGCTCCTAGGCAGGTACTTTTGCACCAGCCTATAGTTACAACTCCTTGAGAACCCATGTTTCTTTCACCTTGTTGCCTAAAACCTGCTAATAAGAAATAGAAAATCAAATTGACAGGGATAAAGGTGATAAGAGTTGGCAAGGAGGAAGCCCAATTGCATAAAGAGAAATCATGTGGAAATTAAAAACAAAACATAATAATAATCCAGGGGTCTGGGAGTTGAAAAGGGAAGTTTTATGTAATTCTAGCCAGTTGATGTCATTATAGCTAGTTCTCTGGCCAGGGAGGCCAGGGGAAGGGAGGATGTGAAGGTGAGAAGGACTCAGACATTCTCCTTTAGATCTGAGGCTCAGCCTTATGTGTGCAACATTAGGTCAGTGAGAACAAAGGGATGTGTCTGAGCAACAGCCAAGGCCATTTCCCTGCAGAAATGGTTCCGCAGTCCCAAAGATGGGCCCACTATGAGTTAAACCTCTTGTCATCCGTTTTGTGTCTCCCCCTCCCTTAGCCTGTCTTGCTGTGGCCTCCCAAGCCCATCCATGCAATGGCAACGCCTCGCAGGCTTCCAGCTCATCTGTGTTCAGGAATGGGAGGGTCGGGGCCACTGACACACACCAGTATCCTGCAGCCTATTATTTCCTGCCTGTCCTGGCTCCCCTCCAAGACTAAACATGACAGGTGGATGAAGTTCACGAGAAAGCACTGCAATGGGCCACTTTTCCAGGAATGCTGCTGCTAACTGGATTCACAAACTAAGCCAACTCCCACCACCCTAGGCTGAATGAGGAGGCAGCTGAATGGTGCAGAATTGATTTTTTTTTCCTTGCTTTTTTACCCTCTGTCTCCAGTCTAAATCCTGTGATTGTTCCAGCTGGTATAAGCGACTCCCTACTCAGACTCCAGGGTTCTAAGTGCTTCCAAGGCCTATGCAAGAAACAAAGACACTTAACTCATGGCTCTTATTTCCAAACCAATGACCCACAACTGAGAACCGGAGGGGAAAACAATCTGTGCCATTGTGGAGCGTGGGGGTGAGGGTTTGTGATGGCTTCAGTCTGCTCTAGCAAGAAAAGTCTCAGAGTTATTTGATAATCTGATTGTGGAAGGAGAAGATAGAAAAAAGCAAAAAATAAAATAATAAAAAAGGTCACAATTGGCACTCTTAATTGGCAATCCAGAAAGATTTAGAGAGCCAGATTACGTTTAGAGAGGTAAATTATCTCATTTGAACAGAGTTTGGAGATTGTAAAAGTGGCTGATCATCCAATATACTTGTGACTCTTTTTTTTTTTTTTCAAGTAAAACTGTGAGCTAATAGGGCAAATAACCATGCAGAGGCTTCTTGTCCACTCCCTATGCTGAGGGAATGACAGTTGCTCTCTTTCCAATTCTGGGTAAACAATGCCAGATTAGGATGGGTCTGACCCCAGATTTTAAGGTAGTAAGCCTGCTAATGGAACTGACAGTCAGAAAGGTGACTGGGTAAAACTACAACCTGTGGGCTAGGGTCAACATCTATTTATCTTGGGCTCTCATTGGGTACTAAATAATTACCACCTCCTACTACTATGAGCTCAGGCACTAACTGAGTAGGCATTTTCAGAAGTCCTTAGAAAGTTCCCAAGAATCAGAATGGCTCCTGTGGGAGCTAGTTTTAGACTTCACAGATATCTTAGAGATCTGGGGGGGAAGTTATTTAGGATAGATGTATGTATTCCAAGGACCCGGCTAGTATCTAAATAGCTTACTTTTGTTGTTACCTCCATGGTTAAATATCAAATATGTCTCCCCATGCTATAGCATTAGTGAAAAGGAATGAACCAGAAGAGCCAACCATCTTCCACCCCAAACCACTTCCACCCCATCCACAGGTGGAAATGGGGCGGTAACTTGGATTTAAGGCTAATAAACTCTCTTACTTTCTCTGGACAAGATTTAAAAGGATGAGCACAGGGACTGACTCAGCTGTGCATATGTAAAATACCTGCCTCTTGGTAATAAGGTACTTGAAGATTATGTTTTATATAGGAAAATGTTTCACTTTTAAACAAGGATCTAGATTACATTTTTGAACTATTGATGTTTATTCTTGAAAGGAGGGGAGTATTTATGTATGTGCATACACCTGTGTGTACCTTTGAAACAATATTTATTTGCTTAGAAACTAGGAAAAAAGATAAAGAATATCTGAATGTCACATTGCTAAGGATTTATCAAAAGGGACAACAGAGTCCCAAAGTCCACCCTGGGATGTTATTGGATCTTATTGAAATCTGAAAGTCCACCCTTGACTGCCTTGCCAAGGTCCCTGTCATGTCCCCTATTTTCCCTTTCCCTCCCTGAGGTATTATTCCAAAAGGAATAGATGAGGCTTTGTAAAATTACTGTAAGTTATTGTGTTGTAGTAATTATGCTGTTGTGATTGGAACGGAGATGAAAATGAATCCTATCTCTGAGGAGAGTGGAAGATTGTATTAGTCCATTCTTGCATTGCTAGAAAGAACTACCGGAGGCTGAGTAATTTATGAATAAAAGAGGTTTAATTGGTTCACAATTCCACAGGTTATACAGGAGGCATGGCTGGGGAGGCCTCAGGAAACTTAAAATCATGGCAGAAGGCAAAGGGGAAGCAAGCACGTCCTACATGGCTGGAGCAGGAGGAAGACAGAAAAGGGGGAGGTGCTACACACTTTTAAACAACCAGCTCTCATGAGAACTCACTTACTTTACAAAAACAGCAAGTGGGAAGTCCACCCCCAGGGAGGGGCTTTCCACCAGGTCTCTCCTCCAACACTGGGGATTACAATTTGACATGAGATTTAGGCAGGGACAGAAATCCAAACCATATCAAAGATCCCAAAGGATTAAGGTTATTTGCAATGTAAAGATTTAATACAAAAGCCAAAAGCATCACTCAGAGGAAAGGCCAGTCTTAGGACAGAAGAGTCAGGCTAGCTAGAGAGTAGAGATTATGCCCACAAGGGGCTTCCTCTGTGATGGTTTTAAATTATCTTGGTCCCTTGCTTTGCTCTACAAAACAGTCGTATTTATTTCTCCTTTGTAAGTCCTGTCTTATTATGAGGGGAATTATAAGGCTGATTTCTCCTTTGTGATTCCCCTTTTATTAAAAAAATGCTTTGGTAAAATTTAAAGACTTTTGGGAATGGCATTTTAGGAATCAGAGCTTTTCTGTGTTTCTCTTCATTGACTGAGATCCTTGTTTTCTTAATAGCATCATCTTAAGAAGAAGAGTAGTCCAGGCATTCTTGATGTGAGTAAGTCTGAAACAAAAGATCTTTTCCAAAAACACACCAGAGGTGAGAGGTGAAGCCAGCTGGGCTTCTGGTTCAGGTGGGGACTTGGAGAACTTCTGTGTCTAGCTAAAGGATTGTAAATGCACCAATCAGCATTCTGTGTCTAGCTAAAGGATTGTAAACACACCAATCAGCACTCTGTAAAATGGACCAATCAGCACTCTGTAAAATGGACCAATCGGCACGCTGTAAAATGGACCAATGAGTGTTCTGTAAAATGGAACAATCAGCAGGATGTGGGCAGGGCCAAATAAGGGAACAAAAGCTGGCCACCGGAGCCAGCAGCTGCAACCCGCTTGGGTTCTGTTCTGTGGTGTGGGAGGTTTGTTTATTCCCTCTTCACAATAAATCTTGCTGCTGCTCGCTCTCTGAGTCTGCACTATGTTTATGATGTGTAACACTCACTGCAAAGGTCTGTGGCTTCATTCCTGAAGTCAGCGAGACCAGGAACCCACCGGGAAGAAGAAACTCTGGACACATCTGAACATGTGAAGGAACAAACTCTGGGCACACCATCTTTAAGAACTGTAACACTCATCGCGACGGTCTGCAGATTGATTCTTGAAGTAAGTGAGACCAAGAACCCACGGGAAGGAATGAATTCTGGACACAGAGGGAGAGCATGTTTGAAAAGAATTGGATATTTGGATACAGGAGGGATTACAAGAGAAAAAAGAAAAAATCTCATGACTCTGCAACTCCTAAGGAAATTCTAATGTACTCAAAGGCATAAAGCATACAGTCATCAACTTTTCTAACTGAAGGGATCATTTGCCCACCCTGCCTTGCCCCAATTTGCTTTGTGTATTGTACCCCTATGTTTAAGAATGGGGTACAATCCCATCCACCCAGTCCAAGCCAGGAACATGGGTACCATGTTTGATTGGTTCCTTTTCCTCATGTCCCACCCACCCACACAAATAATCAGTCTCAAAGCCCCATTGGTTTTATCCTCCCAGATACTTGTAATCTTTTCATTTGATATGTCTACAAAGACATGGGAGAAGATAAGAGAATGAGGAAGCCACTGGATTTTGCAACCAGAAGAGCTTTACAGACTGATGAGGGAGCCATTTCAATAGCCAGATTACAAGGGGTCAAGCCAGTATGGGTAAGAAGAGAAGAATATGGCCATTGTATCTGACGAATACTCTGGAGCAATGTTATTCATTCAGTATATGCTCAACACTTTTCAAAAGTCTAAATTATGTTTTCCCTAAAGAAATGAACATGCTCTCTTCTTATTCCACTGCTTTATTTCACAATTTCTTTTTCCTTCTTAAAAATTTTACCTTCTGTTAAGTATAAAAATTTAGTAAATAATAATTTATAGAAATGTTAGCCTTTCTTACTGTGAGAGTCTGGGTAGAAAATCCTTGACCATTACTCCAAATGAATTTTTGCTCTAATGTCAATCTAATTCATTTACTGTCTAAGTAAAGTATACTCTCTTTTGGCTATGCAACAATTCAATCACCATACCTTCCTATTTTGGGGAGAATCCCCCTGTTATGTTATTTTTGGTGGGAGGTGGTGTCAAATGCTCCATCTCTCCCCTCCCTGCTTCCATGGTAGGAGCATTGACTTAGGCTTAGCCAGTCAGATGCTCTCTTCCCAGTGTTATGAAAACTGAGTGAATGATGCAAAGACAAAATGAAAGTTGGAATTCATTGAAAGCTGTGGCCATGGGGCTGGCTGGGTCCTCTGGCAGTTGCAGTAGCAGTAGCATCTGGCTAGATTCTTTTGGTTACAAGTCTGTTGTGCTTCCTGACACTGGGCCTTTGGAAATACCTTTGCTTCCAACTTCTTCTAAGCCTGGTCCTCTAGCTTTCTGATGGTTCTGTAAGCCATTGCTATTATTCCAGTACATTCTCATTGTTCTTCTTACAGATGGAGATGGTTTCTGTTGCTTTCAACCCCAGGAATCCTAACTTGTATATTTCCAAATATGTCTTGTTGTTTCCACCACTGTGCTTTTTCCATGCCAATGGTGCATCTAGATCGCCCTTCTCACTTCTCTGTTTTTCCATATCCAGCTCAAATTTCATCTTTCTTGATCATCATAACATTTTCTGAGTCCACTCTATGAACCAGGTCTTGGGCTAGGAGACAAAAAAGATATAGCCACTGTACTCATGAAGATGTTATGTATAGTGAATGGCACACATGTAAAGAACAGTCACATTTCAAAGAGTTAAGAGCCAGCTTGGAGGTATGCACTAGGCACGTTACAGTGCTGAAGCAAAACTTCTTACTTCTGGTAAGCTTCCATAGAGAGGGAGCCTACCAGGCATTGAACTCAGGGAAGGGCAATGAAGGCACAAGGTAGGCATGAGCCATGAAGTGTCAAAAAAAAAAAAAAAAAAAAAAACCTTAGACAAATTAAATTTAACAGAGGTTAATTGAGCAAAGGACACTGCATGAATCAGCTTCCCAAACCAGAATAGGTTCAGAAAGACTCCAACACAGCCAAAGTGGTGGAAGAAGGCTTATGGCAGAAAAAGGAAAATGATGTACAGAAAACAGAAGTGAGATACAGAAACAGCCAGATTGGTTACAGCTCATCATTTGTCTTATTGCAACATAGTTTGAACAGTTGGCTGCCGAAACTTGGTGATTGATACTAGAGTAGGTTACAGTCTGTTTACACATCCAGTTAGGTGACTATTCACTGTGTATGGACAAACCTTTAAGCTGAACTTAAAATATGTAAGGAGGCAGTTTTAGGATAAACTTAATTTAACAGAGGTGGGAAAGGACATGGCAATGCTGAGGAATGGCTGAGGTTCAGTGTGACTACAACATGAGGTGTGAGGGGAAGGAGGGTAGTGAGAGATAAAGCCGGGGAAGTGGATTCCCTATGTGACAAATTGAAGGATGTGGACCCATCCTCTAAGCCACAGACACCAAAATGTTTTGCTGGTGCATCCCATCAACAAAGTGCTTTGAGCTTCCCCCTAAATATATGTACGCTTACTTATAAATTTTATATAGTGCTATGATCGATCCATATATGATGTATTAATAATATTTCATATTGAAGTAGAAAAGTAACACTAAATGAAAGGCTAATATAGTCTTTCCACACTCAAAAGGATTGTCTTGCTTAGCCTTAATCTGTTGTGTTAGAAGAGTTTATTGGAGGGCAATGGTCTATTCGCATTTTTATAGGATAACTCTGCCAGCAGCATGGAAGGACTGGAGCAGAATTCTTGTAAAATTAGGTGAATCTAGATTGCTTTAAAAATAAAGAGCCATAGTCCCCAATAAGTTAGTGGAACTGAGGAATGATCATCAATAACTACTCATATTACAAAAAGACAACCAGATGCGTAGTGCCCCCAGATGGAAGCATTTGAAACTTCATACCACCTATATTCTTGCCAAAAACATCAACTCTGAATCTAATGAAAACTTTACAATTAATGAATAATAAGAAAATTGTTATTAGCTATTATATACTATAATAAAATAAAATATATAGCGGAATACAAAGTTAATTTTTTATAAATTATTATATAAACTAAAGGAAACATTGGGTTAAAGGACATGTTAAATGATACCACAAGGATATAACCAGCAAAATGCAAACTGCAGGAAGTTCTATGGGACAAACAACCCAGTTTCTGCAACAAATAAGAAGCAAGGGGGAGAAAAGAGTGATGGAGGGTGATATGGTTTGATCTGTGTTCCCACCCAAAACTCATCTCAAATTGTAATGTGCATAATCCCCACATGTCGAGGGAGGGACCAGGTGGGAGGTGATTGGATCGTGGGGACGGTTCCTGCTATGCTGTTCTCATGATAGTGAGTGAGTGCTCATGAGATCTGATGGTTTTATAAGCATCTGGCATTTCCCTTGCTTGCACTCCTTCTCTCTCCTGCTGCCATCTGAAGAAGGTCCTTGCTTCCCCTTTGCCTTCAGCCATGGTTGTAAGTTTCCTGAGGCTTCCCCAGCCATGCAGAACTGTGAGTCAATTCAACCTCTTTGTTTATAAATTGCCCAGTCTCAGGTAGTATGTTTATTTATAGCAGTGTGAAGATGACTAATACAGAAGAGCAAACAAAAGAGGCAAGAGATGCATCAGCAGTTGCAATGCAGGACAGTTATTTGGTTTTTGATGCAAAAAATGGTGAGACAACATAAGAAATTTGAACACTGACTAGATATTTGATATAAAGGGAATATTGTTAATTTGTTAAGGTATGATCATGGTTTTTAGATTTTTAAGTTTTTATCATTCAGAAATACATGCTGAAATATTTACAGATGAAATGATATCTGGGACTTGCCACAGAATAATCACGGATGGGATATTAATCAAATAAGATTGGGCATAATTTGATAGTTATTAAAGATGGGTGATAGATACATGTAGTCCATTGTATTTTTCTCTTTGTTTTGGAATATGCTTCAAATTTTCCTAGAAAAAGGTATTTTAAATTCCGATGTTTTGGTTTCATCTCCTAGAAATTCTGATACCATAGACCTAAGGTAGTGCTTAGAAATCCGGATTTTTAACAAGCACTCAAGGGAATTCAGAATCAGATGGCCACTAAGACCACAATGTGAGAAAATTAGACTAGACAGTGCAATGACTTAAATGGAGGAAATCAAGTAGGAGAAGTTGACAGTGTCTTTCATGGGGTAAGTGTTCATGATAAATATCTGCCAATTTTGTTTGCTGATTATTTATAAATATTCATCCTAGATCTTAATAGTGTTTGTGTATAATAATCATTTAGGGTGCAATTACCAGTGCTATTTCCTGACTTGGGCCTTTTTTTTTTCCTATTAGATTTTTAAGAGTCCTTTAATGCTTGCCACATGAACCAAGGCTAATTCCCTGATTAGATAATTATCCTCGTGAATGCTTTCTTCATAATCACAATGGCAGGAGAGATGTTGCCAGGTCTTTCAGGAAGGGAGAGACACCCAGTTGTGACCCAATAAATTGGCATCAGCTCTTACTCCACCCCTTCCGGTAGGAAAGGATTTAAAACCTTGGGAAGGGGAGGGAGCCGAGAGGTGACCCATCTCTCCCAATGCTGTCAGGTCACATCACAAGGTACTCACTCCCCACCCTTTTTTCTTTCCACATTGGAGACCTTTTCAACTGGAAATCGTGCTCAGCTCAGGGGCTGAGGTGTGTAATGAAGACAGAGCTGACCGTGTTATAACGTAAACAAAATAAAAACTGGAAACTTTTGTCATAGCTCCTCAGAACTTGGGTCCCTCTCCAGCCGTTAACTGCAGGTGGCCCTTCCAGCAAAGTAACACAAAATGCTGCTGCTGGCTGAGCCTCTCTGGAATTGCAAACATGCTTTCTAAGCTCAGCTCTGCCGTGCTGCCAGCAGACGGTCTTCCAGAGGAATCTCCTTATCATGAGGGATTCTGGGCTTCAGACCCATCTGGGATCAGCTCAGCTCAGGGTAGGTAGTTGCAGTGGCTGCATCCCACCCCACTGTAACACACCGTGAGCTGCAATGGCCTTACCTCTCCTGCATAATGCGGGGAAACCTCATTATGCCCCATTGATAAGGTAATGAAATAACAACAGCCAGAGATGGGCACTGTTCACATCCTGATTTTATAGACAAAGACCTTGAGGTTTAAGGTCTCAGTGACTCCTCCAGGGTCACTCAGCTCAGAGTCAGAGCCAGGATCTTGATAATCTTGCTCCAGATTTTGTGCATTTAACCCCATCAGAGGTTATTTTATTTGCCTTGATGCAATCAACTTGTCTTCTAAGTCCTATTCTCCTCCTCTGCCCTAAAGATAACCTACTCTTTCTCTAACAGGAACTGCATGTGTTTCCCTGAACCTGTTCTACCTGTTCTTATATACTTCCTTTTTCTTTAGCCTTTTCTTCTTCTTGAAGAAATTTTCTTTCTCTTAATCCCAATTTTACCAACTGAAATTCTGCCCCAGCTTCAAGGCCCATGTCAGATGCTATTTCTTCCAAGAAGTCTTTCATTCCTCCACTCTCATCTATAAGAAACATTTCTCCACTTTGCATCTTCATCACATTCTGCTGATAACATTTTTTTGTCACTCAGTTTGTTTCCTTTTCTTGGATTTAGTTGTTGTTGTTGCATTATGGCCGTGTTTGTATTTGCCTTACGATGTCTGTTATGTTGCAAACTCCCTGAGCCCAGTGACCATTTATTTTTATTTTTTATTTTTTTTGCTTTTCTTATTCATATGGTCTAGCTTTGACCAGTGACCATTTATTACTCAACTTTTTATTTCCCCCAGGGTTTACAACAGTGCTTTGCATATACTATGAGCTTAAAAATACCTATTGGGTTGAATGTATGCAATACTGAAACACGTATAACTTAGTTTGCATTTATGAGAATATAATTGAATGCACTGGGGAAGTTAGGTGCTGCAAATGAGTAACCCTGTGATTCATCTTTATGGAATTAAAACAAAAAAACTCTTTAAACATGATAATTTATATCTTTGCTAAATCTGTATTTGCATTTATTAAAAAATTGGAAATAAATGGCCACTGTGTTTTCAATGTTTTGCTTTCACTTCTCCCCATTACATAGATGAGACAGAGCTGCAGAGCTGCCTAGAAAGTGAATGTATTTGGATGCTCACTCCCAACCTTCCTTGCCCTTTTGTGATTCCGGATTGGATTGAGTGTGTGAGGAGGGAAAGAGCAGCTCTCTGGGGAGATTAATAATATGGTCTGAAGGATGAAGATCAAAGAGAAACCTTGGCTGTAGACCACGCAGTGACCGTAGTAACCGGCAGAGGCTCTCTGATCTCCGTGCTCCTCGGTACCCCCTGTAATCTCACGCTGCATTTTGCACCCTTTCCTGGGGTCAGCACTCATCTCAGTTACACATCTCCACTCCACCCTTGCTTCTCCAAAGCTCCACCTCCTGCAAGACTACAGATCTGCTGTTTATTCTTGTATAACCCATTGTCCAGTCATCAGAGTACCACCAAAAAGAGGTTAACAAAACTGATATGAACCCGATGAAAATTTAGGGGAAATTTGTTTATGAAAATTCAGGGGAAATTTGTTTAAACATTTTTTTAAAAAAGTACTGTTTAAAAAGTAAAAATACTTAAAAAATACCTAATTGGTCTCCTGTAGACAATATCTAACTTCACTAATTAAACTACAGCCAATCATAAGCCTTATAAAAGTTTGATTGTAAATCATCTGTTGCATGTTGTCTGGGATATGCTACAAAATAATCTGGTGGTAGGTGGGAGTTGAGAATTGTTGAAACCAAAGATAGTTCCTTGGGGTTCATTACACTATTCTCTCTTGCTTTAGTATAGGTTCTTAACTTTTTCTTAATAAGTTCTTTTCTTTAAAAAAATTGGTTTTGTTTTCAAATTCTGTCACCAAAATTGCAGTGTGGTTAATTTTTCTGTTTTGGAATATGGGAATCACTTAGTTGAGTTCTCTGCCCCTTCTGCCTTCTTCATTTTCTCAACTTCTATCCTTGCCTTTCTTTACCTAACTTGGTGAAACAGGGCTCTACCTGCTTGGTGAATCTCAATTACTGTCCACAGAATGGCCCAAGAACTTTGGATATTGCCAGACTGAATGCTCAGACTCCTTTCGTAACCATTTAAAAATATTCCATGGTAGCAGGAGCTCCAAGCTCGAGGGTTTTATTTTCACTGGGAACTTCAAATACCGCCGCTGGGCTGCAAATAGAAACTAGGATGGTGGCTTGTTTCCGAAAGTCACAGTGTTTGTTCCTTTTCTCTTTTCTCTTTCCTTCTCTCTCTCTCTTTTTTCCTCTGTTGGAAAAGCATCTATTGGAGAGCGATTAGCAATTCGGGGGTACAAGAACTCTCTGGTGTTAAATATTTCCCAGGACTTCAATAGCAAAGCTCTTTGGACTGCTATGAATGACATAGTAAATTGCCACCCTTTGTCCTCATTTTGGAGACGTGTACCATACTGTTGGTCTGGGAGGAGAACAAGCTCCTAAACCAAACATAAGACCCTAGGGAAAAAGGTGACACACACGTTGTACCTCGCAGGTGTTTTGGCACCAGCAAGTCAAACAGGGCATTTATTAAATCAGATGAGCAGACAGACTTGCCATTTGATCCACAGCAGAGCTTGTTCTGTACAAACCAAGTCCAAAATATTATTCCATTCAGTGGGCAGCTCTTTGCAACACCACTCGTTGGCACGCATCCCTTGAAAGCTGCTCTTGGAAACCTCTGAGGTTTTGCCTTTCTCTAATGTTTGTCTGACTCTATGAGGCCAAAGAGTATTCCTTGAACAGCCAAGAAAGGCAAAATAAGGAAAAAGAGCAGTTCAAATGGTTAGAACCTTGAACTGTGGAAGAAGATGCACCAAAGAGCCTGGATTTACAACTGTCAATCATCCCTCTTATTTTACACAGGAAAGGCATTTCTTTAATCCACCTGTTCAATTATTTATCATGCTGTGGGTTTCCTCTTAATTGTCACTTGGGCAAAGCCTTTATGCTGTAAGGGGACACCCTCATATTTTTTAATGACCTTAGGGAAAGTGATTGACACTAGATCCTGGAGTCAGATGTTCCTAGTGACGCAACTTGTTCTCCTAGTAGCAGAAAAGCTTCCTGCCATGATTAAGTTAGAGCTGTGAAAGTGCTAAAATGTGTAGTCAGCCTTCCTCTGATGCAAGCACTTTTATTATAGGGCCTAGTTGTGGAGAAGTGTAGCAACACAAACTCTGTCTCCAAATACCTGTTTTGTCTCTGAATTAGCCACTCGGTAGAGAAAGGCAATATGCTCTATCCACGTGCTGGGCACTTGAAATACTCATAATCACAGTCACATCTTCTCTATACTTACAATTTTTCTGGCTCTACCCCTTTACTCTTGTCTACTTGTTTTTCTGAGTTCATACCACAATGTGATCACAACTGATTTATGACTGGCAGGCTGCCAGTCTCTGAACCCTCATCAACTACTCTAGTCAAGCAAAACAAGAAGCAATCCATTCTGTATTTGAACTTGAAATGGAAAATCCTCTGTGTTTGCTTTTCTCGATAGGAGGCTGAGATGGAGCAAAAGTGTCATTCTATTTTTTTTGGACATGGCCTACACTTCCCATTGAAAACGCTTGAGAACTTGTGAGTAATGGGTGTCAGATCCACGGCTGCTCAACAGTGGATGATCCACTCCATGTTAAAACAACACAGAGGGCTTTCTCAACTCCTCTTGTTTTGGTTTTCTTCTCTGTGCCCACTACTTTTCAGGATTCCTTAGGCAGAGGGTATTTTTAAGATGTGACTATCTCCTGAGTGGCTGGATCATGAATAGTCTCTATTATCGCTGATTCATTTAGGTACCAATGTTGTACCACAACTAAGGCCATAAGACTAGAATACACATGAGGCTATGGCCCATGAAAATTTGTGATTAACTTGGAAAGGAAGGGGATATGAACAGAAAGTAGGTTTTACTCCCATTACTTTTATGCTCAAAATATTATTACTTTTATCCTACTTTGAGCCTACTGAACCAGAATTTCTGGGGTCAGCACCTAAGTTGAGTCTGATGCAGTCAGTACTCAGACAGGCATTTGGAAACCACCAGTCAAGACCATCTCTTAAGTTCTGATGCAGTCACTACTCAGGCAGGCATTTGGAAACGACCAGTCAAGACCATCTCTTAAGTTCTGTTGAGATGTAAGCTTCTATTATTAAAAACAACAACAACAGCCAGGCGCGGTGGCTCATGCCTGTAATCCCAGCACTTTGAGAGGCTGAGGCAGGCGGATCACGAGGTCAGGAGATCGAGACCATCCTGGCTAACATGGTGAAACCCCGTCTCTACTAAAAATACAAAAAAAAAATTAGCCAGGCGTGGTGGCGGGTGCCTGTAGTCTCAGCTACTCAGGAAGCTGAGGCAGGAGAATGGTGTGAACCCCGGAGGTGAAAGTTGCAGTGAGCCGAGATTGCACCATTGCACTCCAGCCTGGGCAACAGAGAGAGACGTCGTCTCAGAAAAAAAACAAAAAACAAAAAACAAAAAACTAACAACAACAAAAATGAAAAGCCCCAAACAACAATAACAGAAACCTCAAAAGCAACAAGAGCCTGTTAGTAAAAAACCACATTGCATGATCATGTTATATTTTCTACATGATTTCTACACGTATTATAGATATTGATGCAAATTTTAATTCACCACTGTAACTTTTTTTTTTTTTCACATCTGGTACCATCAGAAAGAATGTAGCTGTAGACACAACCAGTTTCAAGACTTGATGAACCATCCTTAACTGCATGGCCCAAGGGAGGACATTCCATGGGAACCTACAATGCCTGCATTAGCAAGACAGTGGCAAAATTGCAATGGAAAGAAGAAGAATTTGCAGCCAGAAGAGGTCTAGATCTGGGTGTGAATTGTTTCTATCACATATGCACTATTTGATCATGAGCAAGCCATTTAATCTCTTCAAGTCTCAGTTACCGCATCAAAAAATGAGGATAACATTTTATAGAGCGTCTGGAAGGAAATAGCAAGGCAATGCAAGTGAAAATGCTATGTCCACCTTAAAGCACCAGGCAAATGCTAATTGGCCCTCTACTAGGTAGTTTGATAGCATCAAAGTTATTTTTTAGCTATATAAATTTGGATATAGATATGCCGAACACAAAGAACCTTTAGTTTGGCCAAAAAAATTGATCTATGCGTGGATTTGAATTTTCTCTCAGTATTTGCAATTTACTTTTTTTCTAGACTTTACTATGAGCTTAAGTATTTGCAATTTCGCACGTGACATAAGCTGCTGTTTTTCTATTAATGTCCTATTTGACTGATTTTCTTGTAGCTTCCGTAGTTTTATATGTCACACAGATTCACTCAAAGCATATGTCAACTTTGAGACAGACAGTAATCCTACCTAATGTATTGAGTAGCAGGCATTGCCATAAGCACTTTATATCTATTAACTCAATTAGTAATTACTACAACCGTATTATGAACCAACATTATTCCCATTTTGTTAATGAGGAAACTGAGGCAGAGAGAAACTGACTTGTGCAGAGATACACAGGTAGTAAGTGATAAAGCTGGATTCCAAGCCCAGGTACTTTAACCACAGTGCTATGGTGTCTTTAGGAAGATAGTATGTGATATGATGATGAGGAGAAAGATTTTAGTTATAATTTTTTTTATTAATGATCCCCAAGTGCTTGTGCAATATAAGAACCTGAATATTTGGCTGGACACAGTGGCTCACGCCTATAATCCCAGCACTTTGGGAGGCCGAGGTGGTCAGATCACTTGAGGTCAGGAACTCGAGGCCAGCCGGCCAACATAGCGAAATCCCGTGTCTACTAAAAATACAAAAATTAGCCTCGTGTGGTGGTGTGGTGGTGGGTGCCTATAATCCCAGCTACTTGGGAGGCTGAGGCAGGAGAATCACTTGAACCTGGGAGGCAGAGATTGCAGTGAGCTGAGATAGCACCATTGCACTCCAGCCTGGGTGACAGAGTAAGACTCTGTCTCAAAAAAAAAAAAAAAAAAAAAAAAAAAACCTGAACATTTCATTATCTGATTATAGGTTTGAGCTCTATGGATATTGGAGTTATTTAACCCCTTTGCTTGGACAGAATTTTGCGGTTGATAGATATCCTTAACAAATTCTTTAATTTTCACCCAGTAAGGTGGAGAGGCTGAAGGCTAGCTCTCACCATCACCTTTTGATGTTCACTTATGGTGTTCCATCTGTGAGTGCTCCTGATTGCTCCTCCTCAATTCCCATCACCTGGTTAACTCCTTTGTCTGTCCTGGGCTTATCAAGTCACCACCTGCAGGAAGCCTTCTTTGATTTCCCCTGACATGTGTTACGGTTTCCAAATATGCACTTCCTTCGCACTGTGCATCTAGTGGCAGGCTGAGGCTGGCTTATAATCTGAATCTTGAATTTTCCACAAGGGAAACTCAAGGAGGATGAGAATGAAAGCATCAGCCATATGTTTGGTGGCAGAAGATGTGGCTAGGGTCCTGAGCCTCACAAGACTCAGGAGAGAGTGTTTTGATATTTGTTAAATGCTGCAAATATATGGAGGTTGTCAGAAAAAATCCTGGCTTCAGATGGCAAATCATTCCATAATAATCTCTAATTTTAGTCCGGGTTTCTCAAAACTGTTGCTGACCTTACTCTTTTTTTTTTTTTTTTTTTTTTTTGAGACAGAGTTTTTTGTTCTTTCATCCAGGCTGGAGTGCAGCAGTGCGATCTCGGCTCACTGCAACCTCTGCCTTCTGATTTCAAGCGATTCTCCTGCCTCAGCCTCCTGAGTAGCTGGGACTACAGGCACCCGCCACCACACCCGGCTAATTTTCTTGTATTTTTAGTACAGACTGTGTTTCACCATGTTTGCCAGGCTGGTCTCGAACTCCTGACCTCATAATCCACCTGCCTCGGTCTCCCAAAGTCTCCCAAAGTGCTGGGATTACAGGCGTGAGCCACTCCACCTGGCCCCACTCTTTAGCTTAGACACCTGAGACTGTGTTGCTCAGCTTCTACTTGAGACATTCCTTCAAGAACCAGGTACTGACAGTTTACTGTGTACCAGGCAGGATAGGCAGTGTGGCTAAGTGAGTGGGTTCTGGATTTTGAACTCAGGCCCTAAGTGTGCTCACTATGTGATCTCATTTAATGGCTTCATCTATGTCTCAGTTTCCTTATCCGTGAAATGAAGGCAATAATGGTATCTATTTCACTAGGCTGCTGTGAGGATCAAATGAGATATTCCATGTGGAGCTCAGAATATGACCTTTGGAGCATAATGGATGCTTGATAAATGCTGAAGCTGGGACTGCGATGACTTAAACTTCCAGTCTCTAGTTTGGTTTCCTGATCTCCAGAGCACTTCCCGAGAATTTCTCTTTCGCTGCTTTGCTCCTCCAAAGTCCAAATCTAAATCCTACTTTCCCATTCCAAATCCTTCTCCTATCTCTAACTTGCTATGCTGTATCAAGCCCACATTCTTGTGCTACGTCTCCTTTCTTAAAACTTTAAAAGCAGATGTTACACCCATAAAAATGGCTAAAATGAAAAAAGATGAAAAATACTAAAAAATGGCTGAAGATGTAGTGCATCCAGACTCTGAAGAGTGCTGGCAGGAGAGTACACTGACTCAATCACTTTGGAAAACTTTCTGGCAATAAGGCTGAACACATACTGTCCTTTAATCCAGGAATTCCACACCTAGGTCTACCCTCAGCAGAAACATGCACATACGTACATCAAAAATCATGTAGAACAAATTTCATCATAGCACAATATTAGCTACCTACTGCTGCAAAACATATTACCCCCAAACTTAGCAACTTAAAACAACAGACATTTATTATCTCACAGTTTCTGTGGGTGAGGAATCTGGGAATAACTTAGCTGGGTTCAGGGCCAAGGTACCCATTAGGTACGGCAGGCACCAGGCCTAGGGACCACGATGCTTGTTAGTACAATTTCCTCCTTCCAGTGAGTGAGATACTTCCTTTTTGTTGTAATGGAGGAAGGGGCCCACAAAGACAAAAGTGCATAGGTCCCATAAAGTCACCGTGCAGCCCTGGCTGGATGGGTTTCTCATGAGGTCTGTCAAGCTGTCATCCGGGAACACAGTCCTTGGAAGCCTCCCCTGGGAAAAGATCCACTTCTATGCTCACTCAGGTAGTGGCTGGCAGTTCTTAGTTCTTCTCTAGTTGTTGGCTGGAGACCTCAGTTTCTCACCACATGGGCCCCTGCATGGCTGCCTGAGTGACCTCAGGACATGGTAGATGGCTTCCCTCAGAGAAAGAGGGAGTGAGGGAGAGTGGGAGCAATCAAAAGAGAGAAAAAACAAGATGTCTTTATAACCTAATCTTGGAAGTCAACTACTACCCCTTCTGCCATATTCTATTGTTTACACAAACCAACTCTGGGACAATGTGGGAGGAGGCCACAGAATCTGTGAATACCAGGAGTCCGGGATCATGTGATACCGTTAGAGGCTGGCTACCAAAAATACTATCTTCAGTCATTAAAAACTAGAAACTATCCAAATGTCTATCAACAGTAGAAAGACTAAATAAATGATACTGTATTTGTACAATGGAATTCTACACAGCAATAAGAATGAACCATTTATAACTACGTACAACCATATAGATTGTAGCTCATAAACATAATGTTGCAAGAAGAAGCCAGGAACAAATAGTATACTTGATACGATTCCACTGATGCAAAGTTAAAAAACAGGCAACACAACTCTGGGTGTTAGAGGCCACATAGTGGTTTCGCCTGGAGAGATACTGATGGAAAGTAGATACAAAGGGAGCTTTTGGGTGCTGGCAATATTCAGTATCTTTGTCTGGATGTTAATTCCACAAGTTTATAAAAATTCATTGAGCTGTACAACTTTCTCTGTGTAAATTATACTTTAACAAGAGTTTTTCAAAAGTAGATGTTGTAATACCTGTATTGTCTCCTTTTGCTAAAGAGACATTCTGGAAATGATTTTGGTTATGGCTAAGCATAAAACTGGGTGCTATAGGCTGGGCGTGGTGGCTCACACCGGTAATCCCAGCACTTTGGCATGCCAAGGCGGGCGGATCACGAGGTAAAGAGTTGGGGACCAGCCTGACCAATATGGTGAAACCCTGTCTCTACTAAAAACACACACCAAAAATTAGCCAGGCGTGGTGGCGGGCACCTGTAGTCCCAGCTACTCAGGAGGCTGAGGCAGAAGAATCACTTGAACCGGGGAGGCAGAGGTTGCAGTGAGCCGAGATCGCACCTTTGCACTCCAGCCTGGGCGATAGAGTGAGACTCCGTCTCAAAAAAGAAACAAACAAACAAAACAACTGGGTGCTATAGACTGAATGTCTGTTCCCTTCCACCCCCCAATTTATATGTTGAAATCTCATCTTCAATGTGGTATTTGGAGGTGGGGCTTTTGGGAGTTTATTCGGTTATGAAGGTGAAATTCTCGTGAATGGGATTACCACCCTTGTAAAACAGGCCACAGAGAACTCCTTTGCCCCTTCTACCATCTGAGGGCACAGCAAGAAGGCTTCACTTATGAACCAGAGAGTGGGCCTTCCGCAGACATGGAATATACTGGCACCTTGATATTGGACTTCGCAGCCTTCAGAACTGTGAGAGAGAAACATTTCTGTTGTTTATAAGCCACCCAGTCTATGGTACTTTTGTTATAGCAGCCCAGAGGTTTAAGACACTGGGGCAACTACAATGTGTGGTCAACCTATTGTTCCTGGTGCTAGGCCTCGCCTGCTGTGAGATCTTAGCTGAACAGTCCCTTAACCTCTCTGAACTATAGTTTCCTCAATTGTAAAGTGGAGTGAACACTTATACTCCCAGCCTCAGAGTGTGGTGAAGAATATCAGGTACAGTTGAGTGCTGTTACACTATCGAGCACTATAATATCAAGATCTTCCAAGTTCAGAACCGTAATACTTGCCTGGAGACCAGAATATGTATCGCCTATTTAACATCTCTCTCACCTGTATTCCTCTCTTTCTCTTTAGGGATGGTGGGGGGGAGCGGGTGATGGAAAGTAGGTTTGAGGCTTTGTGATCTGGCTCTCTGGGGTTCATCCTTTGGCCTCAAACTTCTGTGCTATCACGTGATCTCCTTGTGCAGTTTCTCCAGGCAGGATTCCCTAGATTAACCAAGAGAGTAAGATGGGGAGCAGAGCCACCATACAGCTATGATTCTCACCTGGGCCAGAGACCAGCTGCACAGAACAAGGTTAAAAGTTGTTTCTGTGCACTCTGGGATGTCTGTGTTTAGGGGGAATTCCACTAGGTGATATAGCTGGTTTCTGATATTCTAGGGAGGAGTCAGATTATCTTTTTAATACATTTATGCATGCATTTTATATGCATTCATTTATTTTCTGTCGCACCTGCATATTTGTATATAATACAACCATTTGTAAAGATAGACCTTACCCAATAAAAACATTTTATGAGATAATTGTGATAATTTGTAATCCCAATTTGAGTTTATTCTCCTCGTGGGAGTTGGGGTTCACAGTGTGTAGAACTATCTCTGCGCCGTGCAGCTATGTAACAGTATATACCTTTTAATGTGACTAGAAGCTCCCTAAATGGAGCAAGTCTTTCCCGTACTAACAGAACCCCAAGATAGCCACTGTGAAGTGGCTTAGGGAAGTGTGTAAGGGTGGGATAAATGGAGAATCTCCACCAACTCCTCACGTTTAGGAGAGATTTGATCCCATTTTGGTTATTACAATTTAGGTCTTTCCATAGAACTGTTTCTTCTGGGACTCAAGTAGCTGCATGGGGCCCCCTGGTGGCCGGAAATAATTCATGAGTTTGCTTTTCAAGCATTTTGAAGGCCAGGTCAGGCTAGAGAAGAATAGAGAGTAAATATTCGCCTCCAACTGCTGCTTACAGTGGAGGTGTAATAGAGAGTGAGATGGCCTCTTTGGGGGAAAAATGAGAACTAAACTTTTTTCTTTAACGAGATTAGAATGGACTATAATTCTGGATAAACCATTCACTTTCTGATTTTTTATTTTTTGGCTCATTTAGCACCTTAATTAGGTACTTATTGAGTACTTAATCTCCGTAAGCCATTATGTTAGGCATTTCACTAGGGTTAAAAAGAGGATCTATCACACACTTCTAAGGAGCTTTGGAATAAGGATAAAACTTATGCCACCAACACGACAGAAAATAAAAGATGCCATCAGAGAATAAAAGATGAACTCACGAAAGGGCATTTACTTTCAGATAAAAGGGAAGACTTCCGGGAAGAGGTAGCATTTGAGCTGAGTGCTGATGAGAAGCAGGATTTGGGGAGATTAAAATCAAGGAAACAATGGCACTATAAGCGAGGGAAAACACAAGTTTGGACAGACATGGAGGCAGGAAAACCAAAGTCGGGTGCAAGAATGGTGAATAGTCTATTCTGGCTAACTCATAAGGAGGTTTGGGGATTAGAGTGAGTATGAAAACTGGATACGTCCTTTTGGATCAGACTGGAGAATCTTGAACCTTGTCTGAGTAATTTCTTAATACAGCAATGCGGTGGCGGGGTGGGGGGTGGGCTTTGAGTATCTTTGCACGGAGAAGAGGCATGTGAAGGCACAGACTCACTTGCATTGAAATGAGCACAGCCCCCTAAACTTGCATTTGGTTGGGAGGAATGTTGATCTGTACGTGACACCATCTGACCTGCAAAGTCATTTTTAGGGTGTTTCCACTTACCAAAACTACCTGAGCATGAGGGAGTAGTAAGGGCCCCAGGGCTCCTGTCATGTTTAATTAAATTTCTGGACAGAAAGACTTTCAATGAGTGTGCTATGCTAGGCTGATTTTGTTTTCCAAGTTTTAAGAAACCTTCATGCCTATCTTTCGATTCTAGCTTAAGGTGGTTTAAACTACATGAATGAGCTGTATTTCTGGCTGGAGTTACAGGGTAGAGTCCTAGCTGTGGACTAGCTCAATGTCCACTGAAGAATTCAAGCAGTAACTTTATTTGCATTGTATTAGATCTAACTGAGTAAGAAACCTGAGAATCTACATTATGCCTGGCATATAGTTGGTGCTGGCATACGTGTTAAGCAAATAATTAACAACTGATTCCACAAAAATGTAATATACATTTAATAGCACATTATAAAGTTCCTGACCAAAGACGTTGATTTCCTAATTATAATAGCACAGAAATCCTTTAGAATTTAGTAAACGTAATTAAGACTATTCAGAAGTAATGAAAAACCAATATGATAAAAACAAAAATCCTCCAGTAAAGAAGGAACCTGTCCATTTGAGAGAAATACAATTGAGAACTTGCAAATGAGACAAGGGAAGATGGCAATTTGGAACTGCAATAGAAATAACTATAGCAGAAACAACCATTTAAGAAGTTTTAGCAGCAATAAGTATTTATTATTCTGAATGAAATGTACAGTTGACTTTTATATAAAAATCATCAAAAGTGCTATATTGGATTATTTTACTATTAATTTAACCCCCAACAGCATCTATTAGCTATAACTTTAATGGGTTTTTCTTTACTTCTGATACATCATTACAACTGGCTAACACTGTCCAATGTTAAAATATAAAAAATATTACTTTTCAAGATAAAGTACCACCAGTGATGAGTTATTAAAAGTATAAAATGAAAACAGACGCCAGTGAATCAATGTATTGAAAAAAATTATCACAGAATTTCATAGACATATGCGAAACCCAAGGTAATTTAGATCCTTGGCAGAACATTTTTATGATACATCTTAAGACTGTAGGTTATTTCTTTTGGAGGCAAATGTCTAGTGTGCCAGGCCTATCTTGATTTTTCTCATCTTTTCTTGGCTACTTTACAGGGTGAACCAAATACTGTCTAATGCTGTGCACTCCCATGACCCCCAAAGTGTTTCATGTAAATAGAAAGCTGATTTTTCAGTCTCAGAAGTAGCCCTTAGGGTTAAGTTTGTCGTTAAAGAAGACATGAGTCATTCCTCACAAAGGAGAAGCCCCTCCACCCTCCCACCCCCATTCTTCCAGTCTGCTCCAACGCCAAGTCTGTTCTCTCCCACCATGGTTCTGGGTGAATTGGGTGACAAAGTCAGAGCACGTTTTCCAGGCCCAATGGCCCATTTGGTCGTATTCAGTCTCAAGCAAACAAGCTTCTCTGATTTGCCACGAGAGCTGTTTGACTCTCCCGTCTCTTGGCTTTCTTGCTCCTTTGTCTCACTTTCCAGCACAAGGCACTGGAGGCTAGTAAAAAAAGTCCAGATGACAGAACAACCAGGCCAAAGATGGAGATAATAGACCCATGGGAATTGAAGCTGTAAGCCACCGCGGTGACCACGATGCCGGCGATGAAGACAACCACAGCAAAGGGGATGATGCAGCGGTAGCAGGAGAGCTCGGTACCCCCTGTAGCAGCCATCAACTGAATCTCACTGACCAGAGGGACTGTGGTGATCACAACTTCACTCTTGGGGCTCTTCTCCATCGTCGCTGCCATGTGAGCCTTTGGGGCTCCCAGGATCTCCTTGATGGGCTCTTCAGTCATTTTTACAACAGTGCTTCTAAGCTGGGTTTACAGACTAGATCTGGACAGTCTCACCAGGGTGAAAGCTGTGAAGATAACAGGAGATGTCAGCTACATGTATCAGAATGTACACCCTGTAAGCAGAAATGAAAAGCTGGGGAGGCACCTCCTTTCTAGGAGGCACAGATCCATGTGAAAAGCAACTTTACTCTTTTTTTGAATTGGTTGCATTCTCTTTGCATTTAGGCAAAAAATAAGATGAAGCAGATGCATATGAAGGGAAGACAGAAAAAGCAGGAAGCACTTACAGTGTTTAATATACCCTGGCGGTCTACAAAAGTTTTACAAGCTTTTCTGCTTTGTCTATTGCTTCTCCTTCCTCTGAATACACAGAAATGCCTGAATCCTAATCCAAAGATGGTCTCATTCAAGAGGAGAATACATTACAAACAATATTTCGTACCATTAATCCCAGAACTTACAGCAACTCAGACTCCGCCAATCTTGCTGGGCATAACATGCATTCTTTGCAAACTATCACCCATTGGCTGCCCACAAAATCAATGTCAAGGCAAGTGGCCAGCAACAAATGATGTTCTTCTCCATTGAATGACAGCCAACAAATCTTTATTGTGTTACTATTAAACACAGTGCAACCTGCTCCCTGGGATCTTTTTATTACCCACTTTAGGTGGACAGTTCAGCAAAAAATTCATTGAAAATGAGGTGGGGATTTGTGGTCTGAAGTGTAACAATATCTTCCAATCTGCTATAAAAGAGAAAAAATAAGAAAAAAAAATTCAACCCCTTCATAGGATATAATTTTGTGCTTTCTCTTGGCAAAATAAAATCAATTATTTGAGTAATTAGCTGTCAATTCACAAATTTTCTATTAAGCTCAACACAAAATTTCGATATTATGTATACTACAACATGCAGAAACAAATAAGCATGCTAGGTTTTCAGGAAACTTTCACAACCTTCATTTTCCTCCATGCCTTTGTGTATAAAACTTGCTGCAATGACCCTTTCTAAGTATTTCGTACCTGAACATTTCAGGACAAAGCTTGAGACTTTTGATCAAAAGTATCTGGTTGAAATGCTGTCTATGAGAAATCAGTGAAAACTTGTCTGCTGCTCAGACATGGTTGAGTCACTGTCTTCCATTCTCAAAAAGCTGTCTAGCTGCTACACAGTTGAGCAGTTGTAGTTACCGAACAAGTTTAAAGAAAGATACTTGAGACCATTTCAATGAGATTCATACTTTAAATATATTAAGCATCCACTGAAAACAAATTCAACTCCAAATCAAACCTCACTGGTTCTTCCCTGCTCTGGAAAGTCAAAATATCACTCCCTGAGCAATGAAACTAAATCTTAGAGCTGCCTACTCACATGTCATTTTTAATCACCAAACTAATTAATCACTGTTGTCCAATGACACCCTAACTTCTGGTGAGGCCAGTTAAAAGATATTTGAGATTATGTCTGAAAAAAATAACTTCACCCCAAAGCTGAGATTGAGCTAACCTGAAAATCAAGATCTGTCCCCAAATTACTTACACTCACCTCGGAGAGAGGCAATCCATTACCAGAGTAACCACTTGACTTGGAAGACAAGAAACAGCAACGCCTGAGCCTCTTCGTCCAACTTCTGGGAAAGAGCCTCTAACAGCAAGGCTGTCAATAAAACAATAGGTTAGGGATCTCTTCTGGGGAAAGGAAAAGATGTAAAAATACTTTACTATAGGGTCTGCTCTGGTTTGGGATCCTGGAGTTCCTGCTTCTTTCAGGCTACCTCTGTTCCTAAATGACGCTTGTCTTTCCCTCCCTCTCTCTTTTTATTCCCTCCCCCTCGGGTTTGCCCCTCCCTAACATTTTTTTTTTTCCTTCGTTCTTTTCCTTGCCAGCAGATTCTGAGTTTTGGCTTCCCCCAGCTTTGCTCAGTGACATGATGAGTCCGAATCATTTCTACAGATTCCCCAGAGACAGGAGCCAGCTTTTACTTTTTCTCTTGCAGCATTTACTAAGCGGACTGCTTTGTGAATTTGAATGACTCATTTTTTCCCCCGCCGACCTCCAGATCTTCCTCCCGTCCATCAGGCATTTTTATAAGAAAATCCCAGAGTCAGCGTTGCAGACCCGGCTGAGGGGACAGAGCCGAGGGGACAGATACTCTAGGGTGGCAGAAACAGCTGTGAAGTCATCAGGCAGCTGAATTCAGTCTCTAAGCCAGCAAAAATCCATGTTCCTAGGTTTTCCATTATTCTTTATATGTGCGTGATAGTCATCTGAAGCTTAAAACCCCACTTGTTGAGTGTTAATTCATTTAGGAATGAGGGTGGGAGGCACAAATGTTTGTGGTTAAGGGGGAAAGCCAGTTATATTGATTTAAACATGATTGTTTACTGCTTTTGCAAGGAGGTAACTTTAGCAGCACCAAGATTATCATCATCATGATAATTGCTACCATTTATAGAGCACCTACTGTGGACATGGCACAATATTAAGAAATGTCACATATTAATGTTAATTCTCACTAGTTCATAAATGAGGAAACAGGCTCAGAGAGGTTAAGTAATTTAACAAAGATCACCCAGTAACAGAGACACCCTTGGTTTGAACCCTAATCTTTAATGGATATATATATCATTTGGGGAGATTGTTAAATTTAGATTCTGATTCAGTAAGTCTGTAACAAGCTCCCTACCTATGTTGAGACCTCTGTTCCTTGGCCCACTTTAAGGATCAAGGTATTTTAAACATTCAAACATATACAACTTGACACATCATACTTAAACAATAAAGTTAAACATCTATTTCCCACCCCATAAACCTGTAAGTGACTTTATAGGTTTATGCTTTCTTACAGACAAACTGTGAAATTTTTAAAACCTTGAAACATATAAAGCCCAAGATTGTCTTTTTGAGGAGAAAAGATAATACTGGGAGCTCATCCTACACTCTGTAGTTAAAAGTTTACATCCTCCATTTTTTCATCTGCACAAGTGTTAATAACCTCTTCTAATTAATACTGTGAACCACAAATCCAAATTAACTCTTGGAAGAGATTTGTTTTCCATCTTTCTCTCAAATTGTTAGATTTCTCTAATAGCTGGCAAAGGGCTTGGATGTTCTCAAACATCTCGCCTCTCCTCTACCACAGCACACTCTCTCCAGCCTTGCCTTGTAGCAATACCCTGATGACTTGTCACAAAAAGAGAGGGACCAGAAGTTGTTTATTCTGGAATGAAAGCCAGAGAGAGGGTTATGTCCTTATAAAAAATAAAGTTGAAAAGTCCCTGAGGTTGGGGGAGTCATGGCAAGTACCTGGAGGCCTTGGTCACCATGATCCTCACACTTTAAAAATGTCAGACCTAAAGAGACAGCTTTCATATCTGAGGAGTACCGTCACTTGGTGTTGAGGGTCAGGAATACTTAGAACCAGGGCATTTCAGAACTTGCCAAAGTTGCCCCCGGAAGATGGTAAGATGGGGGCCGCTGGCTACGTACAATGGAGGTTCTTGAGAAGCTCCTTAACAGAGCTGTCTTCTCACCTGCAAACTCTGGCCCTTGAGGGCAATTCCCCTCTATTTTCTAGTACCACTTTGCCTGCAAGATAGCCCAATAACTGCACTGAAGCTCTGAATATCACCTTATTCTGTTGAAAAGCATGCTTTCCTGTTACCAAAGCTAAAGGTGCAAACATTGAACGTCTAGAGAGAGGACAATGGCAGCTTTTTTCATAGTAAGCCCTTGACTGAGTCTATAATGAGGCGCAGTGAGTGTGTCTGTGTCCTAGGAGCACAAATCTGTCATCACTTCCAATACCAAAGCTTTCTTCAACCTTGTCAGGCTCAGGTGCCTCATTCACACCAATGCTCCTCCACAGGGTGTGTGCACCTGCCTTGATACACAGGTACACATCTCTAGACTCTGAGTAGACAACCAATGATTTGTATTTTAAATTCAAAGAGGTAGAAAGTTTTGGTATAAAGCAGACATTGTATCAGAAGAATAGAAGCCTGTCATCCTAACCACTGACACATGCAGCTTTAACTGACTTTACCTCTTCAAATTGAAATTCAAAGAGAATTCCTAGTGATCTATGCCTGTTGTTTCTGAATGTTTATTCCTCCTTCCACTCTGTGTCTACAAAGTATTAAACACCCCTGGGCATCCTTTGGGGACACCTGCCCCCAAATGCAAAATTTCATCCACAATGCAACCAGCCTTATTTCTGCGAGCCCTCTATTTTCACAAAGAAGAGGAAATCTCTCTAGTTCTTTCTAAAGCACATGGCTTTAGGAGACTCCTTTAAGTTTGGAGAACTTTTCTCAAAGCCTCCAATGCATGAATTATATCTATGCCCCTAACCCCCATAGACATTCAACATTTCCTTCCCAGATCTTTCAAAAAGCAAAGCAAAGATCCTTACCTTTCCCAGCCAGAGTTAGACTGAGACAGCTGCCTGCCCTGCCAAGAGCAACCCAGACAGGGGGATGCAAATCACCACATTAGGGACCGTAAACAAAGTACTCAGCAAGGCTTAAACACAATTAAGGGACCGGAGACAATTTGGCAAGAGGAAATCCCTTAAATGCTGCTGGATTTTACTCTGTTGTCCTCCATGAAAATGTAACCCATATATATGTGTGTGTGTGTGTGTGTGTGTGTGTGTGTGTGTGTGTGTGTGTGTGTATACAGACAGAGACAGAGAGAAAGGGCATCAAGTTTGAGAAGAATATCTTCCTTCACTTTTCTCTTTTTATATCTTTATTCAGGCACTAATTTGCAAGGTTTTTCCTATCCAAAGCCCCCATTCTGATGCTCTCCCTCTGTGAATCAGAACCTGCAGAAAAGAATTCGTAATCTTTGCTCTACATTTCTAAGGGAGTATGGGGTTGGAAAGTGTGTATGTAGGGGAATGGGACCATAAACCATCCTCTTTCCCAATAACATGCAGGTAATAAAAGGAGTACAAGGAAGATTAGGATTAGTGGTGAGAATGGCATTTGGTGCCTGAGTGGACCCTCTCCCTAATGTCAGAGGAGTGGTCCTATTGGTGCTCTTCATTGGAGGATGTCAAGGCACCATAGAAATTATGTTATACTGAAAAATCACACCTCCGAGGTGACCTTCCACCAAAGGCATTGTAAACGGCAGAGCTGGGAACATTTGCTGTTCCAGAGAGAATGCCCCAAATTGCAAAAATCTCATTTTTTTTTCTTTAGAAACAAAATGAAAGACAAAGTTACTTAGGGGAGAGGGGTCTGGGAGTGGAGGAGGGCAGGGAGCATGGTGTGTACTATGACAAAGAGGTCATTTTGCCCATTTCCCTAAAGTGGAAGCCAAAGATTCAGGCTCTAAGGTTGCAAAAGGGGATGTTTTGATTTTCCTATTGAGTTTGTGCTGTTGAAGACCTGGCAATTTCTCCTCTGGGAACACATGAAGTTCGCATTTTGTGAAGCATGCCCCCATGTGCATTTGATTACTCGCCTGTCTTTATTTCCAATTTGCTTTTGCTTGGTGTGTTTGAGCTGGCTAATTTCCAGCAGCCTTGAGGATGCCAGTTCCTCTTGGCCTTCTGTCCAATCACCACATGCCTTTGATCTCAGTCATCACCCAGTCCAATTGGATGCAGGGAGATTTGGGAAGCTGGCCAGGTTTTCTCCTCTCTAATGCTTCTTTTAAGGGTGTGCCTGCATTTATGTTCTGAAATCATGGACATTTTGGAAAGTGATCTGTGCTTCTGTGTTCATTTTGGATAGCAGGTCATGTTATTATTCCTCCTTTTCTTTTTTTCTCCTCCAAAACACTTTTCTTTGAGGTCTAGGACATTAAATAGAGAGATCTGATAGTACCAAGAGGAACAATGAATGTGCCTTAGATATAAATCTGTATTTTACTAATTGGTGGTCAATTTCTAGGTATGGGAATCTCATAAGATCCATTTGAATATAGAAAGGGAAACATACATCTTTTAGATTCACATTACAATCCCCATTCTCTTACCCCATTTTGTTCTGAGTAACTATGAAAGGTCACATAAACATAAAAAAATAGAGCTGAGTAAATAATCTCTCACTTCAACAAGAACTAATTACCATTCTGGCCTCAGATGAGAAGAATTGATTTTCTTGTCTCAAAATCAGAATATACACCGAAACTCCTGCCATCCTGATACAACCCCATACATTTTGCATCGCATTTTATGTTTATGTACGTTATTCTTTGGAGGCCAAAGATGAGGAAGCCCGAAGTTCGAGAGTTACCTCAAAATGGGCTGACACTTTCTTTCCTAAGACAAATGCACACTCCTAGGGTCAGCCTCCCTTAGTGAGTGAGCTAAGGCTCACATATTCTGGGGCTTGCAGGAAACACACCATACTTGTTTTTTTTTCAGGGAGGAGAAGGGAAGGGATCACAATGACCTCACCCCTTTGCCACTCCTCCCTATACCTGATAGCATGGAGCCCTTTGGTGCTCGTTTACAGGAGAAATCTCCCCCTAGTCTCAGGTGCCAAATATCACTTGTCTTGGTCATAAAATTATGTACATAAACATTGTGTGGCACCCAGTCGACTCCTAATCGCTGTACAATTTCTAGGCTTTGACACCAATCTGATACTGGAAATTGGAAATCACCTCGCAACATGTAAAGTGTCCTAAAAACGGATAATCAATGGTATCTCTGTAAGGGTCAGTTAGCTTTTCCCCATTCCATAGTCACAGAGCAGAATATACTTACCGACCAGATTAGCCTTGTCTCAGTTAGGTAGCACTGGCCTTAAAATGACTGGCTCAGGATGGGCTCATCAGTGCTGGCCTCCTCCAGATAATTGAAAGCACAGTTTAAACCATAGGTTTTAAGTTGCAGGCTTGGTAAGAGGAGCATGGAGGATATTTTTCACAAGTCACTTTTTAATTTTGCTGAGAAAGAAATGGGGAGGGAAAAAAAGAAATGGAGGTTCAGAGACTGGCCCTGTTTCTGGGTTTAACTCCAGAACCTGGGCTCCTTCCTTCTGAACTGACGCACACAATGTGCTCAGTTTGAAGAGGAAAGGGACACATTAACACAAGCATCTAACATGTACTACCCATAACACAGTCATCTCTCAGGTATTTGTATTTTATTTAAAGTGGCAGAGCCAGGTTTCAAATCTAGGTACCTCTTTCTTCTTCTATGTTGTGTTGTGAGGAATTCATTTTTAAAATTATATTATGTACATTTTCCTAAGTTTAGCTTAAGTCTCATTTTCTTGGGTTCAGGGTGATATCCTCTAACTAGATTTAGTTTGGGAAAAGTGCTCTGAAAAGGGGTGCCTACTGCTTCTAGAATGATTAAGCCATGTATTTTGCCTTGTATACATCTGAGCATTAAAATAGAGCTGCATTACTAAGCAGATTTGGGTAGGTTTGAGGCCGGGACAGACATAGGCCTGGTACCTGCGGAATCCGTGGAAGATGCCATAGCAGTCAGGCCACTTCAAAAGTCACCCAGGCCATTCCTCTGCCTTCAGAAGCATTTTAGTTCCTGTGCTCCTTTGGGTGCCAGGAACTTGCTAAATGCTCTAGCTGAGCAGATGCAAAACAGTGGGCAAAGCATGGTCTCTGCTTTCATGGAGTTTACCATCCAGAACAGGAAAGTCACAGGGACACCAACGTGGGTAATCCTTTTCTTGAAGGAATAACAAACGGCTGTGGAAGGCCCAGGGAAGATGAAATCAATTCAGGCCCAGGGGTGTGTGTGTGTAGGGGGTAGGGGGTGGTGGAGGTTGGAATCTTCATGGCACACAGGCATTTAACATTATAAATAGAAAAGGAAAGAACATGATTCTAGGTGGAAGAAACAGCCTGTATTCAAGCATAGCTTTGAAAAGTGCAAGTCTTCTACAAAGAGCACTGAGTAGCCTGTTTGGCAGAATTTTAAAGAGCACAGGGCAGGCAGAGAGCAGTCAAAATAAGACCGGAAATAGTTTATGGTCGGATTATCGCCTCGATGGCGAGTTTGGACTTTCTTTTGAGAGCAATGTGGTTTTGAACAGGATTGCACAGTGAGCTCTGTGCATTATAAACAGTAGCCTGACTTTATAGAGTGTTGGCATGTCCTAGGGAAAGTCAATATGGGGAAGAGGGAAAGCAGGTTGAGACACCAGTTGGGATGCCTCTGTGATTGTCCAGGTAAGAGGCAATGGGCACCTGATATTGGCAAACGCGGACAGGTAGGAAATCACTGCAATGGTAGAATCAGCAAAACTCAGCAATGAATTTCAAGTGGGGAAAGTTATCAAGGGAGAGGAGTTTGTAAGGTTTTAAACTAAGTAATTAATAGCTTGAGGTTGCTGTGAGCAGAAATAGGTCAGGACAAGGAGTAGATGTGGGGCGAGGAATATGTGATAATTTTGTTAGCGTAGCTATTCACTTCTCCGGTGGAGAGGCAAATGCTAGAGAAGGTTGGCATTACTGCCTAACTAGTAAGTTATGATGCATTGTGTGAATTGTCAAAAAATTCTGTCATAGGCTCACAAATAAAATTTCGAGTAAAATTATGAATAATTTTATAATTCACTTCATTCCATATGCATATGCACACACACACAATTTTGCTGACACACATACAATATATACACACCAGCTGTGAGATTGCTAATGTTTTGCATAGAATAAAAAAAATTTAAGTATTCCAATTTGAGACTTTATTTTTACTGACCATATGCAAAGAATTTATTGATGATACATTCAATTTTAAATTGCTTGAAAATAAGAACATAACTATGCAATTCTTTTTTACAGTGTTAGACATTATTTTAAAATAAGCACTACATAGATATCTTCTGGTAATGAAAATATTTTCTCCAGTGGTTACTACTCTAAGGTACTACTCATGAGGAAGGAATATATAGAAGGTTCTTGTCTTGCCACTTCACATATGGAGAAACGCTTTTGCCTTACTAAGAACTAATTTTATGTTGCCCCCATGAGTGAATACTTTAAAAAAATAGCAATCCAAATCCACTACAGATTTATTTTGGAATGTCCTGTTTTGGGCCTCATGCAATGGAAGCAAGCCTTTATGTTGAGGGGTTTACCATGAACATGTTGGTTGGGAAATCATCTGTCAGTTCCTCAAGGACATTATCAACAATTTTGCATGCTTAGAAAGTCATTGCCAAATAAGTCAATGAATAAATAAAATAATGACTCTACATTGAAATCGGATGTAAATTTAAAACTTAGATAATTATTTAAATGGATTATTTTAAAGTACCCAGATATTTAGTGCTAAGTACATTAATTATTCCTTATCATTATAATGATAAATAGTAATTTATAAATGAATAGTAATTATAGTAATTATTCAATTACATTTGGAAAATGGTGCCTAGGACTAGAACCAAAGTCTGATTGATGCCAAAGCATGTCTTCCTAATCCCTGTGGAATATTGTTTCTGTGTTCAAATGATGGCATGCTTTCTGTAGCTCATAAGGAGTAAACTTGCCTTCAAATAATCTCTTGGGTTTTAAAATGATTGCTTCACCAGAAAAAAAAATGCCATTGCCTTCCCACAGAACCTCTGTAGTGTTATATTAATTGAGGATAGAACTAGCTCAACAAATCTTTTGGGAGCATTTTTATCCTCTTAAAAAGTCTTTGATATTCACGATGTGTGTGGGTAGTAGGAAACAGAACACTTTGCCCAGCTGAACTGAGTTCAAAATAGAACTGTTTATCTAATGAACTTATCTTATGGAACAATGCAGAGAACAGATCTCTTGCTCTCTTTCTTTAGATAAAATTTTTAAAGTCTCGTTTTGTAAAGGAGACAGAACTTTGCTGTCTCCTTCTTGTTTACTTAAATAAACTATACAGGAAACAGGCATTATTGTCTTTGAAAAAGCAATGTAAAAACTTGGTAAAACCAATGATCCCCAGAGAGTACACAGCCACAGAATGAGAACACGATGTTTCTTCCATCAGGGCACACAGAAGGGCACCGAGTCTACTTTGAATTCCAGCTGTACATTTGTACCCAGTTAATGAATCTGCTGTTGATAACTTTGGATGACTTCCAGTATGATGGACTCAGTAGTCTCAGGGAAACCTTGCTTCCCTGATTTATTTCTTGCTATTTATTTTCTAAGTTTAACTTAGTTTGCAAAACTTTCTTTACAGCACTGATAGGGCTTGATTACCTTATTTTTACAGCGCTAATAGGGCTTGATCATCCTTTTTCTAGAATCTAGGTTATAGCATGAGGTTTTGGATCGCTTCCACAATAAAATGAACATTTCTGACTCTCCAATATTATGCAATTAAAATTAGCCATTAACTGAAAGTCGAGAAACTTGAGTTTGATTCTTTTCCTCTTTGTGGCTTGGGCAAGTCACCCAACTTCTGAGTGCTCTATTGTCAGATCTCAGGATTCCATCTGTAGATACTTCATTATTCTTTTCTTAGAAAAAAAAATCCTATCTGGGCTCAGAATATCAGAGAACTGAGACAAGACAACTTGGGGAAATAGCTAACACTACTACACAAGCTACCAGAACAGCTGTAGGAAGCCTCTTTTTTAAAAAAATATTCCCTGATGCAACATCTGTCAGCAAAGCCACTGACCTTTTACTGTGGATAGTCATCTATTTCCATGTGAAGAGAGTCACAGGCGTCTGGCTCGGGGACTGACTGCAGCACAAAGGTTTTCTTCAGTCCCAATCAGAAATTCTAGGTTTTCAGGTTCGCACACTAATTTTCACTCCTTCTTACCCAAAGCCAATGCAGTAAGGAGCATGGGGTGTCCAATACCATAATAAACTGTAAACTGCATTTGAAAGGAAAGCAGCAGGGGCCAGAACTCACACTTGTGGAGCCTCACCCTGCTGTGACTGACATGACGTAAGTCGGAGACCTCGGTTCACAGTTTTATGTGACAGGACACAGGAGCAGCCAACTTTAGGGAAGACTGATAGGAAAGCCCAAGGGTGAATCTCTCTGGGAACAGGAAGCATGTACCGCGGGACCAACAAGGCTTTTGGACAGAGAACTTTCACGGGTTTTGTAGAAGCAACTGGGCTCCCCTGAGGCTGCCAAGAGGGTGTGCTCTGATCACATGGACTGTGCATTTCCTTAGAGCACCTCCCTTCCCAGCCCACGGAATCCAGAAAGAAGCTGCTGTGCTGCTGTGTGACCTCCATCAGTGCAGTGGATTCCTTTATAAGCACACAGTTCTCATAAGCAGAGAAAAACGTAACACTGTATATTCCTCTCTTCTCCAAATTTTCTTATTTTCTTTTTGGTAAGGTTACAATCTTACCACTGTCAAATATGTCCTGTACACCAGGGAGGATTTGTGCTACCTGCCTCAGAATCACACAGGGTGCTTGCAAAAAATACAGGTTTCTGGGCTCCACCCCAGACCTACTACATTACTGCATCAGGATAGTGTGTGTGTGTGTGTGTGTGTGTGTGTGTGTGTGTGTGTGTGTGTGTTGAAAGGTCAGAAACTTGTGTTTTTTATCTGCATCCATATGAAGTTTGAGATCCTCTGCTTAATGCTAATACAGAAAGCTATCAAGTTTGCAAATCCGGCCTCACCCCTCTTTAAAACCCATCCATGATTCCCCCTCATCTGAGGTCTAGAATCTCTACATGACACACAAGTCTTCCCATGAGCTGGCCTCTCCCTTTCTTTCCAGTCTCAGCTCCAGCTTGGATCAAATTACAAATCACAAACAACACATTATTTTATGTTTGTCATGCTTTGTTGGTTCCTACTCTTGGAGGCTCAAGATGATGTCTACTCATCTTTTCATGACTACCTCAAGCATCACCTGCTTCTAGAAACCTTCCCTGGTAAGTCCTCCTCTATTTTCAGACTAGGCAGCATGAGGTCCCTTCCCCCATGTTCCCGTAATGTTTATGCCAGTGTTTCTCAATCTGAGTACTTTTGACATTTGGGGCTGGATAATTATTTATTGTGAAGAGCTGTCCTGTTCGTTGCAGAATGTTTAGCAGCATCTCTGGCCTATACCCACTCTATGCCAGTAGCAACCCCTCCTCTCCTGCACAGTTGTGACAACCACGAATGTCTTCAGACATTGCCAAATCACCCTGGCGTGAAAATGTTCCTGGCTGAAAATACTGCTCTGTGCTTACATGTATCATAGCCCTCAAAAAATAGTGTGGAAAGTGGCTGTTTGCTTGTTTATCTTCTCTAATCTAAAAGACTGAGAGTTTCTTAAGAGTAACGAGTGTACAGAATTAACCTTTGTGTCCCCTACACTAAAGCACAACATCTAATGCATAGTTAGACATAAAATACACATTTCTTGAGCAAAGCGTTATTGATGGACTAGATGTCAGAAACCCTAGCCAATCTTGGTTGGCTCTACTGCTTGCAACGTTGTGACTGTGGACAAATAAGTCAACAGCTCCGTGCCTCAGTTTCCCTTATTTGGAAAATGGGGGTAATAGTGCCCTCCTTGCATATTTGGGTCATTATGCAGGTATGGGAAAGTATAAAGTGCAGGAAGAACCCTGGTTATAGTAATGTGACCTAAAGGTTGCTGCTCTCATATTTGCCTTCTCTGGAAACATTGAAAGTTCAGGGCCACCCACACAATATCATCCACTTTAACAATAGCTGGAGGATTTCATTAATGCAGAACATTATAAATGTGAGAAATCTTATGGAAAATGATTGAACCTCCAGTATGGAATGAGACCAACATAATTGTTAAAAGAATTCTCTTAACATAATGCTGTACAGCACACTATGAATATCCTAAAGGTCAAACGCTCTCATCCGTATCTGTTATGCCTCCTGCTAAAGACTCAACCAGGCCTAAAGGAGCCTTCTCTGCTACAGACCTGTCTGATTTTCTGTTCTTGAGGAACTGCAAATCCCATTCTTTGCACCCTCTTCTGTCCTTCTTCCTTTCTGCTCTGTGCTAGGACAGCCAGCTGCTTCCTTGCTTCCTGACTCTTAATATCAGTTATAGGAAATTAGCAGGTTTTGCATTGGGATGCCTCTCCTATTATTTATTACCTTCAAGAAGAGCTTTGTCTCTCTTTCATTGTCTCTTTCTCTGTCTCTCTCAGTCTCTCTGTATCTCTCTCTCTCTCTCTCTCTCTCTCTCTCTCATCTCTCTCTCTCGTTCTCTCTCTGACTCTCTGTCTCTCTCTCTCTCTCTGATTATTTTATGACTTCCTTTTATACTTTGTCCATTCCACTACTGTTGCCTCCGTGCTATCCAAGCACTGTGGTAAGCTGATTTATATACAGTATCACTCTCCCTACTTTTACAGAAATAATTAGCTTCCAGATTGTGTTCAGCTAAGAAGCACCCCTGTTGCATGGAAATGTGGACTGTGCTTCTCCCTTCACCACCATCAACCCCCACCCCCCACCAGCTGCAGCTGGCCAGGCTTTCTTGTTAACCATTTCATGCCCCAAACACTTAGAGTACAAAAGCACTTAAAAACTGTAACATTCTCTACAAACGTGTCAAAAAGTCCTAAACACATATACTGACAGTGCAACAAGAAGGCTTGGAAATTATCTAATCTAGCTCTTTCACTTTAGATTTGGGCATATTGAAACCTGAAGAGGTTAAGTGACTCACTCGTTACCATTTTCTTTGCATTTCTAATCATCTCAAAAGGCAATCTGAATCATTCTGTAATCTTTTTAGTGTATCATGACTAATCTTTATTTTCCAATCTTTCCTATACTTCATGGTCCCCTCTTTTAAGCTTGAAATAGTAAGTTCCTTTTAGTATAGGCTTTGGAGATGTTTCATCTGAAAGAGGTGATAGATGTTGTTTTTAAAACACTGAGTTCTATGTATCTGTTTTTACAAGTAGCACAAGGTTTAGGGTAATTAACAAGTTTTTATTTTTTGCATATATTTAGCTATGGGAGAATATATATCCATGTTTAGATTTACTATGGTACATCTATTTATTTATTTTAAAATTTTATTGTGGTAAGAACACTTAACATGAGAACTACTTAATTATTGTTGGCTATATCAGAATTGAGTCAGTTTTCCATATTATCCAGTAAAGTATGTTCACTTTGAAAAAATTTTTCAATGTGCATTTTACTATATTTTTCCTAAAGGCATGGAAATTCTTATTTAAATATTTCCTTTTTAGCTCATTGTATTAGTCTGTTCTCACGCTGCTAATAAAGACATGTCCAAGACTGGGCAATTTATAAAGGAAAGAGGTTTTATTGACTCACAGTTCAGCATGACTGGGGAGGCCTCAGGAAACTTACAATCATGGCAGAAGGGAAAGCAAACGTGTCTTTTTTCACACGGCAGCATCAAGGAGAAGAATGAATGCTCAGCGAAGGGGGAAGCTACCTATAAAACCATCAGATCTCATGAGAACTAACTCACTATTATGAGAACAGGATGGGGAAAACTGCCCCCATGATTCAATTATCTCCACCTGGTTCCTCCCAGGACATGTGGGGATTATGGGAACCACAATTCAAGATGAAATTTGGGTGGGGACATGGCCAACTCATAGTACTCATTAACCTTAATACATCATTTGCTATCCTTTGAAAAAAATCCTTCTCAAGGCTGTGTTAATCTGTTTATAACCTACGATTAAAGTTTTCAAAATAAATTTTCAATAGGAGACTACAGTGTATAAATTATATGTCAGTGCCTGGCATAAACTAGACACTCATTTATTTTTAGTTCCCTATACCCACTAAAAGTATATGTTTTGACTTTCCCTATAAAATAATGCCAAACATTTCACGATGTGATAGCCAAACTGAAATTATGCTTCTATGATCTTTCAGAAATGTTCTTGGATAAATGAGTGAAAAGGAAATAAAAATAACCTTTAAGTGTTAGGAAACCTTTCAATCCAGCTACACACCAGCTTTACCCACTCACTTCCTTCTCTCTTCTGCGCCCTCTACCGACTACCAACTGCAAGTCTGTATTAAATTAGCAAATTTAACTGTTTTGAACAACAAAAAAGCAATTTTCCCCAGCCTATGCCTGAAAGTCATTAAAACACAAATGATTGCTTTAAAGAATCATGTTGTCTTTTTTCTTTTTTTAGTGGCACCAGGAAAACCTAGCTATAATGTAAAAAATGAGACAATATAGATAAACCTAAGTAAAAAATAAAAATCACATCAACTCCACCTTCAACAGAACTACCAATATTTTTTGTATCTTCACTCTGCCTTCTCTACATAATATGTACGTTATTTTTCTTATAAAAATGGGATTATATATTTTGTATATAATTTGTATAAACTTTCTCTTTTTGTATTAACCATCCATGGCAAACTCTTTTCATGTCAATAAACGGATAATCAGAAATGGCTACATCGTGTTCCATTGCAAGGATGTCCCACAATATCTTTGTGGGCACACATTAAGTCTGCTTCCAGCTTTTCTTGTTGCTTTTTTTAAAAAATTTCCTCTCATGTCTCATCTTCTCCATGAATATATGATAGAAACTAGGGCCAATAGTGATAATAATTAATCTCAGGGGCTACAAATGACAGGTATCTCAATATACACACTCTTTTGTTAAATACTTCTGCCTCATTCCATTTCCTATACTGCTTATTCTTTCCTACTAAATTGCATCTAAATATGCAGTATTAGTTCACATTTAGTGTGCACACAATAGTGAACATTTTGTAAAGATGTAAATTTTTTTCTCAATAAAATTCAAGAATTTTCACCTCCAAAAATGAGAGTTGGCTTTCATGAAGAAGGTAAAATCTAAATACATAAAAATAATGAGAGAAAAAGATAAGAAATAAGGGCTCCTAATACAAGGGATTTAGTCTATGCAAAGTAGAAATTCCAGAGAATATAATGGAACTGAAAGAACACAAGCAAAGGTGAAAACAATAGAAGGAGAACATTTTGAGCCAAAGAAATATTTAAATTTGATACTTAAAAAGATTAACTGAAAAGAAATGGAAAAAATATCCCCATGTTTCTAGATATATCCAGGCAAAATTCTTGAATATAAAAGACAAAACTTTCTATGAGAATCAAGGCTTTACACCTGTAATCCTAGCTTTTTGGGAGGTCGAGGCGGGCGGATCACAAGGTCAGGAGATCGAGACCATCCTAGCTAACACAGTGAAACCCCGTTTCTACTAAAAATACAAAAAATTAGCCAGGCGAGGTGGTGCGCGGCTGTAATCCCAGCTCCTCGGGAGGCTGAGGCAGGAGAATGGCATGAACCCCGGAGGCGGAGCTTGCAGTGATCTGAGATCGCGCCACTGCACTCTAGCCTGGGCGACAGAGCGAGACTCCGTCTCAAAAATAAATAAATATAAAAAATAAAAAGAATCAAGGCTTTAAAAGCCTCATGTATTCTATAAGGGAATAGAAGTCAAGCCATTTTCCCCAAAGCTGAATGCCAAGCAGTCACTGTTTACAGAATTTTGAGCGTGAAATCAAATTAGGAACTCATGAATAGTGAAGATGTAGTTTACAAGTACTCAAAGTAAGCAATAAGGTCATACTTTAAAAACATTTTACAAAAGTAAAACTATAATTCTTTACAGAGAACAGGCATGTCTTAAACCACAATAATACTAATCCAGATTTTTATTCCGAGGTATAAGCAAATCCAGGAAACGGCAGATGTTAGTGAGAGGAAGTATAAACTTAATATATTTATTTTACACAGAGAGAGTCAGAAATAATTTTTTTCTTTATACTAACATACATGATATATCTATTCAAAACCTAAAGGTAACTATAAATAAGATTGTCTCTTTTTTTTAAATAATTTCACTTCTTCATTTCTAATGTTCCTTCTTTTAAAAGACAGTCATATAGGATGGATGTCTATTTTAGTTGTCTATTCCTGCATAATAAACAACCCCAAATATCAGTGGCTTAAAAGAACAAGAGTTATTTATTTTGCCTGTGAATCTGTAATTTAGCCCAGGCTCAGTGGTGAGAGCTCATCTCTGTCTGCTCCAGATAGTGTTAGCTGGGGCAGTCCAACAGGATTGGACGGGTGGGTGGGAGGATCTGCTTTCAAGAGGACGCCTTGATATGGCTGGCAAGTTGGTGCTAACTGCGACTGGGGAGCTCAGGCTCCAGAGCTGTTGAGGCCAGGCTGTTGGTCAGGCGCTTTAGATGTCCTCCAAGACATAGTCTTCATAAGATGCTTGGGCTTCCTCCTGGGATGGTGTCTGGGTTTTGGGTTCTAAAATGATGTCCAAGTTCTGACTTTGTAGGCAAGAAGTTTGAATTGTATATAATGCACTGTCAAGTCATTGGAGCATTTTAGGGAGGGAGTGTCATGATCTCTGGGTTCTGAGAGAGCTCCAAAAGAAACAGGAAGCTGTTTATCTTTTATGACCAAGTCTTGGAGGTCACAGAACATCACTTCTGATGTAGTCAGAAGTCTGCTCCAACTTAAGGTGAAGGAACACAGGCTCTACCTCTTGGTGAGAGAAGTGTTAAAGTCATATAAGAGATTATGTGGGAAGAGAAATACTGTTGTGGCCATTTTTGAAAAATACAATGAGTCTATCTTCAAAATGCTAAAGGAAAAAAAAGGCTTTGTTTAAATTTTAAATTTAATTTTATATTTTTAGAGATGGGTTTCACTCTGTCACCCACGCTGGCACAAGCATAACTCATTATAACCTCCAATTCCTGGGCTCAAGTGATCCTCCTGCCTCAGCCTCCCAAATAGCTGGGACTATAGACCTGAGCCACCATGCCTGGCACAAAAAAGTATTTTTAAAATCCCCAAATAGATGCCCTTATTTGGCTTGGTGGTTATGAGAAATGCCTTGGAATAAAGGGATCTGGATTTGAATCCCATTTGTAATATTTACTTTCTGTATATCTGTAAAAATGTCCTTTAGTCTTCTTAAACCATCTGTTAAATGGAAATATTGATACTTAATTCACTGGGTTTGTAGTGAGATAATATACTTTTAAGTACTGCGCATGGTCACTGACACATATTATACTGTCAATAAACGGTATTTTTTGTTTCTTGGTGTTTTTTTTTTTTTTTTTTTTGAGATGGAGTCTCGCCCTGGCACCCAGGCTGGAGTGCAATGGCACGATCTCGGCTCACTGCAACTTCCGTCTCCTGGATTCAAGCGATTCTCCTGCCTCAGCGCCCTGAGTAGCTGGGACTACAGGCGCGCATCACCACGCCCGGCTAATTTTTTGTATCTTTAGTAGAGACGAGGTTTCACCATGTTGGCCTAGCTGGTCTCAAACTTCTGACCTCGTGATCCGCCCACCTCGGCCTCCCAAAGTGCTGGGATTACAGGCGTGAGCCACCATTCCTGGCCTAAATGGTAGTTTTTAAAAAGACAAGAAAGACTGCAATACTACTGTTTACATTGCTTGGGAGTTCCAGCCCAGTGATTGTCAAGTTTGTTTTTATCAGTAGAACCCTTTGCCTCTCTGGCCAGGTGCAATGCCTGTAATGCCAGCACTTTGGAAAGCCAAGATGGGAGGATGGCTTGAGGCCCGAAGTTTGAGACCAGCCTAGGCAACACAGTGAGATCCTCGTCTCTCCAAAAATAAATAAATAAAAACCTTTGCTTCTCATAAACACTTCTTCAGAGTCTGAATGCAGAAAACCAACAACTTAGCTTTTATTTGTAAAGCAAAGATGACAGAGCCTAGAGCTCTGTACCTGCTAGTTTACCCTACTTCCTGCAAAGACACCAGGAGCATCTGCTGAGACATTATGAAAACCATTGTTTCAGCCCAGCTCATTTAATATCATGGGAAAGAAAAATGATTGGTACAGCTATTAGAAAAGCTATGGTAAAGTTATCTCCTTTTTTCCCCTTAACAATATGATTGTCTATTTAGAAAACTGAAGAGAACAACTTAAAAACTAATAGAACTAACAAAAGAATTTAGTTTGGTGACTAATTCATTTATCATTTATAAACACACATATATATATACATACACATATATCTATAGCCCTAGATCCAAATCTCTCTCCCTCTGTATGTACATATATATATATATTCTAGATATATATCCAGAATTCTTATATTATTTCACCCAATAGATATTTGCATACTTATTATGTGCCAGGTGTGTGCTAGCGACTGGGGAGGCAGTGGTAAGTAGGGTAGCAGGTCTCACTGTCCAGCTTATGCTCTGATGTGGGAGACAGACACTTAACTAATTACTAACTAACTGAGATTAGTGTTGGAAAGCAATTAATATTTATTTACTTATTTACTTTTTATTGTTTTCCTCCTACCCCCACTGGGGTACAAATCCAATAATAAATGCAATAAATTTCATGCAAGAAGAAAAGAAAAGGCTGAAATAAAAAAAAAGAAGAGTTGAGGGAGGGTTGGGGTTAGGGGAGGAGAGTCTATGGAAGGAGTGCTCAAGCTGATACCCAAAAGGTAAGGATGGCTGAAGTGCTGAGGAGGACAGGTGAAGTGGAGAGGACAGCATGGGGGTGCGGGGGTTGAGAAGAGAACACAGGACTTTGTAGGCAAGGAGTTTGAATTATATTTAATGCTCTGTGATGTCATGGGAGGATTTTAGGGAGGGCGTGGCATGATCTCCTTAGCATTTTAACACAGCTCTCTCTGTCTCTGTGTAGGGAGTGGATCCAGCAGGGAGATGTCAGAAGGTCACTGAATCATCAGGGCAACATTGATAGTGGCGTCAGCTGGGTGGGCAGTCCAGATAGAAAGAAATGAACAGATTTTAGCTATGTGGGAAGTAGAAATGGAAAAATTGTTGACAAATCAGATATAGGGTTTGAAGAAAGCAGAAAAATATAGTTGTAAGGTTTTCAAACTTCCAAACAAATCTGATTTGTCCTCATGGACACACAACCTTAGTGAAAAAGCAAGCAGGAGGCGCCTAAATAAGTTTTCTTCCCTGGCGGAAGTGGTCTATATTAAGTCTGCTGAAGTCACCCAAGCATAGTCTACTTTCCCAGAGAAAGACAGCCAGGACTCTGATTCAAACTTGAGACCTCCACTATAAAGTGAAGATTTCAGGTGCAGGAAAAAAGACATCGATATTTATGCAGATTAGTATGAGGGTGCAGTTCTGTAGTCTGGGGATCACAGCCCAAGTGTAACTCTAGACTTTCGGGCTGAAATATCCTGGTGTTGAACTTGGATCTCCTGCCATAATGAATCAGGGAACGGAAGGGACTTCGTAATACAATACATCCAGCTTGTCTGTGGAATCCCGTTACTGGAAGAAAGGTGAATGATGACTTTATTCTCTGATCCCTTCCAGGATTCAAACAAACCTAGTGTTCTGAACTGTCATTTTGTTTAGTGAGTTTCACATAAAGTATCTGTATTAACAGGTAAAACTGTAAACTCATCTTTCCTAACATCTGATTTTCATGTTCTTATTTTACTTACGTTAGCAGGCTAAATATACCATGGACTCTCAGTCTTTATGGATGTATGACAACATGGTTTGACTAACTGAATAACAAAGTTATTATCCAATCCTTGTGCCTCAATTCCCTCATCTGTAAAATGAAAGTGGTAGACTCGATAACACATAACATGTACATAAAATGATTTCTGCAATTCGTTGTTTGTGTTCATGTGTTTACATGGACTACTGGTTAAGGATGAGATTTGGCATCTGATACATCTTTGTACTCTACAGCAGCCATTACGGCCATGAAACCATAAAAATTTATACTGAAGGAGCTTTCAGATGTAGCCTTTAATGTATTCTTTTATCTATTAGTGTACTCACTCATTTGACAAATATTTATTAATGATAAATACACAATTGTCAAATGAATGAATACATAAATAAGAAAGAGAATACATTAAAGGTGATATCTAAATTATTTTTCAGCATGACATTATATGACATTTATGGCTATAATGGTTCATAAAAAGCCTTTTGGTAATGAAGACCTTTATAAATGTAATGAGGTTAGAAGCTGTGTTCACTGCTTCATGCCTGCAGATTTGACATCCATAATAGATGCCCAAAACATGAGAAAGGGGGCTCTGAAATCTCACAGAACTGACTCTAAACTCCAGCTCTGCCTTTGACCTGCCCATGAGACCTTGGACAACTTACTTCACTTCTCTAAACTTCAGTTTCTTCCTGTGCAACCTGGAGATTATAATAGAACTGACTTCACGGTGAAATTGTTGGAATTAAATGAAAACACTTAGCATAGTTCCTGGTCCATAATGAGTACTCGGCAGGCTTAAACTATTATTAACTGACTGTTGCAAGTTATTTTATAAGCTTTAGAGGCCAGGAACAGTGGTCTCTAAAGCTTATAAAATGACATTTTTTTTTTTTTGCTTCTTCATTGCCCTACCATGATAAAACTCTAGTGCTTTTGTGTGTGTGTGTGTGTGTGTGAGATGTATTCTCACTTTGTCCCGCAGGTGGGAGTGCAGTGGCGCGATCTTGGCTCACTGTAACCTCTGCCTCCTAGGTTCCAGTGATTCTCCTGCCTCGGCCTCCCGAGTAGCTGGGATTACAGGCGTGCTACTGTACTTTAATAGGAGTAGACATGCAATAGTAAAAGTTGAATAGACTAGAACTAAACTGATTTGGATGGCAATTGAAACATTAAAATCGACTCTGCTGCAGAATTTAGAAATGCCTATCAAGTGTTCACTTTCACTTTTCGGAGTGCTTTTGCTCATATTATCTGTTTAATCATGTCAGCAAATCCTTGAGATCGGCATTATTATTTTTACATCACTGTTAAGTAAACAGGTTTAAAAAATTAAAGTGACTTGTCTGGTTCTTAAAGTGACTAGAACTTGTCCTTGACTCTTGTCTTGGGAATCCACATACAAAATTAATTCTACAATGTGAAAAATATCTTTAGGGGAAGTGAGAAGTTCTGGTCTTACCCAGATGTTTTCTCTATGATACCACGTATTTCATTCACTTCTCAATTGCTCGGTGCATAATAGCTTTTACTAGTAAATAAGAACAGATACAGTAGCCTCTCCTTAGCCATGGTTTCATTTTTTCAGGTTTCGGTTACTTGTCAACTGAGGTCTGAAAATATTCAAAGGGAAAATTCCAGAAATAAAAGAATTCATAAGTTTTAAATTGTGTGCCATTCTGAACAGCGTGGTGAAATGTTGCACCATCTCAACCCCTTCCACCTGGGACATGAATTATTCCTTTGTCCAGTGTATCCACTCTGTCTACGTTGAGTGACTCACCTGCTGGAAGGCAGCCAGCTCAGTTATCAGATTGTCTTGATAATTCAGTGCCTTTCTTCAAGTAGCCCTTATTTTACTTAATTATCCTATGTAATGAATAGTTATTGTTGTTAATATCTTACTGTGCATAATTTATGAACTAAATTTTATCACAGGTATGTATAGGCAGGGAAAATCATAGTGTATGTAGGGTTCAGTAAAGAAAAATCATAGTGTTTGCAGGGTTCAATACTATCCGTGGTTTCAGGTACCCCCTGGGGGTCTAGAAACACATCCCCTGAGGATAAGGGGATGTATACTGTATACTTTTAGTATCTCAATTTCTTGAAAAAAGTTGATCAACAGGTAATGCATGTGTGTTCTCTATGCAGTTAGACATCTGTGAACATTCATTCATTTATTTTTAATAGCATTCCAAAATGGTGTTTTTTTTCTGCTATTTTTTCATTACAATTATACCTTTATTAGAATTTTTAAATTTAAATTATGTGTAATTCAAAAACACCAAAAGGGGCAGATAGTAATAGAACATTCATGAACCCACCACCCAGCATATACATTAATATCATGCCTTATTTACTTTATACTTTATTTAAAAAATAAAATATTACAGCTACCACTGAAGTTAATCTGAATCCCTCCTATTTACATTTTAAACACTTCAGGGCATATGTATAGTTTATAAACACTATGAAGTTTCTTGCCCTGTACATCCTTCTGTGACTTGCCTTTTTCATTTAACAGTTTTCAAGATTTATTCATGATATGCAAGTATATATATTGTTTATTTAAAAAACTATCAGATGAACATATTTATTTATTTATTTACTCTGTGGTTGGTGGATATTTATGTTGTTTCCAAGTTCTTTCCACTAAAATAATGTGCATCCTTATGCAGTATTATCAGTTCTCTCAGGTATACTCAAAAGTGGAACTGCTGGGTCAGACTGTGTGTATTCTCACATTTAATAGGTCTTGTTGAGTTGTTTTTAAAACTACTATTTGCACTTTAACCAGAATGTTTTATGTTGGAACTTCCATTTCCCTGAAAATTCACCAACACCTAAAGTCAGATTTTAAAGTTTTTGCCAATTTTCTGTAAATGAAATGGTACAACTGATTTTGCATTTTTCCAATTACTATGTAAGTAGAACAGCTTTTCCTTGTATATATGCTGTTTGGGATTTTCCACTGTTCATATTCTCAGTTGCATTATTTGGGCTTTCTTATTGATTTCTGAAATTTTGTTGTATATTTTCAATATTGATCCTTTGTTGGCTATGTGAGTAACAAATGTCTTCTACCAATCTATGTGATGGATTTTAATTTGTTTATAGTGTATGACTGAACAGGAACTCTTGCTTTTTAAAGTAGGCAATAATTAATCTTTTATGGTTTGTTCTGTATTGTGTCTTTAAGAATTTTTTTTTAACTTTTAGGTCATAAAGATTTACTCCTATATTATAATTTAAAAGTTTCCACATTTTGCCTTATGCAGTTGGTTCTTTACATGTCTGCAATTTCCATTATTGTATGATATGATACAGGAATATAATTTTAAAAATAACAATAGCCAGTTGTTCCAACAGCAGTTTTAAAATTGTCCATCCGTGCTTATGTACTGTGTTTCGAAATGTACATGGACTTGATGATGGATAGAAAGCTGTTACATGAGTTTTTTTTAAATCACTTTTTCCCTAGCCCTAGGTCAATATGATATTATTTTCTTTATGATAAATCCTAATATCTTACAGGGAATATTTTTATTTTTTCCCTCCTACTTTAAAAAATTGCTTTCCTATGTTTTCAAATTGCATGACCTTTAACACTTCCTTATGAATTTTAGAATTGGTGTGTCAAGTTCCTTGAACACCCTTTATGGAAATCTATTTAAATACCATTGGATTTATAGTTTGTATAGATAGAAATGGTGTTTAAAATATTAAATATCTTAAGCCATATGTATAGTATCAGTGAGAGGTCAGTGCAGAAAACAAACACTCTCTAGGTATCTAAGCAGAAATGAATTTAATACAAGGAATTAGTTGTGGGCTAGCTCCTGGAATAAGTATGTATTTGTTTTTTTTTTGTTGTTTCCAGATGTATAGGGGGCAGAAACTGGCTATTTTTGTTCATTTGCTCCTTCTTCTTTTTCTTTTTTCTTTTTTTGCATTGTCATTGGAGAACAGTATTGATTCTTCTGTATTTGTTGAAAACATCCTTTGTGGCTTACAAGATTGCCAATTTTAATGAATGTTTTATGAGGATTTGCAAATGTTGGTGTGTTCTACTTATTGAGTATGAGGTTCTATATATGACCTTTAGATCAAGCGTATGAGTTTTATGCTTAAATCTTCCCTATCTACCAGTTTTTCTGTCTGCTTGGTCAATTTCCTAAAAAAGAGCCTTAAAATGTTCCACTGTAATGATGAATTTGCTGATTTCTCCTTATACTGATGATAATTTTTGCCTTACATATTTGAGATTAAGTTGTAAAATGAATACATACAAATTTAAGCATTCCGAGTACCTGAAGAGTTATCCTTTTACCATTAACTCAGAAACTTCTATTAACTTTTTTCTTTTAAAGTCCATTTAGTCTGATATTTTAGGAGTCACACAAGCTTTCTTTTGTTTCAGATTTACTTGTATATATTTTCCATACCTTTAACTTCACATTTCTGTGTAATTATGTTTTAGTTATTGTCTCTTATAAATACATATATCTGGGTTTTTCCTAAATTTTTATTTTGAATAATTTCAAATATGCAGAAAAGTTGAAGAAATAGAAAATAAAATCCTGGCTACCTTTCATCTAAATTTATCAATTATTTATTTTGTCACTTTTGCTTCTCTATCTATATATCAATCACACTTTTTTTAATGGAACCATCTGAACATAAGATGCAAGTATCATGCTGCTTCACCCCTAAATAATTCAGCATTCATTTCTCAAGAATAAGAATATTATTCCACTCAACCACAATAACATTTTTTACACCTACAAAGTTAACAATAGTTTTATAATATTTTCTAAAAGTGGTGCATAAACAAATACCCCCAATTATCCCAGAAATGCCTTTTAATGGCTTTTTCCTAATCCACGACTCAAGATTTATGCATGACACATAATTGTTATTTCCCTTGACTTTTAGAATAGTTTCTTTCATATTGAATTGTTTTAGTAGTTATTCTGAGGAATTTTCCACTTACTGGATTTGTCTGATTGGGGTCTTATGACTAGTTACAAGTTAGATATTTTGGCAAAAATGTTTAGGTGATATTATAAACTTATTGCATCATGTCATGGAGGCTGTGATGTCAGTTGTCCCACTATTTGTGATGCAATTGATAGCTTGGTTAAGGTGGCAACCACTAGATCTTCCCATTATAAAGTTACACTTTCCTGACTGTACGTAGTAAGTAATCAATGGGTGATTCTTTGCAATCAAATGAAAAGTCTAATCTGCATACCCTTTCACCCAGTGGTTGCAGCATCCATTTATGATCCTTGCCTAAATCTATTAATTATTAATAGGGGGTCAAAGAATGCAAGTTTTCAAATGTTGACATTCTTTCTACCTGAATTTTTTGGCATTCTTTTCTAAAGAAGAAATTTTCTCCTCTCTGTCTTCCCTATTTTTCTTCCCTACTTTTTTTTTAATTGAGTAACACTGTGGACACACAGATTTCTTTTTAAATCCAATATTTTATAATCTATTACTATAACTATTCTTTGTGATCTCAAATTTCCCAAAATTTGGAGACTGGGAACTCTTTCAAGCCAACTCCCATATCTTTTAGACATAACTCTAATTGTCTTTGAACGTCTCTCCTTATTCTCAGGCACAACATGTTTTAGGCTTACTTTAGAAGTTCCCTGCCCCAGTTCTAGAATCAGTCTTTTTTCCAAGAATCTTTTAGTAGACAATGATATACAGAAGCCAAGAACTGGCCACAGGTGCGCTCAATGCTAATGGCATGCCAATGCTTCTAGGCTTCCAGATCATTTTAATGGACAGATCAAGGAACACACACACACACACACACACACTGAATTGTACTGCATTGCTGAATATATCACAACTCGTTTTATCCATTCACCCATTAAAGGTCATTTGGGTTGTTTCCAGTTTGGGGCTAATACAAATAAAGCTTCCATGAACATTTGTGTACAAGTCAATGTTTGAACAATGCTTTATTTTTTTCTCTTGGGTGAATACCTAGGAGTATGATGATTGGATTGTATGTTAAGTGTACGTTTAACTTTTTAAAAAAATTGTCAGTTTTCCAAAGCATTTGTACTGTTTTCATTTCTACCAGCAATGTATCAGAGTTCTAGTTCCTCAGCATCCTTGCCAACACTTGCTTTGATTAATCTTTTTAATTTTAGCTATTCTAAAATAGCCATAGTGGCACTTAATTGTGATTTTAATTTACATGACCCTATTGACTAATGTTGTTGAGCATCTTTTCATATTCTTATTTGCCACCAGTATATATTTTTTGGTGAAGTGTCTGTTTAAATTTTTTTTTTTACCTATTTTTATTGGGTAGGTTTTTTTTTATCATTGATTTGTGAGAGTTCATATCCTCAAAGTTTAATATGCACAGTTAAAGTAAACTAAAAAACACTAAAGTTAATATCTTGCATCTGCCTCCTTAACACAACTCTGATCTTGCCCTCCCTTGTTCCAGGTTTCTGTAGGTTAGAACTTTTGTTCCACTTTATTTTTATATGTGCCTTTTTTTTCTGTATTCTCCCCACCCACCCATCCCATCCCCTGGCCTCTTTATTCTCTGATTATTGGGCTTCAGTAAGAAGTGTTTAGCCTTTTCAATGTGTCCTTCGTGTTTCTTAATTACTCTTTCATGTTTTCCATTTCTTTATACCTCTGTTCTGCTTCCTGGGAATTTACTCATCACAGCTACTTTCTTATTCCCTGATCTCTCTTGAACTGTGGTAGGGCAACCATTTTACCTTTCTTTTAAATTTTTAATTTTAATAACTATATTTTGTATTTATGGAGGGTCTACTTGGTTATTTTTCAAAGTCAATGCTCTTCTCTTCCCCATCTGCATTCTGAATCACATTAAAGGTAGATGCTAATCAGACAATGGATCAGCATTTCACCTTTATTACAAATAAAGCTGCTTGGAGAACAGGGCTTGGGTTTGTGGCAACAATAGAATTATAACACTCTGCCTATAATCAAACTTGCCATCCAGGCACAGGCATCATTAGGAAACCTAGATTCTGGTGTCAGAGCCTGTCCTCTTGAGTCTACTATAAAACCTAAGGCAGATGAGAATGCATATTTTCTATGAGTAGACAGTTGCCAAAAAGGAAGAGCCAGAAGGGTTGATCTAGACCTGACCAGTAGTTCCTTCTCCTAAACTCATCAACTACAGTCATGCACATCATAATAACATTTTGGTCAATGTTGGATTGCCTGTATGATGATGGTCCCATATGATTATAGCACCATATTTTTATTTTACCTTTTCTATGTTAATTAGGCTTAGATACACAAATACCATTGTGTCACAATTGCATTCAGTATTCAGTACAGTAACATGCTGTACAGGTTTGTGGCCCAGGAACAATAGGCTCTACAATACAGCCTACATATGTAGTAGAATCTACCATCTAGGTTGGTTTAAGTGCACTCTATGATGTATGCTTTAGGATGCAATTGCCCGATGACACATTTCTCAGAATATATCCCTGTCATTAAGCAATGCATGGCTGCATTTAAATCACCCATCTTCTCCAGAGTAGGAGTTGAGCAAATGAGTGAGGTCAAACATTTCCCTAATGGAAGTTCCTCCACTGGGAAACACTGCATGGGGAGGTGGGGAGAGGACCAATCATCCATTCTAAGAATATTCAGGAGCTGGTGTTGCTGGCTTTCATTCTCTCTTCCCTTTCTGAAACCTGGAAGTATCCTTTTTCACTTTTCAGCTAAACCATGTATTTACAACTATTTTCAACACGTTTTAACCAACATTTCCATGTTTGAAGCCAGGAGCTTTAGTTGCCATTTTGCCAGAAGTTGTTTCAGAGAGTTTTTTTTCACAAAGGAAACAGGCTATTAAGGCAACTTCTCAAGAACAGGCCTTCCTGGATCCCTTTCCTAGCTGTTTTTAGACTTTAGAGATACCATAAAATATTTCCTAACATTATTCTTTCATTAACTGTAATAAAATAACTGAGTGTAAATCTCAGCATATTCAAGGATATATTTATTTTTCTCCTGAGTTTATTAGGCAACACACTTTTAAACACATACAATAAATACAATTTGAAGTGCGTGCTTTATATCTTGCATGATGTCGTTTGTGTTCTTATGCTTGTCTCCATTAGTCTATTGCCATATAGTAATAAAGCTTTATCAAATCAAACCTTTATAATGGATTCCTTGAAGATACTTGAAAATACTTCATAGCCAATAGTTTTTACACAATTGGTTTTTCAAGCAATGAATTTCCATTTAAATAAAATATGGATTTACAATACATAGAAAATTTACAAGGAGTTATAAAACAGTGGGAAAGTATGTCTAGCCTAAACTTTTGTGCATTTAGTCTAGGAAAATTTCACATCCCTCTTTCCACACCTATAAAGCCAAACAGAACCAGGACTGACTTGAGGAAAGCAATTATTTATCTCTGCTGTGTCTAACTAAGCAAGCTGCCAAATGTGATCATTTGCCTGATTGGAAAATCACATAAATTAAGACTTTGCCATCAACTTTCTTTCAAGTAAGGAAAGAAAAGCATTTCAATATAGTAATGCAAAACAAGTGGAAATTGTTATTGAACATTTACTTGGACGGGCACTGTGGAAAATTATTCCTTGTCCAACCACCTCCTCAGCTGTAACTGGTAGCACAATTCTTGACCCATTTTACAGATTAGGAAACATGAGTTTCCAGAGTTTATTGGCACTCACGTGGCTGTTACATCGTTTTGATGTTCAAACGACCTACTTTATTCAAAGTCAGGTAGTACAGTCTGCTGGTGGGAAATACAGTATTACTCAAGGGACTTCAAAGGAACAAGAAGATGTTTGAGTTGCACAGTGAGCTAAATTATGCAAGTTGCAGAAATCCTAGGTGGATAGTACGACACCTTTCAGATCAGTTTCTACCCTCAAGGGTGGCAACAACCTTGTAGATCCATTATGGATTAGGTTTCTAAACTGTTTTGGTGTTATGAACCCCTAGAGTCTTCTGGGGAATCCAATGGACCTCGTCTCAGAATAATGTTTTACAATGTATAGCAGAAAGAAGAGAAATTATATTGAAATACACTTCTGGCATTTGACCCCTTAGGATTTTTCCAGCATTTCTACTCTGCCCACCTCTCCTCTCATGTCTACCAAAGAGACTTTCTCTACTTTATTCAGAAAGGTAAATGAGAGACACTCAAACAGGTCTGTAGGTTATGGGAGTAGCAGGGAGTATGGGATAGGCTACTGAGGAGCTGTTTTTGAGGTGACATCACTGTCTCCCTTCCTTTTTCCCTTCCCTCTGGAAGCCTCCTTACTTCTCCAGCTCTTCCTTCCTTCCCCACATCAAGTCCAATTTTTCTCCTTTTACTTCTTGTCTATCCTCCTCACTCCTTGCTCAGCCCCGCCCGCTTTTCTAGGCCCGCCCCTCCAGGGCCCCACCCTCAGGCCGCTCCTCCAGTCTAGGCCCCGCCTTCTCCTCAGTTTCCTGCCAATGACGCTGGGGCAGCCGGGGCAGCCGGGGCAGCCCGGTCACCCCGCCCCCAGGCCCACACTAAGGGTGTCCGCGGCCTGCCCTCCAGGCGGAGGAGCCCGGACTGCGGAAGGATGGAGCTGGCCGCCGGAAGCTTCTCGGAGGAGCAGTTCTGGGAGGCCTGCGCCGAGCTCCAGCAGCCCGCTCTGGCCGGGGCCGACTGGCAGCTCCTAGTGGAGACCTCGGGCATCAGCATCTACCGGCTGCTGGACAAGGTAGCGGCCAACCCGCTGGAGGACCGCGGGGCCTAGAATGCGCCGGGGTCGACCTCCCCGCAGGGAGTGCGGGGCGGCAGTCGCGGAAGGGACAGGGGCGCGTCTTCTCCGGCTCAGGAAGGAGCTCCGCCCGGACCCTGTCTCAAGCTCTGGAGCTAGCGCAGGGGCGGTGCCTCCAAGTGACTGCCGTGCAGATCCAGGGGAGTTGGAAGGTCACAGGAGTTCAGCCTCAGGTCAGGCCCGACGGGGCATGTAGTTAGAAGTTAATGACAGTTGAAACGTGGGTCAGCTGGTTCCTAGGCCCGTGCACACGTCTGCAAGGGACGTTGATCCTCACTCTCCAATGCGTGTCAGTGGCATATGGGGGCTGGGGTGGGGGAGGGGCGGTATCTTAGGGCTTGGATATAGGAGGAAAAGAAACAGAACTTTTCAAGGACTGGATGTGCAGGGTGGTGTCAGGGGTTGCCGAGAAGGGCCCTACTGTTTTAGTGACTCGTTTCTTTTGGTTGTTGCCCCTTCCTTCCAAGTTGCTCTTAATAAGTTGAGTCCGAATCTTCAGGCAGGAGTAAAGATGTAGGAGGAATGGGATTGGTTGTTGAAGTCTTTGGAATCAGGTAGCCATCCAGGTGGAAGGCATTGCCCCTGAGGCCTGTCATCCAAGGCTTGTCATCAGTTGCTTTGTGTAATAGTCGCAGCATGGCAAGTAGGTTAAAAGTCGCCTGCAGGTAATGTGGGTGAAACTGAAGTTTCCTAATACAGGACCAGGATATTATAGTGTTAGAGTTAGGAGGATACCTCATGCTCACCTGGTTAAACCCCAGGTTTCATAGGTGAAAGCAACAGGCCTCAAGGGTGAAGTCACTCCTGAAATGGCCCAGATAAGTGAATAGCAGAGGTGGGATTGGAGGGTTCATGATCTTGTGAATGTCAAACATGTGGTTGCCTTTTTAGGCACTTGCATTTTTGTTTACATCAAATATAGTGTTTTTATATTTTAAAACAGAAAACAAACGTTTGCAATATTTAGAAGTTGCTCACCTGTTAAACAGGAATGAAAACTCTGCCTGTCTCATTGCAGGAATGAAAACTCTGCCTGTCTCATTGCAGGGTTGTTAGGGGGTTCAAATCCAATCTGTCAGATATGTGTGAAAATTTGATAGCTGTAAATAACTCTACAATGCACAGGACAGTGACCCCATACCTCTCCCGGGGAAGAATTATCCAGTCCCAAATTGTAATATTGCCAAGGTCAAGAAACCCTACTCTAAATAAATGGAGAATATAGGTATTATGAAGAAATTTCCTGTCTAAATACATATATATTTGCTTTGGATGCAGTCCGTCCCTCTCCAGTTAGTGGGACTGTAAAACATGCTATTTGGAATACTTACAAATTAGTAGGGCTGGCCTTTACATAATCCAGAACACAGCAGATACTGCAAGTGGCTAAGCTGCCATATTTACTTTTTTTCTGTATACAGATGTTATATCTTGATGGATTACTCACTCAACAAACTCTGAATGCTTGCTGTGTACTAGGACCATTGGGTTTAACAAGATGATCAAGAAGTTCACAGTCTAGAACAGGCAGAATTAATTTCTTAGGGTAACTTTAAAAGGTACCTTAGTTTGAAAATTGATACATTTTCAGAAAAAGTCTTTCTTTTAATTTTTATTTTTTAGAGATGAGGCCTTGCTATGTTGCCCAGGTTGGTCTTGGAACTCCTGGGCTCAAGCAGTCCTCCTGCCTCAGCCCTCAGCCTCCCAAAGTGCTGGGATTACAGGGATGAGCCACCACACCCAGCCAGGCAAAATTCTTTTATCTTCTCTGCTATTCCATTTTTCTTACCAGCCACATCAAGGCTTTGGCCAAGTTTTGTTGATTCAACTGCTCAGACGTGTCTAGCATCTGGCTTATTTCCTCCCATTTTCTTTCCTTTATCTTTGCTACTTTGGGTACTCAGCACCCCTCACTTAGAATTGCAGTGACCTCTTAACTAGTTTTTGGCCTACCAGCTCTCTGCTCCTGTCTATCCTACACCTTCCAGTGCAGTCAAACATCTGAGAAGCAGTGATCTTATCACTACCTTTTCAGTGGCCTATTGATTGCAGAAATAATAATAATCATCACTGTAATAGCTAACATTTATTGCATGATTTCTTATAATTCAGGTGCTAAGTGTTTTGGAAGTATTGATTTACTCAATCCTTGCATCAACCCTATGATAAGGTACTATGATGATCACCTTTTTACCTATATATAAATGAATGCATAGAAAGGTTAAGTTGGTTTCTCAAGATTCCAGCTAGGATCCAAACCCAGCTGTCTGCCTCCAGTCCTGTGTCTTCAACATGCTCCTGCATTGCCTCTCCAAACAGAAGGCAAATGCTGCCTGGTGGGTACACTGAACTAATTTGGTCTCAACTCACATTTCCATCATTCTCTCCCATTACCATAGACCTGACATCTTCTCCTCTAGCGAGCCCAGACCGCTGTGCCATCTTCCCTGTATACAGACGAGGCAGTTGAGGTCCAGGGAAAGTCAGTGGCATATACAAAGCACACGGCTAAGAAGTGGTGAATAAAACTGGGATTTAGATCCAAGTCCATCTGCCCATGAAGCCCCTACTCTTTCCCCAAGCCACACACACTCTTTTTCTAATAAAGCTTCCAGCATGTGGGATGGACCGTCTTAGGAGGGTGAGTCCTCATTATTGGAAGTACAGTACTGTGTTGGAGAAAAAACTCAAACTGTTTTTTTCATTATCTCAACATCACCAACAACACAGAAGCACAGAAGACTCCTGTGACCAAATGTCTGAGGATTTCTCTCCAAACACCAAGTAAGCAGTCAGTTTTGCGGTGGACGTCAGCTAGGTGTCCTCCTGTTCAGTGTTGACACTACCTACCTGGAAATAGTGTCAGATCCCGTAGGTTGAGGTCCCAGTCCCACAAGATTAACCCCCTCTTCCCTGCCACTTGTAATGCCAGTTGAAAGCCCCAGGTTGTTTTACCTGTGCTTCTGACCAACTGGCTGTAAATAGGGGATCCCATGACCCCCTCCTTGGATTCAATTAATTTACTAGAGAGGCTGACAGAACTCAGGGAAACACTTGCTTTCATTTACTGGTTTATTATAAAGGATACTACAAAGTATACAGATGCATAAGATGAGATATGGGGGAAGGATCTTGGAACTTCCATGCCCTCCTTGGATGCATCACCCTCCAGGAACCTCTATGAGTTCAGCTATCCAGAAACTCTCTGAACCCCCTCCTCTTGGGTCCTTTATGGAAACTTCATTGGCTAGGCATGATTGAAGCATGGACAACAGTGTTGAAATATGACTGGACAGAAAGGGTCTGATCTCATATTAATAGACTGATTGGGGAAACCCAAGAAGGCCTGTCCAGATTCTTCTGGCCTCTCCATGCGACATTCCTTCTTCCAGGGTATGAGGCAGGACCCTCCCTGGAATGAAGTTCTTGCAACTCTTGGCTCAACTCCTGAGGCCTAAAGTGCACCAACGTACAAAAGACTGTAACGAGGGCTATGAGAGTTATGAACCAGGAACAGTGGATAGAAACCTGTGTGCGCGCGTGTGTGTATTGGATGTACAGTACTGGAGTATGTATGTGGGTGTGTGTGTATACTCTATGTCCAATACACACACGCCGCCACACATATGTATACACACATATGTAAATTATATATTTATATACACACATATACATATGTATGTATATGTATACATTTTGTATATATAGCTCATAATATCACAAGTACTGTATTCAGAAAGGAGACCAGAGACAATTTGTTTATATACTTCATTGAGCCTTTATTGAGGATCTGCAATGGGTCAGATTTCCATCTATGGAAATGGATCTGAGATAGAGTTGCTCCCCTGAAGATTCTAGTGGCTTAGTTATGAAGTTATGGGCGTCGGTTGGACTGATGGTCCTTTAAGGACCCGATTGTGCATAGCATGCTTGCCACTGTGTGGTACGAGCTGGTTGTGACGACCCTTCACTTTGCTTCCCACACTCAGCATAGAGGTGGCCAACCTAAGGCCAAAGCTATGTGGCTTCTTGGGGCTCTTGAGCAAGATTTGAAACAAGAATAGAGAAAAAGAAAATTGTGACCATGATTTAAATGATGCTGTAACAAAGTTACTGTTACATGTTTTTAAAAGACTGAAAGAAGAGTAGAGGCTCTTGAAAGAGATTTCAATGTAGCAAATTGTATTTTGAAATAAAAATAATAGAATTGTGTCCTTTTTTTTAGTAGACACAAATTATTCTGAATCCTGTTCTTGGACAAGTGGGCAATTTTGATGTACAGCTTTTGATAATTTTTTTTTGTTTTCTATTTTTCTCTTAAATCACAAAATTCTGGACTGGAAAGTTTCTTCTAAGCCATGCTGTCCAACACCATTATCTTTTTCCTCTACTTCTTCTTTCTTTGCCTACTCTATTTCCTTCCTCTCTTATTTCTTCTCCATGTTGTAATGATAATAACTTTATTTGATGCTGCAAATTATAAATGCTGTCATATAAGTTTTCACTTATCCTTCTAAAGAGATGTGGAAGATAGGCAAAAATGGGCTTACTTTACAAATGGAAATAAGATCCAGAGTTGTTGAGCGAGCCACATGAGACCTCATAACTAATAACTAATGTGAACAGTCTACTATGATAAACTCAGTACCAAATACACAACTTGCTTCCATACAAGAACTACATTCTGTTTCCGGAGGCTAAAGCAAAACTAGACCAGGGCTGCCATGGGTATTGTGGGAAAAGCATGGATTTTGGAGTCAGATAGTCCTGTGTGAGAGTCTCAGCTCTGTTCCTCTATCATTCATTTAAGCATTTGGGAGATATTCATCAACTGCCTCCCATGTGCTACTGTCTTCATAGACCCTGGGGATAAGTGGTGAAGAAGGAACATGGTGCTGCTGCTTCAATGAATGAGCTTCTTGAACATGGATCATATTCATTGATGAGAATAAGCCCATAGTATATGATGAAATGTCCAGTGGAAAATGCTATAAAGTACTTTAAAGAAAATGTTATAAAGAAAATAAAGCGAGATAAAAGGATAGAGAGATGGCATGGCAGGGTAGCCAGGGGTGATGTGATGTGTTTCAGATAAGGGAGTCCAGAAAGGCCCTCTGTGGAAGTAACATTTGGCCGATTTGAATAATGCAAATATCTGGAGGAGAAATGAATCTGAGAGTGTTTCTCAAAGTTCAAGCACATTGGAATCACTCGAGACAGCTTTACAAACCATACCAAGCCCTACCTTAGGGATTCAGGTTTAACTGGTCTAGGGTGGGGCTTTGGTGGTCCTTTTGAGAGGCTCCCCCTTCACATAGGGGTTAATTATTTTGTCCTCTCTACTTTCGTGTATGTTTGAAATCTTTCATAATAAAACCGTTTTATACACGTGTGTGTGTGTGTATTATGAATGTGTGTGTGTGTGTGTGTGTGTGTGTATATATGTATATATATATTTAGGCTTCTCAGGAGATTCATATGAACATGCTGGCTTTTAAGCCACTGAGATAGAGGGAACACTGGGTTCTAGTCCCTCAGCCAGGCTGAGCTTGCCTCATTTTCCAGGAGGAGCCAGGAGGCCCACAGGACTGGAGTGGATATGAGATTGAAGAGTGGCCAGGGGCCAGGCCCTACTTACTGGCCAGGTGATATTGATCAGTTACTTTTTCATTTTGAAATCTCAGTTTCCTCATTTGCAAAACCTGGATAATACTTACCTTTCAGGGTTGTTGAGAGGATTGAACGAAATGATAACATGGCAGAATTGTTCTCAAACTTGAGTGTGTATTGGAATCTCAAATTTGAGCATGCATTGAGTGTGCATTTGGATATATATATGTACACACACAAAAGCATGCATTGAGTGTGCATTAGAATATATATACACACACATGCTTGTGTGTGTATATATGTATATATATACACATATATACATGTATACATATATACACATATATGTGTATATACACAAGCATGTGTGTGTGTGCATATATATTCTAATGCACACTCAATGCATGCTCAAGTTTGAGATTCTAATACACACTGAAGTTTGAGAACCATTCTGCCATGTATCATTTCATTCAATCGTCTCAACAACTCTGAAAGGTAAGTAGTATCCTGGTTTTGCAAATGAGGAAACTGAGACACACACACACACACACACACACACACGTATGTATATATATATGTGGAAAATACTATATGTGTATATATATACACACACATATAGTATATATGAATATATACACATGTATATGTGTGTGTGTATATATACTAATCACACTCATCAATGAATGTGATCCACGTTCTCATCAATGAATAAGTTCTATGTTCATGTATGTATGTGTATAGATAGATAGATAGATACTCTTCTTTTTTATGCATTATATTTCTAACCAGCTGCTGAATGATGCTGAGGCTACTGGTCCGGGAATCACACTTTGAGAACCACTGGTGGATGGGGAGCATCTAGCATGGTGCTGAGGCAGTTCTGACATTGAGAGCTAAAGTCAGAGGCAGGAGAATACCCTAGAGATGAGATGCAATGGAAATTGAAAGATGAAAGTGAGACCAAAAAATGTCTTAAGACAAAAGCAACATCCATTTTAGGGCTCCCTCTCCCTGATGTTTAAGTTAGTGGTCACTTGGGAGTAAATGTGGTCCCCTGAGCAGTGCTGAGAAGTTTCCCTGAGAGAAGGGCCATGGGTCACTTAGAAAAGCTCTTCCAGTGATCTGCAAGTCAGGCCCTTGCAGGAACTTCAGGCTTCGTTACCATGCCATTAACCACTGCCCATAGAGTGTGGAACCAGTGCGCAGAGGCTCACAGCTTCAATTTAGAGAAAATAAATGTTGGACTGAAAAGCTCTGGCTGATGGCTTGACTTATTAAGTTTTTAAATCTAAATATCTGGCACTGTGAGAAGGGGCAGCCTAAATTGTGTTTTTGTCCTTGAATAGGGCTTCTAATCAAAGAGTTTGGTGAGGAGCAGACAGTACTTTCCCAGGGACTGTTCTTCCCTGTGCTCTTGACCTACTAAAATTCTCAAAGACCAGCATGACTGGAAAAACTGCATTTGGGCAGGCTGGGCTGAGAGAAAGTTTGGCCTTTAGAGAGAAACACAGATCCATCTCACAGGAGAAGAGATTTCACTCTATAGATGTGAAATCCCTACTCCTATTTCCCCAGATGGGATAATAAGCCAATTAGCATCATGAGCCCCATTACTTCAGGATTGTAAAACTGTTCTGCTCCTTTCTGTCATCCTTCTGATTACCAGCGTGATTGATAGAATCATTCTTGAGCCCTGGTCACTTATGGAGCTGAAATTTACTTGTGGGCAGAGCCACCATGTCTCCAGGACACCCGTCTGTGGCATTCTACTTCCCACCATAGACCAAGGCCAGCTCCTTCTTTTCTGTCTCCCTTGAGTGTGCAACTGGGTAGATAAGTTAGAGTCTCAGTTTTTCCCTCTCCTCGCATCTGTCTTAGGATAAGCCTGTGGGTATGAGGCCATGCGAGAATGCTGGTCTCAAGGTTCAGATTTGGTGGAAGGAGGGGAGAGGAAGGAGTAAGATGCCTCCCTTCTGTCTCCAGGTATAAGCCAAGCTTTATGCTCTCACTCTGTCTTTCACCAGATTGCTGTATGGCGATTACAGGAGGTGGCTATTAATAAAACAAAACACTGATATTTCATTCAGCCTTGGGAATCCCTTGAGAAGAGAGATGACTTGTAGGGAAGGGTATAGGCATTCTGAATGCTTGGACATAATACCATACCAACATCTGGAGTGAACCAGCAGGTGAATCTGGGGCAATGCTGAATAGAGGTTCTTGTCTCTATACATGTGCCTTTTCTGGACATTTTGCAGAACATCTTTAAGCCTCAGTTTTCCTGTTTGAAAAGTGGGTTTACTGATGGTCCATACCTCGTATCATTATTTGGATTAAGTGGGATAATCCATGTAAAAGCACTTGGATCAGTGCCTGCTGTTCAGTTAATACTCAGTAAACATCAGCTATGAGTATTGTTTTACCTAGCTGTGTGCAACCCTGAAGGATTAGACCTATCACATTTTCTTAGAGAGGTCTTAAATATTAAATCAGATTTAGCCAACTATCTGTCTTTGTAGAGTCTTGGCACATACTTCCCAGCAGCAGCTGCAGCTTTGACTTCTGCCATTAGAACTGCTTTACTTTGATGAAAAATACTTATTTTTCATACCATCTGAGTCTATTACTTGCCCCAAAGTGGATGGACTTGGACAGCTTTTAGATAAATAGATTGGGGGTGTTTCCTGTCCCTCTGAGGAATGGAAATGAGCGCTTCTGTGAGAGGCAAAGAGAACTCAATGCACACTCATGAGTGCATTCACAGGATTTGAGAATATGTGATTTATCAAGACCACCTTGTAGTTAGTGGTGTAAATTCAGATAAACACCATAAATTGGAGGTAATGAGTGGTGCCTTTCTCCAGGCCTGGATGGGTGATGGGACATCTACAGGAGATTACTCCTGTGTGGGGATTGCAAGTGTCATTTGCAAACATTACGACATTTTGACACATCTCATATGTAAATGCATAGCATCTCTTTCAGAGTTTATTCTGTTTGGGACAAATAAGTGTACTGTTGACAATAATATTTCTCAGAATACTTTAACCTTGTAAATATAATTGAAAACAAATTGCACAGATGTTTTTTTTCACGCATTTGAATCACCATTGCTGAGAAATATACCAGTTTAATGTTTCGACAAGTTAGCCAGCACGATAGCATCTCAAAAATTAGTGATAACAGTAACAGATTTCCTGGCCATGCATTCCCCTGTCTCCAGCCTCCATTTCTTCACTTATAAAGTGGAGTTAATGATGCTTACATCACAGGATTATTGCAAGTATTCATGATTAAGCCCAGCCTGGCTTAGAGCAGGTTCACTGTAGATATTGGTTTTCCTGAAAATGTACATTACAGTTCTGAATCCCAGTTCTTTAATCTGGAAAAAGGAGATTATCGTACCTACCTTGTTAATGAAATAGTAACCTACCTTATTAATGGGAATGATATCTAATATTTACTAAGTACTTATTATGTGCACCACATAATAGAACTTTAGATGGATTATCTAGTTTAATCCTCATAATCATTCCATGAAGTAGAAACTTATTAGACCCATTTTGCAGGTTAGTAGTGGAAGAGGTTAGATTCTACCCAGACGGTGAATCTGAGCCCATGCTATTACCACCACACTGTCTTTTCTGACTAGCTTTTCTGATTTATGAGACAGCACTTTGGAATAGTATATGGAAAAACTTGGCACAGTACCTCATCTGTTGAAAGTGATAATATTCATCTTTCTCTATACCTGCCTTTCTCCTGGTTCCTTTCTGAACCCTTCAGAAGCAGCATCTAAAAAAAAATACTTCTTCTGGCCCTTTGGAGGCCTGTTGGGCAAACACACCAGGCTTAGGGACTCAGGGGAGCATCTCAGTGGGAGGTCCGTTCTGGGTGGCCTGGAGCAGGAGTACTGGCTTAGGGAAGGAAAGGGTTCCCATCCAGGCTTTGCCACCAACAGCGTCATCAGCTGACTCTTGGCAAGTCACTCACATTACACAGCTAAGCTAAGACCCCTTCCTGCTCTAAGATCCTGTGTGATGGGTCTTCTTTATCTTTATCATTAGTTTGTGGTCTGGAACAATGATTTGGGAATGACATGCAGAGAAAATACAGCTAAATAAGGAGACATTGTAGGGAATAGAAGGGGCCAGTGTGCAAAGACACACCATTTCTTTCTGTCTGTCCTGTTACTAGCTGTAGGACTTAGGCAAGTAAGTTGGCCTTTCTAAGCATCATTTCCTTCTGTAAAGGTAGAGATAACACCAACTTCCCTATCTACATCACAGGGCTATCTTAGCTGTTACATGAGAGAATGAATATAAAACGTTGGAAAGTGGACCATGCTTAGAAAAACAATGACTAGTATTATTGAAAGAATTTGTAGCAGGTCAAAGGGATTAGAAAACTCCTTCAAATACAAAATACATGACTTTTGTTGTATTGTTAATAAATCATCAAGGGAAACAGAATCCAGTCTGCAGTCAAGTAGAAGCCTCTGCCTGGTTTCTTCTTGGGATCAAGATATAGTGAATACCAGCTGGTATTCACTATATGTACTATAGCAGGTATATATAAAAATATATATACCTACTGGCATTATATATACACATATATATCTGCTGGTATTATATATAAAATATATAATATATAAATATATGTAATATATATTCTATATATAACATTATATTTATGTAGAATAATATTTCTATATATATTTATATATATTTTTTCTGAGTTAGTTATTCAAAGGAGACAGTACTTTTTATAACATGGCATGTAGGGTCTTGTACGCATTTGTGCAAAACTAAATGTTGTATCTCAATTTAATATCCATTAAAGTGTCCATTATCTCTTCCTTGACAGTACATTTTAGCAACATTTATGTACTTCTGTACTGTTTTAATGAATTTATGTATAATTATATTTCTTGTAAATATTCATAAGTCTTACCAGCACTATTCTGTCAGTCTACTTTTTTACCTTGATGTCAGATTTTTAAAAATAAATCTGGACTTGGTAAGGAGAGACTTGTATTCAAATGGATTATTTCAAGGAGTTAGGGAAAGAAGTATTACAGTAGGAAAAGTGCTTTGCCGATAAGCTCTGCAGGCATCTTGGGAGTTGCAGAGCCGTTCTTTTATAAAGAGGAGCAAAGAACGTTAGAAAGAACCATATGCGGGGATGTGGGATGAAAGGATGGCATGATCGGATAGCAGATCAGAGAATACTTTTCCCTGAGCCCAGCCTGTTTTCAGGAGGGACTGTATGCTGGCTCAGGTTTAGGATGGGCCAAAGTTCAGGGGCCTGGAGGAAGGAGAAAAGTTCAACCAGTTGGGTTAACAAGCATTTTGTTCTGGTTGATCAGTGGGGGTGGGCAGCTTAGCTAATCATTTATAAGACAAAGAAAGGGAAATCTGGAGGGTCTGTGTCTGGCCTTGTCATAGGTAAACGGGGGCATCCGTGAGTCTTATCTAAGTCATATGGGGAAGGGTAGTGGATCTTCACAGTAAACTTTATGAAACACAAAAGGTAGGGGATTTCTTAACCTTCACTGTAATCTAGGATGACAGGGTTCAAATAAAATTCAGCATTGTTGATAAGGACCACTATGTCAATTAGGATTGTTTTTAGCTACAAGTAATAGAAAATTGGACAATCAATGACAAACAGAGGCATGTTTATCTCACCTAATAAATAGGTCAGAGTTCTACCTATTGGTAGAGTTTGCTGTCATTGATTTAGCATTCAGTGATGCCAGCAACCCTCTGAGTCTTTCTACTCTGTTTCTCATGTTGATTGCCTCTTGGTCATAGGATAGTTGCAGCAGTTCCAACCATCATGTCCACATTTAAAACAGGGATAAGTCACACGGCTACCTCTCCCTGCAGAGGAGACCAGGGAAGTTATTGGCTGTTTACATTGCCACGGGGTTCTCTTAATAAGGAGAAGGAGTGTTTACCACATCAAGTCTTATGTTTCTTCTGGCAGTTGCATTCTGTACATGATACTGGCTAATTCTCTACTTCCAACATAATCCTTTTACTATTTGAATTGTAGGAAACTAAATGTCTTATAACTGGAGCATTAGAAAAGTATCCATTATATTTTAGTCTAGATAAGGAAATTGAGCCACTGTTAGAGGTGGTTTTCTGGAGGAGCTTCAGGAAAAGCCAAGAATCTCTTGAGTAAGCTTCTTTGGAGTCATTTATTCAAATGTTAGTAAGCTTGGAAAAATAAAACCGATATTGCAAAAGATTTATATCTCTAATTTTAAGAGATCTTACACATCAGATCTTATTATAGTAGCAATAAAAGTTTTGCCAAATAAGTTTTGCTTTTTCATATCAAATTGTTTGTATAAACAATGGTGCCCAACGCTGGTGAGATGCTCCTTTGGAACTGGTGAGAGGAACTGGTGAGAGTACACACTTGGTGCACACGTTCTGCAAGGTTTGTAAAAAGTATAAAGAGCCTTAAAATGTTAATCTACTTATCCTAAAATTTATCTGTAAGAAAACATTTGTAGTAAAAAAAAAAATAGAATTATGGACCAATTATTCTATACAAACATAAATATTCTGGAAATTTTTTTTCATAAAAATATTTGGAAACAAATTTTTTTGGAGAATAATTGAGTTAGGTATGGAGTCTTCATAACCTCAGTATAATATTTAGTTAAAAATAAGAATACAAACTATTTATACCATGTGATTCCCGTTTGATAATGTACAGATGTATTTATTTACTTAAAGGAAATATGTCAAATATTATCAGTAGATATTTTTGGATTATGGGGTTACATGTCACCTTTTAAAAATTCTTTTTGTCATTTTTATAAACTTTTTAATTATAAAAAACTATTTTTTAAAATATGAAGTAAAAATGAGTGTGGTTGCTGAGATCCTTTTTAAAAAGAAATAATGGGTGAGAAAATGCTTTGATTCAAGAATGTGGACCAGGCTGTTCAGCGCTTGGACATTGTATTGATGAAGTAGGAAAGGTGTTGCCGTGTTATGGAGCATTTGGTTCCTCTGGAGCTCTGGCATTGCTCAGTTCTGCCTCGAAGGGAATGTTTAAAGGAAGTTGTCGCAATCGTTCATTCTTCTGTACTCACGCAAATTATGGTTGTTCTATTTTTCTCTTCCTTGAGAACTTCCTGTTCTCATTGTCTGTGCCATATAACAGGATGGAAGTCACTATGGGTTGTAACTACATTCAGGAGAAGAAGAGAACCAGTGTAAGGGAACAGTGTGTTTTAATTTATGCAGATATCCAATGCTAACTTATTTAAAGGTTGGGGAGGTCATTATCTTAACACATAAGAATTCTTGTTGCTTAGAATGTGTGGAAAACAAGGCCTCAGTTTTCTTGAATAATTGCTATTTGTCTCCCTTCCAAAGCCTATGATGAAAACAAGTGTGTATGAGTGTAAATGTGTGGGTATGTATAAATCCTTACTAAGTTCAATTGTGTGTGTGAGGGGAGGGGGCAAGAGAGAGAAGATGTTTATCTTCCTGACATCTCTCATCAGACCCTGAGGTCTGCCCTTCTACTGGGGCATCCATGGCATGGCACATAAGGGGTTCAGATAGACTAGTTTGATATTTGCTGGTTGGAAATTCTTGGTATAAAATCACATGCTTTTAGAGCTGGAAGATTCTTATGGATTCATTTTCAATTTTACATTCATTTTTTGCCAGGTACTTTCACATACATCTGAGATTCCTAAACCGGGATGTATTTATCCCTAGGTTATACCACCCAAGCTAGAAGACCCTTAAAGCTTCAGGATCTCTAGAAAGATTCAGCATGTTTATTCCTTGACTTCCCCTCAGGCCATGGCACAGTGTTTACAGAGAGGGCTTCATTCATGCATGATTAACCAGTAACACGGCCTTAGCACATGGATGCAAGAGTTCATCCAAAAGTTTATGTTCGTTCATTTGTTTCTTTGCCTTTGTGTTGAAATTAATCTAATAGCCATTGCTTTAATTTTAATAATAGAGCCTTTAGGCAAAGCTGAGGGTCAGGAATTGTAAATTGCCACCGTACAGAGAGTGAAATGTGTGATGGGGCAACTCTAGGCCAGGACCCTCATGGACAAGAATATGGCTTACCAAGGAAACAAGGGAACTCTCTTGTACTTTGGAATCTAGAAAGGCCTTTTCCCAAATCAAAGGAACTTATATGATTTGAAGCAGATTTCTTTTGTTTTTCATTTTCAGTCTTTTATACAGAATCAAAAAGAAGCAGTTGTTGAAAAATTCTGTCTTGGAATTGATAAAACAATGTGTTGGGTTTCACTATGCCACATGGCTATTTAAAATATAACCTCTCTCGAGAACTGTAGCTGCCTATGTGACACCCTTACTTGGATGCTTAATAAACATCTTAAACTCAACTTGTTCAAAAGAGAACTCTTAATTACCCCAAAAGCCCACCAATCACCTCTTCTCCAAGTTTTTTTTCTGTCTTAGAAGATGGCATTCCCATCTGCCCAACTTGGGTTATGAAAGTTATCCTTGATTCTTTGCTTTCCCTTTCCCCAGGATCTATCAGGAATTCCTTTTTACTTTACCTCCAAAATATATCCTTAAATCACTGACTCCTCGCCATCACTGTTGTTACTTCCCTGTTCAAATCACCATCATTTCTTATCTGAACTATTGCACTGGTCTTCTCACCCATCTCCTTGTTCTCTGATGATCTATTTTCTACCAAGCAGCAAGAATCACCTTTAAAAAATTAATTTGATTGCGTCATTCTTAAACTGAATTACGAATCAGATCTGGTCATCCCTCTGTTTAAAGCCATCCATTAGTTTTCCATAGCAATGAGAATAAAATCTTTACCTCTTACCCTGGTTTACAAAGTCCTTGGGGTCCAGCCCTGACAAACTCTCTAACCTCAGCTCCTGCCACTCTCTCTTTTATCCAGAGTTCTCCAGACCCCAGGTTCTTTAAAGATGCCAGCCCACCAATCTGAGGACCTTCCTTCTACCAGGAACGGGCTTTTCCTATCTTCCTATGGCTGGCTTCTTCCAACATTTGGAACAAGATGCTCTGATAAATGTTAACTCTCATAGAGGCCTTTCCTGATCACCTGATTACATAGATGTCCTCCCCATCCCCGCCCTTGCAAGGCATCATTTATCACACAACTCTTCTTACCCTATTTAAATTACCTAGATGGCACTTATAGCTATCTCTAGCACTGCTGCCTACCTGAATTTAAGATCTCTGAGAGCAGGGCCTGCACCTGCTTTTTTATCATTGTGTCACCAAGACCACAGAGGAGGTCAGTGTTTGGTGTGGCATGAACGTCGTCATCAGCTGCTTTTCTTTTTTTTTTTTTTTATTATACTTTAAGTTTTAGGGTACATGTGCACAATGTGCAGGTTAGTTACATATGTATACATGTGCCATGCTGGTGTGCTGCACCCATTAACTCGTCATTTAGCATTAGATATATCTCCTAATGCTATCCCTCCCCCCTCCCCCCACCCCACAACAGTCCCCAGAGTGTAATGTTCCCCTTCCTGTGTCCATGTGTTCTCATTGTTCAATTCCCACCTATGAGTGAGAATATGTGGTGTTTGGTTTTTTGTTCTTGTGATAGTTTACTGAGAATGATGATTTCCAATTTCATCCATGTCCCTACAAAGGACATGAACTCGTCATTTTTTATGGCTGCATAGTATTCCATGGTGTATATGTGTCACATTTTCTTAATCCAGTCTATCATTGTTGGACATTTGGGTTGGTTCCAAGTCTTTGCTATTGTGAATAGAGCCGCAGTAAACATATGTGTGCATGTGTCTTTATAGCAGCATGATTTATAGTCCTTTGGGTATATACCCAGTAATGGGATGGCTGGGTCAAATGGTATTTCTAGTTCTAGATCCCTGAGGAATCGCCACACTGACTTCCACAATGGTTGAACTAGTTTACAATCCCACCAACAGTGTAAAAGTATTCTTATTTCTCCACATCCTCTCCAGCACCTGTTTTTTCCTGACTTTTTAATGATTGCCATTCTAACTGGTGTGAGATGGTATCTCATTGTGGTTTTGATTTGCATTTCTCTGATGGCCAGTGATGGTGAGCATTTTTTCATGTGTTTTTTGGCTGCATAAATGTCTTCTTTTGAGAAGTATCTGTTCTTGTCCTTCACCCACTTTTTGATGGGGTTGTTTGTTTTTTTCTTGTAAATTTGTTGGAGTTCATTGTAGATTCTGGATATTAGCCCTTTGTCAGATGAGTAGGTTGTGAAAATTTTCTCCCATTTTGTAGGTTGCCTGTTCACTCTGATGGTAGTTTCTTTTGCTGTGCAGAAGCTCTTTAGTTTAATTATGTGGAATGCAGCTTTCTCTCAACTTGGGAACCAATAGACATTTCTACCTGTTCTGTTTTTATAGAAGACTGGACTTTATGAGTATAAAGTCTTTGGTGTTCTGGAGGACTGCTCACCAACTCTACTGGCAGACATCTATATGGACTCAGATTACAGAAAACAATGGGACCAGTATGTTAAAGGTGAGTGATGCTTGCTTTTCTTTTTTTTTTAGACGTACTTTCACTTTTGTAGCCCAGGGTGAAGTGCAAAGGTAGGATCTCAGCTCACCGCAATCTCCGCCTCCTGGGTTCAAGCGATTCTCCTGCCTCAGCCTCCTGAGTAGCTGGGACTACAGGCGCCCGCCACCACACCTGGCTAATTTTTGTATCTTTAGTAGAGACAGGGTTTCTCCATGTTAGTCAGGCTGGTCTTGAACTTCTGACCTCAGGTGATCCGCTTGCCTTGGCCTCCCAAAGTGCTAGGATTACAGGCATGAGCCGCTGCACCCAGTGCTTTTTTTTTTTTTTTTTTTTGATCATTAAAAAGTAGATCTATTCTGACCAGATGCAGTGACTCACGCCTGTAATCCCAGCACGTGGGGAGGCTGAGGCGGACAGATCACTTGAGGCCAGGAGTTTGAGACCAGCCTGGCCAACATGGTGAAATCCCGTCTCTACTAAAAATACAAAACTTAGCTGGGCATGGTGGCGCATGCCTATAGTCCCAACTACTTAGGAGGCTGAGGCACTAAGAATTGCTTGAACCCAAGAAGCAGAGGTTGCAGTGAGCCAAGACTGTACTTCAGCAGGGACAACAGAGGGAGACCCTGTCTCAAAAAAAAAAAAAAGTCTAATCTATTTTTATTTATTCTTGCCAGTAGAAAAAAATAAAATTAACTTCTACTACATAGTGCTTCCTATTAAATTTTGGCACAAAAGCATTTTAAATGTTGGACTGAAATGCACTTTTGCTATTGCTAGGACTTGCTCCTTACCTAGTTTTAGATCCTCTCCACAGTTTGCTCTTGGGGCTCCTTTGCTGCCACTTTTAAGTTGTGTGATCCTCCCATGTATCTAGGTTGTCATGAAAGGGGAGGAGGTGCGGTCCAAGTTTTGGTTTGAGAGTTGAATCAAAATTTTCCAAACAGAGAAGAATACATGTATGTGAGGAGGTAAGAGAGGGACAGGATGACTGGTTAAGAGCATTCTAGGCTCAGGGATCAGCATTAGTAAGGTCAGGAAAGCGTGAAGCAATATGTTCAATAGCCGCCAGCAGTTTGGTGTTGTTGGGTTGGTTGGAGTAAGAGAACCTATCCTAGGTCTTCGACTACTGTTAGTACTAGTTCTACTACTACTATTGTTAGTACTGCTAGTACTAGTAGAACTAGCTAATAGAACTAGTACTAGTAGTAGTCGAAGAGCTAGGGTAGGTTCTTCTACTACTAGGCGAACTAGGGCAGCTGTTGGGTCCAGATCCTCCAGGGCCTAGCATGGCGACCAGGCTATCGGTCTTAGATTTTTCCCTGTAAGTTATGTGTTATGAAAGACATCACACAGGGACTTCTCCTGCCACTTAGAGCTGGAGTAGCCTCTGCCAACCCAGTCATAGTGGAATGGAACTATGAAACTAGCCAAAGGCACATAAAGCCTTTAGTCAAGACTCTTGGTTGCAAGTAACAGAAAGCCAACTAAAGACAGTGTAAGAAGAGAAAAAGGAGTTTATTAGTTCATGGCATTGAAAAAAGTCCAGGGGTTTCTAACTTTGAGGACAGCTGCAACAGGGAACTTAAATAATTTCATCAGGATTGTTTCTTTCTCCATCTGTAGACTCTGTTTTCTTCTGTGTTGACCTAATTCCTAGGCAGATTCTTATGTCATGGCCAAGATGTCTGCCAGAAGATCCAGATTTATATTCTAACCATATGAATAACCCCAGAGGAAGGAGAATTCTACTTTTCTAGGGATGACAGCCAGATGCCAGGATTGGCTCTTGTCAGCTCAGCTTGGAGTTTGTGCTTATTTTCTGTGGACATTCATCATGGTTTTGGGCAACTTAGTGTTCTCAAATACTCTTCCTATTTAGGGGGCAGTGGGATGCTTACCTATCCAAGGGAACAGCCAGACACTGTCTGTCCAGGCCTCCCTTGCAGCCAAGATACAGTCATGTGACATAGACTCTGCCAATAAGACCCACATGTGGCTTCAATTTGGAAAAGAGCCATGTGAGGAAGCAGGCAGCATGGAAGATCCATTTTTCAGTGACCAGTGATGGCATCTGACTTTAGGGAAAACAACTGCTGAGTCTCTGATGTTTGCTCCCCAACATCAACAGCTTTCACTCTGGGTTCTCATCCAGTGGAAGCAGCAGTTAGGCTTTGCTGGAACAATCTTGAGGTTGGAAATCTCACTCTGGTCCATCCGAGAGCTTTACTAAATCACTTTTTGCTCTCAACTTGCTAGAGTGACTAACTACGACTCTGGACAGATCTGCCATCCCTGAATTCGTCACCATGGCCGTGTCTTGCTCATTTTCCCAGCCCTGAAATTACTGCAGAGTCAGTCTTGCGAAACCATGCAGCTGAGAAGTAGGGGAAGGGTGATGCCCTGAAGGAAAATTGAGATGCTCAAGGGGCGATCAATGCTGAGCATGTAAAAGCAACAGATGTCCACCTCTCCCTTTCTTTTAAGGACTCTCATCAGCCTCCTGTGACCTTAATGGGCTGGCACACTCCTTAATCTACAGTGTGCTTCTAATAGATTTTCTTTCAAAACCTAAATTATCCCTCCTTACCATCTCCTCCAGGGACTTTGGGCTCCTTTAACTGGAGGTAGAAAGAAGTTTACTGCACAGCACAGTCTGGGGACAGAGGGTGTGCATGCCATTAAATTTCTTTGCTATCTCCCTCCAAGAGTTGGCTGCTGTTTGCACATAATAGTAAGACGGAAGGATTATTAGGGAAATTTGGTCACCCTAGCTGTGGCATAGTGCAAAGAAACATGGGAGAGAAGAAAGAAACTTGGGGTAAGCCATAGTTCTGCTGATCTCTAACTATTCAAGAAGGACGTTGCTCATTCTGGAACCTTCATATCCGACCTATGAATGTGCTAGACTGGGTGACTCCGTTCCAGGTTAGCTGTAATGGATCAAGGAATCCTAAAGGGGAATTAAAGGGCTCAGAAGCAAAACTATTGGTACTCTAGTGACATCTGGTGGTTATCCTGAATTTAAAACCTCTGACTATTTTTTTGATGTCTGATTTTGTTTCATTGCATTCTATCAAGAATATTGATTATGCTATAGAATGGCCAAGATTTGTTGGCTTCTTTTATTTGTGCTGTGTTTTTCTATCCACTAGACTCTGTCCCTGGGCAATAAGCTTTCAGTGGAAATTAATCGGTTTGACTTTTTTCTAGAATTTTATACCTTATGAGTTAGTGGTTTATCATAACCTAAGAGGTCATCTTTTTTTTTTTTTTTCTTGAGACATGGTGTCATTCTGTCACCCAGGCTGGAGTGCAGTGGTGCAATCATGGCTTGGCTCACTGCAGCCTTGACCTGCTAGGCTTGGATGATCCTCCTACCTCAGCCTCCAGAGTAGCTGGGACTACAGACATGCACCACCATACCTGGCTGATTTTTTTGCTTTTTTTTTTTTTTATATATAGAGATGGGGTTTCACCATATTTCCCAGGCTGGTCTTGAACTCCTGGACTTGAGCAATTGACTCACCTTGGCCTCAAAAAGTGCTGGGATTACAGGCATGAGCCACCATGCTTGGCCTAAGAGGTCATACCCTTATTAGTTGTAGCTAAAAAGGCTTCCAGATGCATTAACTTCTTTTGCTTTCCTTTAGAACTCTATGAACAAGAATGCAACGGAGAGACTGTGGTCTACTGGGAAGTGAAGTACCCTTTTCCCATGTCCAACAGAGACGTATCCTTTCCACAAGGTACTCATTCCCTGGCCCTCTAAGTGTTTCTGTGTTCCTCAGCTGCAGTCTATTGCAGAGAGGTAGAGCTGGTTTCTCAGCAGGCACAGATAACATTGTCTCTGATTCTTGCAGCAGCATTTGCTAAAGATATTGCTTCTTGTATGGTGTTTGGAGAGCTCAGAGTGTGATTTCTGGGCCCAACCACATGAAGTGTCTGTAATTTTGGTCACTGGAGAGCAGCTCTTACTTTCCTAAGAAGTTTCCTAGGCCTTGAAATTGTCAGGCCACAGAATTGGGGATCTGGAAGGAACTTCTTATAAAAAGTGCTTGTTACAGCTCCCTCAGTCTACAGAAGGAAAAAGGGCTCCCAAAGAGGTGATAGGACAGAGGCACATAGGTGGTTAGTGGCAGAGCAGGTGCTGGAACTCAGGCCTCTGCATTTCCAGCTCTCTCCGCCTCCCCCATCTCAGTAGACCCCACAGAAATCCCTCCTTGATTGTTGGCTCTGGACACTGACTGTAAGCTTCTTCCCCTCAATGTCCTTGTTTATGAAATGAAGCAGTTGAATGAAATGTAGGGAGGCTTGGCTGGCACTGTAAGGTCTTCAGAAGCCCCCTTAGGACTAAGCTGGGGGGCTAGGATGGAATTTTGGGGGTGGGTAGGATGGAAGTAGGATGACTCCTAGGTAAGATTTTGACTCCTTCACCATGCTCTTCAATCCCAGCAGCGGAGTGTTTTACAGGTTCAATTTCCATGTAAGATCCTTTTAGCAAAGGGTCTCTTGGAGTCAAAAAAAAGTTTGGAAGCCACTGAATTAGATGAACTGCCAACACTTCAAAGGTGTTCTGCCAAATTTTAATCACTATATCAAGATAATTCTTCCTCCGTGGAGTATCAGATGATATCTATCACATGAGCTGAGAAAGTTGGGGGAGAGAGTGGAACAATATTTGCTAAAAGGAAAAAGTAAAAGGTGTAGGAGAAAGGAACCCAGTGACAAATCAACATCTCTTTCCTGAAACATTTAAGAACTTTACTTATTAGTGTATAAGAGCATGGAGCAATAGACTGTCCAATGTGAGGGTGGGGCAACAGGGGGCGCTGTCAAGACACTGAGGTGGGACTGAACGCGGGTGGCTCACGCCTGTAATCCCAACACTTTGGGAGTCCAAAGTGGGCAGATCACTTGATGTCAGAGTTCGAGATCAGCCTGGCCAACATGGAGAAACCCTGTCTCTATTAAAAATACAAAAAAATTTAGCTGGGTGTGGTGGGCGCCTGCAATCCCAGCTACTCCGGAGGCTGAGGTGGGAGGATCACTTGAACCCAGGAGGTGGAGGTTGCAGTGAGCCGAGATCGTGACACTCTACTCCAGTCTGGGTGAGACTCTGTCTCAAAAAAAAAAAAAAAAAAGACACTGAGGTGGGTGGAGGCTGAGACGGCTGCCATGTTATAGTAAGTGTAATTGTGTTGTGCGTAGTGACTTTTTGATTATTTTAGGTTTTTGATTCCTTTGAGTGGGAAACCCAAAATTCTGTTTTATGAAAGTGTAACTAACAAACTAAATATCTGAGCTCCATCCAACTATGAAATTCTAAGTAGGTTTTGGAGCCAGATCTGGGATAAAAATTCATGTTTCATCACTTCAGCTGGGATGTGGGATTTTTGGCAAGGTTCTTTTCCTCTCTGAGCCTCACTTTTGTCATCTGTAGTATGGGGATACTCATACCAAACTCACAGGGTCTTTGTAAGGATCCAAATTTAAGCTGTATGTCAAGTGCATGATGTTACATGATAAAGGCTCGATAAGTAGTGATTCCTGTTGTTTCATAGACTTTCATTATCCTCCCTAGAATAGTGCCGTAAACTTAAGGGTTCTTCTGTCAAGGCTGATGGACATGAAATGGTTTTGTTATTCTTGGTAAACTAGTGTTAGCCCAGAGAGGACATCTGCCTACGAAATATTCATGTAGTCCCATGTCTTCCTATGGTCATCAGCTGTAACATTGCTTGACCATTTACTATGCATAAAGGTCAGTAATTAGAGCATTGGGTGAGGCCAGAACAAAGAGGAATGACACCATTGTCTGTCGAGTGCTTACTCTGCCCAGGTCTTTCTCTAATGCCCCCACCAAGCCTGTCTGCAAGGCAGTGTTACTCCCTTTCCTACATAGGGAATCTGAGTCTCAGCAAGGCTGAGTAGCTTACCTAGGACCACACAGCTGTTAAGTGACCATTCCTCTGTCATCTCCCAGTGCCTTCTTGGAGAAAGGAAATGTGGTTTCCTCACATAATTAAAAGCATGAAGGGATCACTCACAGGTAAGTAATACATGCTCTTTGGTGAGAATACTAGGTGGTGTGAGGCACAGTCTTGCAGTGCAGGTATGGAGACAGGGCACGTCAGTGAACTAGTGGTAGAAAGGAGCAAATGCCAAGTGGGAGGCACAGAATCACCTCCCTTTGCTTCCAGCTTGTGGCGCTTTCCTTCTGTCTGTCTACAATGCTGGCGTTGGTGTCTTGCCTTAACTGGCTATGCAGTATGTCTACCTTCGGCAGCGGCGAGACCTGGACATGGAAGGGAGGAAGATCCATGTGATCCTGGCCCGGAGCACCTCCATGCCTCAGCTTGGCGAGAGGTCTGGGGTGATCCGGGTGAAGCAATACAAGCAGAGCCTGGCGATCGAGAGTGACGGCAAGAAGGGGAGCAAAGGTAAAACCCATGGTGCCTGTCAGTGCACCCAGCCAGGGGTCCCCCACGGGAGGGCCAGGCTGATGGGGGGACATGTCGAGTACATGAAGCGTATCCCTGAAGGTCAGAGGACAGGCAAAGCTGCAGAGCAAACCAGGATCAGCACCTAGAGAGAGCCTCATTCCACCCCAACAAACTTGAGTAGAGTATGAGGTTGATGTTTAACTCTGACCCAGTCTATTTTCTCCAGACTCATGGATTGTCCAGATGAAACCAGACCATTATAAGTAAGCCAGAGAGTTTAGAAAGTCACTTCCAGCTGGTCCTGTGGATACATACGCTGGGCCTAAGGGTAGGCAAGAAAGCTGGCAGGTTTGTCTTGGAGGTCTCAGCTCTGGCTCAGTACCAACTCAGAGCTACTCAAGACCTGCCCAGCTTGAGTTTCAGCCCCCAGGGAGGAAAGCTGCAGACAGAGAGTGGGGTGCGAGGCCACCTGCTCTACCAGAATGAGTGTGGCCTTGAGTCCTAGGCAAAAATCTGAACTATAGTTAGATGGTCACCTTGAATATGTCACCTAATTTTTATGAGTATCTGTTTCATCAGTTATAAAATGGGATTAATTTTACCATCTCCTTAGGATTGCTAGAATAATTGAATGAGAGGCTATATTCAAGTGTCCAGCACTTGCCAGGTATTTAATAAATAGCAGCAAAATGTGTCTATGGCTGTTTTCAAAAGTGCCTATATTTAAGTATGCCATAAGGGCAGTCAATGGAGAGAAGTCCATCTGAATTATATGCTACCTCCCTCTGCAGTTTCTGAGCTTGAATATGAAGATATAAAGTTTGCACAGTTTTGTTGCTATATTTTTCTGGTATTTTTCCTTTTTCTGAATTGTCCTTTCTTTCCCTCTCTAGTTTTCATGTATTACTTCGATAACCCGGGTGGCCAAATTCCGTCCTGGCTCATTAACTGGGCCGCCAAGGTGAGATCCCAGGAGGTGGGGCGGGGGGAGGGATGGGGGAGTGTGTTTGACAAATGTTGACTTAGCCCGCGGGGCTGTCAGGCTGAAGAGACACATTGTCTCAGGCGTAATGAGGCTCTTTTATGAAGAGTTTGGTTGAGTGACTCTGGTTAGGGCTGGGGCTGCCAACATCCAAGACGGAGGCTGGGACAAGAGACAAAGAATTGTCAGCTTGGAATGCCAGCCTCTCCCTGCTTGTGCCCCAGGACCCCGCCAGAATCACTCTCTGGAACTTCTGGACAATAGTCTGCTCTTAGTAGGAACAATAGTGCCTTTGGAGCCTATATTCCTCTGCTTACTGGGGAATAAGACAGACTGACCTGGCTTGGAGACAACCAGATGTGTCCAAGCCTGAGGAAAGCTTCCACTTTTGTTGTTGTTGCCCTTTTTTTTTTTTCTTTTTCTCTATAAGGGAGGGAACTGCAGTGGTAGTTTGTATCACTAGAGACTGCCCAGGAGCCTGGCATTATGGGGACCATCAGCCTGCTTTGCACAAGATCTACTACTAGAGAGCTCAACAGATTCCTTGGAAGAGTGAAAAAGCACATCAACTTTGGAGTCAAACAGACGCAATTTCAAATCCTGGCTCTGCTACTGACTGTCTTGTTTTATTTAAGGAAGCCATGCATTTCTTCCTTTTTAAAAATGAAGATAGATGTCTTCTACTGCATAGAGGGGGAGTAAATAAGACAATATTTAGGAAAAGTCTTGCCCAGTGCTCAACATTAACTAAATAATAATATATCCTGCTCCTTGATCCCCAATCCTTACCATTTTCTAATTCAGTAAAGCAAGTGCTTTCATTTCTTTGGAAGAATGTAACAATCCAGCCCAAGCCCATTTCTTGTGTTTTCTTTTTTCCAGAAACACTGTTTCAGAAACATCTTCGCTTTTTCCTAGAAAAAGCTAACATATAAGGCCTTTTTGCAACAGAAGTTCCTGTTGACTGGTCTTACTTTTGTCCTCAGTCCTACTTTTTGTCATCATCTGCAACAACATTCTGTTGAAATCCAGTTAGGGAGCCTATTCATTTTTGTTCGTCCTAAAGCCAACATTGTTTACCTTCTGCCACATCCCAAAGAATCAAGAGTGACCACTGTGAAGACATAGAAATGACAGTCTCATTTCCTTTGCAGAATGGAGTTCCTAACTTCTTGAAAGACATGGCAAGAGCCTGTCAGAACTACCTCAAGAAAACCTAAGAAAGAGAACTGGGAACATTGCATCCATGGGTTGATGTCTCTGGAAGTGCAACCACCCAATGTCTCTGGAAGTGCCACCTGGAAGTGCCACCTGGAAGTGTCTCTGGAAGAGCACCCACCACTGTTCAGCCTTCCCCTGCTGTTTCTGTCTTCAGAGGCCTACACACTACCACATCCTTTCTAAGCATGTTTGCCTGACATCCAGCTCACTCGTCTGCTTCCTTTCTCGCTCCCCCCATCCTGGGCTGGGCTGCCTTCTTCTACAGTTCAATATGGGGCAGACTAGGGAAACCTTTGCTTGCTTACTATTAGGAGGGGAAGTCTTCAGTAGGGAACACGATCATTCCATTGTGCAATTTTACGGGGATGGGTGGGCGGAGGGACACAACAAAATTTAAGAATGACTATTTGGGCGGGCTGGCTCTTTTGCAGCTTGTGATTTCTTCCAGCTTGGGAGGGGCTGCTGGAAGTGGCATTTCGTTCAGAGCTGACTTTCAGTGCACCCAAACTGGATGACGTGCCAATGTCCATTTGCCTTATGCTTTGTGGAGCTGATTAGGCTGGGATTTGAGGTGATAATCCAGTAAGTCTTTCCTCGTTCCTACTTGTGGAGGATCAGTAGCTGTTATGATGCCAGACCATTTGGAGAAGTATCAGAGGCCTGACCGGACACATAATATGACAACCACATTTTTCCTCATCATCCATGAGGAAATGGATGATTTCTCTTTTCCATATGTCACTGGGGGAAAGGCTGCCTGTACCTCTCAAGCTTTGCATTTTACTGGAAACTGAGGCGTCAAGATGGCTGTGGCAGCTAGCAAAAGCAAAGATGCTTTGTGCATAGCCTTGTGAAAAAGTATCTTTCTATGCAATAAGATGAATTTTCCTCCCAGAATATTTAGAAATGTAGAAGGGATAACAGTTCACAGCCAGGTAAAATTTAACTGGTGGCTTAATGACTCTGCACCTTTTTCTCAGGAATTCTGCCTAAGTTGTCTGCCTTTTCTACCACCAAAAAGACTTTTAGTTTTCTATGCTTTCTCCTGAATTTTGGTAGGGTAAGGTATTTCTATGTCAAAGGCACAGCCTTGATGATCTCAGGGAAAAATTTTAATCACTGTGTATAATGATACTGAACCTTGATTAATAACAGAAATTCAGGATGTAAAGCCACAGAATGGGATTTATTAATGTGGGATACCTCAGACTGTTTGTTTTCTTTCTGGGAAGAAAAGTGTGTTCTATAATGAATAAATATAGAGTGGTTTTTACTTGTCCTGTGTACCACTTCCTTCCTACCTTCTTCCTTTTGTGAGTGTGCATCAGTTAGATCTCCTTTATTTGCAAGTGATATTCAGCCTAATTTGTAGACTTAAACATAAAACATAATTTTGGGCTTACTTATATGCATGATCAGGTGTAGGTATCTTCATGTAGGGATCAATACAGGTGCTCAAACTGAGATTAGAATTCAGATCGTTTAGTATTGGTCTGCATTTCCTGGTAGCATTGTCGCTAACAGCAATAGGTAGGTTTGCATCTTCCTAGGCTCATGCCAAGCAAAACAAAAAAGACAATGTTTCTTTCTAGTAGGACCTGCACTTTCCATAACTTAGAGCACCTCTAAAACATATGCTTATCTATGCCCTGCTCATTATGGTCATCTGGATAGAATTATACAAGTAAGTGAATGCCTCATAAAATTATCATTAAAATATCATTATCAATAATGTAGCTGAAATCTATTCTAGATAAACTAAATCTGAATACTTCCTGTTAATAGAAGTCAAGTTGAAATCTTATGAATAGATTATTTGAAATAAAAGCACTGAGATTATAGTCACTGAAAGAGAATTGGCATGAAATGGTGTCATGTAAACCATTTCTTTAAATAACATTAAATAATTTGCTAAGAACTCTGAAAATACTAAGAATGCTGAGTTTCTAGGTAAGGTACTTATTTTAAAAGGTTACAGTGTTTGCTGTAATGAATGGAGTTAAGACTTTTTAGCATTTTTACTTGCTAATTTAGAGTAGTGGACAGTCCTCACGAGCTGAGGTTATGTAGGAAACTGAAAACTCTTGAGCTATAGTAAGTGCCAAAGTCAAAAAAAAAAAAAAAAAATAGAACTGGTGGTTTAGGCCTTTACTTAGAGGGACTTGCACCTGAGTTCTCAGGGTGTGTTTTTCTGCAGCAGCTGGATGTATCACTTGGAATTTGTAAGTTATATTGTCATTCCTCTAGCACTTTGTTTTACTTATTTTTCCCATATCTGTGTTTCCAAGTAGACAACCAGCATTTGTGGATAGAAGCAGTTATATCACTTTGATTACTGGTCCTTGGGGTAGTATATAGTAGGCACTCGAATGGTGACTAAATGAGTGAATGAATGATTTAGAGAAGATTGACCAAATGGCATGAACCTGGAAGACTAAATCCATTCAGCTATAGAGGCTCAATCCCCATGGATTCAAGCCAAATTATTCCCCAAGTCAGCGTTTTGTGGGGTGCGGGGTGGGCGGTTTCTAGATTTCCCAGGTTCCCATTGGTCCTTCCTTGAAGTACCAAGGTCCTCTCTCTGTTAAGGGGTGGCTTTGCTGGTGTGGCTATGGGTTATAGTATAATGTTAGAGAAATGGCACAGTTTGAATTGAGTCCGGCTGAGATTAGTCAGGATTCCAGTTGAAATTTAATGGCAAAAGTAGCACTACTGTTGGTGGTAAATTTTTTCCACAGGCAAATTATTCACACTGCATAACAATTCAAAGTTAATGACCACCTTGGAACCGAGGAGTTCCAGCAGAGGGTCACTTCCCTTGAAAATGTTCCTATTTCACAGCAAGAGTCCTGGCCTGACTCCCTGGCTGAGATTCCTCACCCAGAATCCCCATCTATAATGCCTGCCCTTCCAACCTCCCACTTCCTAGCTGGACTTGCAAGAGATGAGGCAGGAAGAGCCCCATTCAGTTCTCACATTTCTAGTGGCACCACCCAGTCACCTCAGAGAATTATCTTTAAATGCATCGAGACATTTAGTTCTTTAACAGATATTTCTCAAGAGGCTGGAGTCCATCAGCATTGGGATAGGCATGGCATTTGTGGGATGAATGAGAAAGATATGGTGCCTGCCCTTAAGGTGCTTATGGTCTAATGAAAACTCAGTGAATAAGCTGCTGAAGGATGATAAGTGCTCAGAAAAGGAAAATAAAAGGTGCTGTCAAAAAAAGGGCAGTAACCAAGTTTGAGGAGCAGAGGAGAACATGTTGGAATTGTGGCTGGATGAAGGTTGCAGAAGAAAGCTGTTCATGACAGAAGAACCATTTGCACAAAACCTCTAAGGAGGAAGGACTCAGCAGGAGAGTCAGTCACATGTGAAGAATGACAGAAGGCCAGTGTGGCTGGAGCGCTGACATGAAGGAGAGGCATCTTGTATGTGGCTGGAGAAGTAGACAAGCCATGTAGGGTCCTGAGAGCAATGGCAAGGATTTGGGACTTTATCCCAAGAGTCTCAATAAGCTTTGAAAGATTTGAGATTGAGGAGTGACCTAAAAATATGTATTATTCTTAACACCATTCATTTTTCTCCATGATTCCCCAGCATCTCTGACAGCCTCTCCAGTAGCATTGTGTGGGGCTACTCAAGGTGCTTTAAGCCCTATTACTTTGAATCCTCTCCATTGTGAGGCAGCATGCAGAGTAGCCCATACTTAAATCAAGTTTCCAAAGTGGAACATCAGCTTCTGAAGTTTAACTGAAAAACAAAAGGCTGGAGGGAGGGGACCACCCATGCACATCCCCTCTGTCTCTATTGGCCCATGTTGGGGCGCAGCATACCCTCCCACACATCTGCATCATGCAGCCCATCAGAGCAGAGCCATTTAAGGGGCCAGAAGTGGGAGAGAAAAAATGAAAGGCAAAAAAATGTAAGCAGGTCCACTTTCCCCAAGTTCCTTTTTTTTATATTCATCCTTAACTGCAAGGAAGAACTTTTTTTTTTTTTTTTGCTTGAGAAGACAGAAGCATAACATATTGTTTGTTTAGGTTGCAGAGTTTAGAACCAACAAAATGGGAGGACTTCAGAAAAATTATTTACATTGCTCATCTATTTATATATGTGTATGTCCATGTGTGTCTCTTTGGATACACATAATAGATGCTGCATTTCATAAGATATAATAATGGAACAACAATTAAACAGTACACTATGTAAGTACACTATGTAAACTTTCTAAGTTTCCTGTGTGATATGCCAGGCCCACTGCCAGGCAGTGGAGTACATAAAGGTGGGATGCAGTGACTTTAGAATTAGTAGACAACAGATCCTGTAGGACAATGAGCAGTTTGCTACAAGCTCTTAAAGTATTACATTTTCCTTCCATCCGATGGTGGTTGCATCCTTTCTGATTATTATAAACACTTGTGCACATATTCCATGTCCTCTGCAGACTGCTATAATTCCTGAATGGAAGAATCTGCCCCACATTCATGTAGTCCACTGCTTAGCAATGGACCTGGCATGACATGTAGAAAACTTGGAGTCACTCATATAGCATACTGCTTAGTTGTTGTGTTATTGTATCTTATGATTGCAAAGTCAGTGCATTTTAGCTGAGTGCACAGCCACCCAGCCACCCTTGCAGTAAAGTGTGGCCATGGTATGTAATTCTGGCCAATATCATATGAGCATAAATAATATGTGCCACTTCCAGCTCAGGATCTTAAAAGGAAAAGGTATGAACTCAGCTTGTTCTTGCCTCCTTCACCATGTCTGGGAAATGATGAGAACTGGAACAAATGCCCTGGAATCAAGGATGAAAGCCTAGGATTAAGGATGACAAAATAACTCTGCCTCCCTTGGACTGTTACAAGAGAGAGAAATAGACTTCTTTCTTATTTAAGCCACAGCATGTAAAAAAAAAAAAAAAAATAGCAGCTTTGCCTATACCAACTCATGAATAGCTCAAAAAGAGTGTCCCTTTGGACCAGGAGATCAGGAACCAGCTCAAATCCTCCTCATCTATAGACTTTGGATCTCCTGGCCTGTGCCAAACAATAAGTGATCTGCAAATTTCTGACTTGTTCCAGTTTCATTTAATGTGATCAATAAATGTTGGCTGTTATTAGCTGTTACTCCCAATTGTACATCTCTATCTGCCTCCCGTTCTCCTGCCCCATGCTTTGCCTCAGGCTACTCTTTTTGTCTATGTTGGAAATCTTCCCCAACTTTTGTGAAATTTCTGTCAAAATTGAAGGCTTACTATAAATCTATTCCCTCTAAGATATTCCTTGGATTTAGAAAAAACTTAATCTATGATGGTGCTGAATAAATGAAATCCAGCACCTTCAGATTGGAGCTACTTCTATGAATCACCTTTGATAGACACTGTATTAGTCCAGGTTCTCCAGATAAACAAAACCATCAGGATATACACCTTGTCATGCACCACATCATGATGTTTCAGTCAACAACAGACTGCATTCCAATTCATACCACTAACTAAAAACAAATAAACAAAATAAACTAAAAACCCCAACAATATGTATGGCAGTGGTGCCATAAGATTATAATCCTATATTTTTAATGCACCTTTTTAAGCTACACTAATACATACCATTGAGTACTGAATACTGTAGGCAATTAAAACATGTACAGGTTTGTAGCCTAGGAAAACGGGTTACTCCATATAGCCTATTTTTGTAGTAGGCTATACCATCTAGGTTTGTGTAAGTATACACTATGATGTTTGCACAATGACCAAATCACCTGACACATTTCTCAGTATGTATTCTGTTGTTAAACAGCACCTGATTGTGTGTGTGTGTGTGTGTGTGTACATGTATGTGTGGAATTATGGAATTGGCTCATACAATTATGGAGGCCGAGAAGTCCCAAAACCTTCAGTTGGCAAGCTGGAGACCCAGGAGACCTCATGATATAGTTCCAGTCCAAAAGCTGGCAAGCTGGAAAGTCAAATAAATTATGTTTCAGTTCAAGTCTGAAGGCCAGAAACACCAGTATCTCAGCTCAAAGCAGTCAGGCAGGAGGCATTGCCCCTTCCTCAGAAGAGGGTCAGCCTTTTTGTTCGATTCAGGCTTTCAGCTGACTGGATGAGAACCTCCTATATTGGGGACAGCCATCAGCTACTCAATTCAAACATTAATCTTATCCTCAAACACCCCTACAGTCACACTCAGAATAATGTTTTACCAAATATCTGGACAGCCCATAGCCTAGTCAAGTTGACACATAAGATTAAACATTATACTTGGTGAGAGCCCAGTGTTCTCAGATAAGGAAAAAGATTTAACATTTTGAAGCTCTTATTGTGTGCGAGGCACTAGATTGGATGCTTTACTTACAGCTTAGTCTTTGATGAGATAGGAAATACTATCTCCAACTTACTGATGATGAATATAGGCTCAGAGAGGCTAAATAATGTGCTTAAGGTAACTTGGCTAGTTAGGTGGTAGACTGGGAACTCAAAGCTAGGCTTCTTTGATCCTAGATCCCATGCTTCCACATTCCCCCTCACATTCCAACACTTTTAATCTTCCTTCTGTTCCATCAATGTGCCAAGCTTGTTTTTACATCAGTCATTGTACCAGTTGTCCTCTCTGCCCAGAGTGCCCTGCTCCCTGATCCACACAAGCCTGAAATCTTTAAATCATGCAAGTCGTTGTTTAAATGTCCCCTCCTCTGAGAAGTTTTGCAGTTGAAGTCAATCCCTATTCCTTACCTTGTCTGCATAGCATGTAATACTTTCTATTAAATGTATTTATTTTCTGTTCATTTATTTCAGCTCCAAAAGGGTACAGAACTTTGTCTCATTCCCAAATTATATACTCAATAGATAGAGCACAAAAATATTCTAAAGTATCTGCTGAAGGAATAAATGAATCAATGGTGGGGCAACAAGCTCAAAGTCCCATGATCTCAATTTGACCAATAATGCCTGAAAGATAGGTCCAAAAAAAAATGTATTCTCAATCTTGTGTTCCACCTAATTTTTACCAAAGAGGGAACACTGAGGACAAATTTTTAGTTCTTTTTTTTAAAGCTAGAATTGCTTTGTTTTCCAGGGTTTTGTTCTTTATTAATTTTTTTGATTTTTCATTCTGATTTAACACCGTTGGAGAGCTCATACTAGCCCCGTAAAAGTCTACTCAACAGAATGATATTACTGATGTAACTTAGGGAAGGGAGAGAGGCTGGAGGCAAAACAGGGCTAGAAGAGAAGATCTTTTCATTTGCAGGCCAGAATCCTGAAAGAAGAAAACCTGTATCCCCCATGGACAGATATGGGGAGGGGACTGTGGGTGGAAGGACAGCACGCCGAATTCATTTTCTCTAATCTATCTTATCCAATTCCTCTCTAGTGGTTCATAAACTGAGAAAAAGTCAATGGAAACCAATCAGGACAAAAACAGCACTTAGAACTCCATGCAGGGCATACAGCAACTTTTGTTTTATGTCAAACAGCTTATGAGGGGCTGGATCTGCTTTTAAGTGGTCATGGATTCTGCTTACCAGTGAATGTGGTGGTTCATTTTCCAAGGGAGAGTGAATGATATTCTTCATGGGGAGCCTATATTTTAGGCCTGGTATTGAATAATTACTGGACTGCTGAAAGCTTCCAAGTAGGAGTTCGCCCTTCACTACACAGTTTGGCTCATGTTCCCATTTCGGCTACTTTAAGCTGTTGTAAACAGCATTCGTTTTCCATTACAAGCTAGGAAATGTGACTTCAGCGACGGTGCCGAGTCCCTGGAGAGCGCCTGCCAGGGAGGCCGTTTCCTCACCTCTCATTTTAGTTTGTAACTTGATGGCGAGGTTGAGTAATCGCTGAAGCTCCATGTCTTCCCATCCTATTCTGTTCCACTAACTTATAAAACAGCCAGTGACCCGCTTGAGGACTAGCGGATCAACCAGATGTTTCCTGAGCAAAGACAGCATGCGTTTCCTCTTGCACATCATCTTGTGAGAGGGGAGGGCTGGCGGGCCACTCACCCCGTCTGACATCATTGGGCGAGGTGGCCTGGGGGAGAATTTCAAAGCAGAGCAGCTTGGCCAGGGAAGAGCTCAGCTGGCAGCTGTGAGCTGGGATTAACTGACCCAGATAACTAGGGAGAAGGAATTGGCAATCTAAGTGTTTGTTCTCCAGCAGGAAGTAGACGGCCTCCTTTCTACTCCCTAAATATCTGTGGCTGTAGGAGACCTTCCCCCAATGGCTCCACATACACAGTCAGGATTGCGTCCACCATATTTCTTCCCATCCCAACTTTTTGTTGTCCCTGGCTTTTGCATAAGGTTGACATGGCACAAGCTCAACCAATTGCAGTGTAATAATAATAACAACCATAATAATAATAATATCAATGAATTATTCTTCCCTAAACAACATTGAGGAAGTCAAATTCTAAACAATCTGATTTCAAATAATCTCCTTATAGATCACTAGCTTGTCAGACTTGGGGTATTAAGAACCAGTAAAATAAAATATTTTTCATAATACAGGGAGCAGCTGACATGTAATTGTCAGCTTCCCCATAGAAAGGTCATTAAAAATAAGACAAATAAAAAGTAAATCCAATATACCATTTACCATCACTATGATTTCATAAAAGAAAGGTTTAACCTCTTCTGCTGTAATGCATCCAAAGTCTTTTCTTTATACTTATAATCAAATCCAAACTACTGAGACCTAAAAAATTCCATATTACTTACGATCTGGCCCATGCCTGCTCTTCAAGCTCCACTTCCTCCTTGACTTATTCCTCTCTAGTCTTTTATCTGTTCCTCAAACATACAGTGGTCTTTGCATTTACTGTCCCCAACATCTGGAATGCTCTTCCCCACATCTGTATATAGCACACTGCCTATGGTATGCAGCTTTCTGACACGGCTCCCAATAATCCCCACATCTGTATATTCACTTCTTTGTGTAATGCCCTCCTCTGTATGTGGAGTGGACCTGGTGACTTGCCTCTAAAGAATAGAGCAAGAGTGATGGGATGTTACATCCAAGATTAAATTGTAAAATACTCTGCCTTCGTCCATTCTTGCTCACTTTCTCTGTCTGGATTGTCTCACTTGCTTTCTCTCATGAAGCAAGTTGCTAATTATGAGTGTCCTATGGAAGGTCAATGTGACAAGGCCTCTGGCCAAGAGCCAACTAGTAGCTGAGACCCTCAGTTCAGCAGTTTGGGAGGAACTAAATCCTTCCAACAGCCTCCTGAGTGAGATTAGAAGAAGATCCTTCTCAATAGAGCTTGGCAGTGACTGCAGCTTCAGAAGACCTCTTGATTGCTGCCCTGTGAGACAGGCTAAGCCAGAGGACTTAGCTAAGCCAAGACACACTGGAACTGCAAGATAATACTGTTTTAAGCCAGTAAGATCTATGTAGTGATAGATAACTGAAGCAATGCCTCATTTATTTAGATCTTGCTCAAATGTTTTCCTCTCCAAAGTCGTCTCTCTCTAAAACAAACCAAACCAAACAAAATGATCACACATTATTCTCTCACACCTTACCCAGTTTTGTTTTTTCTTCATAGCAATTATCACTACCTACATTTATATCACAGATTTATTTGTTAGCTATCTTCCCTATTAGAATGAAAATTCAGTGAACAAAATATCTGTCCTTTTGCTGGTGAACAAGATGGACATGCATTTGCCCTGATGATGCTTCAGTTTATTTGACAAATATTGATTATAGGGCTACTTTGTACCAGGCTCCATATTTATAGGTTATTTGTTCTTGGTTCTGTTGTATCTAGGCTAATTAATTTTAGTATATTGGTTCAGCTGTTTTGTTTTAAATTTAGCTCAGCTGCTCTTTGATAATGCACCTTTCTGTATCTTTCAGTGAGTGTTTGATTAAAATGCCATATGTGGGCTGGGCACGGTGGCTCATGCCTGTAATCCCAACACTTTGGGGGGCCGAGGCAGGCAGATCACTTGAGGCCAAGAGTTCAAGACCAGCCTGGCCAACATGGCAAAACCCCTTCTCTACCAAAAAGTACAAAAATTAGCTAGGCGTGGTGGCGCAGGCCTGTAATCCCAGCTACTCGGGAGCTGAGGCACGAAAATAACTTGAACCCGGGAGGTAGTGGAGGTTGCAGTGAGCCAAGATCACCACTGCACTCCAGCCTAGGCGACAGAGCAAGACTCTGTCCCCAAAATAAAATAGAATAAAATAGCCATGTGTGATAGAGTCAAGAGTAGAGCTTGTGTATACTCTGTTGAAGTCCATTGTTGAATGAACATAATTATTTGAAAAGATACCTAATGTAAATGATGAGTTAATGGGTGCAGCACACCAACATGGCACATGTATACATATGTAACAAACTTGCACGTTGTGCACATGTACCCTAGAACTTAAAGTATAATTAAAAAAAAAGAAAAGTTCTCACTTTATGCTATGCTGACATCTGCCTATCTGTTACTTTCATCTATTGACCTCAGATTTACTGTCAGAAATAATATAGAAAGTGTCTATTCTTTTTCTCAAATCCAGTTAAAATTGTTCTGTTAACTCTATCTCTTTGGGTGTAAGTTCTATTTATCAAGTTTATTACCTCTTTTGTGCAATAGGCTTTTCTTGGATGTTTAGTGTGTCTTCATTTTGTGGTCATCTTGTGCAGTTAAGATTGCAAGTTTAACTTTCTGCTTATTTGAGAGCAGATCTGAGAGCTATCACTGTGGCTCCCTCTCCACCGTTTCCAATGAGAGCAATGGGGCTCCTGGTACCATCAGCCATGCTTCCAGGGATAGGATCCTGCATCACCTGTACCTAGGAATTACCCCATCTTTCTGTCTCAAGCTCCCACATTCATGAGAAAATACATCTCAAGGCAGATTCATCTGTTTCTGGCATATGTGTGTATGTGTGTGCTTGTGCATATGCATGTGTGAGCATGTGTGTGTGTGTGTGTGTGTGTGGTAGACTGGTTAGTTAACCTGGCTACCTTACTGCTCTCATCAGAGACCCCAGAGGTAGACTACCTCCGAACATCGATCGTCTTCATTGTTTTTCTCATCTTTAAGAGCTGCACTTTCCACCAATGTCCTAAGCTATAGCTTTTTCTGCAATTTTATCTCATGCGTTTTCTGCTTGTTTCTGGACCACAAAATGTGAAAACTCTTATGTTCCAATCCTTGTGTTTTAATTCTTATGAATGTATTTATACATGCGTTTGTGTGTGTAGTAATATTTTATATTTTTTAAGTATATAAAATATGAATATATATATATATTTTTTGAGATGGAGTCTTGCTCTGTCACCCAGGCTGGAGTGCGGTGGCATGAAATCAGCTCACTGCAAACTTCACCTCCTGGGTTCAAGCAATTATCCCTGCCTCAGCCTCCTGAGTAGCTGGGATTACAGGCACACGCCACCATACCCGGTGAATTTTTGTATTTTTAGTAAATACTGGGTTTCACCATGTTTTCCAGGCTGGCCTTGAGCTCCTGACCTCAAGCAATCCACTGGCCTCGGCCTCTCAAAGTGCTGGGATTACAGGCATGAGCCACCACACCCGGCCGTGAATATATTTCTGTTTTATATCAATATGTGTATGTTTTTATAGGTCATCTTATCTACCATCTTGAAGCCATTATCTCCACTGTCTTTTCGATCAGTCAGCACGTCAGATATTTAAAGATAATTACCACATTCTCCATTGTTGTTTCCTCCTCAGTCTAAACATCCTCAGTTCCTTTAATGATCATAATGTACAATAATTTTCTGACCCCTTATCCCCTAAAATTCCCTTCTCTATTCTTCTCGGCACATAGCATTTATTCAACAGCACTGTCATATAATATGGCCCTCAGAGTTGAGAGGGACACTCAGAGTACAATGGGACTGTTACTGCTTGTACTCTCTCTCTATTTTTCTATCAATGCTGTCTAAGTCTGGTTTATCCTTTTAAAACCACATATTTATACTACTGGATTGTAATAACCAATTTCCTTTCTACCTCTCTTCCGAATTTTATATATCTAAACTCTGCCAAGCAACAGGTTCCTTATTCTGTACTTGTGTAATTGATTACCAACCAAAATGAAGGACTTCACACTAGTTCTTAATGATTTGTACCATGCTAACTTTAACCTCTCCACATCCTTTTGTAGTGTGTGTCAGAATATGCATCAAGGCAAGTTTCAGTTTATTCTTGTCTTTAACAAACTGACAAGCCTCTGATATATTGATCTCTGGTGAATTGTGGTTCCTTCCTTCTATGGAACACCTTCTCCTATGTTACTAACTGATTAGAGACCATATTATTGGCTTCTTTAGCCAAACCCCATATTTACTTATGGGGATTATGTTATTTATTTACTCAACAAAGATTTATCAAGGGCTAACTCTGTGCCATGAACCAAGTTGGGCATTGGCTATTCAGAGATAAATAAACATCATCTTTGACCTCATGGAACTTATGATCCAGTATTTACATATTTATAATTATGTATAGACTTATTATACTTATGATTGCTAGTGATTATATAGTCAGAATTTTACTGAAAAAAATTGCCAATCTCGATAAAGCAAATATAGCAAAATGTTCATTACTGAATTAAGGTGATGGGGTATCCAGGTGTTCACTGTATGATTCTGTCAACTTTTCTGTATATCTGAAATTTTTCATGCTAAAATGTTCGGGGGAAATTTGCCTGTCCCTCATGAGCTATATTTCTTTTATAGTCCTCAGCTATGCAATGGTACTTGTCTTTCTTTTAAACTCTTTGGATTGTTTTACTTGCTTTTTATGAACTTCAGGATACCCTCACCTTTTTCTCCCAGGGTTCCTGGAAGAAATTGTGACATAGTAGAAAGAATACAGACATTGGAGATGAGCTAGGACTCAAATTTTGAGCCTGGCACCTACTGGCTTCCTGCCTCTGGATAAGTCATTTAATGTATTTGAGCCTCGATTTTTCTTATTCCTAAAATGGAGTAATTATATTCACACTTTGTTGTGAAAATTAAGTAAAATTATGTATGTAATCACTTGGCATATTTAAAATGCACCCTTCCCCACTTCCATGACTTTATCCATCTATCTACCTCACACATCACCATTATTTCCTTTCTTACAAATCAGAATTAAGTGGTGAGTACCCATTTATGCTTTTCTCTTTCCTCTTTGAAAAATAAAATTCTCAGAAACTCAGATCCTTAATGTGTTATTGGATAGTTTTGTTTAGCAAATATGGTATCAGAAGATATGAATTCATCCATAACCTTCAAGTTTCCTTTTTGTTCAGATACAGGATTAATGTTAGGAAAGTACCATTAATATCCTGACTAAGTGATCAGTAATTGCTGTTAAGTTGTAAACGCTTTATTGCCAATTCCTGTCTTGATTTAGTAGGTTTATGTGGTCTGTGTCCTAATTGCTGTGTCTGCAATGTTATCTCCTTTCTTCCATTTTTGCGAAAATCCTGTGCATCCTTTGAGAACAAGTTCAATGCTCTATCCTCCTGTGAAGGCTTCCTAAATCCCTTCCTTCAGGTCTTACTCAAAATATTCTCACTGCACCGTGTTATGTCTTAAAATATCTCACATAAGGACCAGATGGATTCACAGCCGAATTCTACCAGAGGTACAAGGAGGAACTGGTACCATTCCTTCTGAAACTGTTCCAATCAGTAGAAAAAGAGGGAATCCTCCCTAACTCATTTTATGATGCCAGCATCATCCTGATACCAAAACCGGGCAGAGACACAACCAAAAAAGAGAATTTTAGACCAATATCCTTGATGAACATTGATGCAAAAATCCTCAATAAAATACTGGCAAACCGAATCCAGCAGCACATCAAAAAGCTTATCCACCATGATCAAGTGGGCTTCATCCCTGGGATGCAAGCCTGGTTCAATATATGAAAATCAATAAATGTAATCCAGCATATAAACAGAACCAAAGACAAAAACCACATGATTATCTCAATAGATGCAGAAAAGGCCTTGGACAAAATTCAGCAACCCTTCATGCTAAAAACTCTCAATAAATTAGGTATTGATGGCATGTATCTCAAAATAATAAGAGCTATCTGTGACAAACCCACAGCCAATATCATACTGAATGGGCAAAAACTGGAAGCATTCCCTTTGAAAACTGGCACAAGACAGGAATGCCCTCTCTCACCACTCCTATTCAACATAGTGTTGGAAGTTCTGGCCAGGGCAATTAGGCAGGAGAAGGAAATAAAGGGTATTCAATTAGGAAAAGCAGAAGTCAAATTGTCCCTGTTTGCAAACGACATGATTGTATATCTAGAAAACCCCATTGTCTCAGCCCAAAATCTCCTTAAGCTGATAAGCAACTTCAGCAAAGTCTCAGGATACAAAATCAATGTACAAAAATCACAAGCATTCTTATACACCAACAACAGACAAACAGAGAGCCAAATCATGAGTGAACTCCCATTCACAATTGCTTCAAAGAGAATAAAATACCTAGGAATCCAACTTACAAGGGATGTGAAGGACCTCTTCAAGGAGAACTACAAACCACTGCTCGAGGAAATAAAAGAGGATACAAACAAATGGAAGAACATTCCATGCACATGGGTAGGAAGAATCAATATCGTGAAAATGGCCATACTGCCCAAGGTAATTTACAGATTCAATGCCATCCCCATCAAGCTACCAATGACTTTCTTCACAGAATTGGAAAAAACTACTTTAAAGTTCATATGGAACCAAAAAAGGGCCCGCATCACCAAGTCAATCCTAAGCCAAAAGAACAAAGCTGGAGGCATCACGCTACCTGACTTCAAACTGTACTACAAGGCTACAGTAACCAAAACAGCATGATACTGGTACCAAAACAGAGATATAGATCAACGGAACAGAACAGAGCCCTCAGAAATAACGCCGCATATCTACAACTATCTGATCTTTGACAAACCTGAGAAAAACAAGCAATGGGGAAAGGATTCCCTATTTAATAAATGGTGCTGGGAAAACTGACTAGCCATATGTAGAAAGCTGAAACTGGATCCCTTCCTTACACCTTATACAAAAATCAATTCAAGATGGATTAAAGACGTAAACGTTAGACCTAAAACCATAAAAACCCTAGAAGAAAACCTAGGCATTACCATTCAGGACACAGGCATGGGCAAGGACTTCATGTCTAAAACACCAACAGCAATGGCAACAAAAGCCAAAATTGACAAATGGGATCTAATTAAACTAAAGAGCTTCTGCACAGCAAAAGAAACTACCATCAGAGTGAACAGGCAACCTACAAAATGGGAGAAAATTTTCGCAACCTACTCATCTGACAAAGGGCTAATATCCAGAATCTACAATGAACTCCAACAAATTTACAAGAAAAAAACAAACAACCCCATCAAAAAGTGGGCAAAGGACATGAACAGACACTTCTCAAAAGAAGACATTTATGCAGCCAAAAAACACATGAAAAAATGCTCACCATCACTGGCCATCAGAGAAATGCAAATCAAAACCACAATGAGATACCATCTCACACCAGTTAGAATGGCAATCATTAAAAAGTCAGGAAACAACAGGTGCTGGAGAGGATGTGAAGAAATAGGAACACTTTTACACTGTTGGTGGGATTGTAAACTAGTTCAACCATTGTGGAAGTCAGTGTGGCGATTCCTCAGAAATCTAGAACTAGAAATACCATTTGACCCAGCCATCCCATTACTGGGTATATACCCAAAGGACTATAAATCATGCTGCTATAAAGACACATGCACACATATGTTTATTGTGGCATTATTCACAATAGCAAAGACTTGGAACCAACCCAAATGTCCAACAGTGATAGACTGGCTTAGGAAAATGTGGCACATATACACCATGGAATACTATGCAGCCATAAAAAATGATGAGTTCATGTCCTTTGTAGGGACATGGATGAAATTGGAAATCATCATTCTCAGTAAACTATCACAAGAACAAAAAACCAAACACCGCATATTCTCACTCATAGGTGGGAATTGAGCAATGAGAACACATGGACACAGGAAGGGGAACCTCACACTCTGGGGACTGTTGTGGGGTGGGGGGAGGGGGGAGGGTTAGCATTGGGAGATATACCTAATGCTAGATGACGAGTTAGTGGGTGCAGCACACCAGCATGGCACATGTATACATATGTAACTAACCTGCACATTGTGCACATGTACCCTAAAACTTAAAGTATAATAATAATAAATAAAAAAAAGAAAAAAAAAAGAAAAAACCACACATACTCATATTTCTAAACACTTTCTCAAAGTTTGAAAAGGAGGGAATGTAGCTACTGAAATATTAAAAGTAAGAAGGATTCACACTACATCTTTTGATACAAAATAAATTCTCCACAGAAAAATAAAATAAAATAAAATAAAATATCTCACATAACTTACCATTAGATAGTAAGAACTGTGCGGCCAGAAAAAAGAACTTTTTAACCTTTCTATCCCTAGTGTATGGGACTAGAAGCAGTCAGCAGGTACTTCTTAGAGATAATTCGTGGATACCTGGGGAGGTGAGTGATTAGAGTTAATTATCCCTGGGCCTCAGTTTCTTCCTCCAGGAAATAAAATAGGTCACCAGGTGACTTCAAAAGCCTATGTAAGTAAGCAGTGAAATTTTATGATTCTTAGCCTTTCTATTATGTTACTCACTCACATGCAGTATACCTTTTTCATTTCAAGTATTTGTCTTAATGTCAGAGCTTTATGTATGGATCTGGAGGTTCTTAATTTTTAAGCAATAGAGATGGATGCTCATACATTCCCTCTCTGACTCTTTGCTCTGATTTTCTCAATGGCTTTGCACCAAGGGTATGGATGAGTTCCCCAACAAATCATAGTTCCCCAACATATACTCCAGTCCAAACAAACAAAAACGCATCTCCCCATGCCCTTCAACCTCACCCTGCCATCCCCTCCATTTTGCAGATCACCTATTTTAGAACATCTCTTCTGTCCTGTGTCCCAACTCTCTGAAAAAGGCTGAGTAGATTCACATATCCTGGAGTCTGGTGGGTGTCTAGATTAATATTAAGAAGATGCTGGCCTCTGAGTCTTAGACCCTTTTATCCTTCAGCATATGCTGAGTTTGAGTTGCTGGAAGATATTTGATTCTAACCTTCCATATTTGTGAGCCTCATCTGATTATTCTGGACAGTCAGAAACACTTGGGGAGGATGAGGGGGCATGTTAGGGAGGTGCAGGACCTCACATTTTCACCCCTGTTTCCTAACCCTTTAAATTTCAACAATGCTGAACATACTTAATGTTCCGAATTCTCTGCACTCTCACTCACCCCGTTTCCCTCCACTTAACACACTCTTCAAATCTTCTCTACCTTTTTTGCCTGATAAAGCTGATTCATCATCTGAGGCTCAATTGAAAACCACTTCCTACAGAGAGAGTTTTCTGATTCTCCTACTACAACTCTTACTAAACTGTTTGGTGATTGTCTGATTATTTACATGATTTCTTCATTTAATGGATGCCATCATTCTTGTTCATTATTGTAGCCCTAGAGCTTAGCACACAGTACCTGAAACACGATAGTTGCTTAACTTGTCTCTATTGAATAAATTAATAAAGGCGGTAGTCGCTGCTCTCATTAAAGAAATTAAAATACTATAGAATGCACAAGATAAGCACACAAATAACCAATATATTGATGCCTCTCATTTTACAACTCCCAAGGATCCTGTGGAGATAGCATTGTTTCTACCATTTTGCAGAAAGAAAAATGTAGCCTTAGAAGTTATATCAATCATCAAGTTATTTTACAGCTAGAAAGTAGCGGAATTGAATTTGAATGCCCGCCTTCACAGTAGAAGTTAAGTGTTCTCTCCATAATATTGCAACAATATGCAATGACTGTTGCAAAATTGGTACAAAAGTTGGCTGCATTGCAGAAATGAGAGAGTTACTCCTAGATGACATTTAAGCTTAGATCTGAAAGACAGTAACTTGTTTTAAAAAATATTTTCAATTGCCAGAACAAAACCAACCTCCTTTTTTGCATCATAATAAATTAAACCAATACAGCCATATTTAATGTAAGAAGTGAAAGCTCATTCCCCTCTTGCTCTAATTACATTCCCAAGACATAACCATCATAAAGCCTATCTATATACATGATATGGTGGTTTTATGTTATTTAAATGAAATCATACTCTAAATGTCCAATAGTCTTCTTCTTTTTTTTTAAGTCAGTATAACTTGGACAACCTTATATGGAGTATATTTATATTTACCTCCTGATTTTTAGCTGCTACATTTCATTCCTTTGTAAGAATGTTCTAAAATTTGTTTAACCCGTCTCTTGTTATGGGCATTTGGGTGTTTTTTTTTAAATTTTCTCCCTTATAAATAATTCTATAAGAATTCTCCTTGTATATACATCTCTGAGTCCTCATTAAAGATTTTCTGTCCATCAATTCCTAAAATAGGAATTCTTAAGTTATGGGTTATATGCAATTTAAATTATAAAAGAAGCTGACAGAATTGCACAGAATGTGAAAAACTTGAAATTAGAGGGCAAAAACATTCAAGGTGGAACAAGTCACATAAATAAAGGCACCTAAAAGCATAAGTCACATTCTTTTATTTTTCCCAAGAAGTTTCCGCATTTTGACCCTTTGTGTGAGCTCTAACGACAAATTCCAGCTCCTGCCAAGAGACCACAAGCTATTTGTCAGTTTGTCTTTTTATTCTCCTTCTTGTCCCTTCAGTGATGAAGTCCCCAGAGGTTAAACACTCTCATTATTAATCTTACCACAAGAATCCCAGAAAACCAATGTTTGCTGCCCTTTGGTTCTTTATTTTAATGACTCCTCACCACACACAGACCCCTTATTGTGCTATTCACAACTTTCCAGATGAAACCAAAGGCTTGATTCAACTGTAGTCAAAGAAAATGAATTCTACCCAATTCCACACACATACACACACTAACCCTCCTCTTTTCACCAGTGCCTAAAACTTAAAATTGAATGAACATGACATGAGATGTTTCTAAAGAGCTATCCCCCTGCCATCAGTTTTATTAAAGGCATAAATGTGCAGTCGCATTTAATGGTGTTTATTTTGAAACATGTGATGTTTACCCTTGAAAGCCTATTATGCATCTCTCACCTTACAGTGAACAAAAGGGCATTGTAACTTCACGTAGTCTGACTGCTTGCTTAAATTTAGGTCTGCACTCAAACGAGAAAAATACTTGAGTATCAGTCATCTTGGAATCCAAGGGACTTATTCATAGAGCATGTGGGGCTCTATTCATAAATGATTTATGTCTTTGCATAAAGGGGAGTGGGGGTTGCATGTGTTGCCCAGAGAACCATCGTCTGCCTTTCCTGGGTAATTTATACAAGATCAATATTTATCAAGGTGAGCCAAGAATTGTGCCGTAACTCTCTGAGAGCCAAATACTTCATTTACAGTTTCTTCACCCATGGAAGGGAGCGTGACAGATTGAAATGTTTGCATAAAAGCTACTTAAAGAGGTTCTCACTTGATTCCTGTTGCTTTAAATGTGGCGTGATGCCTTGCAAGAAATTGCAGATTTCACTCATAGATGTTGCTCATTGACTAACACATAGTAGATATTAAAAAATGTACTTGTTGAATTAGTGACTAAAGGGAAATAAACAATCATAATAGAAATATTACTATTCTCAAAGAGAAAGACTGATTGCCCACTTTGTTTATTCTGTCAGTAAATATTAATTGAGCATCCATTAGGCATTTTGCATTGAATAAAGTCACAGTTATTACCTGGGATGATCCCTATACATATGTGTGAAAACTTTAAAACATGTTAATGAAATATATGCTCTATTAAAGGTTCAAAAAAGTGTTCTGGTGATAGAGATGAAGGATCAACTAATTCTGCACAGAGGCGTCTAGGAAAGGATAAGTGTAAGTAGGAGTTAAACAGAAAGTGAATGAGGATGGGAATTTTTGGGAGAAGTAATAGTACGAATTAAGGCAGCATGAAAGACCTTTGGATTGCAGGAATGAGATAAATATGTTGCCATCAGAGATTAGAGTACTGTGTCAGTAATAATAAATAAATCTGAAAATTTCTCTTAGAACTGGATTGTGAAAGGCATAATACACTCAACTAGTGAGCTATTAGTTTATTTTGTAAGCAAGAAGAGACTCTCATAAATTTTTAAACATGGACATTACATGGTTGGATTTCTCATAGGGATATATCTCTGGTAGCACAGTCTATACTATTTACCATCTGGTGGAGATGAAAGAGAGGAGATGACAAGTTGGTGTAAATTTGTTTATGTCTGGTAGTGTCTCTTTGGAGTACTGTTTTGAGAACGATTTTAAAACTTCATCTGGACTCATTGGGAAAGGCTTCAATCTAAAGAAATGATGCCTACCATGAGTGTAAGAAGGAAAGCAGGGAAAGCGTCAGCAGACATAGCTAAGCATTTGCCATCCCTGGATTAGCAGGACATTGGGAAGGTCTAGATGAGATATCATTAGTCTTTAATTAGGACAACTTCAATGTATGGGAGATGATAGGTGTAGGTTTATATATGATTATGATCTCCTGTGCACATATGACTTGATGAATTATGTGCAGTTTAAAATAGAATAGAGGATGACTTTCTGAAGCTTGTAGTTTAAGACAGATCTTGAGAAAAGCAACCATAATTAATTAAGATGGGGAAAAGTAAATCAACAGTGGTAAAGAGGAAAAAAAGATTATTTCTGTATGATTTTTACACATAATGAGTGTAAAAATGTCACAAAATGTTTGTAGCATGAGTTTGAATCCCAGAGAATGCTCTGAAATGAAGATTTAAACCTGGGATTTATCTGAATATAGGCAACATGTCTCATAGTTCAAGGATAATATTACTGAAGGAGAAGTCCAATGGAACACCAGCATTCAAATAATGGATAGTAGAAAAGGAAGATCCATGCAGATGACTTCACATTTCCAGAAAGAATATTTCCAATTTGAGAAAAACGTAAAATTCGACCCTCTACCTTTCATTATCACACAGAAAAACAAAAGGGATTTCCATTCCTGACTATGATAACTAGCTAGCATCTGAGCAGCTATCCTGCAGAGAATAACTGGAAAAGCTAGATTCAATTTTTAAAAATGTGCTTTAAAGTTTGGGAGATTTACAAAGAAAGCGATAACTTGAGGGGCTAAAAGGAGAGGTGCAGAGATATGAACCTAGTGTTAAGGCTTTGTATTTCCTCTTGAGATTTTTGTGAATTTATAAGTGAAGGCAAAAAAGCCAAGAGAAAGCAGAGCTCATACATTCTCATGGGGCTATGAAGGAAAATGTGGAATTTAGAACCTGCCAAAGATAAATGTCTGGTAAATACCACAGGATTTCTGTTGGTACCAGGGTTAATACTGGTAAGAGGCAAATGAGGCATGTATGGCACAAAATTTTAGGAGGCACTTACTCATTAAATCATGTGCCCTAGGTGGCTTACTTGCCTCATGTTAGTCCTGACTCACACTGGGATACCTGGAAGGTTGTCTACAACTACAGAAAAACTGGAAATAGATCACTCTTTATAAAGACTAGCGCTAAAAGAGATGGAGTCAGAATTGTATTGAGACCTGCCTCTAGTATAACTGCCTGAGAGAAACAAAACTGAGTCCTCTCTGGAGGAAGAAAATGTTATCCAGAAACTCAAATTATTGCTACACTTCTTTTTTGACACAATGCCTTCAATAAAAATTTACCAGGCATGCAAGGATATGAGGTCTAGTTATTAAAAAGCAAAAATAAAAGAAGAATAAAAGCAGACAAGAGTGCCAGACTGGTAGGAGATCCAGATACTAAATTTATAAGACACAAACTTTTAAAAAACTGGGATTCATATGTCCAAAATATTAAATAAAAAGATGGAAAACTTTAGCTGGGAATCAGACTGTATTAAAAAAACAAATAAACTCATAGACCTGAAAAAATAAAACTGAAGTTAAGAACTCATTATATGAGCCTAACAGATTAAACACAAGTGAAGTGAGACTTACTGAATGTAAAAATGTCAGTTGGAAATATACAGATAGAATAATAAAAAGAAGAATAGAAAATGTAGAAAAGGGTCTAAGAGATATATGGGACAACATAAAAATGTCTAAACTGCAATCTCATAAGAGTGAAGAGGGATAATATAGCAGAAGCAATGTTTGAAAAGATTGTGGCTGAACAGCTTATACAATCGTTGAAGGACATTAGTTACAGCTTCAAAAAGTGTTACAAACACCAAGCAAAACAAACAAACAAAAATCCTTCCAAAAAACCATAAAGAAACTCATATTTAAATTCATCACAGTAATTACTGATGAAATGAAAGAAAATATGAAGGGCAACCAAAGGAAAAAAAGATATGTTAGCATTAACGAAAGAATCCTAAAAGTTACAGCTAACTTATAAGAAATTATAAAAACCAGGAGACAATTGAATGACATTTTCAAAATACTGAAAGAATAAAAAACTACCAGCCTAGACTTCTATACCCAGAAAAATATTCTTCAAAAATATTGGCATAATAAAGACATATTTAGAAAATGCAAACTGAGGGAATTTATTAGCAACAGAGTTATAGTACATAAAATACTAAAAGAAGATATTTGTATAGAAGAACAATGATTCCAGATGAAAAAAGAAAAATGCAGAAAATAATGAAGAACAACATAAAGATTACATTTGTGCTTAAATGTAAATGAGTATTGACTGTATAAAACAACAACAGTAATGTTATATAAGGTTTACAATATCTGTGTCATTAAAATAAGTGAAAACCCTAGCATAAAAGACAGCAAGGGTAAATATTTTTTAATTGTTTGCATTGTCTTGCAAGTAATAAAAATATATATTTATGTTAAATATTAATAAAATATTTATGTTTGAATCTCAAGGATATACATTAAAGAATTTGTAAAAGGATTAGTAAGCTAATGGGGGGGGAATGCAATAATAAAGAATGCTGGACTAATGCAACAGCAGCTAGAGAGGAGAGAAAAAGGACATAGAAATTGATTTAATGCCAAATATATCAATAATATCCTGAAATGTAAGTGTGTTAACTATTCAAACAGACAAAGATTTTTAGATGAAAAGAGAAGCACAACTATTTGCTGCTTAAAAGAGACATAATTTAAATGCAAAAAGGTTAAAAGTAAAAATGTACAGAAAGATAGCATAACCTTTTTCATCTTTGTTGGTTTAAAGTTTGCTTTATCAGAGGCTAGGATTGCAGTCCCTGCTTTTTTTTCTTTTTCTTTCTTTTTTTTTTTTTCGCTTTCCATTTGCTTGGTAAATATTCCTCCATCCCTTTGTTTTGAGCCTATGTGTGTGTTTGCACATGAGATGGGTCTCCTGAATACAGCACACCAATGGGTCTTGACTCTTTATGCAATTTGCCAGTCTGTGTCTTTTAATTGGGGCATTTAGCCTATTTACATTTAAGGTTAATATTGTTATGTGTGAATTTGATCCTGTCATTATGATGCTAGCTAGTTATTTTGCACATTAGTTGATGCAGTTTCTTCATAGTGTTGATGGTCTTTACAATTTGGTATGTTTTGCAGTGGCTGGTACCAGTTTTTCCTTTCCATATTTAGTGCTTCCTTCAGGAGCTCTTGTAAAGCAGGCCTGGTGGTGACAAAATCTCTCAGCATTTGCTTGTCTGTAAAGGATTTTATTTCTCCTTCACTTATGAAGCTTAGTTTGGCTGGATATGAAATTCTGGTTTGAAAATTCCTTTGTTTAAGAATCTTGAATATTGGCTTCCATTCTCTTCTGGCTTGTAGGGTTTCTGCTGAGAGATCTGCTGTTAGTCTGATGGGCTTCCCTTTGTGGGTAACCTAAACTTTCTCTCTGGCTGCCCTTAACATTTTTTCCTTCATTTCAACCTTGGTGAATCTGATGATTATATGTCTTGGGGTTGCTTTTCTCGAGGAGTATCTTTGCGGTGTTCTCTGTATTTCCTGAATTTGAATATTGGCCTGTCTTGCTAGACTGGGGAAGTTCTCCTGGATAATATCCTGCAGAGTGTTTTCCAACTTGGTTCCATTCTCCCCATCACTTTCAGGTACACCAATCAAATGGGGGTTTGGTCTTTTCACATAGTCCCATATTTCTCAGAGGTTTTGTTTGTTCCTTTTCATTCTTTTTTCTGTAATCTTGGTTTCAAACTTTATTTCATTAAGCTGATCTTCAATCTCTGGTATCCTTTCTTCTGCTTGATCGATTCAGCTATTGATACTTGTGTGTGCTTCATGGAGTTCTTGTGCTGTGTTTTTCATCTGCATCAGGTCATTTAAGTTCTTCTCTAAACTGGTTATTCTAGTTAGCAATTCCTCTAATCTTTTTTCAAGATTCCTAGCTTCCTTGCATTGGGTTAGAACATGCTCCTTTAGCTCAGAGGAGTTTGTTATTACCCACCTTCTGAAGCCTACTTCTGTAAATTCATCAAACTCATTCTCCATCCAGTTTTGTTCCCTTGCTGGTGAGGAGTTGTGATCCTTTGGAGGAGAAGAGGCATTCTTTGTAATAAATAGCTCTTATTATGTTGAGAAACATTTCATCAAAACCTAGTTTATGGAATGTTCAGCCTTTTTGCACTGTTTTTTTCCTCATCTTTGTGGATTTATCTACTTTTGGTCTTTGAAGTTGGTGACCTTCAATAGGATTTCTGTGTGGACATCTTTTTTTTTATGTTGATGCTATTCCTTTCCGTTTGTTAGTTTTCCTTCTAACAGTCTGGGCCCTCTGCTGCAGGTCTGCTGGAGTTTGCTGGAGATCCACTCCAGACCCTGTTTGCCTGGGTATCACCAGTGGAGTCTGCAGAATAGCAAAGATTACTGCCTGTTCCTTCCTCTGGAAGCTTCGTCCCAGAGGGGCACCCACCAGATACCAGCTGGAACTCTCCTGTATGAAGTGTCTGTTGACCCCTGCTGGGAGGTGTCTCCCAGTCTGGAGGCACAGGGATCAGGGACCTACTTGATGCATTACATAATGGTAAAAGGATCAAAGCAACAAGAAGAGCTAACTAACCTAAATATATATGCACCCAATACAGGAGCACCCAGATGTATAAAGCAAATTCTTAGAGAACTGCAAAGAGACTTAGACTCCCACACAATGACAGTGGGAGACTGTAATACCCCACTGTCAATATTAGACAGATCAGTGTGGCAGAAAATTAATAATGATATCCAGGACTTGAACTCAGCTCTGGACCAAGTGGACCTAATAGACATCTACAAAACTCTCCACTCCAAATCAACAGAATATACATTCTTCTCAGCACCACATCACACTTATTCTAAAACTGACCGCATAATTGGAAGTAAAACACTCCTCAGCAAATGTAAAAGAACGGAAATCATAACAAACAGTCTCTCAGACCACAGTGCAATCAAATTAGAACTCAGGATTAAGAAACTCACTCAAAAGCACAGAACTACATGGAAACTGAACAACCTGCTCCTGAATGACTTCTAGGTAAATAACGATATTAAGTCAGAAATAAATAAGTTACTTGAAACCAATGAGAACAAAGACACAATGTACCAGAATCTCTGGGACACAGCTAAAGCAGTGTTTAAAGGGAAATTTATAGCACTAAATGCCCACAGGAGAAAGTGGGCAAGATCTAAGATTGACACCCTGACATCACAATTGAAAGAACAAGAGAAGCAAGAGCAAACAAATTCAAAAGCTAGCAGAAGACAAGAAATAACTAAGATCAGAGCAGAACTGAGGGAGATAGAGACATGAAAAACCCTTCAAAAAAATCAGTGAATCCAGGAGCTGGTTTTTTGAAAAGATTAACAAAATAGATAGATGGCTAGCCAGACTAATAAGGAATAAAAGAGAGAAGAATCAAATAGACACAATAAAAAATGATAAAGGGGATATCACCACTGATCCCACAGAAATACAAACTACCATTACAGAATACTATAAACACCTCTACACAAATAAACTAGAAAATCTAGAAGAAATGGATGAATTCCTGGACACATACACACTCCCAAGACTAAACCAGGAAAATGTTAAATCCCTGAATAGACCAATAACAAGTTCTGAAATTGAGGTAGTAAGTAATAGCCTACCAACCAAAAAAAGCTCAGGACCAGATGGATTAACAGCCAAATCCTACCAGAGGCATAAAGAGGAGCTGGTACCATTTCTTCTGAAACTATTCCAAACAATACAAAAAGAGGGACTCCTCCCTAACTCATTTTATGAGGCCAGCATCATCCTGATACCAAAACCTCGCAGAGACAGAACAACAACAACAAAAAACTTTCAAGCCAATATCTCTAATGAACATAGATGTGAAAATCCTCAATAAAATACTGGCAAACCAAATCCAGCAGCACATCAAAAGGCTTATCCACCATGGTCAAGTCGGCTTTATCCCTGGGATGCAAGGCTGGTTCAACATATGCAAATCAATAAATGTAATCCATCACATAAAACCAATGACAAAAACCACATGATAATGTCAACAGATGTGTAATAGGACTTTGATAACATTCAACACCCTTTCATGCTAAAAACTCTCAATAAACTAGGTTTTGATGAAATGTTTCTCAACATAATAAGAGCTATTTATGACAAACCCACAGCCAATATCATACTGAATGGGCAAAAACTGGAAGCATTCCCTTTGAAAACTGGCACAAGACAAGGATGCCCTCTCTCACCACTCCTATTCAACATAGTATTGGAAGTTCTGACCAGGGCAATCAGGCAAGAGAAAGACATAAAAGGTATTCAAATAGGAAGTCAAATTGTCTCTATTTGCAGATAGCATGATTGTATATTAAGCAAACCCCATCGTCTCAGCCCCAAATCTCCTTAAGCTGATAAGCAACTTCAGCAAAGTCTCAGGATACAAAATCAATGGGCAAAAATCACAAGCATTCCTGTACAACAATAATAGACAAACAGAGAGCCAAATCATGAGTGAATTCCCATTCACAATTGCTACAAAGAGAATAAAATACTGAGGAATACAACTTACAAGGGATTTGAAGGACCACATCAAGGAGAACTACAAACCACTGCTCAAGGAAATAAGAGAGGACATAAACAAATGGAAAAACATTCCATGGTCATGGATAAGAAGAATCAATATTGTGAAAATGGCCATACTGCCCAAAGGAATTTATAGAGGTAATGCTATCTCCATCAAGCTACCATTGACTTTCTCTACAAAATTAGAAAAAACTACTTTAAGTTTCATATGGAAACAAAAAAGAGCCCATATAGCCAAGACAATCGTAAGCCAAAAGAACGAAGCTGAAGGCATCACACTACTTGACTTCAAACTATACTACAAGACTACAGTAACCAAAACAGCATGGTCCTGGTACCAAAACAGATATTTAGACCAATGGAACAGAACAGAGGCCTCAGAAATAGTGCCACACATCTACAACCATCTGATCTTTGACAAACCTGAGAAAAACAAGCAATGGGGAAAGGATTCCCTATTTAGTAAATGGTGCTGGGAAAACTGGCTAGCCATATGCAGAAAACTGAAAGTAGACCCCTTCCTTATACCGTATACAAAAATTAACTCAACATGGATTAAAGACTTACATGTAAAACCCAAAACCATAAAAACCCTGGAAGAATACCTAGGCAATATCATTCAGGACATAGGCATGGGCAAAGGCTTCATGACTAAAACACCAAAAGCAATTGCAACAAAAGCCAAAATTGACAAATGGATCTAATTAAACTAAAGAGCTTCTGCAGAGCAAAAAAAAAAAAACCAGGATCAGAGTAAACAGGCAACCGACAGAATGGGAGAAAATTTTTGCAATCTACCCATCTGACAAAGGTCTAATATCCAGAATCTACAAGGAACTTAAACAAATTTACAAGAAAAAAACAACCCCATCAAAAAGTCAGCAAAGTATATGAACAGACACTTCTCAAAAGAAGACATTTATGCAGCCAACAAACATATGAAAAAAAGATCATCATCACTGGTCATTAGAGAAATGCAAATCAGAAACCACAATTATCAAAACCATCTCACTCCAGATAGAATGGCGATCATTAAAAAGTCAGGAAACAACAGATGCTGGAGGGGATGTGGAGAAATAGGAATGCTTTTACACTGTTGATGGGAGTGTAAATTAGTTCAACAATTGTGGAAGACAGTGTGGCAATTCCTCAAAGATCTAGAACCAGAAATGCCATTTGATCCAGCAATCCCATTACTGGGTATATGCCCAAAGGATTATAAATCATTCTACTATAAAGACACATGCGCATGTATATTTATTGCAGCACTATCCACAATAGCAAAGACTTGGGACCAATCCAAATGCCCATAAATGATAGACTGGATAAAGAAAATGTGACACATACACACCATGGAATACTATGCAGCCATAAAAAGGATGAGTTCCTGTCCTTTGCAGGGAAATGGATGAAGCTGGAAACCATCATTCTTAGCAAATTAACACAAGAACAGAAAACCAAGCACCACGTCTTCTCACTTATAAGTGGGAGTTGAACAATGAGAACACATGGGCATAGGGAGAGGAACGTCACACACTGGAGCCTGTCACAGGGTGGGGGACTAGGGGAGGGATAGCATTAGGAGAAATAGTTAATGTAGATGACGGGTTGATGGGTGCAGCAAACCACCATGGCATGTGTATACTTATGTAACATACCACACGTTCTGCCCATGTATCCCAGAACTTAAAATTTAATAAAAAAAATTGAAAAGATGGCATAACTACAGTAATATCATACAAAATAGATTTAAGGTGAAATTATTAATATGGGTTTTTTTAAAAAAACATTTTATAGCAGTAAAGGGGTCAATTCACCAGAAAGGTAGAACAACCATGCATTTGTATGCACCCAGTAAGATCACTTTAAATTTGTAAAGCAAAAATTGATAGAATCAGGTGAAATAGACAAGCCCAGAATTATTGTGGGGAACTTCTTGTTTTGTTTTGCTTTAAGCAACTGAATTTGGGGATGGGTTGTTTTACATCAATAGATAAACAGAAGTATACATCTCCTCATTATCAAACTATTTTCCTCGTTTCTTTTTAAACTATTTTATTTTAGATTCAGGGGTTTATGTGTTTTTTTCTTACATGAGTATATTGCATAATGGGTGAGGAATGGGCTTCTAATATACCCATTACCCAATAGTGAACACTGTACCCAGTAGGCAATTTTTCAACCTTGTCCTCCTTCCCACCTTCCCCCATTTTGTAGTCCCCAGTGTCTATTTTTCCATCTTTATGTCCATGTGTACCCATTGTTTACTTCCCACTTATAAGTGAGAACATTCAGTATTTGATGTCTCTGAGTTAGTTCATGTAGGATAATGTCTTCCAGCACCATCCATGTTGCTGCAAAGGACATGATGTCATTCTTTTTATGGCTGCATAGTATTCCGTGTGTGTAGACACACACACATATATGTATATATATACATATATATACACACACATATATATGATAGGAGATTTTAATGTACCTCTGACAGAAGGTGAAAAACAAGAAGACAAAACACACATTTAGTAAGAATACAGATCTACACAATACCATTTAAAAATGTGTATCCATTTGGCACCAGATTTGACTCTCTTCCCATTGCTGGGAGTAGTTCCTCATATTGTACCTATTAAATCTTTTGGAAGAGAATTTTGTTTTATTTGGCCCTGCTTTTGAAGTAGGGTATGAGAACTCCAGTTATGGTCTCTCTCTCTCAATCTGTATGTGTGTGTGTGTGTGTGTGTGTGTGTGTGTTTGACTTTAGAGAAATCTCTTTGGCCTCATTTTTGGTGAGAGTGATACATCCTAAAGAATGAAAACATTTTTATTCTTCTCCAAGTGATGGGAAACAGGCTAATACAGGGTGGGTTCTCCTTACCTCCTTAGAAAGATAAATAACTTGCCAAGTGCTTAAGTTATTTTCCAAAGGGTCTTAAGTCCTTTAAAATGGGCCATGGATCACAGAGTCCTATTATTAGAAAATAGAAGTATAGGCAAGCAAGAAAAACAGAAAGAGAGGGGATCTAGACTCAAAATTTGGAGATCTGGGTTTCATATTTGAGAGTGATCCTCTACAGAGAGTGCCAGAGCAATAAACCAGGAGAAGGACTTTATGACAGTGGTGTGCTGGAGGTACTGGTTCTTACTGGCTTGCAAGAAACTGTTGTGTGTATATCTTCCCAAATCCAAGTTCAGTACCATTACGTTGGTGGCTTAAATGTATATAATGTGGTAGAAGTATTTATATCAGAGAAATTGGCAAATGGTACAAAACAAGACTGTGTGTTGGGGAAGCTAGTTTTTAAACATTTATGAATTCATAGCCAGAAAATTACCACTGAATTTACCCTCTGAAAATACCATCTGAATATAGGACTAGAATAAGACTGCCAGGTAGGAAACAACATCCTACCCTAGGATGATGACCCTCCTTGATAACTTGAGAATTCTCTCAAGTTTCAAGTGAACATCTGTACAACTAATGAGGGCAGTGTGAGGAATTAAGGAAGGAAGTCTCCCAGTTAAACCTCGGTACTGGACAGGAACATGCTAATACCTGCTGAGTTTTAGATGGGAGTGTAGACATCACTATTACAGTGTTTGTGTTTGTGTAAGTATTTATACAAGATTGTGTCTTCCATTTCATATATATTACAGAACAGGAAAATGTTGTCAGCTTCATCATGAAAAAGAGGTTTTTGGAAGAGACAGAGATTTCTCAATTGAGACCTGAGAAGACTTGACTTTTATATTGCTAAGTTTCACACAGGTCATGGATGAGTGCTAATCTGCTAATGACTCAGACTGCATTTGATGCAATGTTCCCTGTATCAAAAATGAAACTTATATAGATGTATAGAAAAACAAAGTAAATCAGAACATGTGAAGAATGAGGGAGACAGTGATGGTGATGGTGGAAGTTTCCTTCTGATTTCCAGAATTCTCCTTTGATGCAGAAGTTAGGCCATAATAGTCTTCAGAAATGAACTATTAATGATAGTCTAGTCTTTACAGCAGTAAAACCATGTTGATAGGTTATGGGATTTCTTTCTTTATCATCACCATGACTGCTTCTTGGAAACCACTGAGTTGGCAGCAGCTGTGTTCATTAAAGGCTGAGTTCTCAGAAGTGTTTATAAAACTAAACAACCCATAGATTTCTACTGGCAGAAGCTAGTCATTGGCATTCTATGTCTTAGTTGCTATTCCTTTTTCACATGCGGCTTGGCAAGACTGACATATGTATCAGAATCATATGTACAATTTTAGTTAAACATGGACTCTCCTTCCGTCCTTCCCATCTCCTTTGGGCACAAAGAGAATTTTTAGATCCTTATTTTTCTCCCTATTCATAGGTTTAAGAGAACATTGCCTTATATAAAACAGTAAATCTCTGACTGATACCCCACTCTTTTTGATGAATTGTGCTGTAGAATATTTGATAGACCTTCTTGTTAAAGCTTTAATATGAAGTCAATAATTAATCAAGTAATCAATATATAGTTGGCCTTTATAAGTGCCAACACCATGGTCTGAAGATTGGTGAAATATGTTTGCTTTTTCACTTTAAGTCAACTTTCAGCATTTTCAGGGTTAAGACTCTAGAGCAACTTGAGTCGAGACTACCATGGAATTCACAATAATTCTCTTGAATTCAATCTATTACATTTGAAAATTATATTTGAATCTCCCCCAGATATAAATGCTTCTAATTTTTTTGGTACAAAGCATTTTCACATTCATTATCTTATTATAACCCTCTAAAATTCTAAGGGCAAATAAAGTAGATATTAGCGATAATGATAATTACTGCGTTGGTGAAAATAATGCTTTTAATAATGATGATAATGATGGTGGTGACTACAATTTAAATGCCTCCTAGGTCCCAAGTCTTGTGATAGCTTTATATATATTATATCATTTAATCCTCTGAACAACAACCTGAGGTAGAGTACCTCAACTCAAATATATGAAGTGATTTGTCAAAGGTCACATAGCTTATAAATATTAGACCAAGGTTTGGAACCCAAGTCTTCAAGTCTTCTGGGCCAAGTTATTTGTAATCTATGAATTGCCAAATGCAATGCATAAAATGCCTTTACAACTCCATAGGATGGTTGACGCACCTCACCTCCCTCAGAACTTGGATTAACTTCACATTCTCTGAGAAGCATTCTCTACCACTTATCAGCCATCTGATTTTAAGCAAATTATTTGACATGAGTTTACTCATCCATAAAAAGGAGGTAACTCATCCATGTTGGCTCAGTCTTTGCTGCAAAGATCCAATAACTTAACCAAAAGGCTAGAAAAGTCTGGCAAATAATATGCATTTATTAGGTTGTGGTTCACCTTTCCACACTGGCCACTGGCCTTCTTATGCTTTATTGCAATTATGAGAAGCACATGTGGCAAAACAAGGGTCACATCAACCCAAAGCACACAGAGTTTGGATGTTCGCACGTTATTCCTAATCACTCAGATTAGCAAGCAAGTCGTACTCTTTTCTCTCTGTCCAAAGCTTAGCAGCATTACACTGGACCTTAATCCTGCTGTAACTAAGGGGCAGTAATACGTCTTAAAGAAAAATCTTTAAGAGAAAGGAAAACTGAAGAACCCTGGAAGGTCCATCCTGGAATGAGCCAAAGCTAACACTTCCTCAAAAAACAAAGGAATTTCCTTCCCCCTCAACCCCACCCAGCATATTTTATGTATAGTTTCTAAGAGGTCAGCTAAGAATAATGGGCTTGAGCCAATCCCGTATTGGCCAGCTACTCTAAAGTATTTCTCCTCAATATCTGGTGAGGCAATGGTGTTCAAGAAACATCTACACAATGCAAAGTGAGCAAAAACCAGCTAATCCTAAATCCTACATCAGTAGTCTTCTCCAACCTTGGGGTAAAAAAGACATTTTTGGCCAAAGACTATGAAGTAATGCTCTTTATTAGCTTACTTCTTCTCTGTGTCCAAATGATATAATAAAATTCTGACATGAAAAAATAATATTTAGAATTTTCCCTTTATAGTCTTCAAAATAGTGGTTGTCCTCATTGTCTCTCCTTCTCTCAAACAAAAAACAAAACACAAACTCTTTATAAATTTAGATTGAGTTGACTTATTTTTCCTTTATTTGAAAAGTTTCTTTATATATGATATTACATCTATTATCTCTCTGTATACTATACCCCTTAAGGTAAGCAGATGTCATAATCTCTATTTTGTGGATAGGGAGGGATGCTTAGAAAACTTTGTAACATATTGATATCTCAGCTAGTAAATTGTGGAACCAGGACTGGAACCTACAGCTTCTGACTTGAGATTGTTTGAGATTGTTTCCAAAATCAGAGCATTCTCAGAGTCTTTTTTTTTTTTTTTTGGAGACGAAGTCTTGCTCTGTCACCCAGGCTGGAGTGCAATGGCGCGATCTCAACTCACTGCAACCTCCGCTTCCCGGGTTCAAGCGATTATCCTGCCTCAGCCTCCTGAGTAGCTGGGATTACAGGTGTGGGCCACCATGCCCAGCTAATTTTTGTATTTTTAGTAGAGATGGGGTTTCACCATGTTGGCCCAGATGGTCTTGATCTCCTGACCTCATGACTCGCCCGCCTCGGCGTCCCAAAATGCTGGGATTACAGGCATGAGCCACCACATCTGGCCAGAGTGTTCTTATTTTGCTTTTGTTGTTACTGTTTTTGCATTTTGTGTGTGTGTTTTCTCTATACACACCAAGTACAGAGTTTAGCTCTGTAAAAACATTGAAAACAAAACAGCAGAAAGGACTAAAGCTGTTACTATTAGAAATTTACCTTCTAGTTGGTAGATACATAACACTGTTCAAAGCAGGAAGCAAAGTCAGTATTACTATTATTTTTAAGAGACAGGGTCTCACTCTTTCACCCAGGCTGGAGTGCAGTGGTGGGATCATCACTCACTGCAACATTAAACTCCCAGGCTCAAATGATTCTCCTGCCTCAGCCTCCATAGTAGCTGGGACCACAGGCATGCACCACTATGTTGGCTAATCTTTATTTTTTGTAGAGACAGGGTCTCACTATGTTGCCCAGGCTGGTCGCAAACTCCTGGCCTCAAGTGATCCTCCTGCCTTGGCTTCCCAAAGCATTGGGATTATAGGCTTGAGCCATGGTGCCTGGCCGAGCAAAGTCAATGTAGTTAAGTACTGGGAAGGCCGAGCAAACCAATGGTAAAATTTGGATGAGAGTCACTGGGGAGGTTTCTGGGCCTAGCTGAATATCCACCTACCTATAAAATCTAGAGCCCGGGCTTTCCCATCTACTGAGACTCCAGGGGTAGGGGGCTTGTCCCACTGAATTGTCTGTGCTTCTAGGAAGCTCCTTCATTGTATGTGAGCCTAATGTGCTTTTATTATCCTCTACTGCCTTTATCACAGGAGTGAACCTCATCTACTCGTTGTCCCTAAAACATAACAGAGCCTCTCACTGTTTACCCATATCCAGTTCATGAGACTTGTAGGAGCTCCCTGTGGATGTAGTATTTGGAAAAAAGATTTTGGATAACTGTGTCAACCTGTTGGGATGCTTCCCTAAGAGTCCACTAGAGGAAACCATAGTCAGGAGGGAAATTGGGGTTTAAAATTTAAACGCAGAACTATGTGTTGAGCTAATGGGGCAACACTAGGATAAAACAATAGCTGGGCAGTGAGAGTTAGTGGCTTAATGACCAGGAGAATAAAAGCAAGAATTGCTGTATGGAGCAGGAGAAATTAGGCAGTTTAAGCCATCTTAAAACCTTGGATTTTTCTTTTATTGCAGAGTTACACCCAAGCTGCCAGAGTTCTTTAAAGACATCAGGGGAGGCCGGATAGTTGTTCCAAGCTATTACCCATCTATAGAATGCCCTTCTCTCCCTATTAATTACTTCGATTTCTACATTTTCTGCATGGCCTACCTCTAATATTTTCTTCTGCAGAGAATTGTTCTTAGCCACTCAGACTATAGGAATCATGCTCAGTTGTCATATATTTCAAACAGTTCTGTGTCACCATTTCCTTTGTTACATACAAAGTCTTTCCTCCAAATAGAATATAAACCAGTTATAGAGAGGCAAAAACATGATGCCTTTCGAAAATCCTAAAGGCCTTAGCAAATCAATTATTATCATTATAGCAAACACATATCTAGCACTTACTATGTTCTCTTCCAAGCACTTTTCACATATTATCTCATTTAATCCTGACAACCAACTATGCAGTATTTCCTATTGTCATTTTATTTTACATATGAGGAAACTGAGTCCTAGGCAGTGTAAGAGATAGTCCCAAGGTTACTCTGCTTAAAACAGAGATCTCTCACCCAGAACAATTTCTCATTGGCACCTTCACTTTGCTCGGCTGCCAAAAAAGTAGATATTGACGTGGAATCTGAATACAGCACCTGGCTGGAGAGCATTGCCTGTCTGATGATTCACACTTTTAAATAAAAATAATAAAACCCTTGGCTGGACAGCTTCACTTCCACAGTCCAGCTGGGATGTCGTCACTGTGGTTCCAAAACACACTTGGGTGATATTTCAGCTTGAATAAGTGTCATTTGCACATTCAGTTGTGAAAATTCTGCACGGAGGTCTTGTGATCACACTCCTTGTCAGGCATCTGCCAAAAGCTTGCTAATGTTTTGGCTCCCTTGTCCTGCTGGTTTTTGCTGGAAGTGACCTAGAGGAGCGTGGGATGCCTTCTCCTTTAGTTGAAACCCAAGTTAAAATGGGACAATCTGGGTGAGTGACCCAAACCTGAGTCCTGATTCAACCATTATTTACTGAGCACTCAGTATGTATCAAGCATTTTCCTGTATTTTATTACATTGAATCTTCCTGGTAGCGCTCTGAGGTGGGTGTTGTGATCTGTATTTTACAGATGTGGAAGTAGATTCAGATGTGAAAGTAACTTGCCAAAGGCCATTCAGTGAGTAGAACTAAAGAGATCTGATTCCAGGTTTCCTGCCCTCATCTCCATATCAAGGTGCTTCTAGTTCACTTTGAGGTGAATAAAGTAAAGAATGGAGGGGTAATATAATAGAGATGATAATAATAATAATTACAAACATCACTACCAACATTTCTTAAGTCTGCACTGTGTGCCAAGCACTATGGGAATACCTTACAGGCATCACTTCATTTTACCCTCACAACACCCATAAGAGGTAGTAGGCACTAGTATTTCCCCCATGGTACAAAGAAGGAAAATGATGCTTAGAGACGTTAAGCAGGTTAGCAAATGATGTGCCAAGTTTTAAGCCCAGACATTCTGTTGCCAAGGCTTGCTACAACAGCTGTATGAAAACATGCAATGTGGGAGTGCCAGATTAGATTCCTCACCTGCCCCATATCTTCAAAGAAAGCACCAAGAGAAAGTGTGAGGTCAATGATTTGAAAAAATTAATCAGACTGTCAACATTTCCAGTGGAGCCCATTCAGCCAAAGTCACCATTTTCAACGTTAACCTCCATGTTGCAAGGCTGACTTAGGAACGTTACACTCACAGACTCTGAGGAAGATGATGGATTTGTTGAGATGGAGCCTCACCTGGCTTGGAGCCAGGATGTCCAGGCTAAATCTGTGTCATTTAGTCCTTTTCACCCCATCTTATTGGGAGTAAGCTGGAAAGAAAATTCGGGTGCTTTGCCAAGGCTTTGGGAATTCACAGCCCTGTCACTCAGAGATGAGAAGGATCCTTTAGTTAGAAAAAGTTCTCAGTCACCCCTTCTGGAAGATAATCAGTGATGTGCCTTTCCGCAGTCATGAGAGTTATCACTCCTCCCCACGGGGAGAGTGGGCAGTCACGGTGAATCCTGGAAATGGGAGCTGCTCCCAGAGTGATTGAGAACAGAACTGAACTCAGTTCCTCACTTCTTGGTACCAAAGGGGTTGGGTTGTGCCTTGCAAAGGGAGAGCAAGAATGAAAAGAAGAGTAGAATGAGGTTTCGTTTTATATCCAGTAATCAACACACCAAATTAAAAATGAGCAGGGCAGTTTTGTGTGTGCTTGTGATTTGTTACACTGTTTTCCTTTCCTCTCTTATTTAAAAAATGCTATTTAAACAATATTATAATGACATTAAAAGAAGTACGTTATTTATTTATTTATTTTGAGACAGCACCTTGCTCTGTTATCCAGGCTGGGGTGCTGCGGTGGTGCGATCTCGGCTCACTGCAACCTCTGCCTCCCATGTTCAAGTGATTCTCCTGCTTCAGCCTCCCGAGTAGTTGGGATTACAGGTGTGCACCAACATTTTTGTGTTTTCAGTAGAGACAGGTTTTTTTGTGTTTCAGTAGAGACAGCTAATTTTTGTGTTTTCAGTAGAGACAGGGTTTCATCATGTTGGCCAGGCTTGTCTCGAACTCCTGATCTCAGGTGATTTGCCTGCCTTGGCCTCCCAAGGTGCTGGGATTACAGCTGTGAGCCACCGTGCCTGGCCAGAAGTTTAATAAAGAAAATATTCACATTCCACTTGTAGAATACAGCATAGTCTTTGCTCGTGCATCATCTATTCTTATGTAACTGTAATCAGACAATAGAGTGAGCATTTTTCCATGTTGTCCCATATTCCTTAAAAATATTCCTTGCTGGGCATGGTGGCTCACGCCTGTAATCCTAGAACTTTGGGAGGCTGAGGCCAGAGGATCTCTTGAGCCCAGGAGTTCAAGACCAGCCTGGACAATATAGTGAGACCTTGTTTTTACTAAAAATAAAAACATAGCCGGCCATAGTGGCACATGCCTGTGGTTCCAGCTACTCAAGTGGCTGAGGTGGGAGGATCACTTGAGCCTGGGAAGTCAAGGCTGCAGTTATGAGAGATTGAGAGATCGTGTCACTGCACTCCAGCCTGGGTGACAGAGGAAGGAAGACCCTGTGTCAAAAAAAAAAAAAAGAAAAATTGTTTCAAAAGAGAATTCAATGCGTCGATTACAAAGCCTATTGCTTCTTTCCTTTCTTAATTTTGCTGACACTCTGATATTTTAATCTCCATTCTAGAGTGTGAGCTTATTCATATCCATTCTAGAGGAAGGAGGAGGTTTGAAAATGAAGGGACATGCACATTTGTCTACCCTGTCATGTGTTAATGGTTCCCATTAATAACAAAATAGATGAGGATTAGATAAGAGGAGAAACAGAAGAAAAAAAGATCAAAAGTGTTCACTAAAATGAGTTGTATTCTAGTTATTTTCAATTTTAGGAGAACCAAGGTGAAAAAATGCACTAACCAGCTGACAAACAGCTCTGCCCTCCGGAGGCTTGGCAGACACTGAGCAGCTGCTCCTGGGGCCAGGCACCTCTGGCTGTGCCAGCAGCTGTGCCAAGGCTGAACAAGGTCGGGGGGAAAGAAATGCTTCACATACCTTTGGATTTGTTTAGTCATTGACGCAGGAAATAGGTCTGTGTCGCTCAGCTGGTAGCATCATTGCGTTTGCCTGGAAGGTCAAGGGTTCAAGAACCACACTAGAAAGTTGGCAGCTTCCCGAAGCCAATGCTTGCACTGTCATGGAAGGCAGGTGGTGGTGAACACTGGAGAAAGGAATGCTCTCTCTGCATGTCCCAGGGAAATGGGGCTCACAGGGGCAAGACAGACACAACACCACTCAGTTTACTTTGACCCATAAGCTTCAAAGTACTCCTGTGTGGAACTAGCAGAACTGTCATCCAGGGGACAGGATTGTGTCATAGACAACTCTAGAAGACAAGCGGAGTTTGGGGCTCTCTGATGCATGCTCTACCATCTTTTTTACTGAACCCTCAGCTCAGCCTCTGTTTCAGCTTTGAGAAACTCAGAAACCAAGAACAGTGAAAAATTGTGGCAGATCCTCAGGAAGAAAAGAGGCCCACACTTACTGAGTAAACTAAGCCTGGAATTCAGGTCTACAGCCCAGTAGAATAATCTCTTTGTAAACTTCTCTAAAATGCTTATGTGCATTGCTGCTTGGAAGTTCAATGTTATGCACAAAAGCAATTTACTATAATATTTAAGATATTTAAATTAGTTTAAGAGTTTAAAAAGCATGATTATATTTGAAATTATTGGGAATTATTTATAGTAAATACACTTGATAATTTTGCTTTTGGCTAAATATTGGAAATTTGGGGAAATAATCCAAAAAATGATAGTAGAGAGGGAGTTCAGCAAAGGTAAATGTGGAAATACATCTTTTAAAATTAATCAAGCCCACTCCGCTAAAAGATAGATCACTTAAGCCTGAAATACAATTTATCTGCCTAAAGAATTTCTATGGCAGCAGGTGTGGCCTGAACAACAGTGCACACCTGAGCTGTTTGTGCATGGAGTAACATTTTGGCTTACAAGTTACCACAGGGCTAATTGTTGCTTATTTATTTCGTGGGCTGCTCTGATCCTAGATACCTTTGTCCCTGGAATGTGGGAGATTGAGTAGGTGTGGGGATGGTGCTCTTCGGTAAAATTGTCTTTAGACTGGAGAAGGTACAGTAACAGGCAGCTTCTTGTTAGTCTAAAGGAAAAAAATCCCTGACTCCTTTCCCCTTTAAATAAAACACCTTGCTTGCAACCAGCTATAAGAGAGGTTTGAGGTTGGCTTGCATCGGGAACCTGCCAACAGGTTCAAGTCTGATGTTCCTACTCCCAGGACATCTTTTGCTGTCTTATCATGAGTTTTTTATTTATTCAGTTATTAGGAGCTGTCTTTCTGCTCCTACCCTCAGAGACCTAAACAAGACCTCTCATCTTTTGAAACCAAAGACAGAGTGAAACAGTCCCCAAAGAAAGGAAATCCTACAAAGTCTAATGGAAGTTACACAGTTTTGGATTTCCCTTGGCATTTCGTGGTACCTGTCTCTAGTCCTTAGTGCTGTCTACCTGAAATTACTAACATTTCCTCTCTTCATGAGGACAAGGTTCTTCTTCTTTAATTTTTTAACAGCTTTATTGAGATATCATTCACATATCTCACATACGATTCACCCATTTAAAGTATATGCTTCAATGGCTTTTATTATATTCACAGACTTGGGCAGCCATCATCTTAATCAATTTTATAACATTTTCATGATCACCCCCAAAGAAATCCCAAATGTTTTAGCCAACATTCTCCAATCCTCCTGTCTTCCCAGGTCTAGGAAACCACTAATGTAATTTTTGACTCTATGAAATTGTCTGGATATTTCTCTATGAAATATTCTGGATATTTCATACAAATGGAATCAAGGCTCTCTTTAAGCATCCTACTATTCTTCTACAGAGCCTGGCCAAAAACCTGGTACCTAGTAGGCCTTTTAGCAAGGCTATATTAGTTACTTGATTTAGGTATATTAAATGACTCTTTTAGGATCAATATAGCTCATGAGTGGGTAACTGGATAGTCCTAGATGAAAGACCTCATATGCCATTACCCATGGCGTGTTAATGGTCTGGACAGTATCAGAATGAAAAGACAGCCTATGAGTCATAGCTTCCCCTAGGTGAGGTCCCACAGACATGGCCCCCTGTACTACTTGTCTGTTCAATGATATAACACGGACGCCATCAGCTCAACAAATCAGAAATCGATTCCCTAGAAGACTGGAGTTCTCTTATAAGTTGGCACACCACGGTGTGTGTTAACAGGCAATAACACTAAAATGCACTAAAGACCATGTAATTTATTCCCAACATGCTGTTATTCTTTCCAAAACATTAGCTTTGGAGCAGAACGTTTGCTAAATGTTGTCTTTATTTCCAAAGCTTGGGGTAAAGATCATATGCAACCAATGACTGAGAGATAATTGGCCACTTTACAGTTTTAACCTCAAATGAACTCCCCCGTCTGAGTAAATTTCCTGGTAAAAGATCCCATTTTAATAGAATGTGAAAGCTGCAAGAAAGATGGAGCTTACAGATCACAGTATGGTCTGTTAGATAAATGACCAGGAGTAATATTTCTTAAAACCACATTTTGTAGACAGAGTTAACAGAAAACCCAGGAAAAAAATACCCAGTGGTTCAGCATTCTCGCTTAAATGAAAATAGCATGTGTGTTTTCAGCTCAAGTTGTGCCAGGGCTTGGAGGGAAATTGGCAAGGATTAAAACCAAGAGTCTTTTGGGGGTTGTTGGGTATTGTCATCCTGGACCTGACCTCACAGCTTTCTCTCTTGGAGGAGAAGGCAAAAAGTAGCTGTGCTAAAACTTTGCTCTAAGAGTTGCCACAGAGTCCAGAAAGTTCCTCTTCTTGCAGTTGGCTTATTTTCACTGAGCTGGCATTGAGCCAGAAGTCAAGTTATTATTTTGTTTAATAGCTGAAGAAATGACCATCTTGTGCTTTTTAACCTAAAGGTGGCCTTGACTGCAGATCCCTGGATGTGGGGAAGCACCTAAGAAGGTCAGTTCTTCCGGTAGAATGGGAGGGTGCTCCTGCTGTGCATTTAAAGTGAGGTCCTTGGTTTCCTCCTTTGGATTATCATCTTTGGTGAGGTTTGCCTTATGGAGAACTGATGACTGTGAGTTGTCATGTACAAAGTGGAAAAGTAGCTTTATTGTCTGAAGCTCAAATTTCACAGGCTTGCACTCCTTGGTTTAGAATTCAGATTCCTCAGTTTGAAAGAGAACAAGAAAATGTCGCACCTTTTAATCTATTTGGGCAGAAAGAAAATTTAAATCTAGTCAGAGAGGGTATCTGTCTACAAGAGCTCATCCCAAAGATTTCAATTAGTTATTCAAGAAACCATGGCTAAGAACACACTATGAGCCAGGAACTCTCCTGGGTCCTAGGGGTTACAGAGGAAAACTAACCATGACTCTACCTTGAAGGGCTCACAGTTTATTGGTGATTGGTCATAGGGGAGAGGGAGAGGGAGTAAGACCTAAGTTTGGTGAGTACCATGATACAGGTATGTACAGGATATGATGCAGCACAGCTTGGGGTGGGTCAGAAAGACTTTTCATGAGAAACGAATCCAAGGTTGGGTCTCAAAGTAAGAATAGAAGTTAGCCAGGCATCTGGAAGTTCACAGTTGCATGGGGGAGGCAGTTGGCTGAGATAGAGGGAAAAAGCACAGAAACGGAGATCGCATGATGTGATTCAGCATGTCTTGGGTGGGTAGGCATGTATTTTTTGAAAGATGAGGTCAGAGAAGTTGGCAGAGGCCAGATCAATAGCAGCCTTGGGTTTTAAACAAGACCACTTTCCTAGCTCCTCCTGGCTATTCCAACATGGCAACTGGTGCCCTGAGTTCTATCTCAGCATTTGTCACTGTGTGAGTATCACTCTTTTTTGCTCTAAGCAGATAGATCTTGCAGATCTGTAAAAAATTCTGGTTTTTCCACTTACTATGTATGTAATCTTGGACAAACTACTTAGCTATGTGGAGGCTCTGTTTTCTCTTCTGTAAAATGGGTCAAACAAAAAACAACTTCATAGGGTTATTGTGAGTATTACTAGGATCAAACAAGAACAATGACTGGCATGAGAAAAAAGTGGTCATGAAATATTTGTGGAATTAAATTGGGTACAGGAGTGAAAAGGAAATTCTTCTGTCTGGAAAATAGCCTTTAGCTTTCCAAACACCAGTAGCTGCCAAAGCAGTGTAGGACACCTGGAAAGAGGTAGAAAAGAGATCCGAACCATGAAGAAGAGTGACAGGAAGCCACAGACCCCAAAACTAGAAGATGGTAAGCCAGTGAAGCAGATCAAAGTGGGAGGGGTGCATCTTGTGCCAGAACAGCAAGGGCACGGTCAGAAGGGTGGCCAGGAGGGAGGAGGTGGCAGATGCTGGCTCACAGGGCACTTCAGGGAGTGAATGCATGGCAGCCTGTGGCTTCCTCTTTCCTGATGTTGTCCTGGTGTCCTACCAGGCTCTGGAAAGAAATCAAAAAAAAAAAAAAAAAAAAAAAAAAAGAAAAGGAAAGAAGAGAGGAAAAACGGGAAAAAGAAAACAGCGGCATTGTTGTTTAATAACAGCGACACCCCTTCATGATAGAAAACACATAACAAACTAGAAATAGAAGGGAACTTCCCCAACCTGCTAAAGGGTGTTTATGAACAAACCACAGCTAACATACTTAATTGTGAAAGGCTAAAAGCTTTCCCCCTAAGATCAGAAATAAGACCAAGGTGTCTGCTCTTAACACTCCTTTTCAAAATTGTGCTGGAGGCTTTAGCCAGGGTAATTAGGCAAGAAAAAGAAATAAAAGACATTAAGATTGGAAAGGAAAAAGCAAAACTATCTGAGGATACATAATTTTATATATAGAAAAACAATATTGAAAAAGAAGAACAAAATTGGAAGATTTGCAGTTCCTGATATAAAAATTTACTACAGGCCGGGTGCAGAGGCTCATGCCTGTAATCCTAGCAATTTGGGAGGCTGAGGTAGGAGAGTGGGAGGATCATTTTAGTTCAGGAGTTCAAGACCAGCCTAGGAAATATAGGGAATCCCAAATCCACAAAATAAATAAACAAAAAATTAGCCAACCATGGTAGTGTGCATCTGTTGTCCTGGCTACTTGGGAGGCTGAGGTGGTAGGATTGCTTGAGCCCAGAAGGTTGAGGCTGCAGTGAGCTGTGATCATTCCACTGCACTAACAGAGTGAGACCCTGCCTAAAAAAATAGCTTACTACAAATAACTTGCTACAAATCTACAGTAATCAAGATGGTGTTGTACTGGCATGAGGATTGATATATAAATCAATAGAATAGAATTGAGGATCCAGAAATAAACCCTCTCAATTACAATAAATTGATTTTCCATGAAGGAGTATCAAGAAAATTCAATGGGGGAAGAATAATCTTTTTCAACAAATGGTACTGAGACAACCGGATATCCATATGCAAAAGAATGAAATTAGATCACCTGCCACCGTATATAAAAATTAACTCAAAATAGATCAAAGACCTTAAATGTAGGAGCTAAAGCTATAAAATTCTTAGAAGAAAACATAGGGGCAAATTTTTTTATGGATTTGCCAATAATGTCTTAGATCTAGCACCAAAAGCATAAGCAAAAAAATAAACAAAATAGATAAATGTAACTTTATTAAAATTAATAACTTTTGTGCTTCAAAAGAAACCATAAAGAAAGTGACAAGACAATGCACAGAATGGGAGAAAATTTCTGCAAATCATATATCTGATAAGGGGCATTCCTGTTGCTATAACAAAATACTGAAGAGCAGGTAATTTATATAAGTAATAGAAATCTATTTCTCATAGTTCTGGAGGCTGGGACATTCAATATCAAGGCACTAGCAAATCTAGGGGCTGGTGAGAGCTGCTCTGGGCTTCCAAAATAGTGCCTTGTTATTAGGTCCTCACATGATAGAAGGGATGAAAGGGCCAAGGGGATGAATAGCTCCCTCGAACCTCTTTCATGAGGTCATTAATCTCATTCACGAGGATTCTACTCTCATAACTTAATCACCCCTAAAGGCCCTACATCTTAATACTATCACATTGGTGATTAGACTTTAACATATGAATTTTGAGGAAACACATTCAGGCTACAGCAGGGCTTGTATCTAAAATACATAAAGAAATGATACAACAAGAGACAAAAACTTAATTAAAAAATGGAAAATAATCTGAATAGACATTTCTCCAAAGAAGATATACAAATGGCCAATAAGTGCATACAGTATGTTCAACATAATTAGCAATCAGGGATGTGCAAACTAAAACTGCAGTGAGATGCCACTTCACACCCATTAGGATGGCTATAATGAAAAAGATGAATAATAACAAGTGTTGGCAAGGATATGAAGAAGTTGGAGTTCTCATACACTGCTAAAAGGAATGTTAGGCAGTGCAGCCACTTTGGAAAATACAAGGCAGTTTTTTAAAATGTTGAACACAGAGGTTTAATGTTCAAAAGGTTAACATTTGACTTTGAAATTCTACTCCTAAGTATAGATACAGAAGAAATAAAAACACAGGTCAACACACAAACTTGTACGTAAATGTCCATAGGAGCATTTTTCATAATAGGCAAATAATGGAAATAGTCCAAATTTCCAATGACTGATGATTGAATAAAACATAATATATCTGTACAATGAAATATTATTTGGCAATGAAGTACTGATACATGGTACAACATGGAGGAACTTTGAAAACATTATGTCAAATGAAAGAAGTCATTCACAAAGGATCATATATCATTTCATGTACGTGAAATGTTCAGGATAGGCAAATCCATACAAAGAGTAAATTAGCAGTTGCTTGGGATTAAGAAGAAATGGGAAGTGATGCTAATGGATATGGAGCTTCTTTTGGGGGTGATAAAATGTTCTAAAATTTATTGTAATGATGGTTGTACAACTCTGTTATTTACTAAAAACCATTAAATTGTACACATAAATTGGTTCATTGCATGGCATGTGAATTATATCTCAATAAAGCTGTCATAAAAACCAACAATACAAATAGCTATTGTTAATTTAGCACTTTCTAAATGCTAGGTACTGTGCTAAACTATGTAATCTTACCTAAGTCTCATAATAAATATGCCAGGAAACTTTTAGTTTTATTTACAAAGGGAAAACATGAGTTCAGAGATAAGGAAATTGCCCAAGGTCACAAAACTAGTAATTACCATACTAGTTAGGATTTTAACTCATTTTTGTCTCATTTTGAGTTTCAGGGTCTTACAAAATGCCATTAGATGGATCTTGTGAGCATCCTTGTGTACAAGGCTGGGGTGTTCACAATAGTGACCAACACGAAACAGTAGAAATTAGTGAAATCTCTGCCTCTGACTTTCTCACCCTGGAACTGGGGTGAGGTGTTGGCTCCCAGGCGCTGTGGATATGGGGTGGCAAGGAATCTATCCTCAGTGAACTGAATTAATTCCTTAATTCTCCCTCAGATATGTCACAGCTGTCATTCTGGAGGTGAGACTCTTGACCCTCCACCCCCAGCACCTGATTTTACAGATTATGTCTTGCGTTTGAAAGTGAGTCCTGTTACTGTTGGCTCTGTCTGCTTCCTAGTTCCAAGAAACAAAACGTGAGAAGGAAGGTGTTAAGCCCACAAAACAAAGACGTCAAATAGTTCTCACCAAGGAACATTTGGATGAGTTTTGGGAAAATGACTGTGAAGCAGATGGATTACATTTTCTGTTTGGGCTCAGTAATTAAGGGGAAAGGGGGACTCAAGCCAAATGTGCTGGGATTTTGTCAAATTCCAAATGTTGGAACACATTTCAGGATGTTTGACTGAGTTTGGCAGAATCAGTACCTTGACTGTGGCCTTCTCTTCTTGGACAAAAGATGACCGAAGAGCCTACAATAATCCAAACCTGAAAGAAGCCACAGGCATGGTTACCCTTTTGTGGGAAATGGCACAATGGTACCCTTTGTCAGTTGGAATATTTCAGTGGGGGGATTAAATATGCATATGGCTATTCTTGCAGGGTTTTTGAGAAAGAGGATAAAAATCAGCTCACATAACACAATTTAAGAATATACTCTTTCATTCTATTCCTCGTGATCCAGAGGCTAGAAGTAGAATTGCATCCTTCCATGACTATCCAAACCCCTTATTCTGTGCATCCTGAAGTATCCCCAGGAATTTTTGTGGCTGTACTTACTCTCATCCTTTGCTCTTTCCATTTGATTCTTTAGAATCAGAGCAGAACCAAGCGGGAAGCTCAGAATCAGAGAGACCTCATCAAGTTTTTGGCAAACCCAAACATTCTGCAATAGATTGAGTGGAAGGAAGAGGAAGGACATAAAGATAAAGACATGAGAAAAGAAGCTGAGTCTTTGTTGAAACACTGAAATGGGTGCAGGTATCATTTCTTATCTCATTGTTTTTTCTCATAAGCCCTGAATTAATTCATTTATTCACAGTATTTTCGCAGATGTGAAATTCACATATTATTCACAGATGTGTTCACTATCATCTATGTACTGGAAAGATAGCAGTGAATAAAATGGACAAAATTACCTGCCCTCTTGGAGCTCGCATTCTAATGAATAAAATGCCATTGTCACTTGGAGGATATGCTTATCAAAATTTTTAGAGGTCAGTTGCCTAGCTGGTCAAAGAGCAGTAGAATTTAAATTTTTCTCCTGTAAGTAGCTACAATGCTTTGTCAGAATTTTTACCCTAGTATTACAAATATTTATTCTATTTTGCTGATAAATTTAAAAATGGCCTTCAGTGTCATTCCAGATGGGATATGTTGTCTTACCATTGACAGAATATTCTACACCCAAAGTTAAAATTTCTAAGAAGAAAACACAATTAAGTTCATCCTTTAAAACATTTTTTTCAAATGACTAAAAAGTAGCGACTGGGAAGTGCTGATATTAAAATGGCAGCAAAGCTTCCGCCTCAGAGCTCTCCTTTCTTCTCCCTGTCTTCTCATCAGCAGATCTTTTTTTATTCACTGAAGAAGCAAAATTGGAAAGTAAATATATAAATTAGAAACTGGCAAGAGAAGTAAACAGCAGTCTTGGGTTTTCACTTCAAGGCAAAACGATGGCTCCTAGTGTCCCCTTCTGCATGTCAATCTTGTATATCAATTCCTTGTGATAGGAAATGTTATTTTCAGTGGACTGTAGTCCAGGCAATTGTCAAGAGAGCTCCTATGTGGCAACTGTTTTGGACATGTCCAGAGACACAACTTTTTCAACACTGCATCAGCCCCAGCCTGGCTTTCACTGCTTCTGTATCCCTAGCTGGTCACAGCTAGCTCTGCTGATGCTCCACAGCTTCAGGCACAGCTCCGCCTGAGCTATTCCTGATGGAGATGAATAGTGCTGCATAACTCCCTATTGCAGACTGGTTTCACATTAGGTCTACTGTCTAGACTTGAGACTTAATGGCCCCAGATGTCTGAGGGACTCCCACACTCCTTGCTGCCAATTAGATCTCAGATCTACTGGTGGTATTCATGACCATAGGGGACTAAGTTCGGGTGGTAGCTCCCTTCTTTTACCTTCTTCCCATACATTCACTCAGTCCATAGAATAGAACTGCAAACTTGATGTTCTCTTTTTAATCCAACCAATCAACTTGTCTAATGCACTAGTCCCAATTCTGGAGATCCTAGTTTCAGTGACCCAGTTACTGACCTGGGTCTTCTTGCTTACAAAGACCTCCGAGAGTGTACCCACCTGCCTGTTAAACTGGTTAATTTCCACCAATCTAAGTGTAGGTGCCACTAACTAGATGCAAATTTTTGGTATAGCCATTTCTAAAATGAAGATGGAAACAGGTACAGCCCCAAAGACAGTAGGCATGACCTGACCTCCTGTACCTTTAGAGTTATTCCTTGTTCCATCTCAGTGCATGTCTCAAATTAATTAGTGCATGTCTCAAATTAATTCCTGCTCCATTTTACAGCTTGCCTGATAATACTATAGGCAACAATGCAAAGTATCTAACATCAAAGTCTCAAACAATGATAAATTGTAATTGGAACTACTTCATGGTGGGAGAGAAGCTTTTGTTATCAACATTTATTAGGCCTGCTGGACCTTTAGTAGGTCACTCGGTCCCTGAACACAGAGATAAGTGGACCTGGGTTTCATATTTAGTCTCCTTGCAGAACAAATTTAGCCTTGGAGAAGACCAAGGCTTTGGGCCCAGGAATGGCCTGGAAGTTCTCTGGGACTAATTCAAAGCCTCACTAAACTCCCTCTTGGAACATCTTAGGATCCATAGCCACAGATTCCTTGGTACACCCAAAGCACGGTATAGACTTTATAACACTGCCAGTCCTTTTTAATGTTTCAATCTTTTTCTTTCATCTTTATTCTAATGGTGCCTTGAGAAAAAACAGCATTGAGTATACAAATGAATTTGGGAGTAAGAGAGAGGGATCTGGGAGAAAAAATAAAAGTGAAGTTCAAATAAACTTGTTTGGGGAACTAAATGGCTCTTACGTTAAGAAGAGTGGGCTCATCCCCACCAGGTGCACAAATTTTTTTAATGTCTTTTCTTGTTTAAGAAAAAAAGTAATTTGTCCAAATTAATGACCCTTTGTCCAATATGGAGAGTATTAGATACTTGATCTTTTCTTCTATGTCGAGGGCATGGCTGAAGTCTTTTAATCCGAGCTCTGAGAGCCCAGTGAGAAGTTAGTTGTTTGTAGCTTGAGACATGGACCATTCTTTTCCCTTTAAAATTTTGTGAGTCTCTAAGTCAACTTCAAAATAAGGATTGAGAAAAACTCAAGGCTGTCTCAGTTTTGTGTTGAGTGAATGCTTGCTTGAAATAGAGAAGCAAAAGAAAAACAAAGGTAAAATGTTTTGATCATTCACCAAATTAAGCGTTAGATGTTACTGCCATCTAGTGATGATTTAACACCTGGCTGCCAGGGGAAGGTAGAGTCATCTTTTTGCTACATAGGCATCGCCTTAGGGCCTATCACAGACTTGCAGGTTTGGGAAAAAGGTGACATCTGAGTAAACTTCCAAATTACCAGAGGATGGTACTATGGTGAAAAGGTCCCACAACTGTGAGAAAAATGCATGTATTCGTATTAAATCCTAAGCCTCTCTGCCCATAATATTTCTTTAAAAAAATCTTCCTTGCAACAATGAAAACAGGTTTCTCTTAACTCCATGACTCCAGGATCCTTAACGCATATTTAAACATTCACAGGCAAGTTATATGCCACCTCTCCATTGCATCTGCCTCCAAACCCTGTCTCTACACATCACTTAATAGAGCTCCAATCCCATTCCTCCTCATTCTGACTGCGCTAATTCCAATCCCATTTCTCCTCATTTTCACTGCACTCATGTGGTCACTGGAGGTGGGGAAGAGGAAGAAGCAAAGAAGATGATACTGTGCTTACCTTGTGTAGATGCTTTACAATCATAGTTGCCCTCACTATCATCCCAGAAATCGGCATCATTCCAGTGTGAAAGATGAGAAAATCAAGAATCAGAAAAATTAGGTAATTGGCCAGAGATCACACAGTTAAGTGTAAGTAGCAAAGCTGGAATTTGAACCCAGTGTACCTGGTCTCATCATCTGAGGAGTTTTTTTGTGGCTTGGTAAGCACAGTGGTAGGATGTTGGAGAGGAACACTGAATGTGGAACAGTGGGAAATGTTCTCTGCTCATCAAAGGGCAGAGTTCAAGAACATCCTCATGTGGCCTCCTCTGGAGCAGGTACAGAAAAGCTGGGAAGGTACAGAAGTACTTGAGTGTAAAGGCTTAGCAGGTTTTGGACGCACAAGCAAATCCATATCTAGAGCAGGGTTGCCAGAAACAGATGGTAACTCTAGGGTGCTAATTTCATCCCCTTCCCTCATCTGAAGAAACGCCATGCTTCATGAGAGTATCCATCTCCGAAGGATTAAAAAGATAAGAAAAAAAAAAAAAAGAAGGTGATCTGATCTAAGCCTGGCACCAGCAGTCCCCTTAGGTATATGGAGGAAAGAACACTGAAGTTGGTGAAAAGGATATAGTTCGGGATTTCTGTTGCCTTGGGATTTGGGCTACAGCCATAACGCTAAAGACATGAGGCAAAGCGTATTTAGTTTTCTTCATTGGCATCAAAGAACCTTCCCAGATGCCTTTGCAGTTAGATGGCTCATGAAATCTTGGCCAAGTTCCGGCCAATGGAAACGATGTAAGCCTGTCTAGGTTTGGGCTCTGAGACATCCTACGTGATCCTTCACATGCTCTTTCTTCTTTCCCCTGAGGGCTACATGTGGAGTATTCATAGGGTAATTCTGAATCCAATTTGGAGCCTTGAAAAATTACTTGGTGCAAACACTCTTCTCTCTCCAACACACACCAGCCCCTCATTGGACTGGGTTGTGAATAAGAAAAATGCCACTAAGATTTTTTGTTTGTTGTTTATTATAGCATTTCATGTAATTTAACCTGTTAATATACAACAACAGATACAAAAGATACCTACTGTGGTAAACAGCCAAAAAAAAAAAAAAAATGGCCAGAATTCTTTATTGCTCCTTGTATCCAAGCTCGTTGCAATTTGACTTTGCACTTTGTCTCACTAGGGAGGCAAAGTCTATTTCCCTGCACTTTGAGTCTGAGCTAACCTGTGACTTCTTTCATGCAAGTAGTAGCCGTGTGCCACTTAGGAGTCTAGGTCTCCAGAGGCTTTGCATGCTTCTGCCACTCATTTAGAATCCTGCTCAGCCCCAGTGACAACAAGCCTTGACCTGCTGGATAAGGAGGGACATGAGGTCAAGACACCCCAGCCAACCACCAGCTAATGCCATCCTAGTTCAATGTTCAGCCAGCCTCCTGCCACTGACCACAGCTGACCACTGAAGCATAAGTAAGCTCAGCTAAATTCAGTTAAGCCTGGCCCACAGAAACAAGAATGCTCAGCTGATGGCATGGTGTGTTTTAATACTTATTATTTACGCTACTGGATTTTGGGGAAGCTTGTTACACAGCGTTAGCTGAAACACCTATATTTTAAAAAGACCTACTGCTCATAACCCAGCAGGACTTACTAAGAGGCTAGCAGAACTTGTTTTGTTGTTATCAACCTACCACAGTCTCCAAAATTGGAACATTCCCCGTTAGAGGAGACATCACTGGGATCAGGGGTTAGAGGGGTTAGAGCATCCCATGTTCCTGGTAAGAACTTACTCCATTCTGCCTCTCTGGGAAAAGATTACAGGTGTTTTCTTTTTTCAGTGAAAGTCCAGGCTAATTAAGGGAAGCGCTGAGAAAACCACTTGTAGAAATCGGTGGGAGTCAGAGAGAGGACCTGCAGGAATTGGGGCTTAGCTTATCCCTCCCTGACGAGAAGCTTATTAGGATGCAGGTCCTGTAAAACCACTGTTACTCCCAGCAAAGCAAGCATGATGGAGTAGTTTTTGATAGAGCTGAATTTTATGCTATTTGCGTTCAAGGGTGTATATTAATATAGTGCCTGGTACTGCTTCTCACTTGGAAAATTTTGAAGGCAGGAAACTTTCTAGGGGCACTCTGGGGTGGGAAGCAAAGGAACAGAAAATTGGTATGCTAAACCCTTCTATAACTAATTGGAGAAGCAAGGAGCTGTAAGTTTCCTACGTGAGAAAGGAATAGGTAATTGGATTGGAACATTTTGGCAGAACAGTGTCTGTATTAGCCTCCTAGGGCTGCTGTAACAAAGTACTACAAATTGGGTGGCTTAAAACAACAACAATGTGTTCTCTCACAGTTTTGGGGGCTGGGCATCTGAAACCGAGGTGTCAGCAGGGCTGTATTCCCACTGAATCCTTCAGCAGAGGACCCTTGCCTGCCTCTTCCAGTTTCTGCCTGCACAGACGTTCCCGGCTTGTGGCAGCATCACTCCAACCTCTGCCTTCATCTTAATATGGCTGTCTTCCCCCTCTGTTCTGTGCTTTCACATGGCATTCTCTTCTCTTTGTATGTCTATTTCCAAATCTCCTCTTTTTATGACACCAGTCATTGGATTAGGACCCACTCTAATGACCTCATCTTAACTTGATGACATCTAGAAAAACTCTGTTTCCAGGTAAAGTCACATTCACAGGTATGGAGATTAGGACTTCAATGTGTCTTTGTGCGGGGGAGGGTGGGAAGCAATTTAACCCAAAACAGTGCCCAAAAGGGCTGGCTTCTGGGTGATGGAGCCCAGTAGTAAGAGCTGTAGACAATAGCAGAAGATGGGGGAGGGGGCAAGATGAGAGCGTGCAGCAGTGGCGGGCCTACTGAAAAGTGGGCACGAATCACTTTAAGGAAACCGATATTTGGACTTCTGCTTCCCAATGGGCATAACAGCCAAGGGAGTGCCGGATATGGCCCCAGTCAGGAAAAAGAGCTTCTTGCTCCTTTCCCTCAAGGGCTTCTTCCCAGTCCCCCCTACATGTTAAAAACGGAAGAGATGCAGAAGGAGAAAGTGTCCCAGGAACAAAGGAGCAGACACCTGTAATAATCATCACTGAGGACCACAGCCATGGGGAAAGCTAGCACCAGAGAGAGAAGAGGAGACAGTGGGGCTGAGTTCAAGATGAGATTGATAGTTAAGCCAGACTTTGTGAAACCTGAGTGGATATACAGGTTGAGATTTGCCCAAGATATGATCAAGAGGTGCAGAAAGGAGCTTCAAAGGCCAATATGTGAAAAAAAAAAAAAATAAAGACATACTTACACTTCACCTAGTGAATCAGTTTGGTAGAAGAGTTATAGGTGTTAAAGTCTAAACTGTGTGATTTTTGTTTGTTTGTTTGTTTTTGTTGAGGTGGAGCCTTGCTCTGTCACCCAGGCTGGAGTGCAATGGTGCGATCTCGGCTCACTGCAACCTCTGCCTCCCCAGTTCAAGCAATTCTGTCTCAGCTTCTTGAGTAGCTGGGACTACAGGTGAATGCCACCACACCCAGCTAATTTTTGTATTTTTAGTAGAGATGGGGTTTCAAACTCCTGACTTCAGGCTGATCTCAAACTCCTCACCTCAGGTGATCCACCTGCCTTGGCCTTCTGAAGTGCTGGGATTATAAGCTTGAGCCACTATTCCCAGCCTAAACTGTGTGATCTTGACCAATCTTTTACCACCTCTGAGCCTCAACTACTTCATCTATACAGTTTGGATAATAATTTAAACACACACACACACACACACACACACACACACCCTCTACAAGCTTGTAAAAGAACTTTCTATGTTTGAGGTGCTGTTGTCACTGAGACCAGAATCCACAGATGGTGGCTTGTGTTTCCATGTTTGGTTATAGGTATCAGACAATGCATTCAGCTTTTCTGAGCTTCAGCTTTCTCATTTTTAAAAAAGGGCCATGAGTCATGGGGCAAATGGAAAGATGAAATGAGATGTGAAATTGCTTTTTTATTTTGCAAATTGTTTTATATTTGCAAAGCATTTCAGGCATGTCTCCTATCGTCTGTGTTTTTATGACACCAAATAGCGGCAGCATGTTGAATTAAATGTAAGAATTTATATTACTTGAATTCTGTTGATGAGAATTTGTAATGAGCAATCAACCTTGTACAATATGAACCCCCTGGAAAGCTTTAAAAATACTAATGTCTGGGTTCCATCCCCAGAGATCGCCACTTAATCAGTCTGGGCTAAAAAACCTGGGCATCAGGGAGATTTTTCCAAGCTCCCAGGAGATTTGACTGTGCTGCGGGGTAGGGGGAGGTGGTTTGAAAACCGTAGAGTAGAAAGTTCTGCTGCTGTGGCTGAATGACTGACTGCCACATTGTTATCTGTTTTGTTTTTCTGTTTACCTCTGACAATTTTTAACTGCACTGCAATTTTTGTTGATGGACTAGGAACATGTTGATTTGGGTGTGATTTTCTGGCTAGTCAGCGATTTTTTTTTCTTTTAGCTTTAGGTTTTGCCAGTTTTGATCAACTACTTTATCATTTTCTGCTTGCTACACAAAAAGTGTACCTGTCACCTTAAAAATGAAAATTGGTTGGTAAAATTCCACATTCTGACAGGAAAAATAACATCGTTTTTGTGAATCTGAAAGATGGTTTCCTTTCCACCACTGGAACAACTGCTTTTATTTTTTAATAATCTGAGGTATCTTAGGACTGCAATTACACTGTAGAAAAACACGTGACATTAATAAATCAGAATAATTAAAACAGTGCAAAACAAACACATTTGTAAGTGCTGAGCAGAGAAATACACAGAAAAATGAATCTTTTTAGTTGAGGGGTTAGGGGAGATGGAGGTTGCCATGATGAAATCAGATTTCTGGGAGAAGGCTTAGACATGCCTGGGAGCACATGAAGTGGTGTCAGGCCGGCTGCTGTGAGGCAGCAGTATAATAGTCCTGCAGGAGAAAAATTAGATTTCAGAGGGGTGGCTGAAAACATGAGGTCAAAACTGATACAAAGGCAGATTTGTTCCTAACAGAAAACCCTCTTGCCAGCTGTCGGCGCCTTCTCTTCCTGCCAGGTTTGCAGGGCAGGGGCAGCAGCCTTCTTCCCTTTTGCCCAAATAGGAGAAGAGCCCATTCAATCGATTACGGGCTGTCCAAAGTGGGCTGAGACCGGAGAGCTTTTCTTCTTCTCCTCCCACTTTCCCTCCAAAAGCAGCAAGGGTGAAATGCCAGGTTTAAAAAGCGACTCGGTAGCTGACAGTTCTTGTAATACTCCCAGTCTCAGCTGCTCTCCTAACTCCAGGGTATAATTATCCTTGTACTTAATTGGAGGTTCAGGAGAGCTTATTAGCTTGCTCTGTTGTTGCATAATTCAGGAGTTCAGTTCAAACTTCCTTAAAAGTGAAGCAAAGGCACCACTTTGTGGTGCAAGAAGCAAGGCTGGACAACTGAGGAGGGTCACACCTGGCTCCATGCCCTCCCTGTTCTGCGGCTAATTCACTGGGTAGCATCAGCCAAATAGCCAACCGCTTTGGGCATCAGCTTCCTTCCTTGCCAATGAGGAGACAGACCTGGGTTAGTATTTGCGAAAGGGTGTTACCTGAAACACTTGCTTTTCAAGAGGCTTCTTTAAAAAAAGGGTTTTGTGTCCTTAAATAACTTCAGAAAATGTTGTGTACCAGGCATGCCTGTGGTGTATATAATAGATTGTCTCACTCAATATCTGTTCCAACGTCAAGTTTACTACCTAAACCCTGTATTTCCCAAATTCCTTTGCACTAGAGTCCCAGATACGATTAGGCTACCAGTCACCACGCCCGGCCAAACAGACATTTTGCCATCAAAACAGAAACACCCGGCTGGACGTGGTGGCTCACACCTGTAATCCCAGCACTTTGGGAGGCCAAGGCAGGCAGATCTCGAGGTCAGGATATCGAGATCATCCTGGCTAAAACAGTGAAACCCCGTCTCCACTAACAAAAAATTAGCTGGGCGTGGTGGTGGGCACCTGTAGTCCCAGCTACTTGGAGGCTGAGGCAAGAGAATGGCATGAACCCGGGAGGCAGAGCTTGCAGCGAGCCGAGATTGCACCACTGCACTCCAGCCTGGGCGACAGAACGAGACTCCATCTCAAACAAACAAACAAACAACAACAACAACAAAAAACAAAAACAGAAACACCCAAGCAAGCTTGAGTTTCTGTCTCTCCTTTCTGCACACCACAATAGTTCTGTCACTACGCCGTTGGAAGTATATTTTGAAAGCTCACTCTCAGGTGAGGATATGAGATCCTTGAGGGCAAGCTCTGTGTCTCAATTATCTGTATTCCTTAGTACCTAGAATGCTGATTGCACAAAGTATCATGCTATTATTATTTTTACTATTTTAATGTCCAGATACATCCTTCTTCTAAAATGGCTACTGCCTCAGGACGTTTGAAGGGGGAAAAGAAGAAGAGAAATTTCTGCTCCAGGAAGGCTTGGAATGAAGAACACAGATAGCAAATTGTTCTTCTCTCCTTTCACCTCTACTCCCAGTTTTTAAAGTCTCTCACCTGCAAACTCATTGGTGGTGTTCTTTCTTTGCTTGCAGTTCTTACAAAGGCAAGAATGCCTGAATATTTGGTTGAAAGAGCATCGATGGCTTCAACCTGAGTGTGTTTTCCAAATTCATGCAATGTATTATGCCCCTAGGCCTTTGAGAGCTGCTGCATGTAATCCCTAATGCTATGGCTGACACATGTGTCTATCAAATTGTGTCTTGTCTGAGCCTTCTGGGCACAAAGGAATATTCCCTTGATCAATATGTTCGATGGGCTAAAACAATTTTGCTGAATATCAAATATTGCCTGTGTTCTGCTAGGCCCTGGACATTGGAGTATGATTTACAACATCCCATTTTTTTGATCAGCACCCCAAGCTAAGTTGAGGGCTTTTGGGGCTCTAAATGGTTGCAAAAACTTCAGCACAATTCAGTGTAAATGGTTTAAGAGTTTAAAGAGACCATCCTTCTCCTCTGGGGCAGTTTCCTCTTGGTTCAACTTTTGTCATATGTTCCCTGGGAACACTGCAAAGTACTGAATGCTTCACACTCACCGCCACTCTGTCCTTCAGAGGGGTGTGGACTGAGGTGGTTAGAGATGGTCTTTGAATGTGTTCGCTTAGGAAATATCACTCAGGGGAGTTGCAGGAGCAATATTTGAGCAACATCATAGATGTGAGGATATTAGAGCCAAGAGTGATCTAAGAGATAAAATAATTCAATTATTTTATTTGAGAGATAAGAAACTTGAGACCCAATAGACGTTCCACAGCAAGTATAGATACAGAAGCAAAGTTCTCAGGCTTGGAATCCAGCATCTTTTCTGAATACAACAAGTAACCTCCAAAATTTATACTTTTGAAGGAACAATCTGCAAAGAAACTTAAATTATGCCTTCTACATACTTCCTCTGAATTTCTCTAAAGGCTTTTCAAAAATGAACAATTTATCCACAGTGCTGGTCCAAATAAGGGAAGTATCCTCCCACACAAAGAAAAGTTTGTAAGTGTTTGCATGCACTGCCTGGCACAGTTTCCTCACCCAATGCCAGACTTCAAAATTAGTGGTTTTCAAAGTATGTTCCCTAGACCAACAGCATCAAATCACCCTGGGAATTGTTAGAAAGGCAAACCCTTGTGTGCAGATCTACCAATTCATACATTCAGAGGTGTTCCTAGATCTCTGTATTTTGCAAGCCTTCTAGGTGACTCTCACGCATGCTCAAGTTTGAGAACCACTTATTAATTTTGAATTCTCTTTGCACAATGTTATTTAGAAGCAATTGGAATATTCTCATCCCCCGCTGAAAGACCTTGCCTCCTGCCTTTTTTTGCCGTTCCTTAGTTTCATATCCTTGGATTAAGACTTCTAGCTCTAGATTATCCTGGACTATAAAACATGTTGAGCCTTCAAATCCTTCACATATCAGTGTGTACAATCATATCAGAAACTTCCTTAATAGCAGATTTTGATAGAGTATATTTATAACATATTTATAACTTATTTATGTCTGAAGACTGACTTACAAAAATGTAGGTGAATTAGAATAATGAAAGAGGTGTATCTCACGAAACACAAGCATAAGGAGGAAGCCCCTGAGTCTCAGGAGCTGACTGAAACTAGAGCCTAGAATGCCCACAGCACCCCTACTTTCCTCTTGTATCTACTCTGCTTTTGGAGTCAGTTTTGTTCTCTCTCTTTTAAAAATTATTATTTTTTTAAATTTTAAGTTCTGAGGTACATGTGCAGGATGTGAAGGCTTGTTACATAGGTAGACATGTGCCACAGTGATTTGCTGCACCTATCAACTCATCACCTAGGTATTAAGCCCAGCATGCATTACCTACTTTTCCTGATGCTCTCCCTCTCCCTGCTCCACCCCCAACAGGCCTCAGTGTGTGTTGTTCCCCTCCCTGTGTCAAAACTGGCTTTCTCTGCCTCTCAGTCCATGTGAGAAAAAATGGCTACAGCCTGCAACTCCTAAGTGGAAAAGATCTAGCCACCAGGAAAGAGCCCACATGTCTTTCCCAGTCTCAATTCCAAGTTCCTAGAAGGGGATTTTAGCTTAGGAAGGATCAGCTTTTCACCTGCGGTCCATCGCTTGTGTGTGTGTATAGGAACATGCCCTTTGGGAGCCCCATGCACATAATGGTGTGGATGGTGTATGGGTAGAGTTTTCTGAAAATAGGGGAGGACTGGAAAGTTAACCTGATAGACAGACAGCTTGGATCTTGGATAAGAAAGTAATTAGAAAGAGTTCTATTGAATGGTGGAGGGGATGTGAAAAAGAGGAGGGGGGCAGAGGGATGCAAAAGAATAAATTTCCCAGGTGGTAATTCTAAGGGTTTAGGCAAGTCAGTATTTGTAATAGGTTGAGTTGTGTTCCTCAAAAAGATATGTTGAAGTCCAGCCCCAGGTACCTCAGAATGTGACCTTATCTGAGAATAGGGTTATTGCAGATGTAATGAGTTAAGATAAGGTCATTCTAGAATAGGGTGGGCCCTAAATCCAATACGATTATGGCCTTATAAGAAGAGGGAAATTTGGACACAGATGCGGAGACACAGAGGGAAGACAATTATGGGAAGTTGAAGGTAGAGCTTGGAGTGATGCTGCCACAAGCTAAGTAGTCTGGGGCTGCCAGAAGCTTGAAGAGGCAAGGAGGGATCCTCCCTTAGAGACTTCAGAGGGAGCATGACCCACCAGCACCTCGATTTCAGATTTCCAGCCTCCAGAAGTGTGAGACAATAAATGCCTGCCATCCCAAGCCACCAGTTCATGGGACTTCATTATGGCAGCAAACACAGTATTCTTTAGCCCTTTCATGCATGTTGAACTGCTACCTGTCCCATGCTTCAAGCACCACAAAAGCCTAAACTCCTGCAGTCCCACTTTTCCTAGCTTGGTTCACGACAACCATTCACCTTTGGCTTAAAAATCTTCCTTCCTCATTTTCTGATTTCTACTTTGCTTCTGGCTTATTGACTTATTACCTCTTCTGGCCTCATCATTCTTTGGATTTTGATATCCTTTACTATTTGATATAGCCAGTTTCAAATTATTCCCATTGCAAGGGATAGAAACTTAAATATGGAGGATTTATTAGCTTAGAAGTATAAAATGCAGAGATAGTCTCACTTCAAGAAGAGTTGGTGATAAAAACTCAGACATTGTCGCTAAGACAATGTTTCCTTTATCCCATGGGTTTGCCTTCCTTATCACTGTCCCAAACCCCCATCAGGCTCTCCTGTCTGGTACAAGGTGGCTACCTGAAGTGCCAGGCTGAGGTCTGACCAGCAGATTGACTAGTAGGACGTCTTTCTCTTGATAGTCCCAATAGGAGTTGGGAGACCACAGTCTGCCTATTTACCAGTAATGAAAACTGAGGGAACATACTATTTTAATTGATTCCAACTGGGTCATGTGTCCTGCCCTGGAGATTTGGAAGGAAGTCAGCTAAATCTGAATCAAATGTGCCCACAAAACACTTGCTGAATGGGAGATTGATATTGGGAAGGCAAAAATAAAAAGTGTCTAGTGCATCTTCAACCTCAACTTAGATTCTTTATTCTTCTGTGTTGCAATAGGCTAGCAAATACCTATTGTGGTATAACATGACCCAACCTTGTAGGTTCACTTAGTTTTTTTCCCACCCTGAAGGAGAAGTAGGAGAATGAGTGCCTTATGAGTTCAACCAACATGTTTACTCATAAAAATTCAATCAAATGACATAATTAATATTTTCCAATTCATAAAAAATGACATAACCTAGTGGATAGAATTTGATAAACTACATGCTTTTAGCCCAAAAAAGTTTTCTAAAATCTTTGACAACTGATACTACTTGTGTACACTGTAAACTAAAAAAGAGTGGTTTAGTCCACCATTATGTCTTTAATTATTTTTTCATTGAATATACCAAGTGCCCCAAAGACAAGGTTGAGTCAGTGGACTTTTGTCTGCCTGTGAGGTGAAGGGTCTTCTCTATCCTTGCCTTATCTATCTCTTTGAAGCACTTTCCTTCAATGGCCACCTAACGCATATTCTTTGCAGAACTGGGAGACTTCCTGGGTTATCTTCAGCAAAACAGACTGCTACTCTTCACAGAAACAGCATTCTTCTCCTTAAAGTTCTTCCCGGGCCTAGGGCTAAACTATCAAGTATGTTTTTGAATATATGTTAGCTTCAACTCCATACCTTTGTCCTGCCATTGTTTCTTCCTGGAACACATTGAAGACAAAGTTATAGCTTTATTGTCTTCTGCCATGAAATTTTCCTTGGTCACCTCCATGCTAAGACTACATCAATAAGAAATAAATACATAGACCTTGTTCTAGTAAGAGTGACTAATAATAAGCCAAAATTATACAAATAATTCTATATTTCCTGTTGTGATAGGCAGTGAAAAGGAGAGTGCTGGGGGAATGTACATCAAGGGGATCTAACCTAGTCGATGGTGGAGCAGGGAATAGAGAAGGTGTCCCTGAGACTGTAGTGTTTAAATAGAATCTTGGAGGAGTAGCAGGACTAGTCTGGTGATGTGAAGGTTGTATGGTGGTATGGTGGAGTTTGATCATAGATATGGTAGTTACAGGAAGCAGTTTGGCATATCTGAGAAATGAAAGGATGACAACATGGAGGCAGCAATGAGTAGAAGGAAAGTGAGATGAGCTCACTCAAGGATGGAGGTGCAGCCAATGATGAGGGAGAGTCTTGTGAGCCGCATGAAGAACTTTAGACATAATGCTGCAAGCAGTGGGTGGTAATAACAAGATTTCAGACAATGGCAACCTAAATGGGTTTGCATTGGTAAAGGCCATTCTAGCTTCCATGTGCATAATGGATTGGGGAGAGACAAGAACGTGTGCACTAGACTCTTAGATTGTATTCGTACGGTGTTGAATCATCACTGGGAAACTTCCTTTCTTGGGTACCTATAATGGTACTTGCCTTTGATAAATGTGCCTCTTAGACGATTTGGATGCCCTTAAAACTCGACATGTCTAAAACCTATCTCATCATCTTTTTCAATGCCCTTTCGCCCCATAAAACTCCCAACCTGGGTCACATGTCTTGGCAAATAGTGCCAATTTTCATTAGGTTTCGTAATCCAGAATCCTCATATGTCTTCCTTTCTCTTTGTCTCCCTCACCAGCTCTCACTCCAAATCCTTTGCCAAAATTGTCTATTTAATCCCCCTTACATCCTCAAATCCATCATATCTCTCCATGTCTGTAACCATCTTCTGACAGAGCCACCATCATCTCTCTTGCCCAGGGGTCGACTTCTTCCTCATTCACTTCATTGTCCTCACTCTGCCGACTCCCTGCCAGTCTGATCTTTGCACCAGAGTGTTCTTTTCAAAATGCAAGCTGAGTGCTGTGGCTCACACCTTTAATCCCAGCACTTCAGGAGGCCATAGCTGGGAGAATCGCTTGAGGCCAGGAGTTTGAGACCAGCCTGGGAAATATAGAAAGACCTAATCTCTACAAAAATAAAAAAATAAAAAATAGCAGGGCATGATAGTGTGCACCTTTAGTCCCAGCTACTTGGAGGCTGAGACAGGAGAATCTCTTGAGCCCAGGAGATTGAGGCTGCAGTGAGCTATGATTGCACCATTGCACTCCAGATTGGGTGACAGAACAAGACCCTGTCTCAAACAAAAGAGAACAAAAAAATGCAAACTTAATCATATTTCAATCCTGTTTAACATCTTGTAACAACTTTCTTTGCTCGTAAGCTTCAGACAGAATTCCTTAATACAGCCTGCAAGCCCTATTCAGTGCCTGGTCAATAACCACTCTCAGCCGCATTCATCTCTGCTCCAGCCACAGTGAAATCTGCAATAGAGGTTGTCCCTACTGTCCCCTCTGCCCTATTGTCATGATTTTGTTAGCATATATTCCTACATCTCATCTCAGTTAAAGGTTCACTTCCTCAGGAAGCCTCTTCTAACTTCCCTGACCAGGTCAAATTCTCCTACTATAACATCTCTTAGCTCCATGTTCGTGCTTGTTGCAGTTGCAATTTTGCATTTGTCTCAGTTAATTTCTCTTCCCTCACTAGATTGTAAGCTCTGTGAGGGAAAACTTAGCACTGGTTTTTGCTCATCATTATAGCCCAGAATCTCAAAGACCTTCCATGATATTTATTGAATGAAGAGTGACGGAATAAACACATATCAAATGATGCTTTTTATTGAATATCTAATGTGAACCAAGCAATTTATGTGCATTATCCCAGACCTCACCACAATCTGGAAGACAACTCGGATTTATTTTTTAATTTTAAAGATAAAGAAAACTGGAGCTCAAAGAAGTGTACTTATCGGAGATTACAGAGCTCATAAATGAGCTATTTAACCTATCCAGTATTAAAAAGCTAGTCTATCTGTTTCTATGGGCTGTGCAGTTTCAACCATAGCATACAGAATGCTAAGGCTCGGGGGAAACTGGAAGGCATTTGATCTAATTCTGTCATCTTGCTAGAAGGAAGCTGAGGCTCATGGTTAACAAAACCAAACCAAACCAAACAAAAACCAAACAAAACAAAACATACACATTCACATAGAACATCCATAGGAGAGCGCAGATAGAATCTGTATCTCTCTTGACTTTGTTTTTTCTATTATCATATGTCATTTTAATCCTCTAGTAAAGAGTAGCAGCAGTGACTTAACAGATTTTTTTTCATTGCTGCTGCTTCTTAATCCCTTTTGAGCCTCAATTTCTTTTTGTATAAAAGGGGAACAATAACGATTTTGTAGAGATGAGGTATGCAAAGTCTCTGGCTGCAGTGAGCACTCAGTAATAAGAGCTATTTATTGGGCCAGGATTCCAACTACTTTCATAAAAATAGCAGGAAAGTCAAATGGAAAGCTGACTTGATGGTAGGGGAGGCTTCTGCCCACCAACTAGTTCCACGTTTCTCAACCCTGCACTGAATGTTAAAATCACCTGGGGAACTTCTGAAAAATTATGATGTCTGGTCCCAACCCCATGGAGCCTGGTTTATACAGGGACAAGATATCTATAGGTTTTTAAAGTTTCTCCAGGGGATTCTAATGACCACCCAGGGTGGAAAAGCATGGAGCTAACTGGGGTGCAGGACGAGTGTCCTCATAAGAAGTCAAAGGTTTGGTGATAAACAACAACTGGCCGGGCGCGGTGGCTCACGCCTGTAATCCCAGCACTTTGGGAGGCCGAGGCGGGCGGATCACGAGGTCAGGAGATCGAGACCATCCCGGCTAAAACGGTGAAACCCCGTCTCTACTAAAAATACAAAAAATTAGCCGGGCGTAGTGGCGGGCGCCTGTAGTCCCAGCTACTTGGGAGGCTGAGGCAGGAGAATGGCGTGAACCCGGGAGGCGGAGCTTGCAGTGAGCCGAGATCCCGCCACTGCACTCCAGCCTGGGCGACAGAGCGAGACTCAGTCTCAAAAAAAAAAAAAAAAAAAAAAAAAAAACAACTGAAGCACGTTTTCAAGGTGAGATCCATTGGAATGTATATTCCTGTCCTTAATTTAGTTTAAAGTGATGGATGTCTTTTTATTTTTTCAAAGAAACAACAACAACAGATTTTTTAAAATTTTGCACCAGTCACCGTTGCCCAAAGTGGTCATCCAGTGGTCATATCTGAATTGCTCTTGTAGCAAGGAATTCTGGAAAACTTCAGGGCATAGAGTCTGCTGGGACAGGGTGGGGGTGGAAATACATGACTGAATGGTAAATAAAACCAATTTTCTTGTTGCTGGCTTTCTGGCTACTTAATGTAAAGCCATAATTATTTCCATAGCAACACACTCATCACATACAACATGAATATGTAGATTCCCCAGAGGGAAGATGGAATAAACTGTATCTTTGTACACTTTACTTGAAAAAGAAAAATAAAGCTTGTATAATTCCAATCCACAGTTGCATAAACAGTATTTTACATCCATGTAGATAATTAATCCAAATTCATCTATAACCACCAGAAATGAATGATGTGCTCACTGAGGCCATAGAAAAATACCCTATACAGTAGTGCACATCCGTGATTTTGTTTTCCATGGTTTTGGTTGCCCATGGACAACTACAATCCAAAAATATTAAGATATTTAGAGAGACAGCGCAAGAGTGAGAGTGCAAGCACATATTCACATTACCTTTATTATGGCATATTGTTATAATTGTTCTATTTTATCATTAGTTATTAATGTTGACTTCTTACTGTGCCTAATTTATAAATTAAACCTTATCATAGGTACATAGGTATAGAAAAAGAAACAAGAGTACAAGGTTCAGAATTCCAAATCTGAAAATCCAAAATCTGAAATGCTCTAAAATTTGAAACTGTTTGAGTGTCAACATGATATACATTGGAGCATTTTAGATTCTGGATTTTTGGATTTGGGATGCTCAAGCAGTGCAAATATTCCAAAATCCAAAAAAGTCTGAAATCCTAAACACTTCTGGTCCCAAGAGTTTCGGATAAGGGATACTCAACCTGTATGTATAGGGTTTAACGCTATCTGCAGTTTCAGGCATTTACTGGGGGTCCGTGAAACATATCTTCCACGAACAAGGTGGGGACTACTGTAATTGATACGTATGTGTATGTGTGTTTGCAAGAGACAGAGACAGAAACAGAAAAAGATAAAGAGACACAGAAAGACTTGAAATCATAGTACATGGAGATTTTTAGAGGGAAATCCACGTCATTAGTAGCCTCCTTTCAGAATTAAAGCTCTCAAAGTACTCTGATTATTGAAGCACTTGAGGCATTGGTACTAGACGGGTTCACAGCTTGGAGATTGCACTATAGGCTGCAGATCATGCAGGGAAAGAAGACAAGTAGTACTGTGGTTGTGGAACTTCCACAGAGGAGAGGTTGTGGGTCGCCATCTGGTGAGAAGGGCGCAGTAGAGTTGGGTGAGCATGGAGGTGTCTCAGAATATTTGAATTGAAGTCTTACTATGGCTTTTATGCAGATTATATTTTTACTGACTTTGACTTGGAAATGGAGATGTGATAAAACATTCTTGAGTCACTACTTTGGTATTGCCACTGAGAAGAGCTCTCCAGTTTTCTCCTTTACCTCTTTAATGCCACGGTCTGTGGTTTTGAAGCTTCTCTAGGATCTATAATTCTGGATCTCGGGTGAATATTCCAAGTGAGGAGGGGGCGGTCATACCTTGGGTGAGATCAAAATAATGAGCACAGAGACTATCCTGCATTTCCTGGAAGAATCTCAATTCCAATCAGTCCTCTGTGATTCCACAAGGAATTTTTAGATTGGGTATGCAAATTACTCATACAGAAATCATTGTTTCTAGAGATATGACATGGTGATTCTCATTCTGGCTGACTGTTTTAATGTTCTCTCTCCTTATACCTTTTCCTATACTCCCATATAAACACAAAACCATCTCTGTCTACCTACCTCCCTCCCTCTGAACCTCTATTTACCTATCTAGCTAATTCTCTTTATTGAGATATAGATTGAGTATGTGTGTATATAGAAAAAATATATAAGTACACCTCCCATATTCAGAAAACATTTACTGAATATATATTATGCACAAGGTACTCTCATATACTCTTAAAATACTTCAATGAATAAAAAAAGAAAAAGTCTTTGTCCTTGTGAACTTTACATTTTTGGGGTTGAGGGGAGCAACAGGCAATAAACAATAACTATAATAAACAAGTTACAATAAGAGATACACAAAAATTAGTGTGGGGCAAATGGAATGGGGCATGGGGGCAGGTTGCAATTTTAAATAAGAGGGTCAGGAAAGTCTACAGTGAAGGTACACTTGAATAAGTAGAGGCGTATATTATCCAGAACTGGCTCTTGAACTTCAGAGCAAATGGGAACTGTTTGGTTTAAGTTACGTGTTTTTTCCATTGCCTTATTTTCACTGAGATGTTGGAAGTCCCAGGAAATTGTGTATTGTTATATCAGTTCTTGAATGGGCAGAAATTTGACTGAGAAAAGCCAGATCCTAAGTTAATCAGAAAGAGACTGCAAAGAGCCAGGCTTTAGTTTAAAAAGTGAAGAACCAGACTGGAGAGATCAAGACCAGATCTTGATGACAGGTTGGCATCAGCTTGGAGGCGTGAAGAAATTGGACAATTTATGGTCAGCCAGTCAGGTTGCATCATAATTCCTAGTCTGCACAAGAACTCAAGGGAAAGAACAAATAAGTTTTCCGGTTCTATTTTCAGTTTATTTGCTCTCTGTTTTATGGATTTCAGACTCTTCAAAATACTCTTCAGTGGCTTTGTTTCCAAATGAAAACCAGAAAAATGATGCTGGAATTTCATAGAGGCAGCGGCGGATGGAAGAGGGCTCCTCCTGTCTATAACCATGGGAATATTGTTTTTGATTGTAGACCAACTAACTGCAAAGAGAGAAGACACATAAATAAGACAAGCCCTGGAAAGCACATGTGGTGTGACGGTGTCCTGCCAAAGCTGAGAAGACACAAATAAAAAGTAATTATTTACTCTTTGTAAGAGAGTGTTCTAAACCCAAGACACTGATTCATAGATGCTATCATGGCCCTGTAAACACATTAAAAATCAAATACAGGTTATATTACATGTACCCAGTTCATCTTACAATGGTAAAGTCCAGAAATTGTCAACAGTCTAAAAAAATTCTAACTACTTGTCATATTAATGATGTGTAATAAGGTATAATATTGATAATATTTTATATTATAATAATGTTATATTATCTTATTTCTTCTAGTCTTGATCTTGTTTGTTTTCAGGTCTTAGCCATGAGGGCATTTAAAATGTTTTCTGATTATGTTTAAGGATGATTGCACTGCATGAAATCCTTCAGAGGCCTCACACTTCTTTTAGGATAAGATTCAAATGGCTTATGAAGCACTAGGAAGTCTTTTTGATCTGCCCCCCTCCCCATCTACCTCTCCAGACTCATCCTGTGCCACTGTCCCACAGGCATCCTTCCTGCTGCCAGAACAACTTTATGCAGTTCCACGAATAAACCGTGGTGTTTCATGCGGCAGTGTCTTTGCTCGTGATAGTTCCTTTGTCTAGAACATTCTTCCTGCCCTCACTCACCGGACTGGATTTATCTCTTCCTCCGCATAGTTCTTCTAACCTTTCTTTCTCAGTCAGACTGAATAGGGATCTGAGTCCCATAAGACCCCAGGCAAACCTCTCGCATGACTCTTACCAGCTTGAAATGTTAACAGTTGCTCTTTTTGTTTCTTATGCCAAAGACTAAGAATTTCTTGAGAGTAAAATTGAAATGATCTCTTACCCCAGCTTCCAGAATAGAGTAATAGTTCTTAGTATATATAGTGGCTCAATGTATATGTGTGTATATGAAATTAAATTGAAGCACTGAAGGTCTCAAATATTGCAATATCCACAAGGTAATGAATCTGGGAACTTTCTGGCAATCATTACACTAATGTCAGTGACAGAGATGGAGCTCAGAAAGTTATAACTATTATTTTAAGAAGCAATTTTCCAAGGTCAGCAGTTTACCATGAGAGCCTACTGACTTTCTCCCTAACCCACAGGAGACAGATTTGAGAGAGGAAGCGATAAATGGCTTTTCAATTCCATTTACTTCCACAGTTTTTAAACGCTACATCCCCACTGTCTTCATATAAACTCCAACCAGCATAGACATCGTATTATAAATGGAATTATCACCTTGTAACATGGCAGAATAGTTTGTCTTTGATCTAAGATGGACCAGCTAACAACTCTATCTGTGCAAGGCCATTTTGTGTGCAAATTAGAAAGCAGGTGGAATCTGTGTAATTATAGGACACACATCTGGACCTGGCTCCTTTCTTTATGCATCCATTCCATTTGCCCAGGCTCTGGGTCCCCAGCACTGTGTCCTGTGCAAAGCTGACCTCCATTGCTACACTACTGCTTGTCCAAACTTTCCCATCTTGAGGCTCTTTTCAGTGCTTCTGATTCGCCAATCTATTGAACTAATTCCTGTTAAGCTGCCAGTGCCATAGATTCATAGAAGCTTAGAGTTTTAACCCTTGAGGTCAAATGCAGGACCTTCATTTTACAGAGGAGAAATAGAAGATCTGGAGAAGGGGAGGTAGCCAGCCCAAATTCATACCGCGGACAGGCAGAATTATCATTTAGGTTCTCCCTGACATTCCAGTATAGACTCACCGACATAGAATCTAATCCCTGCTCAGCCATTTACTGATATAATTATGGAAAACTTGCTGAAACTCTCAAAGTCTCTGTCCTTGTCCTCTGTAAAATCCAGAAAATGGTAACTTCCACCTCACAGGGTTGTTATAAAGGTTAAATAACAATATATAGACCAGGCGCGGTGGCTCACGCCTAAAATCCCAGCACTTTGGGAGCCCGAGGCGGGTGATCACCTCAGGTCAGGATTGGAGACCAGCCTGACCAACATGGTGAAACCCTGTCTCTACTAGATACAAAAAATTAGCCGGGCTTGGTGGCACATACCTGTAATCCCAGCTACTCGGGAGGCTGAGGCAGGAGAATCCCTTGAACCCGGGAGGCGGAGGTTGCAGTGAACCAAGAATGCGCCATTGCACTCCAGCCTGGGCAACAAGGCCAAAACTCCATCAAAAAAAAAAAAAAAAAAAAAAAAAAAAGACATCTAACACGGTTTTAGCACAGCTTCTGACGTGCACTAAACATTTAATAAATGCTGAACAACTTGGAGCAGGATCTTAGAGGAGATGCTTTAGAGCAGGGTTCCCTTTTAGCCTTCAGCTCAGCCAATAGGTGTTTATTTTGACCACTTCCAGTAATGCACTTTGCTCATAGGTCTTTCAAGATAAACGGAACGTCCCTAATAATTAATGTTTTGGTTATGTGCCCACTTGAGAAGAGATACCACTTCAGCCTCTTCCGTCTCCGTGGTGCAGCCAGGCCCTAGCGTCTCTCCATCCCCGTTCCCCGCGGGCTCCCAGGACGGCGTCCGCGGGCCTCAGCGACTCTGCGGAGGGTTTCCGCGGGATGCTCAAGGGGGCAGTGTGGTCCTGCCGAAGAGGGCCGCCTCGCCTCGAGGAACGCCTTGGCCATTTTCACAGGAAAATGTTTACCCTGGAAATTAAATTATATTTGGGATTTTGGGTTTCCCCTCCCCCACCCCGCCGTGGGAGGTTTCGGAAAGTTACTGTGGTGCCCAGCGCAGTCAGAGGCCTGTCAGCATTTCAGCTCCGCGCGGCGGGCCCTGCGGCCTCCTTCAGCACCTGGGACCCCCGGGACCCCGGGCGTGTGAGGGCCGAGCCCCCCCGTGAGGCCCCTGGCTCCGCACCAGCCCAGCAACACCCCCTCCCCCCATTCTCCCATCTTTAGCCACTTTTGGATCAACAGCTTAGGATGAATTTCAAACTTAAGTTGGATGGTTTGAGAGGGTTGGGGTGTGTGTGTGTGTGTGTGTGTGTGTGTGTGTGTGTGTGTATGTGTGTGTGTTCCCAAATATTACTGAGAAAGTGCTCTTGAAATGCGCCCTGTGTATCCATGGATTCATGCATATTCATAGCCTGTTCCTCTCTGTAGGTTCAGGTTTTTCTTTTCTGTCAAACGAGGCATTAAGTAAATTCTAAGGTCTCCTGCATCTCTGACATTCCAGAGTTCTAGATATATAAGAATAGAGAGGAATCTGTGAAAAAGTCCAACCCTGGGGAACTCCTTCCTTTCTCTGTGGCTTTACACAGTGAAACCATCACCCAATGCTCTTGATAACTTAAAGATGAAAATTTCCTGTTCTCCAGATATCCTGCTCAATTCACCCATCATGTACCACCAAATATAGATTCACTGCACTTTGTCCTGTGTCAGGGACAGGGGTGGCTTCTGCACATAAAGTGGTGAAGAAAACAGGTACACTCCCTGCTCTAATGGGCCTTGAGGATTCGTGGGGATATCGCTGCTACATCAATAATCACACATAAAGGGGGTGAAATTACAAGTAGAGGTGAGCGCTTTGCAGGAAAAGTAAAGGGTAAGATAAAGTGTAAAGAGGATCTAATTTAGCATTAGGGGTCAGGGAAAGGGGAAATGATCTTCTAGCTAAGATATGAAGGACAGGTGGAAGGTGGCCAAGCAGTGTCTGTGTGGTACATCATGTGTAAGAACCAAATTACTGCCATAGAATGGCTGTTTGAGAGTGATAAACCCCCTCTTTTGGCATCCAAGGAAGAAATTAAGTCACTCTAATTCTCAGAGAACACTTATAGCAAAGTCCATGATAGTTCTTATAGGTAGTTATATTGTCAAAGATTCAGAGCCTCTCACAGTGAGAAGAAACCTCAGAGGTCACCTGACTCAAATCTGTTCTGATTTAAAAATCTCCTTCAAAATATGCTATACAATTATCAAGATTCTGCCAGGAGTCTCAGCTACTCAAGAGTCATTTTTCCCACTCTTGACAAGTCATTTTCCTGCCATTGAGTTCTTAGATTCCCATTACTTAGATTTTCCTTGCTAGACTGTAAATTCCATAGGGCAGGAATTTTGTCTTCTTTGTTCAATGGTGTTATCTCAAGTGTCATGAACAGTGATTGCCATGTAGTAGCCTTTCAAAGCACATTTATTGAATGAATTCACTGAGACTAAAATAGGCCTCCCTAGATTTTTGCTCACTGGCCTTAGTTCTGCCCTCTAGAACAACAAAGAACAAACCTAACATCTTATGTAAGGACAGTCTTATGGTCATTTAAAAATAGCCATCATTTTCTGGTTATTCTCTTCTCTCTGTTAAATACTTCCAAGTATGTAGTTTTGAAACTCTCAACATTTTGATCACTATTTGGGATTCAATCTGACATGACCAGTCACCTGATGTGTTTTGGCTCCATGGCCCTACCCAAATTTCATCTTGCTTGTAATCCCCAGGTATTGAGGGAGGGACTTGGTGAGAAGTGATTGGATCAGGGGGGCGTTTCCCCTATATGTTGTTCTGGTGATAGTGAGTGAGTTCTCAGGAGAGGTGACGGTTTTAAGTGTGGCATTTCCTCACTCTTTCTCTCTCTGTCTCCTGCTGCCATGTAAGACATGCTTTGCTTCCTCTTTGCCTTCCACCATGATTGTAAGTTTCCTGAGGCCTCCTCAGCCATGTGGAACTGTGAGTCAGTTAAACCTCCTTTCTTTATAAATTACCTAGTCTCTGGTAGTGTAAGTTCCAGTCTGAAAGCTGGCAGTCTAAAGACTCAAGAAGAGGTGATGTTTCAGTTTGAGTCCAAAGACTAATGTCTCTGTTCAAAGCAGTCAGACAGGAAGAGTTCCCCCTTGTTCAAGGGGGGGTCAGCCTTTTTGTTCTGTTCAGGTCTTCACCTATTGGATGATGTCTATCCATATTAAAACAGAGGGCAATCTACTGTTCAGTCTACCAATTCAAATGTTAATCTCATCTCCAAATAGCCATATCCAGAATAATGTTTTTTGTTTTTGTTTTTGTTTTTGTTTTTTTTTGAGACAGAGCCTCACTCTGTCTCCCAGGCTGGAGTTCAGTGGTGAGATTTCAGCTTACTGCAACCTCCACCTCCCAGGTTCAAGCAATTCTCATGCTTCAGCCTCCTGAGTTGCTGGGACTACAGGTGCATGCCACCACACCCGGCTAATTTTTGCATTTTCTTAGTAGAGACAGGGTTTCGCCATGTTGGCCAGGCTGCTCCTGAACTCTTGACCTCCTCAGCCTCCCCAGTTGCTGAGATTACAGGCGTGAGCCACCGTGCCAGGCCCAGAATAATGTTTGATCAACTATCTGAGCAACCTGCAGCCTAGTCAAGTTGACACATAAAATTAACCATCATATTACCTATCAGACTATCAAAGAAAAGTGTGTGTAAGGAAGCTTTGAAGAATTAACTTACAGTGAGAGATAGTACCTCATAGGTGAGAAGTAGCTAGTGGCATCTTCTGGGAGGAGGGTAATTGGTTGGGTTTGTATACAGGCAGAGGGAGAAGAAAGTTTTACCCTTACTAGGTCCAGAGGAACCTGTGGAACTAATGGCAATCATGAGAGCAGATGGGACAGATTACATTCAGAAAAACTCCTCATGCACTAATAATTTGCTTGAATAATTATTCTTTCTAATACTTACCCCCTCCACAATTTTGCTGTGAACTGGCAGTGAAGGCAGGACCAAAACCCAGAAAGAACTTATTCACTCTCAATCATTCTTTAGGCTTGGAAACTGGCCTTAACCCATTCAATCCAAAGGTGATAACTGTGGCCCAACCCCTTACCAGCTTCAGGATAAAACACTGATAATGAAAGGCAAACCCAGAATCATCAGGGCCTACAGCAACAGAGCTGGAAGTTGGGAATTGTGCTAACCAGAAATGTATTTGACTTTCTAATGCTGGGGTCCAATCCCAAATTAACTTATCTCATAATAAAATGTAAATGATCACTCTCTCAATTTAGCTATCACACATAGAAAACAGTTCATGCTTACTGGAATAAATAAAAAAAAATAGTGGTATAACTCAGTCTCCATTGTAATTCTATGCACAATTTAATACAATAAAATATTATGAGATGTGAAGAAGCTAGAAAATAATATCTATCATCAAAAAATAATTCAACAGAAACACAGATGAACTAGATATTGCAACAAGCAGACAAGGAGTTACATATTATTATAATAACGTTTTAGGATGCATAGGAAAAGATGAAAAAGTAAATGAATAGGCAAAGATCTCAAGAGAGGTTTGGAAAGTATTAAAAAAAAGAGCCAAAATAGAAATTCTGCAGCTAAAAAATACAGTAGCTAAAATAAATACATATTAGATGGCTGAAAAGGAAATGTCTAGCTCCAGATGGTTTTACTGACAAATTCTACCAAACATTTAAAAAATAGCACTACAGTCAGGTGCGGTGGCTCATGCCTGTAATTCCAGCACTTTGGGAGGCTGAAGTGGGTAGATCACCTGAGGTCAGGAGTTCGAAACAAGTCTGGCCAACATGGTGAAACCCCATCTTTACTAAAAATACAATAAATGGCTGGGGGTGGTGGCGGGCACCTGTAATCCCAGCTACTCAGGAGGCTGAGGCAGGAGAATCGCTTGAACCCAGGAGGTGGAGGTTGCAGTGAGCTCAGATTGTGCCATTGCACTCCAGCCTGGGCAACAAGAGCGAAACTCTGTCTCAAAATTAAATAAATAAATAGAAATAAAAAATAGCACTAATTCTACACAATATCTTCCAAATAATAAAAGGAAAGGAAAGATTCAATTCATTTTATAAGACGAACACTACCCTAAGACCAAACATAGACATAGATCAATGCCAAAAAAACAAAACTATAGACCAATATTTCTCATTATCCTAGATTCAAAAATTCAAAAAATTTTAGCAAATTGAATTCATCCATATAAAAGTATACCACAACCAAGAAGAGTTTATTCCAGGAATACAAAGACTGGTTTTGTATTCAAAAAAATTATCAATGTAATTTGACATATTACAGTGGATTTTGGTTTATATTAACTAAAGTTTATATTTATTAGTTTATATATAAACAGTTTAAATAAGAAAGACTTCATGATCATGTCAAATCATGCAGAAAAGCCATTCAAAATTGAATATAATGTGGCCTAAATTATACTCATTTTTATACCAATTTGGTCATAAAATGTAACCTTTAGTATCTTTTATTGAGAAAGGGACCCACAAAAGCAAATGTACCTAGGTCCTATGAAAGTCATAAAGCAATCCTACTCTGGAATTATATAGATAATAATTAGTTGGTAATCTTAAGTTGTATCACTGTAATATATCAGTTTGTTTCCTCATCTATACAATAGGAGATAATGAATAGTTTTTATTTCATAGGAGTGTCGATTTTCAAAAGATTATACAAATACCTAAAAGCTTATTAAACTGCTTTTTGTATAAGGAATAACAATAAATGGTAGCTGCTCTTAAAATGCATATATATGATATGATATGTACTTTGCTTAAACTTTCTGTATTTTTAGTTTATCAGTTAAATTGGGTTAGGACATTTGTATTACAAGACATTATACATTTTTGGAGATTCTTTTCCAGTTTCACAAAGTTTGCATAAGGCTTAAAAACTGCAGTTATACTTTGCAGGCTAATTCCCGTCCTAGCATTTATGCAAAGATCTACGAAGATCCAACCAACTCCTGTGGGCTTTTTATGGGATGATGATTCTGTCATATACTTTCTATGGCACGTAGGTTTCAGTTATCTTCTCAGTAGCAGAAAAATGACTTATATTCACCCACTTTTACTTTATACTTAGTCCTCTGTTTATTTTTCTCCTCTATAAAAAAATCACTTAATGGTAGAAAAGCTTTTAAAGATATAATTTGTTATCATTGGTCAGAGATTTTTCTCCGTATGAAATTCATTGATCCTATTGGATCAAACTGGTCTGATTGGCATCATGTTCTAATTTAGTGATTCTAAAACCCACCTACAGAAGCAGAGGGTTGTTGCTTTTTAATACGAACCACTGTCTCTCACTCTGCTGATTCAGGTTTTTTAGATAAATTATTTTAAAAGCTCTCAGGTGATTCTAATGATTGACCAGATATGGAAACCAATATCTTCTCAACTATCCAAACTATCACTCATGTGAAAAAGCATTGTTATTTTATGAAAATGGACTAGGGCAAGGGGAAGGAGCTCTGGCCATTGATGCCAAAAAAGCTCTTAGATCCTATTTTTTCTTAAAAGTATGATTATGTGTAGAGTGATGAAAGTTTGTTTGACATAGTCATCTTAGTCATTACTGAGGCATAAATGACTTTGAGAATCTTATCAGTGCTATCGATAGACCCTTTCTCCAGGAAATTCAGAACATTTCACAGACAGTTTCAGAGAGTTAAAGATTTTTTAGAATATTTCTAAAACAGAGCTTTCAGATGAGCTGAAATGGACTATGGAGGTTGTCTGTAAGGTGACCCACTCAAGCTCTCAGCTAGCACGTTGAATTGGATGATATTGGGTAGTACTGGAGGCCAACCACACTGCAGAGTTTATTCTACTACATTCAGCTTTCTTTTCTTTTCGTTTTAAAGGAGGGTAATCTAACATATTATGTCTAAACTTTAATTACTTGGCTCACAAATAATAATGGAAACCTTCCTTCTCAAAGAGTGACAGAAAATAAAATACAGGCTGTGGGGAAACTCTATACATCCTTGGGTCTCAGTTTTCTTCATAAGATGAAGGGACTTATTGGGTCAGAGCAATGGATTTATTTTTTTTCTGACTATGTTTTTAATTTCAAAATATTTTAACCACACTAAATGAAATGATATAACAAACCCACATATATTTACCATCTGAATCAAAAAACCTTAATATTCTGCCATATTGGCTTCCAGTTTTTTAAAAGAGGTAAAATGGAACAACCACAATTGAAAATCACTGTATGTACTATCTTGATCTCATCTCCCTGCCTTCCAGAGGAGGCTACAATCCTGAAGCTGCTGTGTGTCATTATTGTTTTTGACTTTTATTACGTATATATCAAAAAATACAATATAATTCTACAAGTTTTGGAATTTGAGTTAAATCAAATTTGATCAGACTCTACATATTGTTTTGCAATTTATTTTTTTACTCAACTTTATATTTTTGAGATATTTCCATTTTGACATTTGTAGCTCCAGTTCATACATTTTAAGTGTTATATACTATTCTGTTGAAGTAATATATACTAGAATCTCAGAATAAGTGTGAAATTCAAGTGCAATGGAATTTATCTTTGAAGAATAAGACAAGAGTATGTCTTCTTATCTCCAGTATCCTTTCAGCATAATTTCATTGAATATAACCCTCAAACAAAAGGAGGTGACAATGAACTGGAAAAGTCGTGGTACTGTAACCACTCTCCTGGAATTTTATTCCAAATATAAGGCCAAGAAACACTCCCATTGATATTTAAGCTGAGTCATACAACTTCACCAGGTACTGCCAAACCATAGAGAGTGAGACCCAAGAACTGCAAGATCTCATAACTAAAATCCTTATTTTACCTGGCTGAATGTTTGAACCTCATTTATTGTATTTTAGAGAGATTTTACTGTACAATAGTTAATTTATATGTTCTCCTATTGATGAATATTTTGGTCATTTCTAATCACTCATTCCTAGTGTTTTTAATATCATTTTATGTTTTCTTCTACCCAGGTTTGAGTATTTCTCTAGAGAATTCATCTAGGAGTGAAACTGTTGAATAAACAGCTCTGCAGATCTCCTCCAAGTGATTGTACTAATTTATTCTCTAACCAGCCATTATGGGCTGATTATCTGTGCCCTCCTCAAACTCATATGTTGAAGCCTCAATCCCTAGTATGATAGTATCTGGAGATGGGACCATTGGGAGGTAATTAGGTTTAGACTAGATCACAAGGGTGGAGCCTTTATGATGGGATTAGTGTCCTTATAAGAAGAGGAAGTGAAATGAGAGCTCTCTCTGTCAGCATGCACACAAAGAGGTCATGTGAGCACACAGAGTGATGGCAGCTGTCTGCAAGCCAGCAAGAGGGCCCTTACCAAGAACAGAATCTGTTGGCACCTTCATCTTGGACTTCCCAGCCTCCAGAACTGTGAGAAATAAATGTCTGTGGTTTAAGTCACCTAGTCTAAGGTATTTTGTTATAGCAGCCTGGGCTAAGACACTAGAATTTACAAAACTTCTCATTGATCCACGACTTCATTCAGCATTTACTGGCATTGTCAGATTGATGCAAATCTGATAAACATAAAAAGGTATCCCATTTTGGTATTAATTTACATTTCCCTGATAACTGGGGAGGTGTAATACGTTTTAATGATTTTGGTCCCTTCAATTACCACCTGCGAATTAACTGTTTACATATTTATCACATTTTTAAAAGAACAGTTGTCTTTTTATTATTGGTTATGTTAATATGTCATAGATCTGTTTATAATATATTAACATATGAATTTATATTTTAAATAACATATATCTATATAAACTTATGTATACAACACATATATGTTTATGTAACATATGTCATTTATTTATATAAAACATGTTACTTACATAACATATTTATAACATGTTATAAATATAACATATTTATAGTTATATGTTATATATTACACATATAATATTAAAATATATTTATATTATATATAGCATATTTTATATGTTATGTGTTATCTGTTACACATACATTAACATAAGTAATATGTTAATAGTCAACATAACATATTTAAATTATAACAAATTTATAACATATACATATTTTAACATATAAAACGTGTATATTTATATGTTACATATTATAACATATGTTATAAATATAACAACATTAACATATATGTATTAATATTATCTTTCAGTTCATGACTTGTCTTTTAATTTTGCTTATGGTGGTTTTCTGTCCTACACAAGTATTTACTTAAAAAAACTTGAAACATAAGCTATACACAGGAAATTGCACACAGCATAGGTGTACAGCATGAAGAACACACCTATGTAGCCAGCACCCCAGAGGCCCCATCATGCTCCCTCTCAACAAACCTTCCCACAAAGGTGAACACCATCTATCTACACTTACTACTTAGTTGTGTCTGTTTTCTGAACTTCATATAAATAGAATAGTGCAAAATATATTATTTTCCTCAATAAGGTGCTACTTAAATGTTTCTGTGTTTTTTTGTAAGGCAATAGTTTGTTCCTTCTCCTAATTCTTTATTTTATTATTAGAATATACCATAGATTATTTTTTCTACTATTAATAGACTTTTTCTTCTCAGTTCTTGGCTAATACAAATAGTTTTCCTATGAACATTCCTATACATGTTGGAGAATATATGCAAACAGAACATTTTGGTTTGACATATAGCTACAAGTGGAATTGCTGGTCCTAGAGTCTGCACAGTACCACACAGTATTTCTAGTACTACACATTATTTCAAAATTTTACACCAATCTCTATTTCTACCAGCAATGCCTAAACAGTCCTATTGCTCCACAACAATGCTGTCTTTTGGTATTGACAATAATTTTCATTATAGCCATTCTTTATGTGTAGTATAGGCTCTTGGTATTTGTAATACATATTTTTCTGGTGACTAATGAAGCTGAATATCTTTTAAAATTATGTTTTTTGGAATTTGAATTTCCTCATCTTTTGTAAGGGCTGTTCAAGTCTTTGGTTTATTTGAAGTAATGGTTGTCTGTATTTACCTTTTCTTTGTATATTCTAGACCCAAATATTTAACATATACATGTTATGTATGTATATGTATATTACATATGGCATGTTGTATATGTGTAAAACATGCATAGGTATGTATATATTTTATACATGTTTGTGTATGTATGAATATGTATATTCACCCAGAAATATATATACACATATGTAAGTATACATACATAATATATGATATATATTTTTATATGTGTGTGTGTGTGTGTGTGTGTATAAAGTATCTTCCCTCATTCAATGATCTGTCATTCAATCCCTAATGGCATTTTTTTCTTCACTGTATGACTTTTCTATGCTTTCTATATTTTATATTTACATATTCTATATTTTCTATATATCTTGAATCATAAAATTACCTTTTAAAAATTGAGGCATAGCATAGTCACAGAAAGGCACACTTCAGTGCATAACTCAAAATTTCACACATTGAACATGTCCACATAACCAGGCCCCAGATGAAACAGGATACTGTAAGTCCCAAGTCTTCCTTGCATTTCTTTCCAGTCACAGTTTTCCAGGTGGGGGTGGGGAGTCACTAACCTGACTTCTAAATGCATGGAGTGGGTTTTCATATTTTTAAATTTAATATAAATAATGTGATACTTCTTTTGGGGGGTGTCTGGTTTAGTTTGTTTAATAATAGATTTTGTTGCTGTCTTAGTCCTTTTGGGCTACTATAACAAAATACCATAAACTCAATGGCTTATAAGAAACAGAAATTTACTGCTCACAATTCTGGAGGCTGGGGAGTCCAATATCAGGGCACCAGCAGATTCAGTGGCTGGTGAGGGTTCATTTCTGGTTCATAGATGACACCTAGCTACATCCACATAAGGTGGAAGGGAGAAGGCAGATCTCTGGGGCTTCTTTTATAAGGGCACTAATCCCATTTATGAGGGTAGAAGCCTCCTGTCCTAATCACCTTTTTAAGTCCTCACTTCCTAATATTATCACCTCTGAGGTTAGGTTTACAACATATGACTTTTGCAGAGACACAAACATTTAGACCATAGCAGTTGCTTAGAGCAACTATTTTATTGTTAAATAGAATTCTCTTCTATTAATATGCCATAATGTATTAATCCTACTCTAGACGGATATTTTGATAATTTTTATGTTGTAGCTGTTACAAATAACACAGCTATGAATGAACAATATTGTAGATTTTTTGAGAGCATATATATGCATTTCTTAGGTGTAGAATTGCTAGTTCATAGGATATGCATGTGTTCAGCATTAGTGGATACTTCCAAATAGTTTCTTCAGTCTTTTTTTTAAGCCAATCTACACTCCCCTCAGCTGTCTTTAGATATTTGAAGAAGCCAGCCAAGTCCAGAGAACTAAAAAACCCACTTACAGACTTGAAGTTGAAACAAATGGTTATGTCTTTGAACAACTGAGATTAAGGGTAGTTTGTCACACAATATTATTGCCTCAATAGACACCTGATTGACTTGCATTCTTGGAATAAACTCTCATTTGGTTATATTATCCTTTTATATACCACTGAATTCTAATTGTTAATATTTAGACTAATGATTTAACAATTTTTACATCTATGTTCATTAGCCTGTTGACATTTAAATTGCCTTTTTTGTAATGCCCTTGTCATATTTTAATATCAAGCTATGCTGACCTAATAATTTGAGATGAGAATATTCCCCTCCCCAACTCTAAACATTTCCTCCCCTAATCTCTTCCAGAGTGTGTGAGAAATTGGTGGTGTTTCATCCTTAAATGTTAGGAAGAAATCACTGTGAAAGCCTTCTAGTCCTTGAGATTATTTAGCAGAAAGAATTTAAATTATAGATCAATTTAATTAATATATATGAAATTATTAATATTTATTTCTTCTCATTTCAGTTTTGGGGATTTCTAGAAAGGTATCAATTTGACTAAAACTCTCAAGTTTACTTATATAAAGTTGTTAATATCCTTTTATTTTCTAGTAATATCTGCAACATCTATCTGTGGCGATGACCTCATTTTAATGTCTGATATTAAGGGGTTTTCCCCTTCTCTGTTTTTGATCAGCTTTTTTAGCTGAGTCCATGAATTTTATTAGCCTGTTTTGTTTTAAGAACCATTTTATTGTTTAATTTTTATATTAATAAATTTGTCTTCTATCAATTTGTTCACATCAAGATTTCTGGATTTTTTTTCATTTTCTTAGGGTAAGGTTTTTTTCAACTTTTTTAGATTGGATACTTTCATATTTTCTAATATATTCATTTTAAGCCTATAAATTTTATCCTTAATAGCTTCAGCTTTACTTCACATCATCTAATAGCAGTAGTTTCATCATTATTTAGCTCAAATACCTTATATTATTTTTTGTTAATTCTATTTTGATGTGGATTATTTGGAAGTATGCTGACTATTTTTTAAAGAGTAGAAATTTTCTGGTGATCTGTTTGTTTTCAATGTGTTGGTTCATTCTCCTGTGGTCAGAAAACAGGCTCCGAATGGTGTATCTATCCTTGTTCTGTGTCCCAAGCAGAGAACAGGTTCAGGGTATAAAATTATCACGCCATCTTCAAATTGAGAGTTATAGGGTCTTGTGGTTCTTTGAGTTACCTAAGAGTCAGAAAGAGAAAAATCAGGCTGAATTCTATTCTCCCCCTGCCCTATTTCATTTTATTTACAGCACACCTACCTTATCTGTTTTACTGACTAGGTTTTGGTGTAAGATTTTTTTAAAAAGAATTTCGCATCCTGACACTACTAAAAATACAAAAATTAGCCAGGCATGGTGGCGTGTGCCTGTAGTCCCAGCTACTTGGGAGGCTAAGGCAGGAGAATCACTGGAACCCAGGAGGCAGAGGTTGTGGTGAGGCGAGATCACACCATTGCACTCCAGCTGGGAGACAGAGCAAGACTCCGTCTCAAAAAAAAAAAAAAAAGGATTTCACTGCTGAAAATGTTTATAAACCACTGTATTATTAGAATATCCTGCAGTAGTTTAGTTATAAAATTTCATTATTCTATATATTTTGCTATTCGGAAAAATCATATTACCCTTCTGGGTTCAGAATGATCTAATCAGGTTGACATGGTATGCTGACCTCCATACAGTTGATTCATTAAACTTATCCAGTTACATTATTATTATGTTAATGTACATATATGATCTGGGTGTGAATGACCAGATGGACGTCTGCTAAGTTTTATAAAAACCAATATAGCTAGTTATCAAGTAATCTAGTAAAAAATATTCAACCCATCCTGAAGATCAAAGACATGCATGTTAAAGCAGTAGAGTCATATAATTTTCTTTATTTATCAGAATGGCAAATATTAAGTATTTTTATACACTTCTAGTGAGAATCTGTATTTAAAATTAGATGGCTTTTTTTTTTTTTTTTTTTTTTTTTTGTCTAAGGAAAGATCTGGACCAGAGTCAGGTGTCACAAACTCAAATGCCTACAGGAGCCAGAAAAGGGAAACCAGATTGACATTTCTCTTTCCCATGGAAGTGTTCAATTTTGAAAGCTTTCTATGAAGTTCTAGGAGTGTGTCTAAAAATAATGAATAGAGCCAGTATGTATTTCAAGTATAAGACAACAATTAGATATACTCAAACATGAAGCATTTCAGCACCAAATGACCCTTCTTATCCCAAATGCATACATGCACTTGCTGACAAGTTCTGCTTTAAAAGCATAAAGCAAAAAAAAAAAAATTAAATGAGAACTGAAGGAGCCATAGTAAAAAAAGTATTAGTGGTGTGTGCTGAATCTTTTTAAATCTAAAACTAATATAAGCCAATTATGCAAATAATATTTATGGAACAGATTAGTCATGCGACAAAATATAATAAAGATAATGATAAACATAATAAAATTACTTCAAAAATTTAAAAATGCAGTTAGAAGAGGTAGGAGAAGGTGTGAGATTTTTCTTTGTTAGAGTAATAGGGTCAAAACTGAAATTTGCTAAAAATATCAAACACATAGATTTCAACTACTACATAGCCTTTCATCAGTCTTAGAGGGATATTTTTGGAAAATAATAAATGAGGTCATTATACTTTTCCCCCTTCTATGAAAATCAAGTTAAAATAAATGCTTTTATGCAAAATCACTGCATGATCTTTTTAAAATAAGTTTTCGAATCCATTACTGTTCTATGCATATAAAAATGGTATTTGAGATGATAGTCCCCCAATAATAATGGATATTTCTTGGTGGAAGATTTAAGGTGACAAAGGTGTTTTCTTCTTTCTACTGTTCTCCATGTCTAAAATTATTTAAAAAGATCAGGCAATAATGTTACAAGAACTTTAACTCATCATTTTTCTTCTTCAAATAAAAATAAAGCAAATATCAAACAAACACATGAAAAAAATTGTGTGCTTCATTCTATATACTAATTGTGACCCAAATGATCACTGAGATTTCTGTAATTCTAAACCATATCAGTCTGGTTCTAACTAATGAGCAATAAGAAAACTCATGAGACAGCTGTCCTTGCCCCTCAGAGGACATCCCATCTCCTGTCTACTCTTGCCTTGGAACTGGATCTATCCTCCCTCCCACCTCTACCCAGTAGCTGCCTCTTCTGCTGTCTCTGCGTAAAGGTTCTTCCATGGTCTTACGTAAATTGGAATTTAAATCCTGCAAACTACATTGTGAGACTAATGGATCGGAAGAGATCTTTCCTCTCTGCCTACTTCTCCCTTGAAGGGAACCGTATTTATTGCTTTAATTAGAGCACCAAGCTGTAGGAGTAAATGCAAGTCTTCAGCACTTCTCCTGACAGCTTTAAATTGGGGAGGCAACTTGGAAAACTTCTGTTGCAAAAATGCCAGCTGGATAATTAGTACTATGTGGCTAACAGTTTAAAAAAGCTGGGAGGGGAGACAAGAATTAGTGTAAGCATCTTTAACACACTTTAACATTCTAAAATGGGTTTCCAAAAATGTTGCTGCTGAAATGTTTGCAAGATTTTTGTTAAATGTGGCTTCATGTATTAATGTTCTTTTTGTGTGGAGGGAGGAGGAGGTGTTGACATTCATCCAACCTGCAGCAAGTGTCACTGGATTGCTGAGCTGGCTTTCTCTCTGTGCTGAAAGGAAAGAATAATTCCCTCCAATTATTCCTCCAGGGAGAATTAAATTTGCCAACTGATTAAGGCAAGAAAATACAAAGTTTCTCAAAGAATTTTGGGAATTTAGCATGGTCTGAATAAGTCATAAGTTTTTAAGATAGTAACCTGTAGTGTGTCCAGGGTGATGTCCAAAATTGCTAATGACTACTGAGGTACGGTCCAGGCCAATCAGAATAGAAGCTTGGCATTATGCTGTACAGGTACACAATACTTCAATATTAGCTCTGGTTGAATCTCCTTTTTTGCATACAATGTACCTCTGCTTGTTTAGAAAGAAGGGTAGAAGCTTTTGGTGGTCTCTCTAGAAGATGAAACTGTTTATAGTCAGATTTAACTACTTTTTATAAATTTTGAACACGATCATCTTTCATTCACTTATTCATTCAACAACCCACAACATTGAAGCCACTATGTGCTGAATAGTAAAGCTTCAAAGACAAACAACAAAGACCACAATGTCTGTCTTTATAGGTTTGTGTTTTAAAGCAGGGATCAGCAAACATTTTTTGAAAAGACCCAGATAACAAATATTTTCAGCTTTGCAGATACATGGTACCTGTCACAACTATTCAACTCTTCTGCTGTAACATAAAAGTAGCCATCGGCAATACATGAACAAATGAATGTTGGAGTGTTCCAATAACACTTTCTGGATACTAGATATTGAATTTCATATAATTTTTACATGTCATGAAATACCATTCCTCTTTTGAATTTTTCTGACCATTTGAAAATGTTAAAAACCATCCTTAGCTGATAGGCAGTACTAAAACTTGTGGGTGTCTAGATTTGATCCATGGCCTGTAGGGTTCCTGATCTAGAGAGTTGACAGTGGAGAGGCTCAAGTCACTAGGGTCAATTGGCTGATGTTGAAAGTGAAGAGACAGAACACCATCTGGCATAGATGACTGCACGCCCATTGCTGTGTGAATTGAAGAACGTTGTTGCTGGAAGAAACCTCAGAGAGGCCTTGAATGCCTTTAAAGGGTATTTGCTTCACTTTCAGGTCATTTTCAACCAACTGACCCAGTCACCTTCAATGGCAGGACTTGGAAACTTCCCAAGGCAGCCCACTTTATTGTTGGATAGAGACATTTTCATTAAATTTGTACTTTTATTTCCTACAAATATATGGATAAAAAAGGACTCTGAATCCCAGTAAGACTTAGGATCCTTATTTTGCAATCTTTGGCAGGCCTCAGAGAATGAATGTAAACAACTTTTCCACAAGACATATATTACAGACAGTTATCCCATCACTTGTAAGTCTTTGGCTATATTTTTTGCCAATTTTTGGTCACATAATTTGTTTTTCCTTATTGGAAGGTTGAAAAGGCATGGTTCTAGGTTTCCTATTCTTTCTGATTCCTTCAAGTATTCAATACTAGCTCATTTGTTTACAGAATGGAGAAAATTAAAAAGAAGCTTAAGGAAAAGAAAATTAGGTTGTTTCCTTTTAAAGTGGTGATTCAAAACATGTTTGCATAAAAATAACAATATGAGCCAATGTGCCCTATTAAAATTAATCTGCTTATATAATAAGGTTTTTGGACCATGAGGCACAGCGGTTTTGCCTTGAGAAAAAGTGCTAATCCCAAATGAGCCTTGTCTTCTTTGCAAAGTGAATATTACCAAAGCTAGCAAGTCTCCTAACCTTTCCTCTAATTTCTAATCTTTATTAAAATATAAGGCAATTTGTTAAAGTCATTTTAGTAACAGAGGTTGTATTTAAATGGGCCAAAGTACTGGGGCAAAAATGCATGCTGAATTGTGTGTGTAGGGGGGGTGGTGTATGCATGTCTGTCTGTGTGTAACTGCATTTATAACACTATATTTTAATTGCTGGACATTGTGTTGTATAATAAATATTACAGACTTCGAAGTTAAACTGATTATATCAAATAGCTCCATCACATAACATTTGGATAACTTTGGGCAAGCTACTTCTCAACTTATCTTTAAGTCTTAGTTTCTTCATTTGTAAAATGAGAGTAATAATATACATTTTATAGCATCAAATGAAAAATGTTAGCAAGCTGTTTAAGAGAAAGTTCTGGTATTTGAATATCATTATCTTCTTCTTCCTTTCAGCCTCTACCAAATTGCTTGTAAGGCTAATAATTGACAAAGTGGGAGTAAGAGAGAAAAGAAAATGAGATTCTGGAAACCCAGTAGGAAAAAATTTCAAGCTAGAGCTACAAATACATTATCCAAGAGATTCACTCTCTGGTTTCTTTATCCTTTCCCTAGAGTAATTAAAATATGACTGTAATATGATTAAATGTTTAGTTTAAAAAGAAAATCTCTTTCTCATCTGAAAGTTATTATAAGGAAGCAGACTGGTGTGGTTCTCATTTAAAAATGTAAATGTTGGTTTAAGTGTGTGAGATTGTCTCAAAGTCTAATAAGAAATACTTTGGCTCTTCTAATTGGAAGGTTGAAAAGACGTGGTTGTAGGTTTCCTATCTTTCTGATTCCTATTGCATTCCTGGAGGTTGGATTAACTTTGGGCACAAAGATATTTGGATGCTAGCTAACAATTTTCTAGCAGTTTGCTCTGTACTTTTTGATTACGCACTTTATGAGAATCAATTTCGTTAGTCCTCACAACAAAGTGACAGACACTATTATACTCCCACGTTACAGATGAAGAAACTGAGTCAGTTTGGACTCACATTAAGGTAGCGACAGAGCCAGAATCGCACTCCAGGCTGGCTGGCTATGGTTTGCATTGCCCTTCCTGAGTTCCCCAGGGCATTTCTCCCCTCTCCACTTTCCCTCATCCTTTCTTCCCACTTCAGTGGGAGAAAAAGGTACTATAAACCTGATGAACAGGGGTCCTAAATCTATACACCTATAAGGCTCATGACATGAATGAGTGTAGGCCTTATAAGGAGATATAGACCGAATGCCATGTAAAGGGAACAGTCACCACTCAGCTGTAATTAATTTTTGAGTAAAGGGAATTCAATTTGTTCAACATTTAGCAAACACTTAACCCATGCCAGACAGTCTCCTTGGCATTCACACGGCTGTGGTTAAGGAAATAAAACCCCTGTGTTACAGGTTTTTATAGTGTCTTTCCCAATAAAAACCAAAAAACATGTCCACTCAGAACTTCAGAATGTGACGCTATCTGGAAATAGGATGTTTACAGATGCAATTAAAGCAAGATTGTGGATGAGATTAAACTAGATCAAGGTGGGCCCTAAATCCAATGAAAGTGCCTGTAAGAAACAGAGAAGAACACACAGACACTCGGGAAGAAGAGCACCTTGTGAAGATGGAAGAAGACATCGGAGTGATGTCTCTGCAGGCCAAGGAACGTGAAGCATTGCCGGTTACCACTAGAAACTAGGAGAGAGGTATGGAGCAGATTCTCCGATTTCACCAATTTTTCAGCCAAAACACTGGAAAATAACTAAGCGACCAGAAGTTCAGGAATTGTTAAGCTAGAATTTGATATATTCATATGATTGACCATTTCGTGGCTATTTAAAAATAATGTTAAAATATTAATTTGAATGCAAAGATACAGTGCCATATAAAGTTAAAAAGCAGAAGAAAAGATATCTGGTCTTAACTGTAAAAATATATGCATAGAAAAAATTCAGGAAGAAACTGCAATAAAATGCAGTAATTGTTTCTCTTTGTGTTGGGGTTATCTTGATATTTTTCTGTAAGCTTTATTTATTTTGCATTTTTTTCTTATGAATATGTGTTGATTTTAGTATCAGAAAATAACATTTGTTTTAAAAAGCAGGAAAAGCACTGAGCGATGGATGTTTTCTAGATGTGTATTCTATTCAATATTATCAGTAGCCTCTCAACAAGATGGTAAAAATTGGCCTTTAAACCTAAAACAACTCATAGATCTGGGAGAATCTGAAGGGCAGACCTTTAACTGTTGATTTTATTCTAGCCCAGGGAGGATGAGTGCAGTAAAAAATGTTAGGGCTAGAAGGATAACTGGAGCCTGGAGGTCTGCACTGTGCTACTTCGTAAGAAAAATTTGTGATAATGATATTTTTTGAGACAGTAAAACACAGACCTCTAGGTGTGAATAAAACACCTAAGAGAAATCTATGTTAAGAGGCCAAATGATGAAGAAATAGCCTACAATTCAATAAAGGTAAGCATAAGGGTTTTGTTTATGTTTGTTCATTTTCACCCGATTAAAAGAGAATTTTACAAGATGACTACAGAAGGGGATAATGACTTACTTTTCAAAAAGAGATGATTTTAGAGTTAACAGCAAGCTTTCTTGATACATAAAAATGTCCAATTTTTAATCATTGAAACAGTCAATAAGAAAGCAATGGAAAAAGAAACAATTAGGGTGTGAACAAATCATTGCCAAATTGCAGATCCTCAGAAATGAAGGCAAATGATACTAGAAGTCAACAGGATTAGAGTATAAACACTTGGTTTACAGCCATGTCTTTGGGAATTCAGCTTTAGGGACTCTCCAAATTAGATTTATTCTGAGTTGCTAGCCAAACAAGACTAGTGAGTTGAAGCTACAAAAAGTCAGCATTTCATTTCAATGTAAAGATTTTTTTTCTATTCATTAAGAATATTTTCAATGGATTTGGACTATCTTCTGTGCTAATGACTCAAGTCACTATGGGGCCCCATCAGAGGTCATGCCATTGCAATTGGGTTGATGAAGCTCCCATACCATGTAGTATCTGGTCATCCCACCCCCTCATGTGCTCTTCTTTCCTTATTTCCAATTTAGTTAATGATATCACCGTATTCCACCCAGTTGCCTCAGTTGGTAATCTCAAGGTCATTTTAGCCTTATTCCACCTCCTCATACTGCTATAGTTCAAACCTTTGTGTCACCCCAAAATTCATAGGTTGGAATCTCTTCCAAGGTGATGGTATTAGAAAGTGGTCCCTTTAGGGGGTGATTAGGTTATGAGGGTGGAACTCTCATAAATGGGGCTACCATCCTTAGAAAAGAGACTACAGAGAGCTAGCTAGCACCTTCCACTGTGTGAGAAAGCAGCAGGAAGACTCCCTCTTGAACCAGAAAGTGGGCCTTAGACAGACACCAAACCAGCCAGTGCCTTGATCTTGAACTTCCCAGCCTCCAGAGGTTTTAGAAAAAAAGGTCTGTGGTTTATAAGGTACCTAGTTCAGGATATTTTGTTACTGCATCCTGAATGGACTAAGACACATACCAAATTGGGTAGAAATGAAAGCCTTAGAGAAGTGCATGTAATGTACCAAGTGTCTACTAATCTTTTCACTCCTCCAGTGCCATATTGTTCAAGCTTTTGTCATCACCCATGTGAACTTTTACAATAAACCTGTAATTGGCCTCCTATTCTTTCATTCTTGCTCAATCCATCCAACCAATTTTACTGATAGATTAAGAGCTCAGTTTATTAGCTCAAAGACTCACAACATATAGGCACTCAATAAATATTTGGTGAGTCAGTGAATAGATGAATATGTATAATAAGTAATAGAATACCAATCCAAATATGCCTTCCCTGCTTAAAAGCTCCTCCAACCTTATTACATACAGGTTATAGCTCAAATCTTTTAATTTGATCTGACTCCTGCAAAACTTCCTAAGCTCATTTCTTGACACATATTTTGATGCACAGTGGGTCTCTAGTATTGAACTAGAATAGTGATTCTCAAACCTTATCATACATCAGAATAAGCTGGCAGGCTTGCAAAAACACAGATTGATAGATTCTACTTCCAGTATTTATGACTCATTAGGTCTAGGGTTGGGCCAGAGAATTTGCATTCCTATTCATTTCCCACATGTTGATGATGCTGCTGGTCTAGGGACCATACTTTGAGAATCTCTAGGCTAGATTATCTAAAAAATTCTTTCAGCTATGATAGTCAATGATATTTGGTATTAAAAAGACCTCAAAGACTTATATTTGTAACTCAGACTAATTTTATCCAATATGATACTATTTGAAGTGATAATTTTGTTTTTAAGCCAGATCAGAAAAGCTAGAGAAATGTTATAGAAGGGAATATGGTGTCTTTTCCTTTTTTTTTTTTTTTTTTTTTTAACTTTCTGAGCTCTAAGGTATAAAGACACATTATGCCCTGGAGCTCAGAAAGTAAAGAAAAGGAAACCTATCACTGGCCCTGTAGAGTTACTAGGTTCTAGTGGTTAAGAATGTAAGTTTCATCATTGTAAAGACTTATGCTGAGTTCCAGCCCTGCCCTCACTACCTGTGAAATCTTAGGCAGCTTATTTAACCTCATTAAGCCACAATCTCTCCATCCTTCAAATGCAGATGGCACCAGGATCTATGTCACAGGGTTGCTAAGGGGATTAACGTATATAATGTGCTTAGCTGGATGCCTGGAACATAGTTGTGTGCATGAAGTAATGCCATTGTATGTTTAACAGGTAAGAATCTTGGTCCACAGAGTCAGTTGATAAGAATTGTAATTTATCTATTTTTATGTGACTCCATTTAATTTCTCTTAATAGTACATATTCTACCATTTGACAAAAGATAAATTCAAGTCAATTCAGTCCCCACCCAACTTCCTTTCCTTCAAGTTGCATCTGCTTTCTAGGGACTTGTGTGGTGCATTGGAATGGTGTTTGGGGATACTTCATTAGTTCTATGTCATTAACAGGTCTACACTGGTATCCACTGAGAAAGACATAATTGTGACTATCCTTTGGTCATGGGTCAAGCAGGTCACTGTTATATTATTCTAAACCATAAGATCACTTTAAGTTAGACTTTGTCTCATCTGCTTCTTTACCACCCGTGAGGACACAGGGGAAATTCTGCTGCTGTCCTAGACTTCTCTAAATCAAGGGAATGCATTGGGTTTGTTTAAGAGCCTTCCTCTGTGGTTTCCTGGAAACAGAGGAAATTGTTCCACTGCCTCCAGCTTCTCACTGGTATATGTGGGGACTCTGGGGATCTGCCTCAATCCATTGTGCACATAGGTAGCATGCCTGATATGGCTTGACTGTGTCCCTACCCAAATCTCATCTTGAATTGTAGCTCCCATAATCCCCTTGTGTTGGGGATTATGAGGGACTGGTGGGAGGTAATTGAATCAAGGGGGCAGGTTTTTTTCCATGCTGTTCTTTCATGATGGTGAATAAATTTCACGTGATCTGATGGCTTTATAAAAACAGTTTTCCTGCACATGCCCTCTTGCCTGCTGCCATGTAAGATGTGCCTTTGCTACTCCTTTGTCTTCTGCCATGATTGTGAGTCCTTCCCAGCCATGTGAAACTGTGAGTCCATTAAAGCTCTTTTTCTTTATAAATCCACCTAGTCTTGTTTATGTCTTGGCTTGTAATTGATATAAATGGATAAGCCAAAGAAGAAGATAAAATAAAATCATAAACAATGTTCAACTAACCCAAGAGAAGTCGCAAAAATAAGGAAGCAGAAAGAAAAAAAAATGAACGCAATATTAAATTGGTGCAAAAGGCATTGTGTTTTTTGCAGTTATTAATAAAAGTAATATGGCAGGCATTGTATCCTAGGGGATCATAGATATGGTCTTCTCTTCCTCCTCTTACAGCTGTAGCCTGGACTCCACACTATTCCTGTTTTTCTTGTACATATAGGAGTTTTTCTTTCTAAATCCTTCCCCAATATGCAGTAGGTTTTCATTAATGCTCCAAAGGCAATGATGTAAGGATGTAAAAGTAATTAAAGTCAGAAAAGAGCTGACAAGATAGAAGATATTAACTCAATATGTTAATATCACTCTTAATATCAATATATTGAATTTTAAAATTAAAATTCAGAGATTGTCAGAATGGGCAAGAAACAAGACCCCATACTGCCTACAGGAAACTTAATTTAAACATATGCAGATTAAAAATAAAGTGCTAAAAATGATATACCATGCAGACATTAATGAAAAAGTGGGAATAATTATTAATAATATAAAGCAAAGTAGCATTCAAAGCAAGACATATTATTAGGAATAAAGAAAAATACTAGGTAATGATAGACAGGTCAATTCTCTAAGAAAATATAAAAGTCTTCAATATGTGTGTACCCAGCAATAAAGTTTCAAAATTCATAAAGCAAATACAGACTTGAAAGAATAGTGAAATCCATGTTAGGCTAAACTAATTGCACGCTGATGGCTCTATTATTTTTTTAAAAAATGCCCTGGGGCATAAATTTATTCCATGGCTTAATCCAATTAAGGTTGGGGAAGGGTAAGTTTCAGTGCCCATCTTTGAATGTTTTCTGACACCAGGAGGGTTCTAAACTGTCTTTCCCTCTGGTTCTCTCTAGTGAACCAGCTGGCCTATGGTTTAGCTTGTCACTCTTAATTCAGAGAAACTATTGTTTTGAAGCTTAGGTTTACACTTCCCACATTTTGTTTCAAACAGTCAGTTTCTTTGAGAAGAGATCTGAAGCTCTCTGCTCTTATGGACTGCCTGTTGCCCTGGACAGACATCTCTGATCCACTATGTTAGGTATTTGGTAGGGCAATAGCCTCTGGTCTACTTGTCTTACTTCTTTCAATGTGAAACTTCTGCACTCTGAGTGAGCTGGAATGAAAGTGATCAGGGGCCCATCATTATTGGTATTCCATGCTCGGGGGAAAACTTTCATCCTATGCATGAAGGCTGGGTGGGAAAAGGAAGGGAAACCCAGATCTTTAGGGCATATTCACCAAGAATTTAATCTCTGCATTTTGGAGTTGGGTGAGGGATAAGTAAAATTTGTGGCCTGGCCTTCTCAGTGAGATACTTGTGTCAGGCAGTTCTTGCAATGTTATATAAAATATGCTTTGTAAATGGGTAATTTACAAAGAAAAGAGATTTAATTGTCTCACAATTCTTCAGGCTGTACAGGAAACATGGCACTGGCATCTTCTCAGCTTCTGGGGAGGCCTCAGGGAGCTTTTACTCATGGCAAAAGGTAAAGTGGGAGCAGATATTTCACATGGCAGAGCAGAAGAAAGAGAGAGAGTAGGGGTGGGGAGGTGCCACACACTTTTAAATGAGCAGATCTTGTATGGACTCAGAGTAAGAACTCACTTATCACCAAAAGGATGGGCCAAGTCATTTATGAGAAATCCATCCCCATGATCCAAACACCTCCCACTAGATCCACATCTAACATTGGGGATTACATTTCAACATGACATTTGGGTAGGGACAAATATCCAAACTACATCATTCTATCCCTGGCTCCTTCAAATCTCATATCCTTTTCATATTGCAAAATACAATCATGTCTTCCCAACAGTCCCCCAAAGTTTTAACTCATTCCAGCTTTAACTCAAAAGTCCAAAGTCTCGGCCAGGCGCGGTGGCTCACACCTGTAATCCCAGCACTTTGGGAGGCCGAGGCGGGTAGATCACGAGGTCAGGAGATCAAGACCATCCTGGCTAACACAGTGAAACCCCGTCTCTACTAAAAAATAGAAAAAATTAGCCGGGCATGGTGGCGGGTGCCTGTAGTCCCAGCTACTCAGGAGGCTGAGGCTGGAGAATGGCGTGAACCCAGGAGGCGGAGCTTGCAGTGAGCCAAGATTGCGCCACTACACTCCAGCCTGGGCGACAAAGCAAGACTCCATCTCAAAAAAAAAAAAAAAAGTCCAAAGTCTAGTTTGAGACAAGGCAAGTCCCTTCCACTTATGAGCCTATAAAATCAAAAACAAATTATTTACTCCCAAGATAAAATGAAAGTATAGGAATTGGGTAAACATTTCCATTCCAAAGGAAAGAAATCAGCCAAAACAAAGGGGCTAAAGTTCCCAAGAAAGTTCAAAACCCAGCAGGGCAGCTATTAAATTGTAAAGCTTCAAAATAATCTCCTTTGACTTCATGTCCCACACCAAGGGCACACTTCCGTGAGGGATGGACTCCAAAGGCCTTGGAAGGTTCTGCCCCTGTGGCTTTGCAGGGTTCAGCCCCCACAGCTGTTCTCACAGGTTGTTGAGTGCTTCTGGCTTTTCCAGATGCAGGGTGCAAGCTGACAGTGGATCTTTCATTTTGGAGTCTGGAGGACAAAGGCCCCCCTTCCCACAGCTTCACTTGGTAGTGCCCCAGTGTAGACTCTGTGTGGGACATCCAACCCCACGCTTTCCCTTCATACTGCTCTAGTGGAGGTTCTCTGTGGGGGCTCCTGCCTTGCAGCAGGATTCTGCCTGGGCACCCGCTTTATTATACCTCCTGTAAAATCTAGGTGGAGGCCACCAAGCCTTTACTTTTGCTCTCTGTGCACCAGGAGGCTTAACATCACATGGAAGCTGCTAAGGCTTATGGTTTGTATTCTCTTAAAGTGGCAGTTTGAGCTATACTGGGGCCCCTTTGAGCCCTGGCTGGAGTTGGAGAGGCAAGGATGTGGGAAGCAGTGTCCTGAGGCTGTGCAAGGCAGTGGGGCCCTGGGCCTGGCCCACAAAACCATTCTTCCCTCCTAGGCATATGAGCCCATGGTGGAAGGGGCTGCCTTGAAGTTCTCTGAAATACCTTTGAGGCCTTTTCCCTATTGTCTTGTCTATTAGCACTTGGCTGTCTTTTAGTTATGCAAATATCTCTAGCAAGTGGTTGCTCCACTGCCCACTTGAATTCTTTTTTTTTTTTTTTTGAGACAGAGTTTCACTCTTGTCACCCAGCTGGAGTGCAATGGCTCCATCTTGGCTCACTGTAACCTCCACCTCCAAGGTTCAAGAGATTCTCCTGCCTCAGCCTCCCAAGTAGGTGGGATTACAGGTGACTGTCACCATGCTCAGCTCATTTTTGTATTTTTAGTAGAGATGGAGTTTTACCATGTTGGCTAGGCTGGTCTCAAACTGCTGACCTCAGGTGATCCACCTGCCTCAGCCTCCCAAAGTGCTGGGATTACAGGCGTGAGCCACTGTGCCTGGCCAAATTCTTCTCCAGAAAAACTTTTTTTTCTCTGCCACATGGCCATGTTGTAAATTTTCCAACCTTTAATGCTCTCTTATGCACTTTTATTAAAAGTAATGGCAAAAACCACAATTAGTTTTGCACCAACCTAATATAAAGAAAAGAGGTTTGATTGGCTCAAGGTTCTGCAGGTTGTACAGGAAACATGGCACTGGCATCTGCTCAGCTTCTGGGGAGGACATTGGCTCCAATGCAATGCCTCACTTGTCTTACTGAGTTTTAGTAGATTTTCTTGTGTAAATGCTTATTTATTTCTACAAGACTTTAGGATAACTTCCAGACACTTTAAACGGTTGGCGATAGTCAGATAGGTAGATAAATAGATAGATAAAATACATCTATATACTATCTATTTCTCCCTGTCTCTGTCTTTCTCTCCAAATATGTATCAATCAATTATGCATATTTCTCTGGGGAGTGGTTTTGCAGACTCTTGACTGGGACCTAAGGGAAGAGAGACTCCTCATACTGTCATCCTGGTGAAATTTGTAATGGCTTTTGATAGAAATTATGTTTGAGCATATGCCAGGGTAGAAACAGAGAACCATCTACCCTTTATAGAGTTGAGTAGAGGCAGGAAGTCAGAGCCAGAGGTAATTGTAAAAATATTAGTTCCCTGGGAGTTTATGGAAATCTTGGGAGAGCATTAGAATCTCCAGGATATGAGATAGGGATGTAGAAGAAGAATCAACTTCACCCATTCCTTCCTAGGTTTCAGCACAGAAGAGTCTCTGGCTTAGTGGGAAGATTATAGCTTTGAGATATACGCCATTACCTTGGAGGCAGATTCCACAAAGAATATGCCAGAAAGACAGTTGAACCGAACCTTTGTACAACTCTCTGGCTGCATAACTTCTCCCCTTAGACCAAAAAAGGAAAGCCCCTATGAACTGAGGAACTGGTATTTATCTCTGGTTTGGCAAGGAGTGAATTGTACACAGCCTAGGAAGAATTTCCCATTAAACTTAGTTTCTGCATTTTAAAACCCTTCAGAAAAGCTTAAGTATAAGCTTATTTCTTACACTTAAAAAGTAGGCTTTTCAAACTGAAAAGACAAGTCCAAACTGGTCCCTTTTATCAGACAGGTCTGTATCTGGGGGTGGTTTCAGCTTCAGCAAGACTGATTTTAGGGGTAAAATGGACGCTTTCAGGAAGCTAATAGAAACTCTTGGGGAAAGAGGGCAAAGATCTAATTGCTTTGTTCACAGTTCTGTAATTTTGTTGGAGCTCTGTGGTTGTTCACACCCTTGTGCCACATTAATAATTATTGGGCCATATTATTAAACCAATTTCAGCTCTTGGGAGACCAAAGTGTTCCTTGGCAGCACTGGCCAATATGAAAAACAATATCAAAATGTTAACACTGGAAGAGCTTGGAGTCCTTCTAGAATCAATGTTTTCAACCCACATTCTGTAGAGCCCAAAGGTTCTGAAGAGAGACTTAGGTGTGAGGAGAACTAGGGGGAAGCTGAGGAAATAGTCCAATAAAACCTCTCATCCCTTCAACCAGAGCAGTTCTACCTATTTGTTTTATGTTTTGCTGGGATTCCATATGAGATTTTGTTTAATATAAACTAGTACTTTTCTGCCTTAGAAAAAAGCCCACGATGGCAACTACTGATCCAGTTCAGATGTTGGCAAACATTCTTTGTAAAGATCCAGAAAGTAAATATTTTAGACTTCAGGACCACATATTCCCATCACATATTCTTTTTTTTTTAAATCATTTTAAAAAAAGTAAAAACCATTCTCACCTTGCAGGTCACATGCAAATAGGGCAGAGGAATGACCTAGTTTGACTATGCCGTTATTTTAGGTGATGAAACTAGAGTCTGGAGAGGGACGGTATCTTCTTTAACCACAAAATAAGCAAATAGCTGAGACAGGCTTTGAACCTGCGTATAAGGAGCACTCTGCAGAAACATAATTCCTGTGTTTCCTAACAAGGCTCTCTGCTTCATCAGCCACAGTCCCAACCTGTTTTGTGATCTAACCATTGTTTATTGCAACAACAACAAAACCTTTTCAGTTTCTCTGCTACAAAATTGACAGCCACAGCACACTAAGCATTTTTTCAACCAGGAAAACGTACGTACATTTGGATATTTTCCCAAGGCAGCATCGCTTTATCCACCATACCTTCTCAATCTGGAACCAATTTATGGGATGTTTCTCTGAGCATTGTGATACCCTGGGAAGAGAACTCAGCCACAAAGTGCCAGACTTCTGATCTACAGAGCTGTGAGCTATAAAAGTGGGTATTGTTTTTAGCCACTAAATTCATGGTAATTTGTTATGCAACAATAGAAAATAAATACAACACTCCTCCTTGCCTTGTTGCAGAGTAAGAACTCAATTTCCACTTGATAGTTGGGATCAGTCATCTCAGTCACTAACTTTATTGTTTACCCAATGTAGTGGCATGAGGAACGCAAGGTGGCCAGGTGGCAGTCTCAGCTTCTATTTTAATAAAACCATTTTTATGTACTCTGGTGGAAACACACACCTCCTAGGCACTAAGATCTTTGAACCAGCAGAGGTCAAAGTGTTACCGAGCAAAAGGGCTTACTAAACAATGGGTTAGAAGCCAAAACTATGACACCAGGTTTTTGAGAAAAGAAAAGCTTTTTATTGTAGGTTGACCAACGAGACAGGAGTCCAGCTACAATCTGTCTCCCTGTGCTGGCTTTTAGGTAGTAATTTTATTATGAAAGATTTAGGTGGTGGATGCTAGGATTAGTAGATGACTGGTGACTGAAAAGGGGAGGTCTAGAAAGTCCTCAGCCATATGCAGTTATTTCTTCATGCTATTTCATGGATTACATGTGCAAATCCAGGGGAAATTAGTATGAAACATGTGGTGGAAGTTCAGACTGTGATATCAGTAAGCTTGTTCTGTGCAGACTCCAGTTGGTATATTGGTTACAATTTCAGCTAGTTTTGTTATCTTACAAGCTGAGGGAATTTCAGAGTTTCGACAAATTGTTTTGTTTTTTATCTGCCATCCTGTAAATTCAAGAATTTCTCTTAGTCACTGGTTTCTTTAACTCTTTGGGGCATGGTTCAAAAGTTGTAAAATTTTGCTATTGAATTTTTAGGGGTAATAGTGAAAGGAGCCACTCCCATTTCCATTGTTTGATGTCCAGACATATGTCTTCTAACTATGGGTAAATAATACCATATACCGAATGATGAATTACAGCATATAACATATCTTGGAGGGCATTACTTCAGCTCTGCAAAGGGTTGGCACCCAGTAGACGCCATACCATTCCTGATGGACATAGAAAGTCATTTCACGTATATATTATATATACACATTCCTACTACTGGCATGTGGAATTCTGGGTAGGGTAGGCATTTGTTTACTCTGGGAGATATTGCCAAAACGTTTTTCAAAGTAGTTCACTTAATGAACAGAGTTCTAGTTCCCCTACATGTCTGTCAACATTTGATATTGTTAGTCTTTTAAATTTTAGCCATTCTGTAGGTATACGGTAATAAGTCTCATTGTAGTTTAATGTGTACTTTCCTAGTGACTAATGCATTGAGCACCTTTCATTTACTTTTTGGCCACTTAGATTTTCTCTTTTGAGAAGTACCTGTTCAAACCTTTTGCTATTTTTTTTATTATACTTTTAAGTTCTAGGGTACATGTGCACAATGTGCAGGTTTGTTACATATGTATACATGTGCCATGTTGGTGTGCTGCACCCATTAACTGGTCATTTACATTAGGTATTTCTCTTAATGCTGTCCCTCTCTCCTCCCCCTTCCCCCCACTCCATGACAGGCTCTGGTGTGTGATGATCCCCGCCCTGTGTCCAAGTGTTCTCATTGCTCAATTCCCACCTATGAGTGAGAACATGCGGTGTTTGGTTTTCCATCCTCGCGATAGTTTGCTCAGAATAATGGTTCCCAGCTTCATCCATATCCCTACAAAGAACATGAACTCATCCTTTCTTACGGCTGCATAGTATTCCAAGGTGTATATGTGCCACATTTTCTTAATCCAGTCTATCATTGATGGACATTTGGGTTGGTTCTAAGTCTTTGCTATTGTGAATAGTGCCACAATACACATACGTGTGCATGTGTCTTTATAGTAGCATGATTTACAATTCTTTGGGTATACACCCAGTAATGGGATCACTGAGTCAAATGGTATTTCTAGTTCTAGATCCTTGAGGAATCACCACACTGTCTTCCATAATGGTTGAACTAGTTTACACTCCCACCAATGGTGTAAAAGTGTTCCTATTTCTCCACATTCTCTCCAGTACCTGTTGTTTCCTGACTTTTTAATGATCGCCATTCTAACTGGTGTGAGATGGTATCTCATTGTGGTTTTGATTTGCATTTCTCTGATGACCAGTCATGATGAGCATTTTTTCATGTGTCTGTTGGCTGCATAAATGTCTTCTTTTGAGAAGTGTCTGTTCATATACTTCACCCACTTTTTGATGGGGTTATTTGATTTTTTCTCGTAAATTTGTTTAAGTTCTTTGTAGATTCTGGATATTAGCCCTTTGTCAGATGGGTAGATTGCAAAAATTTTCTCCCATTCTGTAGGTTGCCTGTTCATTCTGAGGGTAGTTTCTTTTGCTGTGCAGAAGCTCTTTAGTTTAATTAGATCTCATTTGTCAATTTTGGCTTTTGTTGCCATTGCTTTTTGTGTTTTAGTCATGAAGTCCTTGCCCGTGCCTATGTCCTGAATGGTATTGCCTATGTTTTCTTCTAGGGTTTTTATGGTTTAAGGTCTAACATTTAAGTCTTTAATCCATCTTGAGTTAATTTTTGTATAAGGTGTAAGATTATCTCTATTGAGATAATCATGTGGTTTTTGTCTTTGGTTCTGTTTATGTGATGGATTACGTTTATTGATTTGCATATGTTAAGAGAGCCTTGCATCCCAGGGATGAAGATAACTTGATTGTGGTGGATAAGCTTTTTGATGTGCTGCTGGATTCTGTTTGCCAGTATTTTATTGAGGATTTTCGCATTGATGTTCATCAGGGATATTGGCCTAAAATTCTCTCTCTTTTTTTTTTTTTTTTGTTGTGTCTCTGCCAGCCTTTGGTATCAGGATGATGCTGGCCTCATAAAATGAATTAGGGAGGATTCCTTCTTTTTCTATTGATTGGAATAATTTCAGAAGGAATGGTACCAGCTCCTCTTTGTAAGTCTGGTAGAATTCGGCTGTGAATCCATCTGGTCCTGGAGTTTTTTTGGTTGGTAGGCTATTAATTATTGCCTCAATTTCAGAGCCTGTTATTGGTCTATTCAGGGATTCAACTTCTTCCTGGTTTAGCCTTGGGGGGGTGTATGTGTCCAGGAATTTATCCATTTCTTCTAGATTTTCTAGTTTATTTGCATAGAGGTGTTTATAGTATTCTCTGATGGTAGTTTGTATTTCTGTGGGATTGGTGGTGATATCCCTTTTATCATTTTTTATTGTGTCTACTTGATTCTTCTCTCTTTTCTTCTTTATTATTCTTGCTAGTGGTCTATGTATTCTGTTGATCTTTTCAAAAATCTGGTTCCTGGATTCATTGATTTTTTTGAAGGGTTTTTTGTGTCTCTATCTCCTTCAGTTCTGCTCTGATCTTCATTATTTCTTGCCTTCTGCTAGCTTTTGAATGTGTTTGCTCTTGCTTCTCTAGTTCTTTTAATTGTGATGTTAGGCTGTCAATTTTAGATCTTTCCTACTTTCTCTTGTGGGCATTTAGTGCTATAAATTTCCCTCTACACATTGCTTTAAATGTGTCCTAGAGATTCTGATATGTTGTGTCTTTGTTCTCATTAGTTTCAAAGAACATCTTTATTTATGCCTTCATTTCATTATTTACCCAGTAGTCATTCAAGAGCAGGTTGTTCAGTTTCCATGTAGTTGTCTGGTTTTGAGTGAGTTTCTTAATCCTGAGTTCTAATTTGATTGCACTGTGGTCTGAGAGACAGTTTGTTGAGATTTCTGTTCTTTTACATTTGCTGAAGTGTGCTTTACTTCCAACTATGTGGTCAATTTTGGAGTAGGTGTGATGTCTGCTGAGAAGAATGTATATTCTGTTGATTTGGGGTGGAGAGCTCTATAGATGTTTATTAGGTCTGCTTGGTGCACAGCTGAGTTCAAGTCCTGGATATCCTTGTTAACCTTCTGTCTTGACAATCTGTCTATTATTGACAGTGGGGTGTTAAAGTCTCCCATTATTACTGAGTGGGAGTCTATGTCTCTTTGTAGGTCTCTAAGGACTTGTCTTATGAATCTGGGTGCTCCTGTATTGGGTGCATATATATTTAGGTTAGTTAGCTCTTCTTGTTGAATTGATCCCTTTATCACTATGTAATGGCCTTCTTTGTCACTTTTCATCTTTGTTGGTTTATAGTCAGTTTTATCACAGACTACAATTGCAAACCCTGCTTTTTTTTTTTTTTTTTCCATTTGCTTGGTAGATTTTCCTCCATCCCTTTATTTTGAGCCTATGTGTGTCTCTGCACATGAGATGGGTCTTCTGAATACAGCACCCTGATGGGTCTTGACTCTTCATCCAATTTGCCAGTCTGTGACTTTTAATTGGTGCATTTAGCCCATTTACATTTAAGGTTTATATTGTTATGTGTGAATTTGATCCTGTCATTATGATGTTAGCTGGTTATTTTACTCGCTAGTTGATGCAGTTTCTTCCTAGCATTGATGGTCTTTACAATTTGGCATGTTTTTGCAGTGGCTGGTATCAGTTGTTCCTTTCCATGTTTAGTACTTCCTTCAGGAGCTCTTGTAAGGCAGGACTGGTGGTGACAAAATCTCTCAACATTTGCCTGTCTGTAAAGGATTTTATCTCTCCTTCACTTATGAAGCTAAGTTTGGCTGGATATGAAATTTTGGGTTGAAAATTCTTATCTTTAAGAATGTTGCATATTGGCCCCCACTCTGTTCTGGCTTATAGAATTTCTGTTGAGAGATCCACTGTTAGTCTGATGGGCTTCCCTTTGTGGGTAACCCGATGTTTCTCTCTGGCTGCTCTTAACATTTATTCCTTCATTTCAACCTTGGTGAATCTGACAATTATGTGTCTTGGGGTTGCTCTTCTCGAGGAGTATCTTTGTGGTGTTCTCTGTATTTCCTGAATTTGAATGTTTGCCTGCCTTGCTAGGTTGGGGAAGTTCTCCTTGGTAATATCCTGCAGAGTGTTTTCCAACTTGGTTCCATTATCCCCGTCACTTTCAGGTACACCTATCAAACGCAGATTTGGTTTTTTTCACATAGTCCTATATTTCTTGGAGGCCTTGTTCATTTCTTTTTACTCTTTTTTCTCTAAACTTCTCTTCTCGCTTCATTTCATTCATTTGATTTTCAATCACTGATACCCTTTCTTCCACTTGATCGAATCGGCTACTGAAGCTTGTGCATGTGTCACATAGTTATCATACCATGGTTTTCAGCTCCATCAGGTCATTTAAGGGCTTCTCTATGCTGTTTATTCTAGTTAGCCATTCATCCAATCTTTTTTCAAGATATTTAGCTTCTTTGCGATGGGTTCAAACATCCTCCTTTAGCTCGGAGAAGGTTGTTATTACAGACCTTCTGAAGCCTACTTCTGTCAACTCATCAAAGTCATTCTCCATCCAGCTTTGTTCCATTGTTGGCGAGGAGCTGCGATCCTTTGGAGGAGAAGAGGCACGCGGCTTTTTTAATTTTCAGCTTTTCTGCTCTGGTTTCTCCCCATCTTTGTGGTTTTATCTACCTTTGGTCTTTGATGATGGTGACCTACAGATGGGGTTTTGGTGTGGATGTCCTTTTTGTTGATGTTGATGCTATTCCTTTCTGTTTATTAGTTTTCCTTCTAACAGTCAGGACCCTCAGCTGCAGGTCTGTTGGAGTTTGCTGGAGGTCCACTCCAGACCCTGTTTGCCTGGGTATCACCAGCAGAGGCTGCAGAACAGCAAATATTGCTGCCTGTTCCTTCCTCTGGAAGCTTCATCTCAGAGGGGCACTCCGCTGTATGAGGTGTCAGTCAGCCCCTAGTGGCAGATGTCTCCCAGTTAGGCTACACGGGGGTCAGTGACCCACTTGAGGAGGCAGTCTGTCCACTCTCAGAGCTCAAACTCCATGCTGGGAGAACCACTGCTCTCTTCAGAGCTGTCAGACAGGGACGTTTTCTGCTATTTTTTAAGATTATCACAATGTGTCCTTCTCTCTCTTTTCTTTCTCTCTCTCTTTAATACAGTATTATTGGGTTTATTTTGTGAATATTTTCTCCCACTCTATGGCTTGCCTTTTTGCTCTGTTAGTGGTGTGTTTTGATGAACAAAAGTTTTATATTATAATGAATTTCAATTTTTCAATATTTTCTTTTATGTTTTGAATATTCCATGTTTGGTTTGAGAATTTTTTGCCTTCTGCAAGATAATGAAGATATTTTCTTGTGTTTTCTTTAGAAGATTAACTAGTTTACTTTAAAATTTAGGTCTATTAGCTACCTTAAATTCATTTTTGGAAACAGTGTTTTACATTTTTCCATACAAATATCTATTGACACAGACAAAATGTCTTCTCTTAACACTTCTGTTTAAAGTTGTACAGGAAGCCCTAGCTAACACAGAAAGCAAAATAAATAAATAAATAAATGAATAAATAAAATTTATAAATATCAGAAAGTGTATGTAGAAAATCCGAAATAATGTACAAACAAAATATTCAAATTAATGTGTGAATTAGCAAGGTCACTGAATACAAGTTCAATAAACAATAAAAAATGCATTTCTACCTCCTAGCAGCAAACAATTAAAAATAAAAATTTAAAACATTACCATATGTAATAGCATCACAATCGTCAAATACTAAGGAATACACTTAACAAAAGGTGTGTAAGACCTCCACACTGATAACTACAAAATTGCTGAAATTAAAGACACTTAATTATAGAGATGTATCATGCTTATATATCCAAAACAACCCTCATAATTTTAAGATTTGTTTTCCACACTGATTCATACATTCAATAGATTCAATGCAATCCCAATAAAAACCATAAAGGGTTTTTTGGGATGTGGGCTCATTGAACAACTGCTTCTAAAATTTATATGTAAATACAAAGAACCAATAAAATTCAAACAACCTTGAAGAAGAAGAAAATTGGAGGACTTACATGGTTGCATACAAAGAGTTACTATGTATCTTTGGCCGTGCGCAGTGGCTCAGCCTGTAATCCCAGCATCATGGGAGGCCGAGGCAGGGGAATCACCTGAGGTCAGGCACTGGAGACCAGCCTGGCCAGCATAGCGAAACCCCGTCTCTACTGAAAATACAAAACTTAGTGGGGCATGGTGGCGCAAGCCTGTAGTCCCAGCTACTCGAGAGGCTGAGGCAAGAGAATCGCTTGAACCCGGAAGGCGGAGGTTGCAGTGAGCCGAGCTCGCACCACTGCACTCTAGCTTGGGCAACAGAGCAGGACTCCATCTCAAAAAAAAAAAAAAAAAAAAAAAAAAAAAAAAGAGTTACCATATATCTTCAGTTAATTATGACATGTGGTATTGGAGTTCAGTTGGGAAAAGAATGGACTTTTCAATAAATGTTGCTTAGATCAATTGGATATCCTTATGGAAATAAACCATTTTCTTTTAAACTAAGAAAATGTTTTTTTACTTGTATGTGAAATCAAAAACAGTTGAACTCATAGACAAAGAGTAGAAGGATGGTTAACAGGAGTCAGAGGGTGAGGAAATGGGAGATGTTGGCTAAAGGGTACAAACTTGCAATTATGAGATGAGTAAGTTCTGGATACCTAATGCATAGCATGGTGACTATAGTTAATAATAACGTTGTATACTTGAAATGTACTAAAGAGAGTGTATCTTAAATATTCTCACCACACAGACAAAAAAGGTAATGATGTGAGGTGAGGTGCCTGATACGGCAATTAACTTGACTTTGGTAATCATTTCACAATGTGTATATGTATACCTAAACTTTATGTTGTACAACTTTATTTTATTTTATTTTTTTGAGATGGAGTCTCACTCTGTCACCCAGGCTGGAGTGCAGTGGCATGATCTCAGCTCTCTGCAACCTCTGCCTGCTGGGTTCAAACAATTCTCCTGTCTCAGCCTCCTGAGTAGCTGGGACTACAGGCATGCACCACCATGCCCAACTAATTTTTTGTATTTTTAGTAGAGACGGGGTTTCACCATACTGGCCAGGCTGGTCTCGAACTCCTGACCTCGTGATCCACCCGCCTTGGCCTCCCAAAGTGCTGGGATTACAGGCGTGAGCCACTGCGCCCAGCCTGTTGTACAACTTTAATACATACAATTTTAATTTCTGCATTATACTTCAAGAAAGCTGAAAAAAAAAGTTTTGTCCACGGGTGCTGAGGTAAGTGTCAAGCATGAAGCAAATTCTGATAAATGGAAATTATTTGAAGTTCAAATTTTCTGTATACTGAAATATATAACAATTTTACTCTAATATTGTCACAGTGCTGTCTTTTCCTCCTCATTTAGAGGAACCTTTCTTTGACAAATATTTTTACATGACAAAATTCATCAAATAAGTTGTTTTTGTATATAGATCCTTTTGAATGTTTGGCTACATTTAGATATTGTAAAATCATAAACCTTCTCAATTTAATTTAATTTCAGTATACAATATAAATGCATTCAATCCATCAAAAGATTGCTCCCAAATATCAACAGAATAAAAACACAATGAAATTCAAAATTAATTCTTGTATACCATTTGATCACTTATTTAATTTGTTGTGTTCCTTCTTTGCTTTCTTAGGCATAAATTTCACTAACTTCCTGCTTGCAAATTTTGTTTTCAATAATTGCCATATGCTCAAAGTTTCCAAAAGCTGAAATTGAAATTCAACGAATGGCTCTTTATTTGTTGAATACTTTGATTAAATGTTTTCAGCTAATTTTGAATAAAATGCAACAAAACTTAAAAGACTCATTTATTAAAAAAACATATAATATCATTGAAAGAAACTTAGGTTAATGCACAAATTAATTCTTCAATGGCTCAAATATTTCTAAGATATTATTGCTGATGGGAAGCAAAGAAAGAAACTATTTCTATGTTGCTGCATTTCCTGTATTCAACATTCTTTCCATTACAAAATTTTTTAGTTCAGTTATGTTACACACACACACACACACACACACACACATATATATATATATTTGTAAATTCTTACAACTGCAGCTTCTGATTTGATTGTTAGGCAATCACAGTTTTTTTGGACACAACAATGTATTATGTGTGTATCAAACTGATCCAAGTACATCATGTTCTGTTTCTTAACTTTAGTATGATACTATATTCCACCAAAATTGGTATTCCTATTATTACTGTAAAACTGAAAATTTTATCTTCACTGCTGACTTTTAACTGATAATATGGCTTGGCTGTGTCCCCACCCATATCTCATCTTGAATTGTAGTTCCCATAATCCCCACATGTCATCGGAGGGATCTGGTAGGAGGTAATTGAATCATGGGAGTGGTTACTCCCATGCCGTTCTCGTGATAGTGAGTGAGTTATCACAAGGTCTGATGGTTTTATAAGCAGCTTTTCCCCCTTTGCTCAGCACTTCTTCCTGCTGCTATGTGAATAAGGACGTGTTCGTTTCCCCTTCTGCCACGATTGTAAGTTTCCCAAGGCTTCTTCAGCCCTGCGGAACTGTGAGTCAATTAAAACTCTTTTCTTTATAAATTACTCAGTCTCAGGCAGTTCTTTATGGCAGCATGAGAACAGACTAATACAAGTGACTAATGTCAGATTTTTCACTTTTGGTAGGATGAACCTCCAAATGTTTTACATTGCATCCGTTATTTGGACTAAAAAAAGTATTGTTATTGGAATTAAGTTAACTGACTTTGTTGAGTTGAATCATCCCTCTGACATAAAACTGACATATTTTAACTTTTCATGAAGGTCTTCTGCTGATGGACCCAATATTTTTAATAGATATCACATTAGCTTTCTTACATGCACAAGAAAATTTGAACTGAACGTAAAAGTTAAATTATTTGCCTTAAAATTCATGTTTTACAGAGTGTTATAGACACACACCTTTTGTAGCATCCAGTGTTAGATTATTTTCATTCAATACAGTAACTACTAACTTTTGAGGCAGATATCAGTGCCTCTTCAGCGGACCTGGGTCTTTGGTTTTCATGTGATAACCATCATTATAGCTCCACTGGTGATTCATAAATGTCAACAAACATTTTATGCATGTCACATATTTAGGATGAACTTTCTTGATAAATGGAAATTCATTATTTAAATTTTATTAAATATGCATTTCTATTTTTTAAGCTCATTGCTGGGAAAGGCTTTGCATCCAAATAAACATTATAAAAAGTAAAATAAACAGTTGCAAATTAATATATAAAAAATGACAAGGCACTCTATCAAAAATATTTAGATTAATGTCTATATACTTCTATTACCCTCACATGTTTGATGTATATTTAACCTATATTTTCTTACATTCTCCACTAATTCAATCTTGTGTGGTCTGGCAGCTTCCTACATCTCCCAGGATAAGCACAGGCCATGGCAAAACTGACTTGTGTGAGTCCACCAAGTGGCCAGCAGGGACAGCAGGCCTGAATACCTACTAGGCCCAGACACTGGAAAATGAAAGCTAGCTATCTCTAGCCTCTGGAGTCAGAACACAATACATTTTACCAGTGACCGCCCATCATGCTGACCATGAAAGGGAGATGCTAATTAATTGCAGCTGGAAAGGGGTGGTATAGCATATGCTCTCAACTTTCCAGTCCATATCCCCATAACCTTTACCATTTCACTTTACAGCATCCCAGTTTCCAATTGCTAATTCTTGCATCTTTTTGCTTAAAGGCTATCTCTTTCCACTGAAGCCGTCATCTAAGGTGCAAAAGTCCCCCCACACACGTGGGAGCATCCCACAACCAATGATTGCCAGGGATTGAAATATACATACCCCAGCTTTTTTCCCCTTGAGGAAAGAATTCTTTTTTGTTTTTGAGACGGAGTCTTGCTGTTTCCAGGCTGGAATGCAGTGCCGCCATCTTAGCTCACTGCAACCTCCAACTTCCTGGTTCAAGCGATTCTTCTGTCTCGGCCTCCAGAGTAGCTGGGATTTTAGGCACATGCCAGCACGCCCAGCTAACTTTTGTATTTTTAGTACAGATAGCGTTTCAACATGTTGGCTAGGATGGTCTTGATCTCCTGATCTCGTGATCCACCCGCCTTGGCATTCCAAAGTGCTGGGATTACAGGCGTGAGCCACCATGCCAGGCCGAGGAGATCATTCTAAGGCATGTTTGGCAATGGTTTCCCAGAATTTTACTAGCAGCATTAAGCTCTAAGTTCTTACAGTTTGTTAATGCATTACTTATTGGATGTTTTCCCTTATCATACTTTCCTACTCATCTCCTAGTTTTTCCTTCATCTCTTAAACTGCTTTTACATCAATTTTGTTTTACTCAGAATTTGATTATGGAGAAATCCAAGTAAAGACATACAGTACCAGAAGTGTTCCTAGGAAGTAGATCCTCAGAATGGAATTATAGAACTGGTCACTTGACAGCCAGATTACTACAAAGATGAAATGTTACAAAATCAGAGACATTGGTCTAGAAAAGAAGACTGTGGATGAACCTGTACAGTGGGCACAAAGCACACAGAACTTTATGTTTCACATTAATGCCTATCAGAGAGTATCCATTGCATAGAAGACACCGAACAAGGAGCTGGATAGATGAGCTGTTCAGTAGGGGTCAGCCAGCCTCTGTTTTGGGTCACTCAAGGGCTTGTATAATGTGCCCACAATCAGAGCAGCCATGACGATAGAGATGGGGTCTATGTATGTGTACGAAAGGATGAACTCTCCCTCACTAAGACTGATTTAGTTATTGACGTTGATGAACATCCAACCTATTATCAGCAGAGATTCATGCTGAGCCCTAGATATATTGGACAAATCTTGAAGGATATTAGTTAATGGAAATTGAAAACATTGAATCACATCTATCTTGCTATGATCTGAATATTTGTGTTTAACAAAATTCATAGGTGTGATGGTATTCAGAGGTGAGGGCTTTGGGATGTGATCAGATTGAGGGCTCTATCATCATGAAATGGATTAGTGCCCTTATGAAAGAGATCCTGGAGAGCTGACTAGCCCCATCCACCATGTGAGGACATAGCATGAAGGGCCGTTTAGGAGGAATGGGCCAAAATGGCTTTCATATTTTTAAACCTAATCCCTGATATGAAAGTATTCAGAGGAAATTTGAACTGGGCAGAGCCCACCACAGCTCAGCAAGACCGCTGTGGCCAGACTGCCTCTCTACGCAGGGCATCTCTGAAAAAAAGGCAGCAGACCATGTACCCCAGAACTTAAAGTATATAAAAAAACAATCAGGAAAGAGGAGACTAGAAAAAAAAAAAAAAGAAAAGAAAGTATTCAGAGGTGGAGCCTGAATTTGCTGGCACATTGATCTTGGGTTTCCCAACCTCCAGAACTGTGAAAATAAATGTTTATTGTTTATAAACTATCCAGTTTACAATATTTCTTTTATATCAGCCCAAATCGACTAAGATATACCTCTGGCAGTGATTTATCCCTATTGAATTAACAATCATCCAAGGTTGGGTTTGTCTTCCCTGTCCTCAGTTTCTTGACTAGAACCACTATCCAAGGGCTCATTGTTTGGTTTATTGTCATGTAATCTGACGCTGACTTTGATCAAAAGACCTATATTACAGTGAAGGGGGTACAATAAGGTTATACATTATGAGGTCCATTGAGCTTACCATAAACAATGTGACCTAGAAGCTGGTAGCCTGATAAAATAATGGAATTGTCTCCCAAAGGCATCAGACTGGGTATTATCCTTCAAGATATGTTATGTATGTTGAACTAATAACAATTTCATAGTGCTGAGCACCCTATAGATAGATGTATGGGTCTGGAAACCAAAAGGTAAAAGTAGGAGGGATCCCTCTCACCATCATTCATAGTCACTCACTTGTATGATATGTGCTCTCTGTCTCTACAATTGTAGAATTTATTGGACTAAATCTTCTTGGTTCCAGAGAAGGATGCTTCTAAAAGGGGACAGAGAGCTTCACTAATCCTAAAAGCACAACTCCTACTTGTTTATTTTAGGCTTCTTGTGCCCATATACCAACAATAGACAAATAATGAGTTACTATACTGTCAGAGATGATTAACCCTGATTATCATGAAGATATTGAGTTGCTGTTACTTAACGCAACCAGGGTGGGTAAGTGGAAGTCAAGAGGTTCACTGGGACATCCATTTGCACTTCAATGTACCGTGGAAAACATATGTGTACACTGTAACAACAATGACCAGGCAATGGTATAGCCAGGAGTTCAGTTATCTCAGAGATGAAGGTGTGGCTACCCTAGCAGACAAAGGACTGAAACTAGCAAAAGTTATGGATCAGGGTAAGGGGAATATAGAACAGGTGGTAAAATATAAAGATAATGAAATCACTTGGATATAAAGAGTGCAAGAGGAAAACTATATGAGATGCTGTTGGTGCCCAGTCCATAAACCACCTCTTTTTATCCCATTGGTCCAGAGTAGCACATACCTGTATTTCTTTTCTTGAAGGCTTTTTCTTATTGCCAAAGCTTTGTTTGCTGTCTGCAGTGTAGCTAATGAGTGCCAGGGGATTAATACCCCTTGGAAGAAGTCTTCAACCAATGACTGATCAAAGTCAGGGTATACATATCTCAGTTTCCTCACACTGTGGGTAGGATAACCAGAAGGCAAGCATTTTACACTGGCTCCCAGAGTTTTCCCAGCACAATTACGCTTCAGTTGCCTTCAGAGTAGCTGGCTTGACTCTACACCTTTTATTTGCTCTTTTTCTTCCCTTGTTTCACATCCTTACTCCTCGAGTTGCATTTTCCTTCACCTCCAAAACAAATTACTTCCATGAGAATCATTTTCTCAGGATCTGCTTTTGGAGGACCAAAAAAAGTTGAGAAAAGAGAGATGAATTAGTATTGATTGTCTTTCAGACATAATCACAGGTTAAATTGAGAACCATGTTTGGTGCTAAGACATCTCATACATTAGTAAATGAGAACCTCACAGAAACTAGAAGTATAAAGTGCAGTTCTTCAAATCCATCCAAGCTTATTTTAATGTGAACATTAATAATAATATTTGGCTAAAAATAGAAACTCCAAAACAAATGCTAAACTGAATGGGACAATAGGTATAACATGGGATTGTCATTGGTAAATTAGGACTTTCAGCTATCCTACAAATATACTTTGTGATTATCTTTTGCAATTTGAATGGACCTCATTATTGGAATTTCATTTTGGGTTCCACATTCCTGTGAGGTTCAAGTAACAGATGCCTGGCTGTTCTCCTATGTTTTGACTCTTCACCTCTGCTCAATGCTGAAGATATCTTTTCATCTCAGTCTTCTAGGACCTCCAATGTTCTGACATGACCTGAACCTCAGCCATATAACTCAGCATCCAACTTTCATGAGCCTTTTAAATATTTTAAGTTTAATATTTTAAGTTTGAAATTAAGCCTTTTAAATATTTTTGTCTACTTTTAAATAAATAATCTTCATACCTTTCATGTTTTTATGTAATTTCTTTTCCATTGCTTTGATGTACTTTATAAATATCATTTCCCTAGGACCTCAAAAGACCTTGGATATTTTCAATATTCCAGGAAACATTGTCTGATTAAGAAGCAACCACTTCTGAATAACACAGCTTTTAATTCAATGTCCAGCTTGGACCTTGTTCAGACTTGACTGAGCACCCTTGGCCCTCGGGGATATCCTCCTCTCTCAACTCCAGGACAGAGTGACCCCCAATTCACACAACTCAAGCTTTTAGCAAGAAAGAGCATTTTAATTGAATTCCAATTAAATTCCAATTGAATTCCTAGACCAAGGCAGTTAGTTTGGGTCTTGGTAATTTGTCACTGCCTGTGGGTGGCCTCTTGAGAGGGGTATGCTTGGAGTATGTGTGTATGCATTTCTTTTCTTCTTTTGGATGGGTCCAGCTAAGAGGTTTATGGTATACTGAGTCATACAGACAAATAGAGCTCTAGCTCCGGCCACATTCCTGGATTATCAACTCTGCATAATATCCCTTCCTTAATTACCAAGGAATCAAGGTCTACTTAGCAAAAGGATACTCGCTTAGTACCAGAGTTGACTCCTTCATGACCCTTGAGGAATCTATGAAAAGAAGACATGTCCATCTTTTTTAACTTGTGACCTGACCTCTATGTCCTTCCAGAATACTGCAGTTAATTAAAAAAAAAAAAGGAATGGAGAAATTTAAAGCTACCACAGACAACGTAATTTAACAATAAAAATATTCACCTCCTGTCTGTTCTATCTTTTGTGGAAAATCTGTATGGCTATATTTTTCTCTCATTAAAGGAGAACAGTTTTGTGCCTACAGAGACAGTTTCACTTTGGGAGTTTGGAGTCATCCATGGTTGACTCTGATTAATGCCCACTAGATTCTTTATTGAACCAGAGATCTCCCTTGAGGCTCTTTTTTGTTTGTTTGTTTGTTTGTTTGTTTGTTTTTTTCCCTCTAATAGAACCTTACTTGTATTGTGAGATTTAGGAATGGTTCCTGTAAGAATGTGAAGCTTGAGTGAAGAGCAAAATTTTAGAACACCATTACAGCCTGGCTGGGACCCATATCGTCACTAAGTAGCCCAGACCACAGCTCACTCTTTCCAGTGAGATCAGGATTCCTGTCCTACTCTCAGAAGTATGGTATGCACAGTGTGCCCACACCTACCAAGAAGCCTATCTCTTCCTTCCGTCTTCCCCAAATCCCATCCTTCTTCCATCCTCTTGGAAACATTTGAAAACTGAGCAAACCTGCCTTTTTTTCCATTGTTTTTGATTGATATGTAAGCCTAAAATTTCTCCATGATGCTCTTCGTAATATTCATTTCATGGTTCCAATTGATCTTATATCCTCAGCCTCTTCAAAGACCGTTGATTTTAACAGCAGCCTGATTCTCCTTTAAGGACACAATTTCCTTTTGTAGCTCACCTATGGTAGTGATGATAATAACAATGGCACAAGGTGACCAATTTTCCCCCACTATAAGTTGGAGGTGAATATGATATGCAGCTCCTTTTTCCTCTATAGCATGTCTGACCATTTTCATGAGTACCCCCACCCACCTGCCACTCCTTGGGAGTGCACTGGACTAGACCATCATTAGGCATTCTGTGAACATCCTCTGCTGATGACCTTGTGGTCTATTCATTTTTGGCCCAATAGCACAGGAGTCCCCAACCCCCAGGTCATGGACTGCTACCAAGTCCATGGCCTGTTAGGAACCAGGTCGCACAGCAGGTGGTGAGAAGTGGGCGAGTGGGCATTACCACCTGAGCTTCACCTCCTGTCAAATCAGTGGCGGCAGTAGATTCTCATAGAAGCCGGAACCCTGTTGGGATCTAGGTTGTGCACTCCTTATGAGAATCTAATTCCTGATGATCTGTCATTGTCTCCCATCACCCCTACATGGGACCATCTAGTTGCAGGAAAACAAGCTCAGGACTCCCACTGATTCTACATTATGGTGAGTATATACTAATAACAATAGGAACAAAGCACACAACAAATATAATTTGCTTGAATCATCCTCAAACCACACCCTGCCCACATCTGTGGAAAATTGCCTTCCACAAAACCCATCCCTGGTACCAGCAAGTTTGGAGACCACTGCAATAACACGTCCCTGTTGACTCAGCATCCTCTGGGCTCTTGCATATATTGCAGATTCCTCTGATGCTCTGCCAAGTCCTTCATCCAGATGTTTATCTATGTTAGTCTGGCACATTTTAAAGGTGTCATGACCCCCAGCTTCCCTCTTCTTCCTCTTCTTTATCATTTTCATGCTGTAAACTAGACCTGTCTAAGGTAGGTTTGGAAGGATTGTCAGGTTTTTTTTTTTTTTTCCAGAAATCTGTTGTTCTTCGTATTAGTCCTAAGCATGGAGCCCCAGGCTATTATTTGCTTCTTTCCAGCAGTTATCCTACTCTTGTCAACCCAGTCTCTAGCAGTATTTGGTTTTAAGCTCCTTCCTTTGACTTCAGACCATGTTGCACTGATTTATAGTTACCCCTTTCAACGTGCTTGATGTTATCTGTGTCCAGATCTTTTGCATTCACCTTGATCCATATTGCAGGTCTATTTGATTTGCAGGACACATTTACACTAGTAAATAGTTTAACAATAACCTAACAATCTCTTATGAAAAGGAAGAAGAGCAGAATGGGAATTATTATGGTAAGTTCTGTGGGCGGTTATTATGGTAGGGCTCTGTGTTCTTTACCTCCTTTAGTCCTCTAAAACCCCCATAAAATTTCATTATTATCACTTTTTTAGAGATTAGGAAACTAAATCTCAAAGAGATTAGGTTAAGTAGTTTGTCCAAGGTCAGAGAACCAGCAAGAGGGAGAAGTAAAATTTAAACTCTGGCCTGAATCTAAAGCACGTACTTCTCCCAATACTCCAACATGCCATCTTTGCTTGGATTTTTCACCAACTCTTATAAGATCTCCAATGGGGCCAGGTCTCATGTGACCTCCATGTCCCCATACCTGACTGCTTCACACTGGTTCTAAACTACCCCTAATCAAAGCCTCCCATTTCTTCCAGTGCTGTGCCTAACTGGACAATCCATCTAGTTTTTGTTTTTTTATCAATGATTTTTTAACATGGAACCATCCATGTTTTCATCTCATTTGTGGCACATATTTCTGTTGTGTCTTGAAGTCAATGAATTAACCCACTCTCATTTTTTTTTTTTTTTTGCTCCAGATGATCAGATTTATTCCTTCCTAAAATATAGAAGGGCTTCTAGTGAAAAAACTAAGTCTTCTGGCTTATTCTTCCCATTCCTAGCTCTCTTTCTTAGAGGCAACACTTTATCTCTTCAGATTTTTTGTTTGTTTAGTGGGTTTTTTTGAACGCATATAATAGTTACTTAACTGTATCGAAATAAAATGCTTATAAAATTATCTCTAGTTATTAAATTTAGACTTTATTAAGTTCTTAGTATGATAGATGAGGACTCAGCTTTCTTATGTTATCTTCAATGTCATCACAATCTTTAAAATAGTTAACCACTCTTTTTAGTTCTTCTATTAGTTAATTTTTGAGCTTTAATGTTAGATAAAGTTAGCATGTTTTTGTTCTATCAAGTATAGATATTTCCTCTAGACCCCTCAAGTTATAAGACTGGGATATTAACACCTCTTTCTTTCCACTCTCCTCTATGCCCTCTTAGACTCTACTTCCATACTTCCCGTGTTGTCTTCTTTAAATTTACATTTAAAATGTCAGACTGATCATATTTACATTCTGTTCTGTAAGTATGAGTTTTCCATGCCATGTGTATAGATTGATTCTAAAATTTAAATATCATCAGTGTCTTCATCAGTAAATAATATAAATATTATTTACTGCAGAGCCAAGTAATGTGCTATGTGCACATTTACTTACATAATCACTTGTCCTTCATCTGGTTTCTAATTTTCCCCTCCTCTGTACCTTTATCATGTCCCTAAGGTCTTTTGATCTCTATCTCAAGGTTTCCATCAAATCCGCAAAGTCCTCCTTTGTTTGAGTTCCATCCCTTCTGGAGTCCTGCTCAATCCTGAAGTATTCTCTAGGCTTGATGACCAGCTGTCACCTGGGAATTTCCTTCATTACTCTCTTGGATTCGAATCACGATTCTATGGATCCCACTTTTTCTTCTCTCTTCATTTAAACTTTCCAGCAACTTCCTATGAACAAAATCCACTGGCAGTAATGTCCTAGCCTTGCTTTTATTTTATCCTCACATTTAATTGGTAGTTTGGCTGGAGTTGGAGTCCCCTCTGCCCAATGGACCGTATTCACCTTCTTCTGGTGAGCAGTGTTGCAGAGGAGAAGTCTGAGACCAGCATGGCTCTTCTTCTTTTACAGCTGTACTGTTGCCTTTAGCTTTTCCTCTCTCTGGACACTTAGAACCATCTTTTTATCCTAGGTGTTTTGATATTTCATAATGATAACAAGGTAGCTCCTTTTAAAAAATTCACCAAGTTAGGTACTCAGAGGGGCCTTTTAATGAGAATATTCATGTTCTTTAACTTTTGAACATTTACCTCTATTATTTATTTGATAGATTTTTCCTGCTTTTTCTCCAGATTTCTCTCTCAAAATCCTATTAGTCAAGTGGTAGACCTCCAGTCTCTCAAACTTTTTCTCACTGCCTTTTGCTCTTACAGTATATGAGATTTCCTTAATTTTCAAAATCTTCCATTCTTTCTCTTCTTGACCATATTTTGAATTTTCAAAGATTCATTATTTGATTGTCCCTTTCTCCTTAATTTAATAGGTGAAATAGTTTTTGATGTTTTTTGAGAATTGTAATTAGATTTAATTTGGTTTTCCTTTTCAGTTTCCTGAATTATGTATTTCCTTCAAGATTAACTTGATAATGGTTTCCTTCTTGCTATTTTTCCTTCATGCTGAAAGTTTTCCTCAAGGGTCAATAGATCCTGGACTTTTCATTTATGTTTAAGAAGTAAGTGTTAGAAAAGCTGAGACAGGGTTTGGGAGTAAAGCTTGTTTACTAATAGCATTCATTTTAAGTGTAGTAGGAGTGGGTCCTGCTGTGCATGGAGGGACACATAATGTGCCAGAACACAAGGCCACATTGCTTCTCTCACTGGAAGCAATATTTTACATTTTATTCCACTTTTTTAAAAGTAAGAAACAACTACCTTTTCCATAAAGCATATAAAAGCCTGTTTTGTGGTAGACATAGGATCAGAGAAGGGAAAAAGGTAGTTAGTGTCTGTGTACACATGTTCACACCCGTGTTTACCATGCCGCCTACCTCCATTACCTCAGGTATCTCTGAGTCAAGAGTCTGTCTGGAGTTCTTCTGGGGTTCAGCTTTCTCCTCTAATCTGTTATACCAGTCAATATTTCTCCATCAACTTTGAGTCTGCAGACAGGTGTTGAAGCATTCTGTTCCTAATGACTTTACTCCCATTCTTTTTGTTTTTATGGAGGCACATGAATTTTTACCTAATTTTTCATTGCAAAGTGGCCTTCCAAAGGTCGAGGAGTAAATGTACAGGTTCAATCCTCTATCTTGGAACAGAAGCTCTAATTGACATTTTTAGGAGATCTCTCTATGAAATCTAAAATTGTTGAAATCATAGAAACAGACTAGAAGGGTGGTTAACAGGGGTCAGAAGGTTAGGAAATGGAGACAAATTGATCAAAGGGTACAAACTTGCAGTTATGAGATTAATAAGCTCTGAGACCTAATGTGCAGCATGATAACTTTTGTTAATAATAATGTATTCCATACTTGAAATTTGTTAAAAGAGTAGATCTCAAGTGTTTTCACCACCAAAAAGAAATAAAAGTAACTACTGAAAGTGATTGATATATTAATTAGCTTGATTGTGGTCACGATTTTAAAATGCATATAATGTATACAAAAAATCACATTGTACACCTTAAATATGTACAATTTTTATTTGTCAATCATATGTTGAGAAAGCTGGGAAAGAAAAGATACCCTTGGCTGCTGTGGGGTAAATGGATGGGACGTGGGCAACAGTAAATCCAGAGAGATCAGTAGGAGACTATGGCACAGTTTTTGAGAAGGATGACACTGTTTTGAAACAAGATAGAGAAAAATGTTGTCATAGTGGCTGCACCATTTACATTCCCACCAATAATGTACAAGAGTTTGAATTTCTCCACAACCTCACCAACATTTGTTTTTTGTTTTTACAACAACACCATCCTTACAGGTGTTAGGTGATACCTCATTGTCATTTGATTTGCATTCTCCTGATGATTAGTGATGTTGAGCATCTTTTTACTTTTTGGCCATTTGTATGTCTTCCTTGGAGAAATACCTATTCAGATCGTTTGCCTATTTTTAAATTGGGTTATTTATTTACTTATGATTTTGCTATTGAGCTTCTTTGTTAATAATTTCAATTTTATTCTAGAATCGGGGCTACACACGCAGTTTTGTTACATGGGTATAATGCATGATGCTAGGGTTTCCAGTATGAATAATCCCATCACTGAGGTAGTGAGCAGAGTACCCAATAGTTAGCTTTTCAATCCCTGCTCCTCCCCCTTCTTTCTCTTTCTAGTAGTTCCCAGTTTCTATGGTTGTCATCTTTATGTCTATGAGCACCCAACGTCTAGCTCCTACTTATAAGTGAGAACATACAGTATTTCTGTTCCTGCATTATCTCACTTAGGATAATGCATCCTAAGTTATCCTAAGTTAGGATAGCTGCATCCATGTTGCTGCAAAGAACATGATTTCATTCTTTGTTATGGCTGTCTAGTACTCCATAGTATATACATACCACATTTTCTTTATCCAATCCACCACTGATGGGCACCTAGGTTGATTCTATATCTTTGCAATTGTGAATAGTGCCATGATGAACATACAAGTTTGCATGTCTTTTTGGTGGAATGATTTATTTTCTTTTGGATAGATACCCAGTAATGGGATTGTTGGGTGGAATGGTAGTTCTAAGTTCTTCAGGAAATCTCCAAATTGCTTTCCACTGTGGCTGAACTAATTTACATTCCCACCAACAGTGGGAATTTCCTATATATTTTGGAAATTAACTCCTTATCAGATACATGGTTTGCAAATATTTTCTCCCATTCCATTGGTTGCCTTTTCACTTTATTAATTGTTTTCTTTATTATGCAGAAGATTTTTAGTTTCACATAATCCACTTTTTTATTTTTGCTTTTGTTGCCTATGTTTCCTATGTTTTTGTTGTCATGTAAGAAAATTATTGTCAAGACCAATGTCAAGGAGATTTCAGGTCTTATGTTTAAGACTTTATTCTATTTTTAGTTGATTTTTGTGTATGGTGTAAGATAGGCATCCAATTTCATTATTTTGCATATAGACATACAGTTTCCCCAGAATCATTTATTTAAGAGACTATTCATTTCTATTGTGTATTCTTGGTGCCCTTCTTGACCATATTGCATGGGTCTATTTCGGGGTTTTCTAGTCTAATCTGTTAGCTGATGTGCCTGTTTTTATGCCAGTACGATACTTTTAGTAATTGTGCTAAAATCAAGCTAGGAAGCTCCCTCCCTTGGACCAGTATTTTTCCAGTGGGTCCCCAAGGTATTCTCAGTTTTTCCTTCTTTTTTTCTTCTTGTCATCTCTTCTTCTCCCATGGCAATCAAGGGGGAGAGTTATTACAGAATATAAGAAGATGAGTTGGATTCAAACGGACATGAGTGTTAATCCTTATTTTGCCATTTATTAACATTGAGACCTTGAAAAATTAATTTTTCTGAGGCTGGAAGAATAATGATAATATTGCCCTGCATTAGCTAGCTAAACTGCCATGGCAGAGACCAAAACAACAGTGAGTCAAACAAGATGGATATTTGTTTTGCTCTCTTCTAACAGTCCTGGGAGTGCAAGAGGCTCTGTTCCTTCCATCTTATTGCTCAACTGTCCTTTAGACAAGGTTTCTCAACTTCAGCATTATTCACATTTGGGGCCGGATAATTCTTCGCTGGGCAGTGGGGGCAGGAACGGATGTTGCCTTGTGTATTGTAGGATGTTTAGCAGCATCCCCGGTCCCTACTAACTAGATGCCACTAGCACTCTCTCCCTGGTTGTGACAATGAAAAAAAATGTCTCTGAACACTTTCAGTGTCTCCTGGAGCAACAAAACCACTCCCTGGTTGAGATCCACTGCCTAAGGATGTGGTCTTTGGTCACGTGATCTAAAGCTGGTTCACCAAGACAAGCTCTAGTTCATAGGCTAGAGGAGGGAGAAAAAGTGGAAGGCAAACAATTTGCTTTTAGGAGAGTTATGTAAAGGTTACACATATCAGTTATGTTCATAGTCTTTGTGCTAAAACTTGGTCATTTGGCAACAGTAAGCCACAAGGGAGGTCCAAATAAATTGTTGGTCTGCTAAAAATCAGGGAGCCTCTATTTCTAAAAGGTTTAGGGAAATATGAATAATGGGAGGAGGCATTTAGAAGCCTCATTACCTTTACAGAATTGTTATACAATTAAATATAATAATGTACCTACAGTACCTAGCATAGTTATATTGTAAATGCTTAGTAAATATTACCCTTATCTCTCTCCTGCTTCTCCATTCCCAAGCACTTGGGCCTATGTCTTTCACACTGAGATTTAGTCTTAAGTCATTCTGATACATAAATATTAATAAAAATGATTCTCTACAACCCTGTGTCTGGGCCAATGTTGGAACTACTCCCAATATATAGACTACTCCCAATATATGTTTCTCTTTCAGGATTTTGTTCTCTTTTTCTTTTGTCCTCAGTAGCCTTGCCACCAACACCATCTCCCATGAGCACACATGCACAGGGACCCCTATGCGATGATCCTGGAGGTCTTACTCTGAAGTGAATGACATCTTGCTAGTGATGACTTTTTTTTTTAGATGGAGTCTCCCTCTATCACCCAGGACATAGTGCAGTGGTGCGATCTTGGCTCACTGCAACCTCCACCTCCTGGGTTCAAGCGATTCTTCTGCCTCAGCCTCCCAAGTAGCTGGGACTACAGGTACACACCACCACGCCTGGCTAATTTTTGTATTTTTAGTAGAGACAGGGTTTCACTATGTTGGCCAGGCTGGTCTTGAACACCTGACGTCAGCTGATCCTCCCACCTCAGCCTCCCAAACTGATTTAAATTCTGGCTCAAGAACTTCCTAGGGATGTCACTTTTTAGTTATTTGTATATGTGGTGACAACGTCTGAGCTCAATGTCCTCATCTGAAAAAAAATGGGGATAGTAATATTTGTTTTACAAAGTTGTCGTAAATGAATTGGAAAGTAGAATGTGCTAAGCCCCTATTTGCCTGGTCCTTTAAGTATTATTCCAAAAAATTATTTATAATACCCTATACATTCTGAAATAGTATCTCAATTTTCTAGAAAAGTAACTGTAACTAGGTAAGGCAAATTTGTTTGCCTAAAGTTACACGTGCACACAATATCAGGAGGAGAAATAGATGGGATTTGAACTCGGGTCTCTCTGATAACAAAATCAGTGCCCTTTACATTGACAAAGGTTTTCTTTCATGTCTTTCTCTAGCATAGATTACTCAAGAGGCTTTAAACTACTTCTGTCACTTAAAGTGGGAGCTAAAGGATGAGAACATCATAGAGGGGAACAACACATACTGGGGCCTATCAGAGTGTGAAGGGTGGGACGAGGTAGAAGATCAGGAAAAATAACTAATGCGTACTAGGCTTAACACCTGAGTGATGAAACAATGTGTACAACAAACCCCCGTGACACATGTTTACCTATGTAACAAATACACATCCTGCACATGTACCCCTGAACTTGAAATAAAAGTTAAAAAAAAACCCAAAAAACAAAAAACAAGATGCCCTGTGTGTGAACTTACAGAATATGAGACAATAGCTTCCCCAAGTGGGAGATTACAGAACAGAATGCACAGTCCTCTCTTTGCCTTGGAAAGAGTAATGGTGTGGAGAATGAATGGCTCGGGGAGTGGTCTTGGCCACTGATCTCCCCTTCCCCTGCCTGGCTCTTACCAAAACCACAATCAGGCAATCCCCGCAAGCTGAGCTTATCACTGGGATCCTGGCACTGTCAAAGGGGCTGACCCAAGCCTGTCTTACACTGCCTGCAGCTAGTTGCACAAGCCGCTGACCTACATGGAAAGCATTGCATTTCATGAGAATGAAATAGGACATTGGACAAGAGCTCCACATTTCCTGCCATCAGATTTACTTCATTTTCGGGAATGGCCCTGCTAACCTATGATTTCAAAGGAGTCCAAAGAATTTTGGAGTCTAGCAATCAGTTACACTGGTAGTCTCTTTTTTCCTCTATGTCTCTGTGTGGCATGTTCCTTTCTGCATGTATGCATTCACATGCATTCGTAAAGACAGGCTTGAGGAACTCTCTGCTCCACATACACCAAGGTGTCCTGTGGTATGTCAGAGCAGCTGTGGTATAACGAAAGGAGCACAATTTTTGGCATCAGAATACCTGGATTAAAATCCTAGGCTTCTTACTTGCAATGTGACCTGGGGTACTTCTCTGGGTCTTAGCTTTTCTAAATGGAAAACAAAGCTAATAAACCCTACTTCATAAAGCTGCTGAAGGATTTAATGATATTACAGATGGGTGACAGTGTGCTCAGTGTGCTGTCATGAAAAGAGACCTGAGTTCAAATCCAGAATCTATCTCCTAAAGGCCATGTGAATCAGGCCAATGTATTAAACTTCTCTTTTCTTCAGTTTATGCATCTCTAAAATGGGAGTCCTAATGATACCTCCACCCAGGGTTTGGTTTTGGGGTCAAATGGGACAATGGCTCAAATCCTCTAGTGAGGTCCCCAGTATACAGCAGTGATGCAGTAAGTTGCTGTCTTTCTAGCCTTTTTTCAGCCATTATGTGAAAACTCATTGTACACTTCCAAGTGGTGTTCAAATAAAAGATGATTCTGTAACAGTGGTAGTTGCCAAAGTAAGTGACATGACTCATTTTAAGGAACCTAGTAAAAGACAGGGGTGTGCACTTTGAAACAGAGCAGGCTGAACTGTGTCTCAGAGAGACTTCTTTATGAGTGTCTGTTTCTGTAGGTGGGCCCCTGGGGCTTCCTCACCACTGAGTTAACGGGCTGCTTAATGGAAGCCCCTGATTATGACTCAGTGGAGAACCCACTTGTCTCCCTCTTGTGATGCAAAAGGCATTTTAACTGCTTTTATTCCTCTTTAGCATTTACTGCTGCAGTCTAACTGGGTGGGTCACAAGAGGATTGTCCTCCCTAAGGGTCATCTCCTGAATTACCAGCCCTAGGTGCCAATCATTGCCTTTGTAAAGATCCATCTCGATCCTGGATCCTCCCTCTCACCTTATTTTATAACTGGCTTCTCGGCGTCATAAGGAGCAACCAGCTTTTCAGTAATAGGTAAGGTCAAACATGGCCCTTTGGAATGTATGTTGAGGGACCTTCATCCCAACTCTGAGAGCCCCACATGGGACAAGATTTCATCTTCATGAAAAGTCCAGTGGGGTATGATATGGTTTGGATCTGTTTCCCCACTCAAATACCATGTTGACATATAATCCCCAATGCTGGAAGTGGGGCCTGGTGGGAGGTGATTTGATCTTGGGGACAGTTTCTAATGGCTTAGCACCATCCCCCTAGTGCTGTTCTCATAATAAAGTTCTCAAGAGATCTGGTTGTTTTAAAGTGTATATCACCTTCCTCTCTCTCTCTTCCCCCTGCTCTGGCCATGTGAGGCGCTTGCTCCCCCTTTGCATTCTGCCATGACTGAAAGATTCCTGAGGCCAACTCATGCTTCCTGTACAGCCTGCAGAACCATGAGACAATTAAACCCTCTTTTCTTTATAAATTACCCAGTCTCAGGTACTTCTTTATAGCAGTGCAAGAACTAACTAGCACAGGGTAGAATTTTCCCTCAAGCTCCTTCTCTTTCAAGCTCAAGAGAAGTCCTTAAGAAGAACTTTAAATTGTATCTTCCTGCCCTATCCTGACTTCCTGCTTAGTATTTCCCACCACCTCCACCAGCCATACCCTCACTGTCTGTCCACAGGGCCATTCTGTGCCATGGCTGCCAAAGCCACCCACCACAGCATTCCACCTGTGCCGTTCTTCTCCATATGCTTGTCCTAGGAACTTAAGGGCCCACAGCTGACAGGAAATTATATACTGGACTAATTTATTGTTAACAAATAATAATACATTATTTCAACTTTATTTAAATCAAATGTATAGTCATCAAGCAGCAATGGTCCAGGTGCTGTGTCAGGCACTATGTAAACAGACTACACTACTGTAGGAAGTTTATACTCTTTATCTCATTTAATACTCAAAAAGTAGGCATAACTATTCCTGCTCTCAAGGAAAAAACTCAGACCGAGAAAGGCTTGCCGACTTGTTCAAGGTTACTAGGCCCTCTCTATTGCACAATTTGTGGGAGGGATACCATTCCCATAGTAGCCCATGCAAATGGTACTCCCCGGATTTATGTTCCAGGACATAGAATACAAAGGGAAAAGTACTCTTGGAGTCACGCACAGCAGTGGTTTTTTTGTTTGTTTGTTTGTTTGTTTGCTTTGTTTTGTTTTGTTTTTTTGAGATGGAGTCTTGCTCTGTTGCCCAGGCTGGAGTGCAGTGGTGTGATCTCGGCTCACTGCAAGCTCCACCTCCCGGGTTCACGCCATTCTCCTGCCTCAGCCTCCCAAGTAGCTGGGACTACAGGTGCCCGCCACCACGCCTGGCTAATTTTTTGTATTTTTAGTAGAGACGGGGTTTCACTGTGTTAGTTAGGTTGGTCTCCATCTCCACAGCAGTGGTTTTGATGGTCTCCCAGCAGGTAGTGACAGGATCAAGAACTGAAACTATTTCTAATATTGAAGTTCAGTGCTTCTACTTCACATGCCAAAAATTAATCTCTAGCATAATGTCAACTCTCTTTACTTATAAATCACATGAAAAAGGAGTGGTTGTTGGCTTGCATAAAATAACTTGGATATTCAAGTGAGGATGGCTAATCCAAACAATGCTTAGCATTCTCATTTGCATAAAGAGCTTTGAGTTCATATGCAGTACTGGGAGTAGCACTCCAAGGTGAGTCCTCACAGTTCAGAAAGGTATAGCCAATACCCCATATAGGAAGGAGCCAGGCAATGGGGAAAGAGCATAGGTCAGACAGAGCTGGGCTTGACTTTGCAATTTGCCATTTGTTAGTGTGACCTGGGACAAAAAATAAGTTCTTCTGAGCTTCACTTTTATCTGTTGCAGAGAACAGTCCATTTACTTAAACCTAGTTACCTTAGGTTCACCAGATAGGATTCACTGAATTGTTTCTAATGCCATAATTCAGTGCTTTTAAAAGTGAATAAAATTTTGAGGTTACCAAGACAATTTTAAATTAAATAGATAATTTAAAAAATCTCCTTTATCCTGAATAAATTTTAACAACTACTTTCTTCAATTATAGACACTGTTTATAGTCAATGGGTGGATCCAGCATTTTAATCAGTTTTACTGATTTTAAAGTCAATGTTTCTTCTATTATATTCCCCTGTCCTCAATTGTTTTTAGCTCATCTTTTAAAAAAACTTAAAATAATATGTATTTCAGTTATGCTTTAGTGATTTTTAAGTACTCAATCAAATTTTCATCCAGCTCTGGTCATATATTTTGTCTTCTACTTTGTTGGTGGCTTAAGAGTTTGCAAGTATGCCAGTTCCCCCATGAGGACCACTGTCCACACACACACTCCGCTCTTCCCCTTCAGCTGCTCAAAGATTCTCTATGCTGTCCTTGTGAGTTTTTGTGCTTGAAGAATCAATCAGAATTAGGAGATGTGCTGACAGCCACACAAGCTGATTTCCTGAACCTCTTAGTCCACAGGTCCAGAAAGGAAATGCAGACTCTCATTTGTAATAAAATGACAAGGATATTGTGGTGGGAAGGCTTGTCTCTTCCTAATATGGGCCACTTACTGGCATTTTTCTTCATTTTTATGTGAGTTAAATTCCCATTGATGTGGGTGATGACTGTTGGTCAAACACCACTCCTGCATCTGGGTCCGGCATACTCCCTCAGTGTCCCAGTGGTAAACACAGAGGAATTGAAAGACAGAATGACTTCACCTCTGAAGTCCTATTTGGTGCACATTTTGATCCCAGGGACCAACCATGCAGGAGGCCTAGGGTGTTTTCACTCGGGCACAACCATGAAAGTGTTGTGTATTTTTTTCCCCTTGGTGGAAAAATGATGGCTTTGCTTTCTTGAAGCATTCCTGTTGGCTTATTCATGGAACCCAAAGAGGGCGACATCCAAGGAGGGCAGCATGCAGCCTTCTGTTTCCCAGCCAGAGTCAGGGTTTGGCAAAGAGTTAAAGCTGGGAGGGAGGCGGGACTGCCCAGTGCAGTAGGTGAGAGAAGAGTTGGCCAAAAGGTAGGAAAGACTTGAAACCAAAATCCACACTCTGATGTGCGGGGCCTCCCAGTGAGAAAAAACACTCACCAGACACCCACATACTTATTTGTGTTGGAATAGGGTATGCAGCGCCCAGGAGGCTGTTGAAACAGAGTACGGACACCCTTCAATGGGCTGGGGGAGCTGTGGAAAGCAGGGCTTGGGAGGAGGAGTGAAGGGGAGAATGGCCAAGGCAGGGCTGTGTCTCCCTTGCTGAAAGAATCCTTTTTGCAGGTTTACTTGGGATGGAGCTATAGGCTGTGTCCTGTGTGGGTGGTGGGTGGCGAGACTTATGAGAAGTAGGGAACTTTCTTTTCTCTGGAGCCAGACAGACTTAGGTTTCACTCCAGACTCCACCACTTATGAGCATTGGATTCTTGGGGAAAAGTCACTTAAGTTGTCTGAACCTCAGTTTCCTAATGAGTCAAATGGGAATAAAATTGTGGTTTTTTAATGAGTACTCAATTTGGTATTGCATATGAAAAGTTAGCCTTGGTGTGCCTGGCCCTCGTCAATTTTCAGTAATTAGCTGCTAATTTTTCACGTGTTAGGTGACAGGTTGTATATAGGAAGGGCAGTCTCATAGAATGGTGTTAGAGTGTCTCCTCCTGGGTATAATTTCTGGCTTTACCTGGTACTGGGCTTATGACTTAAGCATGTTTCTTAACATTGCTAAACTTCAGTTTATTCCATCATAAAAAGATTATCATATCATTCTACTTTTTCATCAAGAGGACTAGTTGGGATAATGCATGAAAAACACTTAGCATAGTGCCTTAATAAATAACACCATAAGAGTTGACTGAGATGCTAGCAATGGTGAAGCTGTGATTGCGTATAGCTTCTGAAGACAGAGATTGCATAGTCTAGACCATGGTTCCTCACTGAGGGTCCTCAGGAGACATTTGATGATATCTGGAGACAATTTTAGTTTTATAACTTGTGGGAGAATGGGGGAGATTGCTATTGTCATCTAATGGAGAGAAACAAAGAATGCTGCTAAACTTTCCACAGTACACTGAACAGATCTCCACAACAAAGAATTAACAAGCCCAAAACATCAACTGTGACAAGGCTGAGAAACCCCAGTCCATACCAGGTGCTTTGGAAAGACTTAATTGACATAAAGTAGACATCGGAAGGTCTACCTGAATTATAATCAGGGATAACTAAGTTTTTCAGTTGTTAAAATACAAAGCATGTGTCACCCTCTAGGTTGTGTATCTTCTAGAGACCTTGCCATAGTCACCATTATCCCCTGTAACTTGGCACAAGTTATGCATTTACAAAATGTCTTTCAAATCAATGCATAAAGTTGCCTGATGAGTTCCAGTGCAAGGTTAAATATTCAACTAGTATTTGATAATCTGTAGAGGACTTTCACCTTGAAACAAAATGGGAAAATGGGTCAGTTTTTGGAGAGAGCATCACACAGGGTAATCAAAACTGGAACTGAGAAACTAAAGTAGCAGAAAACACAGGAAAGTTACTGCTTGGCATGTACCACCAATTTGGGACTGGGAAGGCTGGGAGTGGATTTGCCTTTCTAATTAGGTTTGACTTGGGCTAATATTGAAGTGAGCTTTTGTTCCCTAAGTAGACACCAGCTGGGAGGCGGTCCAGGAACGTGCTGGGTGGTAGGGTGAAGTCAGCCTGATATTACACATTTTCTCTGGGTGACCCATAAATAGATCATTCACACATGGACATATGAGACCAGTCTATAAACTCAGCTCTGATGCAGAATGTCCTGAGAGGTTAGACTCCTGAGTCACTCTGATGACAGTTCAAATCCAGTCTCCATTACTTGCTCACTGTGTGGCCTTGCAAAAGATATTTAGCTTTTCTGAGCCTCACTTTTTTCTCAATCTGGAAAATTCAGATGAATAATATTTACTTCAGGAGGTTGTTATGAAGGATAAAAAAAAAACAAAAGAGATAAGAGATTATGTTGACTCCTACTACAGAAAACCTAGAAGGGGCTAAAATGGATTACACCATGTATTGATTTAGGGAATAACTCCCCCAAGTAGATGAATTATTGCTTACTTAATTTTTGTATTACGTCTAGTACCTACCAACACTTACCTATCCCATTGTATGGGCTCCTAAATGCTCTTGCAGATAATCCCTTCTACCTCACCACAACAATTGTCCTTAGAAATACTTCAGAGCATTCCTCCTAAAGGATAACACCAGTCAAACCACTCCAAAATTTGGAAATGCTTCTTGTGACCTACAGAAGATAGTCTAAAATTCTTGGCAAGGCATTAAAGCCTTCATCCATCTAGTCTCCACCAATGCTCCACCCCTAATTCTTGCCAATGCCTGCATCCCCACACACAGGTAAATTCTGGGCCACAGGCTTTCCAGGTTACTTGCTATTTCCAGAATATTCATATAATTGTTATTCCTTTAGGTCTTTGCTCCTGTTCTTTCCTCAGCTTGAACCAATCCTTTTTAATGTAGTCATATTAAGTTTTTGATGCCCAGGTCAAAGCTCATCTTTTTCCAGGAAACCTCTCTTCATTTTACTTCTCGTAGTTGGAATTATATTTCTTATTCCATGGGCCTCCAAAGCACTTGCTGGCTTTATCTTATGATGTCTGTGCTTTCTATCCATGCTTTTATGGCAGTTTAGCTCACATCTTTACCCCTTTGTGAAATGAGGAGCTTTATACAAACATTAGAAATCTTTGTGACCCTTCCTCCCATCACTCTCCCTTCACCTAGAATAGTATCTTGCACTGGGGAGGCACTCGACAAATGTTGGATTAAGCCTCAAAATTATCAAGGAGTTCATCCCTTAAGGGAATTTCTGTTGCCAAAGGTGTATCCCTTTATCATACCAAAATGTCCCCCCAAAAGAAGGAGTGCTGGAATAAATTTCATTTTCTCTACAACCAGAGCAAATTCATGTCTACCCTCCACTCTTGAGGTAACTTGAAAGTCCATGGGTTACTTCTTCATATTTCCTACATCTCAATGTACTCCTTAGCACTTTTAAAGAGTACAGTATGGAAAAAAAAGGGGGCAGAAAAGTCTACTGGAGAAACATGACAAACACCACCTTAGCCAAATGACCAAGACTAACACCAACAGTGGTATGTTGTGTTGATACCCTTCATATAGTACAATGAGAATGGAGCTTCTCCTTTGGACTTTCTCCACGAAGTGCTGTATAATCATAGGAGAAACATCAGAAAAACTCAAGTTGAAGGATATTCTACAAAATACCCGATCTGTATTCCTCAAAACTCTTGTGACTATTAAAAAGCAATAAAAGTTTGAGAAACTATCACAGTTTCTCAAAGAGGAGAAAGAGGAGCCTAAGGAGTCATGCCATCTAAATGTAATGTATCCTGAATGGGATCGCGGGACAGAAAAGGAACATTAGGTAAGAACTATGGGAATTTGAATAAAGTGTGGATTTTTTTTATTAATAATGCATCCATATTGGTTCTTTGGTTGGGACAAATATGCATAGTGAAGTTAGCTGTTAACAATAGGGGAAATTGGTGTGGGGCATATACACACTCTCTGTACTACTTCGCAATTTTGTTGAATGCCTAATGAGTAAACGATAAAGGGTATTTGGATTTGACCTCCCTATGAAGAATTAGAAAAAAACTGAACAGTTTAAAACATGTGGCTATAGCATAGTGATCAATAACCCTAAGCAAGTAATTTGAACCTCTTTGTTTACTCATTCATTTAATAATAGTTTTTAGATGTGTGTAATGTGTGGCATAGGACAAATTAATCTATACAAGATGCCTAGCACACAGCAAATGCTCAATGAATGTTGCCTTCCTTTTGTTGTATTAGGCTTGCTGGCAAGTCACTTAACCTCTCTATGGACAATGAGGTATTTGCTATTGAATGGAATTGAAAGAACATTTATTTAAACAAAAACTGTAGTTATTACTGCCTTCTAATTGAGTGGGATAGCGTAATCTCTATCAGCAGGGAAATAAATATCTACACTCTCTTCTTCCAGTTACAGAGACTGATGGAAGAACAGGAAAGATAAAAATTTTAAAGCTTCTCACATTTCTTTTGTGCTGATAAAAAGTGAGTCCAAGGGTAGATGAACCTTTGTTTTAGCAGGCACATTAATGAAATGGTATTTTAAAAAATAGACCTATAATCCAATAGAGGGTGGAGAGTTCACAACAGCTGACCCATTCTGCATAATTAAGTTAGGTAATTAAGATGAAAAGAGCATAAAAATGTGTGTGTGTTCCAGTGAGTAGTGTTGAGCTACAGAGCAGGAGGCTGCAACCTTTCCAGAAATGTGACCAGTAAGAGATTTTCTACGGAGGCATAGTCCAAGGACTTTTATCTACTTATTTTTTCAGGATCTTATTCAAGATACATTTTATTTTTCTTTTCTTATTTAACTGTTATTTTAGTTTCAGGGGTACATGTGCAGGTTGGTTCTATAGATAAATTGCATGTTGTGGGAGTTTGGTGTACTGATTATTTCATCATTCAGGTAATAAGCACAGTGCCTGATAGGTAGTCTTTCAGTCCTCACCCTCCTCCCACCCTCTACCCTCAAGTGCGCCCCAGGGTCTACTGTTCCTTTCTTTGTGTCCATGTGTACTCAATGTTCAGCTCTCACTTATATGTGAGAACATGTGGTATTTGGTTTTCTGTTCCTGCATTTGTTCACTGAGGATAATGGCCTCCAGCTGCATCCATGTTGCTGCAAAGAGCATGATTTTATTATCTCTTATAGTGGCGTAGTATTCTGTGCTGTATATGCACCACATTTTCTTTATACAGTCTACTGTTGATGGGAATTTAGGTTGATTCCTTGTGTTTGCTATTGCAAATAGTGCTGCAATAAACATGCATCTCTTCATGGTAGAATGAATTATATTCCTTTAGGTATACACCCAGTAATGGGATTACTGGGTCAGTATTTCTGTTATAAGTTTTTCGAGGAATCACCAAACTGCTTTCCACAATGGGTAAACAAGTTTATATTCCTATCAGCAGTGTATAAGCATTCCATTTTCTACAGAACCTTGCCAGCGTCTGTTATTTTTTTGGCTTTTTAATAATAGCCATTCTGACTGGTGTGATGTGTTATCTCATTGTGGTTTTCATTTGCACTTTTCTAAATTAGTGATACTGAGCATTTTAGCATATGCTTGTTGGTCACTAGTATGTCTTCTTTTGAAAACTGTCTACCCATGTCCTTTGCCCACTCTTTAATAAGGTTGTTTGTTTTTTGCTTGTTAATTTAAGTTTCTGATAGATTCTGGATATTGGACTTTTGTCAGATGCACAGTTTGTAAATATTTTATTCCATTTTGTAGGTTGTCTGTTTAATCTGTTAATACTTTTATTTATTTATTTATTTTGCTATGCAGAAGCTCTGTAGTTTAATTAGTTCCCATTATATCAATTTTTGTTTTTGTTGCAATTGCTTTTGGCATCTTCTTCATGAAACCTTTGGCAGGGCCTATGTCCAGAATGTTATTTCCTAGGTTTTCTTCAAGAGATTTTATAATTTGGGGTTTTATATTTAAATCTTTAATTCATCTTGAGTTGACTTTTGCATATGGTGCAAGGAAGGGATCCAGTTTCAGTCTTCTACATGTGGCTAGTCAGTTATTCCAGCACCATTTATTGAATAGGGAGTCCTTTCCCCATTGCTTGTTTTTGTCAACTTTGCCAAAGATCAGAAGTTTTCAGGTATGGAGCCTTATTTCTGGGTTCTCTCTTCTGTTCCATGGGTCTATGTGTCTGTTTTTATACCAATACCATACTGTTATAGTTATTGTAGCCTTGCAGTATAGTTTAACGTCAAGTAATGTGATGTCTCTAGGTTTGCTATTTTTGCTTAGGATGCCTTTGGCTATTTGGGCTCTTTTGGGTTCCATATGAACTTTAGAATAATTTTTTTCTAATTCTGTGAATAATTTGATTGGTAGTTGGATAGAAATAGCATTGAATCTGTACATTGCTTTGGGTAGTATGGCCATTTTAAAAATATTGATTCTTCCTATCCATGAGCATGGAATATTTTTCCATTTATTGGTGTCATCTCTCATTTCTTTCTGCAGTGTTTTATAGTTCTCCTTGTAGAGATCTTTCACCTCCCTGTATTAGCTATATTTCTATGTATTTGGTTTTTTTGTGGCTATTGTAAATGGGATTGAATTCTTGATATGGAACTCAGCTTGGACATTGTTAGATTATAGAAATACTACTGATTTTTATACACTGATTTTATATCCTGAAACTTTACTGGGGTTGTTTATCAGATCTAGGAGCTTTTGGGCAGAGACTACGGGGTTTTCTAAGTATAAAATCATATCATCTGCAAACTGGGGTAGTTTGATTTCTCTTCCTATTTGGATAATTTTTACTTATTTCTGTTGCCTGATTGCTCTGGTTAGAACTTCCAGTGCTATGTTGAACAGGAGTAGTGAGAGTGGGCATCCTTGTTTTGTTCCAGTTCTTAAGGGGAATGCTTCCCACTTTTGCTCATTCAGTATGATGTTGACTGTGGGTTTGTCATAGATGTCTCCTATAATTTTGAGGTATGTTCATTCAATGCCTAGTCTGTTGAGGCATGAAGGGATACTGAATTTTATCAAAAGTCTTTTCTGCATCTATTGACATGATCATGTGCGTTTTGTTTTTCGTCCTGTTTATGTGATGAATCACATTTATTGATTTGATACATTGCCATGAACCAACATTCCATCCCAAGGATAAAGCCTACTCAATATGATGGGCTAGCTTTTTTTTTTAATGTGCTGCTGGATTTGGTTTGCTAGTGTTTTGTTGAGGATATTTGCATCTCTGTTCATCAAGGATATTTTATTTGCCTGGAGTATTCTTTTTTATTGTGTCTCTACCATGTTTTGATATCAGAATGATTCTGGCCTCATAGAATGAGTTAGGGAGGAGTTCTTCCTTCTCAATTTTTGGAGAATTTCAGTAGGAATGGTACCAGCTCTTCTTTCACATCTGGTAGAATTTGGCTGTGAATCCTCCTGGTCCTGGGCTTTGTATCTTTGGCATGCTTTTTATTACTGACTCAATTTCAGAACTTGTTATTGATGTGCTCAGGGTTTCATTTTCTTCCTGCTTCAATCTTGGGAGGTTGTATGTTTCTAGGAATTTGTTCATTTCTTGTAGGTTTTCTGATTTGTGTGCATAGAGGTGTTCATAATACTCTCTGAAGGTTTTTAAAATTTTCTATGGGGTCAGTGGTAATGTCCACTTTGTCATTTCTGATTGTGTATTTGGATCTTCCCTCTTTTTTATTAGTCTACCTAACAGTCTCTCGATCTTATTCTTTATTCTTTCAAATAACAGACTTCCAGTTTTGTTCATCTTTTGTATGATTTTTTGCTTCTCAATTTTATTCAGTCTAGCTCTGATTTTGATTATTTCTTGTCTTCTGCTACCTATGGGGTTGGTTTGCTTTTGTTTTTTTTTTTTTTTTAGTTCCTCTAGGTGTCATGTTAGGTTGTTAATTTGAGATATTTAAAACTTTTTTATGTGGGTGGTGTTTAATGCTAGAAACGTTCCTATTAGCACTGCTTTAGCTGTATCCCAGAGACTCTGGTATGTTGTACGTTTGTTTACATTAATTTCAAAGAATTTCTTGATATTTGCCTTAATTTCATTATTTATCCAGAAGTCATTCAGGAGCAGGTTGCTTAATTTCCATGTAATTGTATCACTTTTGAGTGGTCTTCTTAGTATTGAGGTCTATTTTTATTGCACTATGGTCTGATAATGCGGTTGGTATAATTTCTTTTGTAAAAAAATAAATTTTGCTGAGAATTATTTTGTGGCCAAGTGTGTGTTCAATTTTAGAGTAGGTGCCATGTGCAGATGAGAAGAATGTACATTCTGTTGTTTTTGGGTGGAGAGTTCTGTAGATGTCTGTTAGGTCCATTTGGTCAAGTGTTGACTTTAGGTCTCAAGTATCTTTCTTAGTTTTGGCTATGGAATCTTTTCTGGCCTCTGTGGACAGTAGTCTTGCTCGGGCCCACTAGGTTCATTTTATCCACTCAGGCTGGCAGGCTGTGCTCAGCTCACGCCACCAGCCTGGATGCCACATCTCCAAGGGAGACTGCAAGTCAGGCACAGAGCGAGGGGTGTGTGAGTGAGCATGGAGTCCTGCCACTGTGCAGTCGGACATGTTGGCTGCTGCTGCAGGGTAGGCAGCTCCAGGTGCTGGCATGGGCACCAGCTCTCTATGAGGCTGTGGCTGGATCAAGAGCATTGCAAGCAGCTTCCCCGGCTGGTACTGGGGAAGTTCTTGTCCTGTGACCAGGAAGAATGAAGTATGCAGACAAGTAGAGGGTGAACAAGATGAAGAAGAGCTTTATTGAGAGATAGAACAGCTCAGAGGAGACCCACAGTGAGTACTGGGTAGTTCCTTTCCACAACCAGGTGTCCCAACAAGTGTTCAGCTCCTAGCAAAGAGGAGACCCTGGAGTGGGAAGCTCCTCCCTGTAGGCAGATCATTCCATTGTCTCTGCAGCTCTCAGCAGAGAGGAGGCCCTAGAGTGGGTGGCTCCTCTCTGCAGGCAGGTCATCTTGTTGTCTATCCCATCATCTTTCCATCTTCTCCTCAAGTCTGACTGAGCCTGGGGTTTTTATGGATCTCAGAGGGGAGAAAGTACATGCTGGGTGGTCCATGGGTGGCCATGAGTGGGCCCAGGGTAAAGCACCACAAGCTCCCCCTCTGGTCTGTGGGACAGGCAGCCTGGTCCCCAGGCTTCAGGCCCTCCCCAGCTTGAAGGTAGGGCTTCACTGAGGACCCACCCCCTTCCATCTAGAAGCCTGTCTGCCTCCTGCTGCTGTTCATGGCGCCTAGAATATTCATGCCCAGGGACACCTGCAGGCCAGTCTGGGCTGTTCTCAGCAATCCCTTGGCCTCCCTCCCATGCTTGTTGGTGCACAAAGTCTGGAGGGGATTGAAGTAGCAGGGGGCTGGCATGTCAGTGCTGCCCCAAGTGTGTGCACACCCTGCCAGGCTGTGACAGTGCTTGTGCTTGGTCTGAACTCTGCTCCATGATCAGAGAGGATGGGACAGTGGGAAGAGGCCCAGCGTGGGAATAATACCTCTGAGCCTGTGGCAGTAAGGGGGGCTTTCCCAGGACCCCCAGGAGTGCAGAGATGCCTGGGTCTGCAGCTGCACCTGGGGCAGCCACAGCTGTGCTCATGGAGCTCCCACCCCACCAACTTAGAAGGGGTGGGGATCCCACTTATCCCTGCTCCCAATGCCTCCATGGACTGTGCTGCCCTGGCTGCACCCCCTCGCAGCCTGGTGTGGGGACTCCAGGTCTTTGTTGGGCCTGGGCTGGTGTCTGGGGCAGGGGTGACATCACCATGAGCTCCCCCATGGCCCTGGTGCTCAGGGGAGGCACAGGGCTCCCCATCACCTGGCTTGTGGCCCTGCCCAGGGGGCACATCTGGGAGTGGATTGTGGGCTCTGGGCCTGGCTGTCAGGAGTGTCAGGCTCTGCGGTCACCCCGATATGAGGCAGACCCCAGGGACGTGGCCCAGGGCAGCCCCCCACAAAGCCACCTCCTGAGGCACAGGAACCTTCCCACTTCCTGTCCCAGGCCCCTGAGGCATGGCCCCAGCTTCATGCCCCAGGCTCAGCCCCCGCACTCCATGTGCAAGCAGAGGACTGCCCTTGGCCCATCTCTGCTTCAGAGTCCCTCTCTGCCTGACCACACTGCTCCCCTATTGGCAGGCAACTTGGCCCAGCCCCATTTCAGTGGCCCCCAGGGTGGCAGGTTGTAGGGGGTTCGCAGGGGTGGGCTCCAGGGCCGTCTGCCTCCTTCCCACACTCTCCCTGCAGTGGCAGTGGGCGAGAGCAGAAATGCAGGGCCAGGGCCCAGAGCAACAGAGGCTCTGGGACTGGAAGTGGATTCCACCCCGCAGTGAGAGAATGGGGCCACACAGTTGGCCGTCTTGGTTATGCAGGGCACAGGGGACCCACTGCCACCACTGCCACGCCTGCAGCCATTCCTGCTGCTACTGCTCACACCTCCCCACTGCAGCCAGCATGATGGCAGCAGCTGCCCCAGATGGCCTGCCACTGCCCTCATTTTATGCCTCAGTTATCTGTCTAATATGGCCAGTGGGGTGTTGAAGTCTCCCACTATTATTATGTGGCTATCTAAGTTTCTTTGCAGGCCTCTCGAGATTTGCTTTATGAATGTGGCCACTCGTATGTTGGGTTCATATATATTTAGGATAGCTAAGTCTTCTTATTGAATCAAACCCTTTAAAATTATGTAATTCCCTTCTTTTCCTTTTTTTTTTAAATCATTCTTAGTTTAAATTCTTTTTGTCTAAAATTAGAAGAGCAACCTCTGTTTTTAATTTGTTTGTTTGTTTGCTAGGTAGATTTTTCTCCATCCCTTTAATTTTTACCTATGGGTGTCATTATATGTGAGATGGATCTCTTGAAGACAGCATACAGTTGGGTCTCGCTTTTTAATCCAACTTGCCCCTCTGTCTTTCAATTGGATGTATTTAGCCCTTTTACTCAAGGTTAATATCGATATGCACAAATTTGATTCTGTCATTGTGTTGTTAGCTGGTTATTATGAAGACTTGGTTGTGTAGTTGCTTTATACTGTCAATAGTCTACGTACTTAAGTGTGTTTTCATGGTGGCCAGTAATGGCCTTTCATTTCCATATTTAGCACTCCCTTAAGGACTTCTTGTAAGGCACGTCTGATGGTAACAAATTCCCTTAAAATCTGCTTGTTTGAGAGGGATTTTATTTCTCCTTTACTTAGGAAATATAGTTTGGGTAGATATGAAATTCGTGGTTGGAATGTCTTTTCTTTAAGATTGCTGAATATAGGACCCCAGTCTCTTCTGGCTTGTAGAGTTTCTACTGAAAGGTCTGCTGTTAGCCTGATTGGGTTCCCTTTGTAGTTAACCTGCCTTCTTCTCTTTAGCTGTCTTTCATATTTTTTCTTTCATGTCAACTTTGGAGAATCTGATGACTGTGTGTTTTGGGGATGGTCATCTTGTATAGTATCTCACAGGTGTTCTCTGCATTTCCTGAATTTGAATGTTGGCTGCTTTAGTGAGCTTGAGGTAATTTTCTTCAACAATATCCTCAAATATGTTTTCCAAGTTGCTTTCTATTCCTCTCTTTCAGAGATGTCAATGAGTCCTCTATTTGGTCCCTTTACCTAATCCCATATTTCTCAGAGGTTTTGTTCATTCTTTTAAATTCTTTTGTCTTTACTTTTTTCCCAGTTGAGTTAATTCAGAGACCCAGACTTTGAGCTCGGAGAGTCTTTCCTCAGCTTGGTCTTTTCTGTTCTTAGTACTTGCAATTGTATTATGAAATTCTTGTAGTGAGTTTTTCAGTTCTGTAAAGTCAGTTTGGTTCTCTCTAAAAATGGCCATTTTCTCTTTCTGCTCTTGTATCATTTTATTGTATTCCTTAGATTCCTTGGATTGGGTTTCAACTTTATTCTGAATCTCAATGATCTTCTTTCCTATCCATGTTCTGAATTCCATATTTGTTATTTCATCCATTTCAGCCTGGTTAAGAGCTATTCCTGGGGAACTAGTGTGGTAGTTTGTAGGTAAGAAGACACTGGCTTTTTCAGTTGCTAGAGTTCTTGCACTGGTTCTTTCTCCTCTCTGTGTGTTGATGTTCCTTCAATCTTTGAAGTTGCTGTCCTTTGAATGGGGTTTTGCTTTTATCTTCTTTGGTGCCTTGGGGGTTTGATTGTGGCAACAGGTGGATTCAGTTGTCTGGCTTCATTTCTGGAAGACTTCAGGGGCCAAATCTCAGTTTAGCACTCCTGAGCTGTATGCTCTAACTCTGGGGGCCTGGTGCTAGGCCCTGTTTTGTTCTCTGGCCCCTTGCAGTAGTGGGGTAGTGGCACCATGTATGCGTTCACACTGGCAGCAGTGGAACAGTGACATTCTTGCATGTGCTCACACTGATGGTGGTGGCAGCAGTGTTGCAATGGGAGTATAGTGCCAGTGGGGACAGGGCAATGGCATCTGTGCTCACACTCATGCTGGTGGCAACAGTGTGGTGGGATGTCTGAATGTTGGCAGGAGTATGGCACTGGCAGAGGCAGGGTGGTGGGGGGAGTAGGGTGTGTGTTCACATGAGCACAAGCAGGGGAAGGGAGGTGAGGTCCACACATTCATGTATGCCAGTAAAGCAGTTGGGGTGTGAGGTGTGAGTGAGTGAATGCCAGCAAACTGACATGGGGAGGCTGCAGTGCAGGAAGGCTGTGGGTGGCTGGTACACATTAGCACAGGCTGGCCAGCAGGAGCTACCTAACAGTTAGGCGGGGTCTTCTGATGAAGGAGCTATGATGAGGGCTCCTGGAAAGCACCCTGCTTGGGCATCTGAGGCTACGGTGCAAGCAGGCATGGCCAGGCTGGGCTGGGACCCTAGGAAAGGCTGGCACACAGGGGAGCACTCAGATCAGACTGGCACTGGCAAGACCACTGTTCTCTGCCCAGGTCCAAGAGTCACCCAAAGGCTAAAGTCTCCTAGAGGAACATGGTGAGCCTTAGGGGATGGACATTCCTGGCCATGCTCCACTGCAGCTGTTTCCATGTCAAACCCTCTGATCTCTGCACAGCCTGAAGTCTTGTCTCTGCCACCCCTCTAAGCAGCTCTCCCTGCTGGCTGAAGTGTCTGCGGGGTTCATGGGGTCTCCTACGGCTAGGATTCCAGAGGTCTGTGGCAAGAGTCAGCTACCCCTTGCCTGTTCAACTCACCCCTTCCCAAGGAGTTGCTGGGAGCCAGGAATTAGTCCCAGCACTCAGCAGCACTGTGCAGTGTTTCCAGCTTTCTCCCTCTTCAACCCAGTGTCTACATCCTCCCTCCATCAACTCTCAATGCCTTCCCTCCAAAGATCTGCTTGGAGTATACCTGTCTTCCAGACTGGCAGTCTCTCATTGGTAGATGCTCCTCCTGGCTGTGTCCAGTTGGCCATCTTGGCTTCTGGCCAAGGACTTTGAAAACAAGGATGTCTAAAACTTTCATTTTAACTTTTGTTTCTCTGTAATACAAATGCTTTCCAGCCAGGCACAAAGGCTCACACCTGTAATCCCAGCACTTTGGGAGGCTGATGCAGGATAATCACTCGAGGCCAGGAGTTTGAGGTTACAATGAACTATAATTATGACACTGTACTCCAGCCGGGGTGACAAAGTGAGACCTTGTCTCTAAAAATAAATAAATAAATAAATGCTTTCTATCATCCCAATTTTCAAAAAGTCTACTAAGGGTACAAGATGTTGGCATGAAAGATTCTGGTGAAAATCAAAAACCTCATCATCTATATTGGTACCAAACAAAAGAAAAAGTACCAGCCAGGGGAATGAAATGAAAAAGAGAATTTAGGTTTATCAGAAAGAGAAATTTGTATATAGGAATAATCATGGAGCACATATATCCCTGGGAATTTGCAGAAAGTTGGGTTTGGGCATTACATTTGGGCTGATTTCAATAAGTGGGAACATGCATGTGTTGTGAGCGTGTGATTATGTATGTGTGTGTTCACCTTCCCAGTATGGGTCCTCGAGGATAAGGTAAGGACTAATGTTTCCTATGCTTACAGTACTCTCAGACATGTGCCCTCTCCATGGCTGATAGGTCCAAACGCACAAACAGAATTTGCCATACACTCCATACTCCTAAGCCTCATTCCCTGATATGCTCTCCCATACCAGAATCACCATACCCCACACAATGTCCTTTTTTCAGCTTTATTGGGGTATAACTGATAAATAAAAATCCTATAATTTCAAGGTATATGTTTTGATATACATTGTGAAATACCTTCCACAATCGAATGAATTAACATGTCAGTCACCTCACAGTTACCTTTTTTTGTAGGTATAGTAAGAACAAATTTCAAGTATGCAATACATTATTAATATGGTTAGGCTTTGTGTCTCCACCCAAATCTTATCTTGAATTATAATCCCCATAATCCACACGTGTCGAGAGAGAGAGACCAGGTGGAGGTGATTGGATCATGGGGGCGGTTTCCCCCATGCTGTCCTCATGATAGTGAGGGAGTTCTCAGGAGATCTGATGGTTTTGTAAGTGTTTGGTAGTTCCTTTCGCGTTAATTTTTCCTTCCTGCCACCTTGTGAAAAAGGTGCCTTGCTTCCCCTTTGCCGTCTGCCATGATTGTAAGTTTCCTGATGCCTCCTCCATCATGCTGAACTGTGAGTCCATTAAACCTCTTTCCTTTATAAATTACCCAATTTCATGCAGTTCCTTATAGCAGTGTGAGAACGGACTAATATAATTAACTACAGTCACCATGCTGTGCAGTAGATCTCCAGAACTTTTTCATTTTATAACTGCAAGTCTGTACCCCCTGCCCAACATCTCCCATTTCAGGAAGGACCACAGTTATTCTCAGTTATTTTTTTTATCTACCACTCTTCCCCACCAAGACTGTGGGTACAGACAACATAGACCCTGGGGAGTTTCATCTTGGGTCCCCCGAGCACAGAGCATGGTGCCTTGTTCTTAGGAAGTGCTTAATAAATATTTGGTGAATGACTAACTCAAGATCTCCCCTTCTTGGTAGGTTTAATCATCTGGTTCTTACAAAATGTCAGATGTGGATGCCTTGACTAGTTAGCTCCCTTTAGCATAGAGATTCTCAAACCTGTCTTTATGCTGGAATCATCTGAGGGTTTTAACAATTATTGAAATCTGGATTTCACCCACTTCATCCTCATTTAAGTGGTTTTGCTGCAGCTTGGGTGTGGGGACCTTGGAAGCCTCCTCAGCTGGTGCTGATGTGCAGCTGTGTTGAGAAGCCTGGTCTAGAGTTCAGTGTCTTGCTTGGGCTCATTTTCTTCTTTTCATTCTCACTACTGATTGTTGCTGGCTTTTCTTTTTTTCAAGGCCAGTCTTGCAGAGCTGTCTACAAATAAAATCATAGATGTGAAAGCACTTTAAGGAAGTTAAAAGTGTGTTGGAACTATCTGATTAATATAGGAATATCTCCTGAATTGGATTTGGCTTTCTAAGCCCTAAGTGAGGTCATTTAACTTTCTTCCTCAGTAGAAACTAGTAAGGAACTAATAAAGGACAACAGTGGAGCGTTATGGTTTCTTGGGAGTAATGTGCTTTTGTTCCTCCTCCCAATAGCTACCTAGGCGGCAGGAGTGGGATGTGAGAAAAGAAGGATGGAGACATTCAACTATGACTCTGTGCTGACTTTTTCTCCACTGATTTCCTTGGAATTAAAAAAACAGTCACCCTCCCTCACCAATCCCCCACCTCCATTCCATACGTGTGGCAAAAGGTCAAGCAGCTCTGAGATCATGGGCAAAGAGCAGACATCAGGGCCCTTCTCACAGGCCCATCTCAAAGCTGCTCCCTCTCGAGATGGTGCCCTGGGAGCTCTTCTTTACTCAGTGTCAGTTAAGTCATGATGCAGAAAACCTCAGAAGCTTAGAGGACTGGGTGTCCACTGCTCCCTGGAGACACTCTACTATTTTCTCTGTTCTCTTAGCACTTGCCATGACAGATGGCTCTTCCCTAGAAGTACCACAGGCCATCCTCTTCGGGTCACTTTCTAACCTCTCAACCTATGGTTAACATTTTAAATTAACATCCTTTTGGTCTTTCTTCTTTGGTGGATATGACTTCACAAACACACACACATGTAGACTGATATGGTTTGGCTGTGTCCTCACCCAAATCTCATCTTGAATTATAGCTCCCATAATCCCCACATGTCGTGAGAGGGACCCAGTGGGAGGTAACTGAATCATGAGGGTGGGTTTCTTCTGTGCTGTTCTCGTGATAGTGAATAAGTCTCATGAGATTTGATGGTTTTATTAAGAGCAGTTCCCCTGCACACATTCTCTTGCTTGCACACATTCTCTTGCTTGCTGCCATGTAAGATATGCCTTTGCTTCTCCTTTTCCTTCCTCCATGACTGTGAGTCTTCCCTAGCCATGTGGAACTCTGAGTCCATCAAACCTCTTTTTCTTTATAAATTATTCAGTCTCAAGTATATCTTTATTAGCAGTGTGAGAACAGACTAATACATAGACACATACACACTAATACATACATGAACAGAAGTGTACATATACATTTTTAAAAGAGCTTGTCACCCAGGCTGGAATGCAGTGACATAGTCATGGCTCACTGCAGCCTCAAATTCCTAGACTCAGGTAGTCCTCCCACCTCTGCCTCCTGAGTAGCTGGGACTGCAGGCACGTGCCACCATGCCCAGCTAATTTTTGTATTTATCTATTTTTTGTAGAGACAGGGTTTCACCATGTTGCCTAGGCTGGTCTCAAACTCTTGGGTTCAAGTGTTCTATCTGCTTTAGCCTCCCAAAGTGTTGGGATTACAGGCAATATTCTTATAAATAAAAAAGATATCTCCTTATAAGCCTTATGCACAACCATCTGTACCCCAAATGGTGTTTTCACAGCATTCATGAACTCATAGTGGAGTTACTACCAAGAATTGTGAGATCCCTGGAATGCTCAGGATTTTCCCAAAAGGACCAAAGAATCAGGAAATGGTGCCAATGTTCCATCTCTGCATGACTAGGTGACTGAGAAAATCATGTTACTTTTCTGAACCTCGGTTTACTTGTCTGCCATGCAGGCTTAATAATACTCATATTATCTAATACAGAGTTGTAGTGGGGATCAACTGCATAATGCAGGAAAAAGTGCTTAGGGTGCCAAGAATACACAATGAAGAAAGAATAGTCTTGTTAATAAAAGGTGTTGAAAGAACTGGCTATCAACATGCAAAAGAATGAGATTAGACCCCTATCTTACACCATACACAAAAATGAACTCAAAATAGATTCAAAATTTTAATGTAAGATCTGAAACTATGAAACTATGGGAAGAAAACATCAAGGAAAGCTTCATGACATTGGTCTTGGCAATAATTTCTTGGACATGGCATCAAAAGGACAGGTAGCAAAAACAAAAATAGACAAGTGGGACTACATCAAACTAAAAAGTTTTTAACACAGCAAAGGAAACAATCAACAGCATAAAAAGGCAACCTATGGAATGGCAGAAAATGTTTGCAAAACATATATCTGATAATGGGTTAATATCTAAAATATATAAGGAACTCCTATAACTCAAAGGCAAAAAAAAACCCTGAGTAATCTGGGTAAGAAGCGGGCAAAGGACCTGAATAGACATTTCTCCAAAGAAGGCATACAAATAGCCAACAGTTATAAGAAAAGTGCTCCATCAACATCACTCAGAATCAGGGAAATGCAAATCAAAACCAGTGAGATATCACATTTGCTGTAATAGCCATTATCAAAAAAATAAAAGACAGCAAATGTTGGTGAGACTGCAGAGAAATTGAAACCTTTGTACCCTATTGGTGGGAAAGGAAAATGGTGCAGCTGCTGTGGAAAACAGGAGGGAGGTTTCACAAACATTAAGAATGGAACAACCATATGATCCAGCAACCCTTCTTATGGGTATATATCCACAATAACTGCAGTCAGAATCTCAAAGAGCTCTACACTTCTATGTTCATAGCAGCATTATTCCCAATATATAAGATACGGAAACAATCCAAATGTCCATTGGGTATATGCATTCAATAGAATATTATTCAGCCTTAAAAAGGATATCCTACCATTTGGAATAGCATGGATGGACCTGGAAGACATTATGCCAAGTGAAATAAGTCAGTCAAAGAAGGACAAATGTCCGATCTCACTTATATAAGGTGTCTAAAATAGTCAAATTACAGAAGCAGTAAACAGAATGGTGGTTGCTAGGGAATAGGAGGAGAGGGAAATGAGGAGTTATTCAATGAGTATATATTGTTCATATCAGTTACACATGATGAATAAGCTCAAGAGGTCTTCTACACAACTAGTGCCTATAGTTAATACAGTACTGTTCACTTAAAAATTTAAGAGGGTAGATCTCATGTTAAATGTTCTTACCACAAAAATACCCCTCTACCCCCCACAACACAGAAGGACACAAGGAAACTGTTGGAGGTGATGTGTATATTTATTACTGTTGTGCTGAAACCCTGTCAACTCCAGTGGGGATGGTACAAGGCTGAAGAGCCCAAAGAAGAGACCCAGGGACTGCAAACAAGACATGGAGTTTTTCTGGGGACTTATATCCAGGAGAAAGAGTTCAGTGGTGGCAGGCTGGACAGGATAACTGCATAGTCCAGTTGTGGCGGGGTAGGCAGCAAAAGGCATGCAGTTTATACAGCATTTTAACTTAATACCATTCCCCTAACAACCTCCACCTGGCAACCTTCACGTAACTCAAAACAAAGGGCCTTGATCCCCCATATGGACTGCATTCCGTGGGATTGGTCGGGGGCTCAGTTTTTCCTCATAGATAAGGAATAACTCTCCAAGTTGGCCTCTCCTGGATTCCTTAGCTCGGAACTCAAAACTATATTCAGGTGTGTCTGCGATACAGGGTTGTCCTCAAGGCATGCTTAAGTTATTGCTGGCAGGTGCGTTTGTCATAAATTACTTTGATTATGGTGATGGTATTACAGGTGTTTGCATATGTCCAAACTCATAAAATTGTATATATTAAATATGTGCAGTTTTTATACATCAATTATACCTCAATAAAACTGTTTTTTTAAAAGTGCCTCATTCAAAGCATCCTGGACACAGACAGTGATGCATCCATTTGTCCTCAGACCCCTCTTACCATTTCCAGGTGCCCATGTGTTGGCATGTGTGTGCTTTGCTCCTGAAGGTCAGTAGCTCTTGCTTTCTTGCAAAGACCACTCTTGTGTTACTGGGGCTGTTTTACCTGAGGCTTCAAGAATCAGAGTCCCTTGAAGTGTGTATCCCTTTAGGGTAACCTTAGCCAATGACTAAGGATGAGAATATATGAAAGTGCAGCCCCTTTTTCCAGAGCTGGGACATCCTCTAGATGTAATTGACATTCCAGTGTCCCTGTGAAGACCAAACCTGAGACTTTGCCTAAAATCCTGTGCTGGTTTGGCTTCTTCTCCTTCCAGACCCTACTTCCCCAATACCTCACAGGCTCCTCTGAGGAGCACTTTATAATTTAGTTACTGGTACACAAATCTTTTCTCAGTCTGCTCCAGGGAAGCTGACTTAAGTCATAAATATAACATGATATGATGGTGTAATTCCTGCTGGCAACTTGGCGATGACAAAAATATATACTTATTGAGCACCTTCTTAGACACTGTTCAGTGCTTTTTATTTGAAACATGGATCATCTCATTTAGTCCTCAATCCATCCTTGTAGATAAAGAAATGGGGGTTTAGGCAGAGTAAGTAACTTTTCCAAGATTACATGGTAGTTTAGTAGCAAAGAATAAGCTTAACTGAACCCAAAACTCCTGTTTTGGTTTTTTCAATCAAACTGAAGGTTTTGGGGACTGTATTTTTCCCTACCTTTTTGTTTGGTTTTTCTACTTTTTCTTTTTCATTTTTCTCCTCACCTCCCTTTCAATCATCTTAGCCCAAAGACAGGTTTACGAAGAGAAGCATGTTTTCCTGACAGGCAGATCGGAAACAAAAACTGCTCACAGCTTGGCAAGAACAAGGATAGTGATTGATCTTAGGCTGCTGCTCCAAATGGCAACCACTTTAAAACCAATCCTGCCTCTATCCTGAGTGGAGAAAGCATCATTCACCACATTTCCTATCCTCCCTGAGCCACTGCTTGAAGCTTGCAGCTCAGGTGTGAGAAGTGAAGTGAGCTGTCAAAACAAGGTCTCATTGCTAGGTGAGGGGTTAGGAGAGGAGGAGGCTCAGGCAATATTTCTGCAGGGAGACAGATTGATTTGAAGATCATTTTTAGTGACTGCTGGTCACTTTATTATTTAATTCCACGTAGAGTATTAAGCATCTGCTTAGATGGCAGATGTAGAACAGAAACATGGGTAAGGACTGGTTTTCGTCCTGGAGGAATTTGCAATCTATGGATGAGACAGATACATTCAGCTAACCAGAGCCCAAGAATAAGAACTGGAATCCTAGATTGAGAACAACAAGTTCTGCCTTGGAGGTCTCCAGATCTGCCTTGGAGAGTCATAGAAGGCTTCAGATTTCCAGCAGCATTTTAGGTGAAGTAAATAAAAGATGGTTGCAGTTTCTTCAAACAGAGTGTAGTGGGGGGTGTGGGGGTGTGGGTTGAAGGTATTTCAGGTGAAAGGAAGAGAATCAGGAATGGCACTGAGGTCATGGGATGCAGAGCATATTCTAGGAATGGTCCAGGGTATTTGGAGTTGCTGAAACCAACAGTGAGGAAAGGCACAGTCATAATTTACTCAAATTTTATTACATGCCTACGACATATCATGTAGGGTGCTAATCACTGTAAAAGAAAAGAAAGATGAGAACAATGCAGACTGTTTTCCTTTGGTTGCTCACAGGTGGGGGAGACAGACAAGCTAAAAGATAGCTACAGCAAAATGAAATGTGTTATGAGTGGGTGCAAGAAAGTAGATTGAATAGAACCAGGGAGATTTCCTGGAGGAGGGGACACTTGAGATAAGCCTTACGGTTGAAGGAGCCATGAGATTGAAAGGGTGGGCTATGGACTGATTGCTGAGTGCTTTATGTCAAACTAGGGAGTTTGGAGATAATCTGCTAGTGAAGATTGGAATCAATACATATTTAGGTGCAGTGGAGGCCTGCTGTCAGACTTGTGTTTCAGAAAGATCATATGAATGGCTAAATATGTGTGGGTCCTCAGGTCTCCTGACCCTTGTACTGACTGATTAATGTGGCTGTGCCCTCCGTTATGAGACATCAGTCCCATTGTCCTAGCTAATTAATAGATTTACTTTTATCTCTGCAAATTGGTGGCTTAAGATTCTAATACAACCGGGGGCTGAGGCGGCGTTGTGAGTGGAGCAGAAAGAGGTTTCACCTCACCTGCTCAGCTGCATCCTCTCGTTCAGTGTCCTGTAACAGGCAAGGAAATGGATGGAGACTCAGAGTGCTGATTTGGTAACTGTGGTAATGGGCAGGCTCTTGTCATTTATGAGGAGTTGGAATGGATTAGTCGTACCTTTTAAAATGCTTACTTGTGAAGGGGTGACTAAACACGTCTTGATTGTTTGCCTCTGACAAGCCTGTTTCCAAGCCTGGAGAGACAGGATTTTAGAAGGCTGAGTTTCAAAGGCATACCCGGCCTTCACAAATAGAGAAAGGAGACTTGAGGGACACTCAAGCCTGGCCTGAGCATTTCCAACTAATGCTGGGCAGCTGCCCCTAAGCCCTCCCCAAGTAACCCACAAAGCAACAGCTTTGCTTTGAAACTAAGACTCTGCACCAAATATCCATCTATTTATAACAGCAACAAAAACTGCCGCCCCTTTGTTTCACATCCTTCTACCAGTCCTACCTTTGGAATCTCTTTTGAACTCCCAGAATAATTCATTTCTCCCTCTTTTCTTTAGTATCATGAGGATATTTGGCTTCTATTGAAACTTCTTAGAAAATGAATTTAGACAGACTTAGATTTCAATTTAATCTTGGCAGCTTGCATCTTGCTGTGTGACCTTCAAAAAATCACTTAGCTTCTCTAAGCCTATTTTCTGATTTGTAGGACAGAGATGACAGTGCCTATTTCAAAAAGGATATGACAAGAGTTTGTCAAAGTCCTCAGTCTTATCCATGGCATAGAGTGAATATTCAATAAGCGGTGTTTCTTTAGCTTTCCATCCTCATCCCATTCTCCCAAGTCTGTTGGCTCTGTGAAGACAGACTCTGAGTCTGTCACATGTTTGCTTCCAGTTCAAGGTTTAGTGAGTGCATAAGGAAAATGAGCTACAGAAATGAGTCTGGATCGAAAAATTCTGTTTAACCAGTCTATGCGTTCTACTTAATTTATACATTACTTAGTCAGTTAGACTGCTGAGTTGATTGAGGTCAACATCTCAAGTTAGAGAGTAGCACTGTTGCTGGTCCTGACTTCACTGGGACCCTACAATGGGAATTCAATTCAGAGATGAATGCAACCCTGCAAGCAAGTCTCCACTTCCAAAAGAGCAGGCCCAAGCATCTGGCTTATGGGCGGACAGAATTGCAGTTCTGCAAAAATAATGGATCATTGGAATGTGGTGGCAAGAAGAGAACTCTCAGAACACCCCCAAAAGGTTACTCAGTCCAATATCTTGAAATTTTGGGGCAGACTCAGACTCTCTTTATATCCTCAAGCCCTTCATTTCCACCTTGTAATCCTCCTCTATTTACCTGGAACATGATTTGCTTCTCTCTGCTAAGTCAGTCCTCTTTATCCTTCTAAGTCCCACGCTAGTTATACCCTTCCCATGACGTTTCCTCTGACTCTGTGGGTCCCTCCATTTCAGAGGAGGAAAAGCCTTCACGGTTTGTATGATTGCCATCTGAGAATTAACTTCACTTTAAAAAATAACCTATCTTATTTTTTTAGAGACAGAGTGTCTGTCACCAGGCTGGGGTGTAGAGGCAAGATCATAGCTCGCTGCAGCCTTGAACTCCTGGGCTCAAGTGACCCTCCTGTCTCAACCCCTCAAGTAGCTAAGACTACAGGAATGTGCTACCATGCTAGCTAATTAAAAAAAAAATTGTAGAGATGGGATATCACTTTGTTATCCAGGCTGGTCTCAAACATCTGGCCTCAGTTGACCCTCCCACCTCAGCCTCCCAAAGTGCTGTGAATATAGGCATGAACCATTGTGCCTGGCCCAAAATAACATTTTTTTAAAAAAAAATTATATTTCTAAATTATAATGCAAAGGTGCCACAGTGTTAAAAATAAAAAATTTAAGAATAGAAAAACCAATCACCTCAATCTATATGTTTTAACACAACTGTAGTTGACATTGTGATGTATTTACTTCCTGTGTTTTAATATTACAAGCATTTTTAGCTTATGAATAAGAATTATATAAGAATGCATCTACAACAGTCTGATTTTTACATCAAAATGTTAGCTTTTTTTATATTACAACATAATGTTCACAACAATTGCTTTTCATGAATGGATTACATTATGAATAATTCATACTCTTTACTAAAATTCTCTTTGGTAGTTTGTCTTTACCAAATGGTAGTTGATGCTTTTTTATTACAGATTGAGCATCCCTAATTCAAAAGTCCAGAATTTGCAATGCTTCAAAATCTGAAACATTTTTAGTGCTGACACGATGTCACAAGTGTAAAATTCCACACCTGACCTCATGTGATGGGTTGCAGTCAAAACACAATCAAAATTTATTCTATGCACTGAATTATTTAAAATATTATAAAAAATTACCTTCAGACTCTGTGTGTAAGGTTTATATGAAACATAAATGAATTTCATATTTAGACTTGGGTCTCATTCCCAGGCTATCTCGTTATGTATATGCCAATTTTCCCAAATCTGAAAAGAACCAATATGCAAACACTTCTGCTCCCAAGCATTTTGGATAAGGAATATTCAACCTGTATTATAAATAATGCTGCTATCTATATCTTTTGCTAATACAATCATATGGGTTAGTATAGACTAACATTTCAATGTATTAAAAAAATACAAGTCTTTTTCTATTTGTCACTCACATCACAGCCCAGGGTCATCATTTTTGCTCCCCTCCACTCAGCTCCACACATTAGTTAGGGATCAGGCTTCTTTCATCTGGTGGCTGTGCCATCTTCTAGGATTTCAAAGGTTTCGGATGGTCCTCAAAATTCAGGAGACAGATAAAGGAAAAAACAAAGCATGAAGAATTTCAAAGGAGGCTTTAGGAGTCTGCTTGGAAGGGATATGCAAGATTTATGCACACACACCATTGGCCAGAATGCAGTCACATGACTTCACCTAGCTGCAAGGGATGCTAGGAGAGGCAGTCCTGCTATGTACCTGGAGAGAAGAGAAAATGGTCTTGGTGAGCATTTAGAACTATCTCTGCAATTGTTTTCTTTATTTTATATTACTTGTTTAGGCTTGATTTCCAGAGGAGTTATTTTACCTCAAAATTTAATAATTTTTATAGCTAGTAATGTTTATTACATCATCATCTCTACATCCGTTCATTTATTCAACAAGTCTTTGAGTGCCTGCTATGATATAGCTACTGTGCTGGATAGGCCCTACGGTGTAACATAGAACAAGACATATAGTTAGATTTCTAGCAAGGAAAACAGGCAATTAGCCAAGCCATCTACTGTATACTCTCTTGTTTTGCTCTTAAATGTTTCTTTGTGTATAAATCTCCATGAAAGTTTTATATTCCTTGAAAGCCATATATTTCTTTTATGCTTTCAGTAGTATCTGGCTCAATGCTGGGCACACATAATCTAAAATGTTATAGATTCTGTAAATGATGTGATCAGTCATCAAATATTCTTTATGAACAATGCTCTGAGAAGTTAAATGACTGGCTAAACATCTACAGTGCAATCTTAAAACACAATAGCCAAAGAAAAGTGTCCAAGTGAATTGGATGAGACGTCAAATAATCTTTCTCCTAGGAAAGGAAAAAATGCTTTTGATCATGAGGAGGATTCTCCCACCTCCACTGTGTGCCTGAAATAAGCAAACACAAACATTGCAGTAACTCACAGCAGGAGGGACTTAGAGCAAATGCAGAGCTTCCTGTCATGATGGTTTGCATTAAAGTCAAGGGAGATGGTAAACTTTCTAGCCAAGGCGATGCTAAGAACAAAGCCAATTTCCTGTTAGTCTGAGGTGACTTAGAAAAAGTTCACCTCCCAGGAGAGGGCGAATCTTTTGCTTTACCTTCATTTCTAAAGTATAACTTTCATTTTTAGGCACAATGCTGCTTCCTTTATGTTACTTTGCTTTTTTTTTTTCTCAATAAAGCATTAAAAGAGAGTCTGCTCCCTGCAGGGAATTATGGTTTCTCCCTCAATTCTCATATTTCTCAACACCTGTTGGGCAGCTGCTACATCCTGCCCAAGCAGTGGCTGCATTTGCAAGGACTAAATTCTAACAATATGGAAAGTTAGTGATATACTTAAGGGATTTGCAATATGAACTTAACTATAGTAGATTGCTGGAACCACACTCTCATATTTCCCATGTACTTCTGTGGTCTCCATTAAGAAGCAATAAAAATAACAGAGCTACTGAGTTCACTGGCTACGTAGCTATGACTCTTTTTCTACATCTGAGTATAACCACATAAATGCAATATTTTTATTAATACAATAGCTCTATATCTGGCTGTGTATATCTGCTAAATATAATAACAGTTTCTTAATTGCATTACAGTCACACTAATGCTTAGCATTTACTAGGAATCAGGCATTGGTCTAAGCATGTTACATATATCAATACATTTAAACTTCAAACAGCCTTTAGAGGTAGCTATTATTATAATCCCTATTTTATAGATGGGGAAAATAAACCCCAGAAACATTAAGCAGCTTGCTCCAGGTCACATAGCTGGTAATTGCAGAGCCAGAATTTCCAACTGGACAATCTGGATCCATAGTCTATGATCTTAACTGGTATACAATACTTGCATTTAGTAGTTGATGTTAGATTTAGAAAACTACACCTCATAGTACAAAGTGAGGAATATTATTATATTTCAAACTTGCAACAAACCATTGAGATAAGTAGGACAAATACTACCATAGTTATTGTTAATATTACTATTTCTCCCATAATAAAAGTGAGACACAAAGTAATTAAGTAACTTTTAAAAGCTCATATAGTTGGTAAGTGAGAGAGCAAGAAAATTCTGCATCCTGGTTTTATATATATATATATATATATATGCACTGTATATTATATATGTAATACTGTGTACATTGTCTGATGTGTACAGCACTTGGATATTTATAAAAATATATAATTTTACATCATATATAGATATATAATAATTAACATAATTTGGGAATGGCATTTGAAGACAAATGCATTAAGTTGAAATACAACAGCACTATCCAGTTCTTTTTAATATACATTTACTTCTGAATCTTTTACAGATTGAAATGCCCTATCCTAGGAAGAAAGGTAAGGGATGTTTTATGGTCTAAAAGAATTAAGTTCCGTATTTCTTGTGAAAACAAAATTCATTGCTTAGTGACAAAAAGGTTACAGGTTTCTTATAATAGTTCAATAAGCCAGGTTATTAAAATTTCAGAGCCATTCAACATTCCATGAATACTTTTTGTATCTGTGGAGGTCTGAAATAAATGAGATGAAAGATCTCTTGAGCCAGAGTTCTGGTCTCAATTCTGCTAGAGATTGGTCTCTGGTAACCAGGAACTAGTTCTGTAGCCTCTCTGGGCTTCAAGTTACTTATTTTTAAAATGAACTTAGGGATATAATTAGTAAATATTTAAAGGTCCTTGGAATTCTGGCCAACAGTTACTCGAAGTTACTTAAAGCAGTGAAGGTGACAAGAAGGGCAATTTTTGTGAACTGTGACATTGAACCTGTTGGAATCCAACATTCAGTCACACTCCAGCAGAATCGGGTGAAAAGGAAGTGTTTCACTTGGCCATCTCTCTCTGTATTTGGGGATTCATTCTTTCCTTCATGAAATAATTACTGAGCACCAAATATGTGTCAGGCACTGTTGTAGATATTGGGGAGAGAGCTAGGAACCAATATAAAAGTCCCTGCTCTGATGAAGCTTGCATTGGGTTTGAGGAAGCCAGACCTTAAGCAAATGAACAAGACAGTACATGTCAAGAGTTAGTAAGTGCTATGTAAGAAAATAAAGCAGGATAGGGGTGGAGAGGAAAAGTTTAGAAGTGGATTTTATTTCTCATTTGATAGTAAACGTCACTTGAATTGACATGAGGCAATTTCTCAGTATTGTTCATCTAATTTGGTGTGCTTGTTGCAGAAACATCCATGTATTTGAATATTGGATGCTGCCCCAGACCTAGATGGGGGTGTTCTGTGATATAAATTTATAAAATCTGAAAAAAATTCATTTTAAAGTGCATCTGCATGGTATGTTTTCAGATAAGAGATTGGGGAGCTCTACCAGCCAGACTTCAGGAAAGAGGTCAGGACTAGGAATATAAACGTGAAAGTTATGATTGTATAGATTGCGTTTTAATAAAGCTGAGTGGCTGGATAATAATATCTAGGGGTTGAATATATGTGACAAAAAAAAAAGAGGAACAAGGACTAGACCATGGCCTACTCCACTGTTTTGAGTGATAAGATGGACATAAAAAAGGAGACTGAGAAGAGGTAACCAGAGAGGTAGGAGAAAAACAAAGATTGCTGTCCAGAAAGCAAATGTAGTGTTTCAAGAGCATGACAGGAAGGAGAGATCGCCTGTGTGGAATGCAGCTTACAGGTCTAGAAAAATGAGAATTGAACATGTGAAAGAAAAGCAGCAGCAGCAGCAGCAACAACAATATCAAGAATCCTTTCTCAGAAGTCCTAGCCAGAACAATCAGACAAGACAAAGAAATAAAAGGCATCCAAACAGGAAAAGAAGTCAAACTATCTTGACTGACTATATGATTCTACACCTAAAGACTCTATCAAAAGGCTCCCGGAACAGATAAACAACTTCAGTAAAGTTTTATATTAAAAAAAAATGTACAAAAATCAGTAGCATTTATATACAATAACAATATGCAAGCTGAGAGCCAGATTAAGAACACAATCCCATTTACAATAGCCATAAAAAATTAAAATACCTAGGAATACATCTAACCAAGAAAGAGAAAGATCTCTACATGGAGAACTATAAAACACTGTAGAAGGAAATCAGAGATGGCACAAACAGATGGGAAAACATTCCATGCTCATGGATGGGAAGAATCGGTATCTTTAAAAAAGCCATACTGCCCAAAACAATCTACAGATTCAATGCTATTCCTATCTAACTACCAGCATTATATTTCACAGAATTAGGAAAAACTATTCTAAAATTCATATAGAACCAAGAAAGAGCCCAAATATCCAAAGCAATTCTAAGCCAAAAGAAAAAAGTTGAAGGCATCACATAACCCAACTTGAAACTACACTCTAAGGCTATGATAACCAAAGCAGCATGGTACTAGTACAAAAGCAGACATGTAGACCAATAGAACAGAATAGAGAATCCAGAAATAAATTCACACAACACCAGCCATCTGCCACACAATGCCAGCCATCTGATCTTTGGCAAAGTTGACAAAAATAAGCAATGGGGAAAGACTCCATATTCAATAAATGGTGCTGGGATAGCTGGCTAACCATATGCAGAAGAATGAAACTCCTACTTTTCACCACATACAAAATTAACTCAAGATGGATTAAAGATTTAAATGTAAGACTTGAAGTTTTAAGAATCCTAGGAAAAAACCTAGGAAACACCATTCTGGATACAGGCCTTGGGAAAGAGTTTATGACTAAGTCCTCAAAAGCAATTGCAACAAAAACAAAAATTGACAAGTGGGACCTAATTAAACTAAAGAACTTCTGCACAGCAAAGGAAACTACCAACAGGTTAGACAATCTACAAAATGGAAGAAAATATATGCATCTGACAAAGATCTAATATTCAGAATCTATAAAAACTTAAACAATTCAACAAGCAAAGCATTAAAAAGTGGGCAAAATACATGAACAGACACTTCTCAAAAGAGGATATACAAGTGGCTAAGAAACATGAAGAAATGCTCAGTGTCACTAACCATCAGAGAAGTGCAAATCAAAACCACAATGAGATGCCATCTCATATCAGTCAGAATGGCTATTATTAAAAAGTCAAAAAGCAACAGATGCTGGCAAGGCTACAGAGAAAATGGAATGCTTATACATTGCTGGCGGCACTGTAAATTAGTTTAGCCACTGTGGACAGCTATCTGGAGATTTCTCAGATAACTTAGAACTACCATTTGGCCCAGAAATCCCATTACTGGTATATATCAAAAATAAAATAAATTGTTCTATCAAAAAAGACACATGCACTCAAATGTTCACTACAGCACTATTCACAATAGGAAAGATATGGAATCAACCTAGGTGCCTATTAACACAAGATTGGATAAAGAAAATGTAGTATATATACACTGGAATATTATGCAACCATAAAAATGAAATTATGCCCTTTGCAGCAACATGGATGCAGCCGCAGGCCATTATCCTAAGTGAATTCATGCAGGAACAGAAAACCAAATACTGCATGTTCTCACTTAAAAGTGGGAGCTAAACATTTAGTTAACATAGACATAAAGATGGCAACAGTAGACACTGGAGATTACTAAAGGAGGAGGGAAGGAGGAGAAAAGGGGTTGAATAACTATTGGATACTATGCTCACTACCTGGGTAATGGGGTCAGTCATACCCCATACCTCAGCATCACATGGTATGCCCATATAACAAACCTGCATGTGTATCTCCTGGATGTAAAGTAAAAGCAGAAATTATTTTTAAAAAGGATTATAAAAAGAACCCTGTCTCTTTTTCATTATTATCACCAGGATTTATGAAACTGATAGCCATTCTTAATACACATTTGATCTCATTTCTAAAATGATTACTTACTAGTTGCTACTTTGAGGCACTTAAACTACTTTATATTTCCTGGAGGTGAGGTGCATTTCATGAAGACTATGTAATACAGTTAAAAAACATAAACTTCAAGTCCACAAAGATCTGGATGCAAAATATACACCTAATTACGCTGCCCACAGATCAATAGGTCAATCTCAGATAAGTTACTTAACATTGCTGCATCTCAGTTGTCTCATCTGAAGAATGAGGCTATTAACAACAATCTCAAATATATGATGAAGATTAAAAGCAGGTCTGGAGCACATAACAGGTCCTCAAAGTTCTTCCCCTTTTCTAGGGAAAGTGGACAACCTACAAAAGAGAAGTATGGCAGTAAGAGGAAGCACATACTGAATGAATCCTTAGGAGACATGGGCTAGAGTTCTGGCTGTGGCAGCTACATTTTGTGAAACCCCAGGCAACTCACATCACATTCTTAAGCCTTGGAATCAGAGGTCAATAATCTACAGGCCCAATCTGCCATGTTGTGATTGATTAGAAACATATTTTTAGGTGGTTGGTTGGTTGGTTATATAGGTATTGCTCTCTAGTTTGCCATAGTTGATCCTTTTCTCATGATATGAATCATTTACATTATCTTCCTGTCCCTTGAATTGACTCAATTTTGCAGCCCCTGGAGTACAAAATCCTTCTGGTCCCTTCATTGAGAACATTTTACACATTTTGTAACTAGCACTCCTACATGTCCTTGTTCAGGGTACCTTTAATTATTGAACGCTATAGACACAATGCTTAGAGCCTATGCTGTTTTCAATACCACAGGAAATATTTTAGGCCTGAAGATAAAATGATGGTCTCTGAAATAAGAAAGACAAACTGCAAAAGTAAATGATAGAAGTTGTTATATACAAAACATATAATGGCATACCAGCCACTCAACAGCAACTCAGTTCAGGTAGTTTGATATTTAAAAAATGAAGTTTAAATTGCAAGAATACAATTAATAATTTATTATTTTTATTTTTTTTTTGTAGAAAGAGAGTCTCACTATGTTGCCCAGGCTGATTTTGAATTCCTGGGCTCAAGCCATCCTCCTGCCTTAGCCTCCCAAGTGCTGGGATTACAGCAGTAAGCCACTGCACGTGGCCAGTAATTTATGCCTTAGGCAACTTGGAATTATAGAAAATTATCAAAATCTTTTCAAATTTTTTAGGGCAAATATTGCACTTAATGCTAATGTGGAGGCATAGAATGTTATTCTTTAGGAACTGTAGTTACTCTTGTTTTTCTGCCATTCTTGGGGAATGTATCCCATAATTTTGAGCTTTTGTCATCTATTTCCTGCACCCTTTTCTCTAAGCTATCAAAGAAGTGAGGAAGAGAACGGTTATCTATGCTTCCATATTCACACATTTGTCTTATTATAGATCATTCTGTCCTTAGAACTTAGCAAATTGTAGGTGCTCAGTGATGTTTATTGGCATAATCGTCCGCTGAGGGGGAAGGTAGGAATGACAGGTGTTCTGTGAAAGGGCGGTATATACAAAGTGGCCCTCAAATGCAGAAGGAGCTGAGAAATCAAAGAAGAAGGCAAACAAATCTAGTTTGTCATTTTTGGGTTATTTATTAGAACTTACAGACAGAAGTGTGGTCTTGGTGGCCACAAGACAGTTAGAGATCCACACTGCAACCCTCAGGCTCATGGCTTATATCTTGGGGAAAGCATACGTGCTCTGGAAAGAATATGTAGGTGGCTATGTGTGTCACCACCTATGATTTCTGCAATGGCATCAAGAGTTCTTGTGGAGGAAACTTAGAGTGAATAAGTGTTTCTACATAAAGAATAATACATCAACTAGACATTTCAGAGGCACTCCCAGACTCAGGGTTAGTCTGAAGTTACATGGCAGATTAGCATTTAAAATAAAGTCATTCTCATCCCCACAGCAGGGGTCAGGTGCCTGGAAGGGATATAATGTAAAGTTTTGGTTGGTTCATCATAGGATATCTAAACTCCTATATTGTTTGGGGAAGCAATATTCCCAGCATCCCTTGCCTCTAGGAGGGGACATGTGACGTATTTGCTACAGAGAGGCATATGTCTGTTCAGGTTTCTAGAAAAGCTTTTACTTTTCTGACTTAATGGGATAGATGCAGCTAGTATTGCATGCCCTCTTTCTACCTGAAATCCAGGAGTGATACCTGGAGGAGCAGGTGATGTTTTGGCTATGTTAAGTTGAAAATCCTGCATGCTGGGAATGGTGGAATATAGGCTGAAGAACATTCGATCTTTGATGTCATAGATAAACAGCTGCACCAACTCAGATCATCTACTTCCATATTGCTTATTACAAGATAAAATTAAACCTCATAATAAGCCATAGAAAGTCAGGGTTTTTGGGTTTTGTTTTCATTTTGTACTTGCAGCCAAGATGATGTCTGATTGCTATACCATAAGAGGGGAGTTAAAAATGGAGGAGAGATGAAGATCATTGGCACCTTTAGAAACTTTGAAGCTAGGACACTGAAAGGATGTTCTGGAAGGAAAGTGACTGTATGTATACAGATTTTTTTTTAAGCCTTTAAGAAAATAACAATGGTTATGCTAGCAGGGGATATGTATAGGTTTTTATACCCTAAAGTATAAGACTTAAATAGATGATGAAACAACCAGGTACTCAGTATAGAATACCTCAGTCCAGATGCATAGCTTCCTGGTATTCAAGATGATACAGGAATAGAGCTTAGAAAACAGAGAAATTGATGCCTAGCATGCTCCTTACTTACATTATTTATCTATGCACATCAATTTTCTTACCAATCATTTTTGGCAGGAGTATGAATGGTAGATAATTCAAGCTAAACTCCTTGGAATCATATGAAATGTATCTTTTCTCTGGCTACTTCATGAAACATCCCCTACTAGACTGAGATACTTAAGGGAACGAACTAGAAGAGAGGAAAGTGTTTGTGACAGTGGGATAGGGTTTGGAGATGACTCAGGCAAATGTCAGGCAAGGAAACATTTAAGCTGCTTCAAAGTGGTTTTTGAAAAAAAATGATTAATTTTGGATAAGCAATCAGGTAAGGAAGTAATGTCTGTCCTGTGGCCATTTATAAATAAACACATACCCAGAGATTTCAAAAAGTATATCTTTAAGATACATTATTTAGCACTTCTTTTCCAGTTTCATTCTGTTCTTTGGCTTAGAGAAGCCTCCTTTTTTAGCTGTGTGCTGAAACTCAGTTAATTGGGATGTGGTTCTAATACACTAAAAGGTGTGCCTTTAATTTTCATTCCCGTCATTGAATTCTGTTCCCCCAGTAAAGATATAATAACCATCATGGTACAGGAAAATTAGTTCCCTCTGTGGGCCTGTTTCCACACTTGAAACGAGACAGTGGACCAGGTGTTCATAAAGGTGCCTGCCTGCTCTAACATTCAATGGTGTTGGAATTCTACAACATAGATTCTCTTACCTTTCAGTCCTGAGGTGCAGTGGACAATGAGATAGCTGATGACCACTCATTTTCCAGACAAGCCAAGTTCATCCTCTGAGAGCAAATGGCTTGCATGGCTTTCTTAGGCAAAGAATAGCTCATCAACACATTATGGCAAGCCTAGTATTTGCGCTTGCTTTCTGGAGAATTTCAAAACACAAATAAAGACCTTTTCTTTCAATTATTAAGATCAGAATAACTTTACTTAGAGTGAAAAAAAAAATTGGAATTGCCCTAAAAACTCTATGTATGGATCCTGATTTTTCAAAAGATCTCAAATTATCTTTCTTTTTTTATAAATTCCTGACAAAAATTATCTCATTCAGAACTATATAGCTCTAATCAAATATCCACTGCATGCCATAATCGGGGGTAGGCCATTTCAGTACCTACTAGACAATAAACAACTCCAGAATGTGTCTTGTTTTTATGCATTTGTATATTTTCAGAGCTTGGTACAGAGCATGACATGTAGAAGACACCCACAAATGTTTAATGTATTTGTAGCAATAATTTCATCCTATAAAACTTTAAATAATAATATGAGGTAGGTAACTACTACTATTATTTTCATTGCATATCTATGTAAATTGAGGCTCAAAGAAGTAAAAAACCAAAAATCTGGTCCATGGTCACAGACCAGTTACTGGCAGAGCTTTGGTTTGAATCTAAGCATCTTAACTCCAGAGAAAGTACTCTTTATACTAACTGAATTGTACGTTTTTAGAAATTACTTTTTAAGTTTCTAACTGGCAAACAATAATTGTATATATTTATGGAACACTGTCTGTCAAAAAGATGTCTGCATGCCCATGTTCATTGCAGCATTATTCACAATAGCTAAGATATGCAATTAACTGGGTATGCAATGGATGAATGGATAAAGAAACTAGGATATACACACAATGAAATACACCACTAAAAACAAAGAAAGAAAGAAAAGAAAAAAATAGGATACTATTCAGCTTTTACAAAGAAGGAATTCTGTCATTTGCGACAATGTGGGTAAACCTGGAGGACAATATGCTAAGCGAAATAAATCAGGCACAAAAAGACAAATACCACATGATCTCACTCATGTGGAATCAAAAAAAGCCAAACTCATAAAAGCAGAGAGCAGAATGATGGTTACCAGGGGCTGAGAATGGGGGTGAAGGGGAATGGAAAGATGTTGGCCAAAGGGTATGAGTGTCAGGTAGACAGGAGGAATAGATTGTGCCATCTTATTATGACTCTCCACCTATTCGCCTTTTCCTTTACACTCCAAGCTCTTTTTTTTATGAGATGGAGTTTTGCTCTTGTTACCCAGGCTGGAGTGCAGTGGCACGATCTTGGCTCCCCACAACCTCTGCCTCCTGGGTTCAAGCGATTCTCCTGCCTCATCCTCCTGGGTAGCTGGGGTTACAGGCACGTGCCACCATACCTTACTAATTTTGTATTTTTAGTAGAGACAGGGTTTCTCCATGTTGGTCAGGCTGGTCTCAAACTCTTGACCTCAGGTGATCTGCCCACCTCGGCCTCCCCAAGTGCTGGGATTACAGGCGTGAGCCACCGTGCCTGGCCTCCAAGCTGTTACAGAAGGATTTTCAGCTAGAATATGGAAATAACCGGCTTCTGATAGAATTTTTTTTTTTTTTTTGTAGAAAACCAATTTTGCAGCAAAAGAGATCCTTCCTTGAGTTTAGCTTGGAGTAATATGCCCCAGTGCCATCCCACAGAGAACAGGAAAGAATTAAAAGACTGACAAAGAAATGATACACGGGAAAGTAGGAGTCTGATTAAATAGAAGTTACAAGGGTAAGAGAGTGGGCCCTGAGCCACTGGACGAGGTGCCGGGGCAGAGACAGGAAATGAAATCTGCAGCAGCTCAGTGAAGAAGCCGTTTCCCCAAATCCAGAGCCCAGGTAGAATCTTAGGTCTAGAAAGGTTTTTATTATTTCATTTCAAACTCTATGGGTGCTTGATTAACAATATTATTTAGAATGTGGTCTGTGCTTCTCACTTTCATGATAATTATAAAGTTCTTGGGTAACAAAATGAGTTATGCCATTAACTAGTTTATAATCTGTTATACCAAGCAGTTTTTCATCAACATTGCAGTACCTGCTTGATTTTGTATTTATAATAATATTACTAAAACTTATCTGAAACTCAGTTTTCTGGGATTTGGATGAAGCTGACTGGTTCAGCTCATGACTTTACTCTGAAAGTTTTCTACATATTGGGAGGTTCTTCCCTTCCTCTGTCAATTATTCACTGAGCTCCTCATGCCCTTAAGACTACTAAGTATCTTCAAAGTTTCAACTGAATTATCCTTTTCCCAGGAACACAAAGAATTTAGGAATTGGTTTGTTTGCGGTTAACCATTCATGCCATGAGCTAAAGAAGTTGGATTCAATAAAGTATTATTTATTAAGTGGTATCTATCATATTAAGGGGTTATATGGGGTTTTAAAAAATCTTTCTCATGCAGCCACGCATGATGGCTCACGCCTATAATCCCAGCACTTTGGGAGGCTGAGGCAGGTGGATCACCTGAGGTTGGGAGTTCGAGACTAGCCTGACCAACATGGAGAATCCCCATCTCTACTGAAAATACAAAATTAGCTGGGCATGGTGGTGCATGCCTGTAATCCCAGCTACTCAGGAGGCTGAGACAGGAGCATCCCTTGAACCCAGAGGGGCAGAGGTTGGGACGAGCCAAGATTGCACCCTTGCACTCCAGGCTGGGCAACAAGAACGAAACTCTCTCTCAAACAGACAAACAAAAAGAATAACTGGAACTCTCATACATACCTTGTTGGTAAGATTTGTTAAATTGTGCTATTATTTTGGAAAAATATCTGGAAGTTTCATATAAAACCAAACATATACCTAAACTATGATCCAGCAATTTCAATCCTTGGATTTACCCCAAATAAATAAAAACATATGAACACAAAAATACTTGTACAAGGAGGTCGATAGTGGCTATATACATAATGGCCAATATCCCAAGTATATGAGTAAATAAATTATGATATATTCATACAAAGGACTACTATTTAGAAACAGAAGGGAAGAAAAAACATAGGTAAATCTTTAAAACCTCGAATGAGAAAGATTCATGCTGAAAGTACATACCCTGTGATTACATTGCCTGTTCTAACAGGCAATTTTATCTTTGACACAAAAGAAATCAGAATGGTGGTTGCCTGTGGAATGGGAGTGGAGATTGAATGGGAAGAAGCCTGAAGAATGATGCTTTATTTATGGAGTGATGACAATGTATATGTCTTGATGGGCATATGGGTTATTTGGGTATACGCATTGGTCAAAATCCAACAAATGTATGCTGAATATTTGTGTATTTAAATGTACATCAAATGAAAAATAATAAATATTGATCTCTAATCATATAAATGCTGCAGTATTTAGGTGTTGTAGATGTCTACAATTTATTTTAAAATGCATCAGAAAACAAGTTGAATTGATGGATGTAGAGAGGGATGTCATAGAACAAAAGGAGGTGGTGAATATGGGTGTTCGTTGTAAAATTCTTTAAACTTTATTGAACGTTTGAATTTTTAAAATAATTTTCAGAGGAATCACTATTGCCTCTAAATCTGGGAGTTTATTTTCTACTTTTCTTTATTTGACTATTTTATAAGCATTCTTATATTGGCTCCAACCTGTGCAAGTTCATATTTTCATTCTCACCTTAGAGTCAACTCTCAGAAATGAAAAAAGAAAGTTTCAAGCTAAATGCAAATAAACAAAAGAACTTACAGCTATAAATGACATCAAAGATTCATTTAATTAGAAAATAATAGTACTCTCACCCCAATCAAGACTATTTTGGAGACTCTGATTTTGTGCTTTCTTGCTTACCAGGCAAAGAAATTGGTGCAAAATAATTCAGCTTCAGGAAAGATCTGGCAAGATGGCTGAATAGGAACAGCTCCGGTCGCAGCTCCCAGCGAGACCAACACAGGAGGGTGATTTCTGCATTTCCAACTGAGGTACCCGGTTCATCTCATTAGGACTGGTCAGGCAGTGGGTACAGCCCACGGAGGGTGAGCAGAAGCAGGTTGGGGCATCACCTCACCCGAGGAGTGCAAGGGGCTGGGAACCTACCTCCCCCAGCCAAGGGAAGCCGTGAGGGACTGTGCTATCTGGCCCAGACGCTACACTTTTCCCATAGTTTTTACAACCCGCAGACCAGGAGATCCCCTCGTGTGCCCACCCCACCAGGGCCTTGGGTTTCAAGCACAAAACTGAGAGGCTGCTTGGGCAGACACCAAGCTAGATGCAGTTTTTTTTTTTTTCATACCCCAATGGCATCTGGAACCCCAGCGAGACAGGACCGCTCACTCCCCTGGAAAAGGTGCCGAAGCCAGGGAGCCAAGTGATCTCACTCAGCAAGTCCCTCTCCCACAGAGCCCAGCAAGCTAAGAACCACTGGCTTGAAATTCTCGCTGCCAGCACAGCAGTCTGAAGTCAACCTGGGACAATCAAGCTTGATGGGGGGAGGGGCATCCATCATTACTGAGGCTTGAGTAGGTGGTTTTCCCCTGACAGTGTTAAGGAGGCTGGGAAGTTCAGACTGGGCGGAACTCTCCACAGCAAGACAAAGCCGCTATGGCCAGACTGCCTCTCTAGATTCCTCCTCACCCGGCAGGGCATCTCTGAAAGAAAGGCAGCAGTCCCAGTCAGGGGCTTATAGATAAAACTCCCATCTCCTTTGGACAGAGCACCTGGGGGAAGGGGCAGCTGTGGGCGCAGCCTCAGCAGACTTAAACATTCCTGACTGCTGGCTCTGAAGAGAGCAGCAGATTTCCCAGCACAGCGCTCGAGCTCTGCTAAGGGACAGACTGCCTACTCAAGTGGGTCCTTGACCCCCGTGCCTCCTGAATGAGAGACACCTTTCAGCAGGGGTTGACAGACACCTCCTACAGGAGAGCTCTGGCTAGCATCAGGCAGGTGCTCCTCTGGGACAAAGCTTCTAGGGGAAGGAGCAGGCAGCAGTCTTTTCTGTTCTGCAGCCTCTGCTGGTGCTACCCAGGCAAACAGGGCCTGGAGTGGACCTCCAGCAAACTCCAGCAGATCTGCAGAAGAGGGGCCTGACTGTTACAAGAAAAACTAACAAACAGAGTGCAATAATGGCAACATCAAGAAAAAGGAACCCCACACAAAAACCCCATCCAAAGGTCATCAGCATCAAAGATCAAAGATAGATAAATCCATGAAGATGAGGAAAAACCAGTGCAAAAATGCTGAAAATTCCAAAAATGAGAATGCCTCTTCTCCTCCAAGTGATTGTAATGTCTCTCCAGCAAGAGTGCAGAACTGGGAGAATGAGATGGACAAATTGAGAAAAGTAGGCTTCAGAAAGTAGGTAATAACAAACTCCTCTGAGCTAAAGGAACATGTTCTAACCCAATGCAAGGAAGTTAAGAACCTTGATAAAAGGCTATAGGAACTGCTAACTAGAATAATCACTTTAGAGAAGAACATGAATGAACTGATGGAGCTGAAAAACACAGCACAGAACTTCATGAAGCATATAAAAGTATCAATAGCTAAGTCAATCAAGCAGAAGAAAGGACATCAGAGATTGAAGATCAACTTAATGAAATAAGGTGTGAAGACAAGATTATAGAAAAAAGAATCAAAAGGACTGAACAAAGCATCCAAGAAATGAGGGACTATGTGAAAAGACCACACCCACATTTGATTGGTGTACCTGAAAGTGACAGGGAAAATGGAACCAAACTGGAAGACGCACTTCGGGATATTATCCAAGAGAACTTCCCCAACCTAGCAAGCAGGCCAACATGCAAATTCAGGAAATACGGAGAACACCACTAAGATACTCCTGGAGAAGAGCAACCCCAAGACACATTGTCAGATTCTCCAAGGTTGAAATGAAGGAAAAATGTTAAGGGCAGCCAGAGAGAAAGGTCAGGTTACCTACAAAGGGAAGCTCATCAGACTAACAGTGGATCTCTCTGCAGAAACCCTACAAGTAAGAAGAGTATGGGGGCCAATATTCAACATTCTTAAAGAAAAGAATTTTCAACACAGAATTTCATATCCAACCAAACTAAGCTTCATAAGCAAAGGAGAAATAAAATCCCTTACAGAGAAGCAAATGCTGAGGGATTTTATCACCACCAGGATGACCTTACCAGAGCTCCTGAAGGAAGCACTAAATATGGAAAGGAAAAACTGGTACCAGCCAATGCAAAAACATACCAAAATATAAAGACCAAAGACACTGTGAAGAAACCACATCAAATAATGTGCAAAATACCAGCCAGCATCAGGATGATGGGATCAAATTCAGATACAACAATATTAACCTTAAATGTAAACGGGCTAAATGCCCCAGTTAAAAGACACAGACTGGCAAATTGGATAAAAGTCAAACCCATCACTGTGCTGTATTCAGGAGACCCATCTCACATGCAAAGACACACATAGGCTCAAAATAAAAGGATGGAGGAATATTTACCAAGGAGATGGAAAGCAAAAAAAAAAAAAAGCAGGGGTTGCAATCAGTCTCTGATAAAACAGATTTTAAACAAAGATCAAAAAAGACAAAGAAGGGCATTACATAATGATAAATGGATCAATGCAACAAGAAGAGCTAACTATCCTAAATATATATAAATGCACCCAATACTGGAGCACCCAGATTCATAAAACAAGTTGTTAGAGACCTGCAAAGAGACTTAGACTCCCACACAATAATAGTGGGAGACTTTAACACCCCACTGTCAATATTAGACAGATAATTGAGACAGAAAATTAATAAGGACTTGAAATCAGCTCTGGACCAAGTGGACCTAATAGACATCTACAGAACTCTCCACCCCCAAATTAACAGAATATACATTCTTCTCAGCACCACATAGCACTTATTCTAAAATCAACCACATAATTGGAAGTAAAACACTCCTCAGCAAATGCAAAAGAATAGAAATCATAACAGTCTCTCAGACCACAGTGCAATCAAATTAGAACTCAGGATTAAGAAACTCACTCAAAACTGCACAACTATATGGAAACTGAACAACCTGCTCCTGAATGACTACTGGGTAAATAACAAAATTAAGGCAGAAATTAATAATTTCTTTGAAAACAACGAGAACAAAGAGAAAATTTACCAGAATATCTGGGACACAGCTAAAGCAGTGATAAGAGGAAAATTTATAGCACTAAATGCCAACATCAGAAAGTGGGAAAGATCTAGAATTGACACCCTAAAATCAAAGTAAAAAACCTAGAGAAGCAGGAGCAAATGAATTCAAAAGCTTTCAGAAGACAAAAAATAACTAAAATCAGAGCAGAACTGAGGGAGATAGAGAAATGAAAAACCCTTCAAATAAGCAATGAATCCAGGAGCTGATTTTTTGAAAAGATTAACAAAATAGACCACTAGCCAGACTAATAAGGAAGAAAAGAGAGAAGGATCAAATAGACACAATAAAAAACGTTAAAGGGGATATCATCACTGATCCCACAGAAATACAAACTACCATCAGAGAATAATCTAAACACCTCTATGCAAATAAACTAGAAAATCTAGAAGAAATGGATCAATTCTGGTCACATACACCCTCCCAAAACTAAATCAGGAAGAAGTCAAATCCATGAATAGACCAATAACAAATTCTGTAATTGAGGCACTAATAGCCTACCAACCACAAAAAAGCCCCGGACCAGACAGATTCACAGCCGAATTCTACCAGAGGTACAAAGAGGAGGTGGTACTATTCCTCCTGAAACTATTCCAAACAATACAAAAAGAGGGACTCATCCCTAAATCATTTTATGAGACCAACATTATTCTGATACCAAAACCTGGCAGAGACACAACAACAAAAAAATTTCTGGCCAATATCCCTGATGAATATTGATGTGAAGATCCTCAATAAAATACTGGCTAACTGAATCCAGCAGCACACCAAAAAGCTTAACAACCACGATCAAATCGACTTCATCCCTGGTATGCAAGGCTGGTTCAACATATGCAAATCAATAAACATAATCCATCACATAAACAGAACCAATGACAAAAACCATATGATTATCTCAATAAATGCAGAAAAGGCCTTTGATAAAATTCAACACCCCTTCATCCTAAAAACTCTCAATAAAATAGGTATAGATAAAACACATCTCAAAATAATAAGAGTTATTTATGACAAACCCATAGCCAATATCATACTGAATGGGCAAAAGTTGGAAGCATTCCCTTTGAAAACTGGCACAAGACAAGGATGCCCTCTCTCACCACTCCTATTCAACATAGTATTGGAAGTTCTGGCCAGGGCAGTCAGGTAAGAGAAAAAAATAAAGGAATTCAAATAGAAAGAGAGGAAGTCAAATTTTCTCTCTTTGCAGATGACATGATTGTATATTTAGAAAACCCATCATCTCAGCCCAAAAACTCCTTAGGCTGATAAGCAACTTCAGAAAAGTCTCAGGATACAAAATCAAGGTGCAAAAATCACAAGCATTCCTACACACCAATAATAGACGAACAGAGAGCCAAACCATGAGTGAACTCCCATGCACAATTGCTACAAAAAGAATAAAATACCAAGGAATACATCTTACAAGAGACATGAAGGACCTCTTCAAGGAGAACTACAAACCACTGCTCAAGGAAATAAGAGAGGACACAAACAAATGGAAGAAAATTCCATGCTCACAGATAGGTAGAATCAATACTGTGAAAATAGCTATAATGCCCAAAGTAATTTATAGATTCAATGCTATTCCCATCAAGCTACCACTGAGTTTCTTCACAAAATGGAAAAAACTACTTTAAATTTCATATCGGACCAAAAAAGAGCCCGTATAGCCAAGACAATCCTAAGCAAAAAGAACAAAGCTGAAGGCATCACACCACCTTACTTCAAAGTATACTACAAGGCTACAGTAGCCAAAACAGCATGGTACTGGACCAAAACAGATATATAGACCAATGGAACAGAGCAGAGGCCTCAGAAATAACACACATCGACAACCATCTGATCTTCAACAAACCTGACAAAAACAAGCAATGGGGAAAGGATTCCCTATTTAATAAATGGTGTTGGGAAAACTGGCTAGCCATATGCAGAAAACGGAAACCGGACCCCTTCCTTACACCTTATACAAAAATTAATCAAGATGGATTAAAGACTTAAACTTAAAACCTTAAACCATAAAAACCCTAGAAGAAAACCTAGGCAATACCATTCAGAACATAGGCATGGGCAAAGACTTCATGACTAAAATACCAAAAACAATTGCAACAAAAGACAAAATTGACAAATGGGATCTAATTAAACTAAAGAGCTTCTGCACAGCAAAAGAAACTATCATCAGAATAAACAGGCAACCTACAGAATGGGAGAAAATTTTTGCAAGCTACCCATCTAACAAAGGTCTAATATCCTGAATCTACAAGAAACTTAAACAAATTTACAAGAAAAGAACAACCCCATCAAAAAGTGGGCAAAGGATATGAAAAGACACTTCTCAAAAGAAGACATTTATGTGGCCAATAAACATGAAAAAAAGCTCATCATTACTGGTCATTAGAGAAATACAAATCAAAACCACAATGATCAAAACCAACTCACACCAGTTAGAATGATGATCATTAAAAAGTCAGGAAACAACAGATGCTGGAGAGGATGTGGAGAAGTAGGAATGCTTTTACAATGTTGGTGGGAGTGTAAATTAGTTCACCCATTGTGGAAGACAGTGTGGCCATTCCTCAAGGATCTAGAACCAGAAATACCATTTGACCCAACAATCCCATTACTGGGTATATACCCAAAGGATTATAAATCATTCTACTGTAAAGACACGTATGTTTAATTGCAGCACTATTTACAGTAGCAAAGACCTGGAACCAACCCAAATGACCATAAATGATAGACGGGATAAAGAAAATGTGGCACATATACACCATGGAATACTATGCAGCCATAAAAAAAATGAGTTCATGTCCTTTGCAGGGACATGGATGAAGCTGGAAACCATCATCCTCAGCAAATTAACACAGCAACAGAAAATCAAACACTGCATGTTCTCACTCACAATTGTGAGTTGAACAATGAGAACACATGGACACAGAGAGGGGAACATCACACACTGGGGTCTCTTGGGGGATGGGGGGCAAGGGGAGAGAGAGCATTAGGACAAATACCTAATGCATGTAGGGCTTAAAGCCTAGATGATGGGTTGATGGGTGCAGCAAACCACCATGGCACATGTATACCTATATAATAAACCTTCAGTTCTGCACATGTATCCCAGAACCTAAAGTAAAATAATAATAATAATAATAATAATAATAATAATAATAATTCAGCTCCAAACACCATTAGAACACCAAAATAACTGTTGCAAGAAAGGTCCACAAAAGGATGCTAAAATTTATAGGCAAAATTTGAAAAGAAACAAGATATTTGCATAGTCTCAAGTATCTGCCACCAAACTATTAATCACAAAGAGAGAAGTAGGCACCAAGTGATAAAAACATATTAACCAAGAGATAAGACATGTCAACACTATGTAATTCTTGATATGACAAAATGAGGTCATGTCATGTCTCTTGTCGTCTTGACAAACCTCCAAAAACAAATGCATAGCTTTCATATAATCATGCAAGACTTTAGGTAAGCCCAAACCTAAAGTTATTCTGCATAATAAGTAATCAAACCTCTTCAAAATTATCAAGGTCAGACAAGGAGAGACTGAGGAAATGATTGGAGGAGACAAAGGTGACCTGACATTTAAATGCAATGTGGAATCCTAAACCAAAACAAACATTAGTGGACAAACTTGTGAAATCTGGATACAGTTTTTAGTTTAGTTAATAGTATTGTATCAATATTAATTTCTAAGTTTCCATAATTATACTAATGTGAGCGGAAGTTGGGTGAAAGGTATATGGGAGCTTTTTGTATTATTTTGTAACTATTCTGTAAGCCTAAAATTACAAAGTAAAAAATAAAAAAGAAAAGCAACTGCAAAACAACAAATAATAAAACTAAGTTTGGATATTAAAGGTTAAAGGGAGAAAATAGAGAGAATAAAGATAAGAAAGAGAAAGAGAAGGAAGAGAAGCGGAGGAGGAGGAAGAAGGTAACCATTCCTATTTCTGAGTGGTCACAAAGAAATTGCTTGTCCAGGTGTTCCATCTCTCAGCTCAAACAGTCTTCAAGTCGGCCTGCCCACATGAGGTCTGTCCCTGAAGACCATTATAATGAAAAATCGTAAAATTTTACTTAAAACGTGAAAGAAGATCCCCATAAAATAACATTCCATTTAAATAAACAACAGGGCTGTTGCGGGTAACTTCACAAATTGATCAAACTCATCTAAGTCAATATGGAGTACTGGAATGGACTCTGGAGCCAGATCACTCAGGTTCAAATCTATTTCAGAATGGCATATTTCTGTATCTTTAGACAAGTTATTAAACTTTCTGTGCCTCTGTTTCCTCATAAGTATAATGGAAATATTAATAATAATATTGATATTATTTTGTTGGGAAGATTAAATTGGGTTAATACATATAAATTACTTGCCTAGCATACAATTAATGCTAAATTAATGTTAGTCAATATAGTTCATCAGGGGAATTAATGCATAAGAATCGCCATGCCTTGAAAAACGAGAATAATTGAAAATGTTGTCTGCCAATGCTTAAAATGTGCTATGAAGCTACAGTAATTAAAAGGTGATATTGAACAGCAGTAGATAATTAAATCAGAGAAACCAAATAGGAGTCCAGAAATAGATGCATTTTATATATGCATATGAATATATATATTCTTATATGTATTAAGTGAAGAAAGAATAGATTATTCAATAAACGTATTTGGAACATGTAGTTGAGCAAATACTTAAACTCTTATTTCACACTTACACAAAACAAATTATAAATGGCTTAAAAATCTTTACTTATTCCCTTTCCCTAACCACCCATTTCCAATCTAACTGGAAAGCTCTGCCACAAAAATATATCCCCAATCCAACCACTTATTAGCCACTCCAGTGTGCATTTTACCTTACTCCGAGCTGCAATAATCTCTATTGCAAAAGCCTCCAAACTAGCTGTCTTGCTTCTGTTCTTACCGTCACCCAAACATATACACCCTGTAACCTGAACCAAAATATAGAGCACTGTCAACATGCTAGAAAGTTCCCCTGTGTCCCTTTCCAAAATACCAGGAAGATTCGGGCTTCTGGAAGAGGAAATTGCTATTTTGAGGTAAGCATGTTTGGCTTTAATAGATACTGCTGGCCGGGCATGGTGGCTCACGCCTGTAATCCCCGCACTTTGGGAGGCCAAGGCGGGTGGATTGCCTGAGGTCAGGAGTTTGAGACCAGTCTGGCCAACATGGTGAAACCCCATCTCTACTAAAAATACAAAACAATTAGCTGGACATGGTGGCATGCACCTCTAATCCCAGCTACTCAGGAGGCTGAGGCAGGGTAATTGCTTGAACCATGGAGGTGGAGGTTGTAGTGAGCCGAGATTGCGCCACTGCACTCCAGCCTGGGAGTCAAAGTGAGACTCCATCTCAAAAAAAAAAAAAAAAATAGATACAGCTAATGAGATTTTCAAAGGCCAGATTTACAAATTTACATTGCCATTAGCATTGCATAAGAGTCCAAGTTAATCTACATTTTTACTAACACTTGGTGGTGTCAATGATATTAAATTATAATCATCCTGGTGGGTACATACTGATATATAGTTGTGGTCTTAATTCACATTTCCCTGAAGATTACTGTTGCACAAAACCTTTTGATAGACTTTCGGTCACTGGGATATCCTCTATTATAAACGTTTAGGTTCTCTAGTAATTTTTTATACATCTTTCCAATGTCTTAAAATGTGATTTAATTTCTCACCAAACTGATGCTTTTGTAAAAAAATATGATTTAAAAATAATTTTCATATGTTTGTTGGCCACATAAATGTCTTCTTTTCAGAAGTGTCTGTTCATATCCTTTGCCCACTTTTTGATGGGGTTGTTTTTTTCGTGTAAATTTGTTTAAGTTTCTTGTAGATTCTGGATATTAGACCTTTGTCAGATGGGTAGATTGAAAATATTTTCTCCCATTCTGTAGGTTGCCTGTTTATTCTGATAATAGTTTCTTTTGCTGTGCAGAAGCTCTTTAGTTTAATTAGATCCCATTTGTCAATACTGGCTTTTGTTGCAATTGTTTTTGGTATTTTAGTCATGAAGTCTTTGCCCATGCCTATGTCCTGAATGGTATTGCCTAGGTTTTCTTCTAGGGTTTTTATGGTTTTAGGTCTTAAGTTTAAGTCTTTAATCCATCTTGAGTTAATTTTTGTATAATGTATAAGGAAGGGATCCCGTTTCAGTTTTCTGCATATAGCTAGCCAGTTTTCCCAGCACCATTTGTTAAATAGGGAATCCTTTCCTCATTGCTTGTTTTTGTCAGGTTTGTCAAAGATCAGATGCTTGTAGATGTGTGGCATTATTTCCAAGGCCTCTCTTCTCTTCCATTGGTCTATATATCTGTTTTGGTACCAGTACTGTGCTGTTTTCATTACTGTAGCCTTGTAGCATAGTTTGAAGTGAGGTGGTGTGATGCCTCCAGCTTCATTCTTTTTGTTTAGGATTGTCTTGGCTATATAGGCTCTTTTTGATGTCATATGAAATTTAAAGTAGTTTTTTCTAGTTCTGTGGAGAAAGTCAATGGTAGCTTGATGGGAATAGCATTGTATCTACAAATTACATTGGGCAGTGTGGCCATTTTCATGATATTGATTCTTCCTATCCATGAGCATGAATTTTTTTTCCATTTGTTTGTGTCCTCTTTTATTTCGTTGAGTAGTGGTTTGTAGTTCTTCTTGAAGAGGCCCTTCACATCCCTTGTAAGTTGTATTCCTTTGTATTTTATTCTCTTTGTAGCAATTGTGAATGGGAGTTCATCATGATTTGGCTCTCTGCTTGTCTACTGTTGTTGTATAGGAATGCTTGTGATTTTTCCAGCTTGATTTTGTATCCTGAGACTTTCCTGAAGTTGCTTATCAGCTTAAGGAGTTTTTGAGCTTAATCAATGGGGTTTTCTAAATATACAATCATGTCATCTGCAAACAGAGACAATTTGACTTCTTCCCTTACTGTTTAAATACCCTTTATTTCTTTCTCTTGCCTGATTGCCCTGGCCAGAACTTCCAATACTATGTTGAATAGGAGTGGTGAGAGGGGGCATCCTTGTCCTGTGACAGTTTTCAAAGAGAGTGTTTCCAGCTTTTGCCCATTCAGTATGATATTGGCTATGGGTTTGTCATAAATAGCTTTTATTATTTTGTGATACAGTTCATCAATACCTACTTTATTGAGAGTTTTTAACATGCAGGGATGTTGAATTTTGTCGAAGGCCTTTTCTGCATCTATTGAGATAATCATATGGTTTTTATCATTGGTTCTGTTTATGTGATGGATTATGTTTATTGATTTGTGTTTGTTGAACCAGCCTTGCATATCAGGGATGAAGCCAGCTTGATCGTGGTGGATAAGCTTTTTGATGTGCTGCTGGATTCAGTTAGCCAGTGTTTTATTGAGAATTTTTGCATTGATGTTCATCAGAGATATTGGCCTGAAATTTTCTTTTTTTGTTGTGTCCCTGCCAGTTTTTGGTATCAGGATGATGCTGGCTTCATAAAACAAGTTAGGGAGCAGTCCCGCCTTTTCAACTCTTTGGAATAGTTTCAGAAGAAATAGTACCAGCTCCTCTTTATACCTCTGGTAGAATTCGGCTGTGAATCTGTCTGGTCCGGGGCTTTTTTTGGTTGGTAGGCTATTAATTACTCCCTCAATTTCAGAACTTGTTATTGGTCTATTCAGGGATTCAACTTCTTCCTCGTTTAGTCTTGGGAGGGTGTATGTGCCCAGGAATGTATTATTTTTTCCAGAATTTCTAGTTTATTTATGTAGAGGTGTTTACAGTATTCTCTGATGGTAGTTTGTATTTCTGTGGGATTGGGGTGATATCCCCTTTAGCATATTTTATTGTGTCTATTTGATTCTTCTCTCTTTTTTATTAGTCTGGCTAGCAGTCTATATATTTTGTTAAGTTTTTCTAAAAACCAGCTCCTGGATTCATTACTTTTTTGAAGTGTTTTTTGCGTCTCCATCTCCTTCAGTTCTGCTCCAATCTTAGTTACTTCTTGTCCTCTGCTAGTTTTTGAATTTGTTCACTCTTGCTTCTCTAGTCCAACATCACTGGTCATTAGACACATGCAAATCAAAAACTACAATAATGTATCATCTCATGCCAGTCAGAATGGTGATTATTAAAAAGTCAGGAAACAATAGATGCTGGTGAGGCTGTGTTGTTCCACAACTATTGTGGAAAACAGTGTGGTGATTCCTTAAGGATCTAGAACCAAAAGTACCATTTGATCCAGCAGTCTCATTACTGGGTATGTACCCAAAGGATTATAAATCATTCTACTATAAAGACACATGCACACGTATGTTTATTGCACACTAATCACAATAGCAAAGACTTGGAACCAACCCAAATGCCCATCAGTGATAGACTGGATAAAGAAAATGTGATACATACACACCATGGAATTCTATGCAGCCATAGAAAAGAATGAGATTGCGTCCTTTGCAAGGACATGGATGAAGCTGGAAACCATCATTCTCAGCAAACTAACACAGGAACAGAAAACCAAACACCACATGTTCTCACTCATAAGTGGGAGTTAAACAATGAGAACACATTGACACAGGGAAGAGAACAACACACCAGGGCCTGTCAGGGGGTGGGGACCAAGGGGAGGGAGAGCATTAGGACAAATACCTAATGCATGCGGGGCTTAAAGCCTAGATAATGGGTTGATAGGTGCAGGAAATCACCGTAGCACATGTGTACTTATGTAACAAACCTGCACATTCTGTACATGTATCCTGGAACTTAAAGTAAAATTTAAAAGTACGCAAATAATAATAATAATAATGATAATAATTTATGACTTTTTTCTTACTGCATTGGAATCATTGGCCCGCTGTGACCTACCTCATCCTAGTTGGAAGTGGAAGTCCTGATACACACACACACACACACACACACACACACACACACACACACACACACACGTTTATTTATTTATTTTTTATTTCCATAGGTTTTTAGGGAACAGGTGGTATTTGGTTGCATGAGTTAGTTCTTTAATGGTGATTTACGAGATTGGTGCACCCATCACCTGGGCAGTATACACTGAACCCAATTTGTAGTCTTTTATCCTTCACTCTGCTTCCCTTTCCCTCTGAGTCCCCAAAGCCCATTTTGTCATTTTTATGCCTTTGCATCCTCATAGCTTAGCTCTCACATATGAACGAGAACATACGATATTTGGTTTTTCATTCCTGAATTACTTTACTTAGAATAATAATCTCCAATTCCATCCGGGTTGCTGCGAATGCCATTAAGTCATTCTTCTTTATGGCTGAGTGGTATTCCATTGTTTATATATACCACAATTTCTTTATCTTGTTGATTGATGGGCATTTGGGTTGTGATATTGTTTGGCTGTATCCTCACCTAAATCTCATTTGAATTCCTATGTGTTGTGGGAGGAACACAGTGGAAGGTGATTGAATCATGGGGGCAGGTCTTTCCTGTACTATTCTCATGGTAGTGAAAAAGTCTCATGAGATCTGATGGGTTTATAAAGGGGAGTTTCCCTGCACAATTTATTTTCTCTTTTCCTGCTGGTATCCACATAAGATGGGACTTGCTCCTCCTTACCTTCTGCCATCATTGTGAGGATTCCCCAGGCTTGAGGAACTATAAGTCCAATTAAACCTCTTTCTTTCATAAATTGCCCAGTTTTGGGTATGTCTTCAGCAGCAGCATGGAAAGAGACTAATACAGTAAATTGGCACTGAAAAGACTGGGATGTTGCTGAAAAGATATCCAAAAATGTGGAAGTGACTTTGGAACTGGGCAACAGGTAGAGGTTGGAATAGTTTGGAGGACTCAGAAGAGGTCAGGAAAACGTGGCAAAGTTTGGAACTTCCTAGAGACTTGTGGAATGGCTTTGACAAAAATGCTGATAGTGATACAAACAATAAGGCCCAGGCTGAGGTGGTGTCAGATGGAAATGAAGAACGTGTTGGGAACTGGAGCAAAAGTGACTCTTGTTATATTTTAGCAAAGAGACTGGTGCCATTTTGCCCCTGCCCTAGAGATTTGTGGAACTTTAACCATGAGGGAGATGATTTAGGGTATCTGGTGGGAAAAATTTCTAAGCAGCAAAGCTTTCAAGAGGTGACTTAAGTGCTGTTAAAAGCATTCAGTTTTACAAGGGAAGCAGAGTATAACAGTTTAGAAGATTTGTAGCCAGACAATGTGATTGAAAAGAAAATCCCATTCTCTGAGAAGAAATTCAAGCTGGCTGCAAAAATTTGCATAAGTAACGAGGAGCTGAATGTCAATGCCCAAGACAATGGGGAAAATGTCTCCAGGGAACCTCAGAGGTCTTCACAACAGCCTCTCCCATCACAGGCTTGGAGGCCTAGGAGGAAAACATGGTTTCCTGGGTCGGGCCCAGGGTCCCCATGCTGTGTGCAGCCTATGACAGAGCAGAAGTACCATCATCTCAGAAAAACACCACCACTTTAAGTTCCATCTCCCTTTCTAGCCTCATGCATTTCAAGGAAATCACTTCTCTTCTAACTACAAACAGCCAGAAAGAGCAGACAGTAGGACACAGATAAGACAGCTTGGGCACAGAGGGAGGTGGGGGGAAAGTCTCTTGGGTAACTGCCCAACTTCACCCTCATACATGGGCCCCAGTAAAACTGTGGGCCTTAATAAGCACATTCCTCTCCCTTCGGGTGCACTAAGATAGGGAGGCTAAAAGCAGACTCAGGGGGTATGCCTGCAGCTGCACAAGGATGTATGGGAACAGACACACAACTCTCTCTCCCAGATAAGCACAACAAAGAGATACAGAAGCAGCCCACACCTCTGATAAGGTCTCCCACCCTGAATCCTTAAAAACTCTTAGTCTGTAAGAGAGTGTGCCTCTGACCTAACCTGGCCAGATGCCCCTCTCAGGTTTGTTTTCTCTAAAATGAACCTGTCTTGACTGCCAAGCCACTTTCATGTTTCTTTTCTCTTTCTTTAATTCTTATAGCCTAGGGACTCGGTGCTCTGTGTCTCAGCTGCTCCAGCTATGGCTGAAAGGAGCCAACACAGAGCTTGGGCCATGGCTTCAGAGGGTGCAAGCCCCAAGCCTTGGCAGCTTCCACATGGTGTTGAGCCTGTGAGTTCACAAAAGTCAAGAATTAAGGTTTGAGAAGCTTGGCCTAGATTTCAGAAGATGTATGGAAACACCTGGATGCTCAGGCAGAAGTTTAGTGAAGGGGTGGGGCCTTCATTGAGAACCTCTGCTGGGGCAGTGTGGAAGGGAAATGTGGGATCAGAGCCCCCACATAGAGTCCCTACTGGGGCACTGCCTAGTGGAGCTGTGAGAAAAGGGCCACTGTCCTCCAGACCCCAGAATGGTAGTTCCACTGACAGCTTACACCGAGCACCTGGGAAAGCTGCAGATATTCAACACCAGCCCATGAAAGCAGCCAGGAGGGAGGCTTTACCCAGCAGAGCCACAGGGGCAGAGCTGCCCAAGACCATGGGAACCCACCTCTTGGATCAGCATGACCTGGATCTGAGACATGGAGTCAAAGGAGATAATTCTGGAGCTTAAAGATTTGACTGCCCAGCTGGATTTCAGATATGCATGGGGCCTGTAGCCCCTTTGTTTTAGCCAATTTCTCCCATTTGGAATGGTTGTATTTACCCAATGCCTGTACCCCCATTGTATCTAGGAAGTAACTAACTTGCTTTTGATTTTATAGGCTCATAGGTGGAAGGGACTTACCTTGTCTCAGATGAGACTTTGGGCTGTGGACTTTTGAGTTAATGCTGAAATGAATTAAGACCTTGGGGGACTGTTGGGAAGGAATGATTCATTCTGAAATGTGAGGACATGAGATTTGGGAGGTGCCAGGGTGGAATGATATGGTTTGGCTGTGTCCCCACCCAAATCTCATCTTGAATTCCCATGTGTTGTGGGAGGAACCCAGTGGGAGGTGATTGAATCATGGGGGCAGTTCTTTCCTGTGCTATTCTTGTGGTAGTGAATAAGTCTCATGAGATCTGATGAGTTTATAAAGGGGAGTTTCCCTGCACAAGCTCTCCTCTCTTTGCCTGCTACTATCCACATTAAATGGGACTTACTCTTCCTTGCCTTCTGTCATGATTGTGAGGCTTCCCCAGCCATGTGGAACTGTAAGTCCAGTTAAAACTCTTTCTTTTGTAAATTGCCCAGTCTCGGGTATGTTTTCATCAGCAGTGTGAAAACGGTTCCATATTTTTGCAATTGTGAATTGTGCTGCTATAAACATGCAACACACATATATATTTAAATACTTAAACTTTGATTTTAGATTCAGGAGCGCACATGCAGGTTTGTTATATAGGTAAACTCAAAAGTTTGGTGACAGATTATTTCATCACCGAGGTACTAAGCATAGTACCTCAATTTTTTTTCTGAATCTCTCCCTTCTCTCACCCTCCTCCCTCAAGGAGGCTCCAGTGTCTTTTGTTCCCTTAAATGATTCACTTCACATTAGTACTCTGCTTAAAGTTTTCTGATGAAATGACGATAAACTGAAGTGGCTAATGGATGGCTTCTCTGGTCCCATCGTTGACCTCCCGTTTATTCTTTGCTGTCCTGCCAATGTGGACTCTTTCTGTCTCTTGGACATATGTAATTCACTTCTTCTTCTTTTTTTTTTGAGACAGACTCTTGCTCTGTCACCCAGGCTGCAGTGCAGTGGCACAATCTCAGCTCACTGCAACCTCCGCCTCCCAGGCTCAAGCAATTCTCCTGCCTCAGCCTCCTAAGTAGCTGGGATTACAGGCACACACCACCATGCCTGGTTAATTTTTGTATTTTTGGTAGACATGGGTTTCACCTTGTTGGCCAGGCTGTTCTGGAACTCCTAACTCAGGCAATCCACCTGTCTCAGCCTCCCAAACTGCTGGGATTACAGGCATGAGACATAATTCACTTCTGCTTCAAGACCTGAGCCCTATCTGTCACCTCTGTCTGGGCCCCTCTCCCATAATGTCATTATAAGTTAGATTCTTCCAAGGATTCAGGTCTCTCCAAATATCAGTTCCTCCGAGAGGCATTTCCTGTGCTTCCCAGTTAAGGTGCCTACACATAAGCTCATCTTTCCCCTTGACCTATTTCATTTATTGCATAGAATTGATCACTTTCTGACATACTATGTATCTGCATAAGGGCTTATTGCCTGTCTTCCCAGTAAACTAAAAGCTCATGAGAGTTGAGAATTTTTGTATTATTTATCACTGTTCACAGCCTGGCACATACTAAGCACTGAATAGATATATGTTAAATGTTAAATAAAAGATTAAAACATACAAAATAACTGGAGGAGAGAAAAGATAGAAAACTATTATTAGAATCTTGTGAGAGAGGAGGCTTTTCAAAGACTACCACTAAGCTAAGAAGCATAATGACAGACAGATTTGTTTATATAGAAACTTGTAAAACTTGTGTATAGTAAAATCCTTCACAGCAAAGTTAAAAGAAGGAAATATTTATAGCATATATAATTAACATTGGTAAAGACCCAGTTCAGATTAGCCCAACCACATGTTTTAAACCTGTTTAGAGAAGAGTCATCTTGCGGATTCAGTTTTGCCCAGACAACCTTTAAAATAAGTGGAACAATAATCGCCATGGGAAATGCTGCAATACGAAAGACAAATAGCCCCATAGGGAAGTGGGCAAAAGTTTTGAATAGGTAGTTCACACATGCAAATGAATAGCACAAGACAGGAAAACATTAGCAAACTTATCAATAATTTTAAGTCCATATTTACACAATGAAATACAATTCAGTTGTCTATAAAATTTGTATAAATTTAAAAAATTAGTAACTTGCTATGCAGTCATCTGTGTGGGAAAACAGGTTCTCTAACATACGATTTGTGAAAATCTGAATGGGAATGACATTTCTGGAAGCCAATTTAGCAATGTCTATCCAAATTTAAATGTGCAGACACTTTGACTTAGCAATTCCATTTCTAAGAATGGATCTTTCCTATCAATAGGCCCAAGTACTTAGGCAGACATGTGTATACAAATTATTGCAGCATTGTTTAGTAGAAATATGATAACAATCTAAATGTCTAAAAATAAGAAGAACAATAAATAAAGTATGGTACACCCAGAATGGAGTTCTGTGGGACCCTTAAAGAGAAAAGTAAATCTGAATTGAATATATTAACTTACAATGACGTCTATGATATATTAAGAGAAAAATAAGTTGAAGATCAATATGTGTACCTGAATTCCTGATCAGAGTTGCCCTAATTTCATAGTCTGGAACTAAGGCACATCGTCACATCTGCCTGCACAGCAGCCTGCAGAAGCACCATACAAAGGAGAATGGAATTCTATGGCCAGCTTAGAGGTCTCATGATCTATCCACAGAGTTGGAGGAGGAGCCTGCTGCCCTAAAATTAAATGATCTCTGAACTCAAAGACACTAGCCATAAAATAAAATATTAATAATATGGGCCTTATTAAAATGAAAAACTTCTGCTCATCAAAAGACATCATTAAGGAGTACAAAGAGACTGGGAGAAAATATTTATAATTAATATATCTGATGAAGGACTTGGATCTGGAAGACATAAAGAGTTCCTATAAATTAAAAAGAAAAAGAAAAATAATTAAAAATGGACCAAAGCCTTTGGTACCTCAGAAATGAGACATCCAAATGGTCAAGAAACTTACGTGAAAAGGTTATTAAAGTTTATGTAGAAAATACAGATAAAAACTACAATGAAATTCACGCTATAGCCACCAGAGTAGTTAATAAAAAGACTGACAATATCAAATGCTGGTGAGGATGTAGAGCAAGTAGAACTCTCATACATTGCTGGTGGAAATGTAAATTCGTTCTGCAACTTTTGAAATTTCTTGTTCTGAAATTTAAAACTTTAGGGTATACACTCACAGAAATGAATCCATATACTCACCAAACTATATATCACAAACTATATATCATGAAATGTTCTCAATAGCTTTATTCATGATATCACAAAAATGGAAGCAGCCAAGGTGTTCAATATATTCACAAGAGAATGAATAAATTGTGAAATATGCATGTAGCAAAAAACCACACAGCAATGAAAAAGAATAAACTACTGAATCATGCAATAAAACATAAACTAATTTTATGTGAATGCTGGAAGAAGTCAGGCACAAAAGATTATATACAATATTATTAATTTATATGAACTTAAGAACTAGAAAAACTAATCTACAGTGATAGAGACCAGGATAGGGGTTACCTTCAGGAGATATTGACCGGCAAGGGGTACAATGACGCCTCCGGGTGGTGATGCACGTAATCTGTTTCCTGAGCTGGGTGGTGGAACATGACTGCATACATATGTAAACATTCATTGTACTTAAGATTTGTGAACTTTGCAGTATGCATGCTACATCTCAGTTGTAAAGAACAAAACAAACAAAAACCTCAAACCAGAAAAAAGAGATCTCTTCTTTCTGTCTTAGAAAATGGGGGTTCTTTTAGCTAGAAGGTGGAAGTTTGATGCTTATGGCTGTCGGCTTATCAAAAGACATTGTCTGCCACAATTCCATTCATACACACGCATAGACACACACACACAGTAATTCATGTGTATGTGTTTATATAAGCATAGAAAATTTTCAAAGAATATATGTTCAACAGATAACAGTAATTACATTTGAAGATAGAACTAGACAGAGGTTTTAATATTTTTATTTATACATTTCTGATTATTAAAATAAAAGAGAAAATTCATAGAGTGAGAGCAAGAATCTTAAGGGTCACTAATAAAATGGTTTTGGGTGAGGGATTTGTTCTCTATGGTGAATAAATGGAGATAAACAGAAAAAAGATGCCCAGGCACCCAGAACTTTTGGGGGTGGCAGTAGAAAAGGTTACTGAAGTGTTAAAAGCTCTTTCTGAGCTTATTTAATCAAAATGGAAAAAATCTACTAGGAAAATTAATATGCCCCCCATGAATAATTGAGAACTGCCTACAGTCTATTCTCCTGAAATGACATTTTCTCTCATCTGAATGATGAAAAGAGTAGGAAAGCAACCTTAGAGGTCATCTAATTTAATGCCCTCAGCAAATGTGCCAATCTTTTTCATAATTCTTACATTTAAAGGGTCTCAAAAGTTGTGTGACAAGTGGAAAACATGTCTTTACTACCAAGTGTGCAGAAGACGTGTGCTGTATAATCAACTGGCTAGAAAACAGGCTGAGGAAATCTGCCTTGGTTTGTTTTCTTTGCCACCTGGAGCAGTGTCGTGTGTGTGTGTGTATGTGTGTGTGTGTGTGTGTGTGTGTATGTATGTGTGTAAGAACTGGAGAAAGAAAAAGAGACTGATGATGGAAAGGGAAGGGAGCTGGTTCGGGAAACCCACCTAGCAGCACTTACTTAAGTACTGATGTGTCTAACATTGACAGAAAATAAATCTAGATTTTAACTTCAATCCTTTCATTCTTGTTTGCTCTGAATCAAAATTGCATCAAGAAAAAGTTTTAAATTTCAGAAAAAGAAAACAAGATTTGTTCTGACAAGGCTTTCTGTAGGTCCCATTCTAAGTCCCTGAAGGCAGCTGAGCTTTAGTCTAGAGGTATTGTATGTTTTCTGATAGTACCCAGTGGGTTTTCTATTGTTATTTATTGTTACTCCTTGGTCTTTCTCCCAACCAACTATTTCCCCCAACCACTCAACATACACAAGTTTCACACACGTTTTTTTCCTCTGGCTTTTGAGTTTCCAAAGTCTGGATACTGAGGGAAATAGAAAGGACACAAGCATGTGAAGAGTAGATTTTAAAAGAATAGCTGAGGAGCAGAAGCCAGGCTTCTATTATCCTCGAATAATAGAGTCCTCTCCTCAGAATGGGGAGGAGAAAAGTAAGGGAGGACATGTCAAGTATATAGACGCTGGCCATTCCTGGGGTGAGCGGAGTTCTGTGCTGGGCTTCTTGGGCCAAACCTGGTGTGAGCAGAGGAGAATGACTTCAGGTCAGTATGTTGAGGGTCCTTATATTTCACTGCTGAGGCATATTTCTGGAGGTGCACAGTGTGGTGAGTCTAGGCTGATAGGACTTGAGATAACCTCCTAGATTTTCTCCATATGCAGTGTGATTTGGATGCAACAGAAAAATTCCCCCAAAAGTGACTGAGAAATAGTATAGAGAATCCAAATGGAAAGGGCCCAGTGGACTGGACAGACAATCAGAAGGGAAATGGGCATCTCCAAGGAGACTAGCATGGGCAGTGGCCATCACCTTAGCAATGCATAAACCTCTGAGGAACTTAGACAAACTCTGCAAAAGGAAGGGCATAGGGATTGAATTACTGAATTGACTGAGACTGATTTTTTTGCCACCTTATTAGAATTTGGGTTCAAAATCGAAATTGAGTTACAAAAAAATTAAAAGTTACATATCTTCCCTATGAAAGTTTCATCACCATCCCATAACCACGGAGAAGGCAGGACCTTATTGGCTTTCATTGTTACATAATGGGTTCAAGTTCCACCACATTTTTCTGAGGCAGAGATTTTTGTTCCAAAAACTCAAAGTGTTAAGTAGACTGATTTCTTAGAAAGTCTTTATTATTTCTTAGAACCTCCACTGGACATGCCACAAAGATCCTTGTGGATGACTGGTTCAGAAGAAACAGAAAGGGAGGTACTTGTGGAAATTGCCTCAGGACTGGTCTCCTTTAGTTGAAAACACATATGGGCAAAGAAAATGCAGGGCCAAATGAACTTTTCTGCACAGATCTCTTTCAAACTGCAGGAAAGTTTGCTTTCTTTAGGTGTTAGAGAAGCCAACAAGAGCGGATGTGCAGGGATGATAGGCATCTCGTGGTGAATGCAGAATCAACCAAGCATTTCACGGTAGCCAGTGGAGTTCAACCATAAACATTAGATTAACTGGAAGCAGACCACCACATCAGAGTTGGGCAGAAAGCTTGGAGAAGTAACCCAGCAAACAATGTTCTGCCTCCTGGGCACTCCCACCATGTGATGAAATGGCACCACAAACCAGAGGCATGCCTGAGAGCAAAGACTTTAACGGTGCCCCTTTTCTGAAATTCCCCACTTCCTCTTTTCTCCTCATTCCTTCTCGTCCTCCTTTTTCTTCTCCTCCCCCTGCTTCTTCTTTTAATTGTTCCCAATTCAAAGACCCAATGGCTCATGTTGGGAAGGCTTTTAATTTTAATGATGGAAAATGTATCATCTTCCACTCATCTTTCTTTCTAGTCCTCTGCACCCCTTCTCCACATACACTATAACACTGCATGACTTCTGTCAGCTCAGCTGTTTTGTTTTTTCTTTTGCATTACAGATGCCTTCTTATAACTAACCATCTGGACTTTACTGCTCTGGAAACCCAATGAACTTCCTCTCCATCCACGTTCTACTCAGTTTTTATTTAGTTGGGTCTTCACTGCACAAAATTGCTCTAAAAATGTACCTGAGATTTGTTTAAGTCAAATATGGTAAGACACACAGACAGAAATGATTGTGATCAAGGAAGAAGCCTATATTCACAAATCACAGATCCTTGGACACAGAAGTCAGGACATGCCATGCAGGACATTGGGAAGCACAAAATCAGCTGGGAGACAGAAGCAGGAGGGGGCAGGGCATGCCCAGAGTTCCTATTGGGGTTCTCCTGGGAATGACTGGGTGAGGCAGAGTAGGTACACTGTTAAGTTTAGGATTGGATAGTTTGAATAATTTCAGTGGGCTCTGGGCTATAAGACTGGTCCCCAGTTGTCTAGTACCAGTCCCTGGAGTAATTTAGGACAGAGAGGGTATTGGCCTAGTGTGTGAGAAGTTGATAAAGGAGATAGTTGAGGTTGTGAGCTCCAAATTGGTTGGTTTGTATAACACAGGTGCACTCCCAGAGGAGTCTTGCTATCTCTAGGAATTAGCTAGCCTGGAAGAGGCAATCTATCTAGGATGAAGGGCCCAAATGCCAGAGCATCAAAAAAGAAAAAAAAAAAAAGAAAGAAAGAAAACACAGTCAATACAAACTAGATTTATAGCAACCATTTTCAGGGCACACTATCGCCATTGGTCCATTCATATCCCCATTTACTTTATGTATTTATTTATAAAATAACAACTGGCCAGGCGCGGTGGCTCATGCCTGTAATCCCAGCACTTTGGGAGGCCAAGGTGGGCAGATCACCTGAGGTCAAGAGTTCGAGACCAGCCTGGCCAACATGGTGAAACCCTGTCTCTACAAAAAATACAAAAATTAGCTGGACATGGTGGCATGCACCTGTAATCCCAGCTACTCAGGAGGCTGAGGCATGAGAATCACTTGAACCTGGGAAGCAGAGGCTGCAGTGAGCTGCGATCACACTACTGCACTCCAGCCTGTGCAACAGGAGCGAAACTCCATCTCAGAAATAAATAAATAAAAATAAATAAATAAATAATAAAGAACAACCATGAATTAACTATAGAAGCTAAAGCCTGGGACATTATCAATTATTAACATTTACTTATTAGATTCTATTCTAATCTCTTGAAGTCCAATAGTACTTTCTGCCGTTTATCAATGCGTCTCAACACCTCATATGGAGAAGATCCATTTTGAATGTCTGCCAGGGCTGCTTGCATTCCCTGTCCTCTCATGATCTCATCAGCTTGAATTTCAAGCTCTTTGAATGTTTTCCAACCTGTAACTTAAACACTGGCAAGCAGAAGAATATTTCATTATGCTTTGGATACAAAATGCATGAATTTGTAGAGATGGATGGTGAATTTTTTTCATGACTTTGTGCCTACGTAAGCCACCACCTCTGGTAATGGTAAAATACTCTCTATAGTTCTTAAATGAAAATCTAATAAAAATTTAGGAAGGAAAGGGCTTTGGCAGAGGGCTTTTCAAGTCAGGTGTGAGGCTATGGTAATACCAGTAAGAGAGTCTTCTTACTGTCTAGATTTTCAGCAGCTCCACTATTCATTTTGCATGAGGGCTACCCGACATTGTCCAACAGCAACCAGCAGACATGAAAGGATAGGGCTTGTCATTGCTTTTGAGAATATTAATTATGATATGTCTTGCATGAGAAATTTGAGAGATGTTATGTTTAGAGAAACTGGTGGGGCTGTTGCTGAAAAATCAGCGGAAATCGGATGCCTGCAAGAAAGGACCCTGGAAAAGCCAGCGGTACACGGTGACAGGCAACAGGTATTCTGGGGAGGGGTGTGTTGGGGTAATGCTCAGAGGACTTCAGAATGACTTTTATTTCCTCATTATGATCCTAAAATGTCTTAGGTATTTTTTTCCAGGTGTTTAGAAACATAAAGATGAAAAAACTGTTGTGTATAACTTTGGCTGGATCAGTTGTTTCATCTAGCCCTTATATTTTCTGGCTTTTCTGCAGCTCTGTGCAAAAACATCCACATAGGTTCCTAGGCTATTGCTACAAACAGAGAAATGTGCAAGACCAAGGTTTCATCAAAATATCTGTTTTTCTGCCTTGTATCCTCTGGTAACTTTGTAAGTTGGCTTTGTTATATCTTATCCAACACCCAGTAATCAAAAGGCTTTTTGGAAATCTCCTTGGGTCTCAAGTTCAAACCAAACTGTAGGCCTGGTTGTTATTTTGTGCAGATAAAGTGTAAATCATTTTCTGTATGATTTTATTTCCTAAGCGAACTGTCCTGAGAAAAGAGTACTTGGGTGTTCAGGGCGATCAGAATTTGGGGACTTTGGCTGGATCCTAACAATTTAGGAGACCCCATTTAAAAATATTTATCCATCCAAATGAAATGAAAGGGTGCTTGTCCTACAAATGGCCCCTGAAATAACTTTGGAAGTCCAACCCCTGCCTGAACAGTGGCTATTACCCTTGGACACTGGTAAGTAGGGCTTATAATTCTGGAATAATTTTCCTTTGAATTTATGACTCTTCAACTTCAGTTCGCACATCAGCCTTCTCGTCTCCTCTCCCACGTTAAATTGGTCCATAAAACTCCACACACCATAAAATGAGATCTGGGCGGAGATGTGGCAAAGCATCCCCCAAGGTAAACATTATGATAGACTTTCACCCCACCCCATCCCCAGCCCTGCCCCAGAAGAAGATGGAAACAAAAGGCATGCTAGTCTGGAGACAGCCCCCAAACAGCTGTGCATTCTTGTTCAGCTGGGACAGCAGCTGCCTTTATAAACGGAGACCCCCCCTTCCTTTCTCCCTATCTCGCTTATCTGAGTAGTGGTCTACACAGAGGAACAGGAAAATGCTGAAGCCTCCCTAGGCTCTAGAGAGCTGACACCAAGGACTTCCTGTGGCCTGGCTCCAGCCGCATGCGGAACAGCCTAGCTTGAAGCAGCCAGCCCTGATGGTGTCTGAAATATTTGGCTCCTGGCTCCGGCTGTGGGCTGGCTGTCTGGTTTGTTTGAACACAAACTAGCCTGGGAGTCTTTGTGTAGAATGCTCCTTGAAGTTTTTTCCATGACATCTGCCAATTAAATGTATGAATTACTCTGTTTACTCCTGTGTGACAGGGAAGACATTTTATTCAGAAGCAAAGGATTCCTCCTTCTCTTTGCTTTGACTTCAAAAATTTGATGAGCTCCTATTACGTGCCAGTCACTGGACATGATGCTTGGACATTTGTGATTTTATTTTATTCAATATTATAGCTCCAATAAAATGGGCTTAGGGTTATGTTTTTTACAATTGAAGAAACTGGAATACAAAGATGGGAAATGATTGATCTGAGGCCACACAAACGAATAAGGGGCAGAGTAGGAATTAGAACTTAAGTCTCCTCATTACAAAGTTTGTTTTGTTTTGCTTTTTATCTTCTTCACTAAAACTTATTTAGGAATAATTGCTTGACTGTTTTGAGTTGGTATTTGAGTCTATACTCATGCATTCATTCATTCATCTATTCAACAACTATGATTTAAGCATCCACTGGGTACACTAGGTTAAAAAACTAAGCACTGGGGTCTGCAAACTTTTTCTGTAAAGTGCCAAATAATATATATTTTAAGGCTTGAGAGCTGTATGATCTCTGTTGCAGCTACTTAGCTTTGCCATTGTAGTGGGGAGGTAGTCATGAACAATAGGTAGGTGAATAGACATAGCTATATATCAGCAAAACCATATTTACAAAAATAGGCAGGAGGTTAGATTGGGTCCTGAGGCCATAGCTTTCTATAGACTACCATGCAGTGCATAACCTCCACATTCATCCATAGCACCCCTAGTGAGGCACGACATAATTATGGTTTGACTCTGAATCCTGAGCCTGGAATGGGAATAAGGGTTCTTGTACTTGGACTGATCCTCTGTCCCCTCAAAATAACCCTGAGAGGCCCTCCTGAATCATCATTGCCCTCTATGGTGAGATGCCATCCCTTCCCTAAGGCACCTCTCTTGCAACACTCATAGGAATGTTCCTAGAACTAACTAAACCCTTGTGTGACTTGGGTAGGCAACGCGTTGAATAGGAGAAAGTAACAAGAAGGTGAGGCCTCAGAGAACACGGAAGAGTCTTGCCTCCTCCTGATTATATTACAAAACTAGTAATTTTAATAATAACAACAGCTACCCTGATTGCATGTTTAGGTGCCGAAGGCAAGCATCTGTATTGTCTTACTTGATCCTCACCACAGCCCAGTTAATAAATATTGCTTTTTTCCACTTTTTTTTTTTTTTTGAGACGGAGTCTTGCTCTGTCGCCCAGGCTGGAGTACAGTGGCGCAATCTCAGCTCACTGCAAGCTCTGCCTCCCAGGTTCATGCCATTCTCCTGCCTCAGCCTCCCAAGTACCTGGGACTACAGGCGCCCACCACCACACCTGGCTAATTTTTTGTATTTTTAGTAGAGATGGGGTTTCACTGTGTTAGCCAGGATGGTCTCGATCTCCTGACCTTGTGATCCACCCTCCTCGGCCTCCCAAAGTGCTGGGACTACAGACATGAGACACCACACCCGGCCGATTTTTCCACTTTTCACATGAGGAAATCTAGACTCAGAGAAGTTGGGTCCTCAGGTCACAGACCCAGGAAGTAGCAGACTCGGGATTTGAGTCAAAGTCTGCAGTTTCCAAAGTCCAGGTCCCTCACCACCAAAGCTGACTGTTTTTGGAAGAAGAAAATTAAAGAACTATCACCTTTCATTAGTGTCATTGTTGTTGCCTCCATGGAATCATGACAGCAAGATGAACCAAGAGGACCTCTTGATACAAAAGATGCTCTTGCTGGGGAAGCAGCCACAACATATGTTTCTATTAACTGTGGTCAGATTCCTAAGGTACAAGGCACAGTGCCCTCTACTGCCCAGGAGGAACCCTATTAGTTCCCCTAACATAGATGGAAGATCCAGAAATGTCAGTTGTTGAAGATTGGGATTTGTGTCATGGTGTGAGAATTTATTAGAAATCTTCTTTTATTTCTTTTGATAACTCTGTATGGGACTGGCAGATATTTACTCAAGGTGATGGGGGGAGGGTAAAATGGGAAAAGGAGAGAGAGAAGCCACAATCCACACAGAGTACTTTGAGGCAGGAGAAAAAGATGTTCTTCCAATGTTTAGTTATCTCCCTTCTGAACAAGTGTGTACATCTTCTGTTTCCTAGGGTAGCCTACGGCAGGCTGAATCCTGATGGCATCTGGACCAGGAAGAGGTCAAGGAGGCTTCCGATGGTCCCACAGGACATCTATAGCTCCATGCCAGGTAGTATTTTTTTCATTACTGAAAATGAAAAAGTTTTCCTGGAAGTAAGCAGACATAACACTGACTTCATGGGTCCAAGCAAAGAGGACAATGTAGAGACAAAAGAATACAAACCGACTAGTTGCTAAAGGAGCTAGAAAGGGGGATTATTTAAGAAAAAAAGAGACAAATTAAATAAATAAAATATCATCCTTCATGGTACAGCAGTGCTGCGGCCTGGGGATAGAACTGGAAACTTTGTGTGGTGAGTACTAGTGGGATGTGAATTGGGCCAAAATATATTTGTCTCCAAGAAATACATTTTTCAAAATGCTAAGCCTTAATTTTTTTTTTTTTTGAGTAAACAGCCGGGAAAATGCCAGGCTTGATACTTTCTTGAATGGAGCCCTGGATGTGCCATATGGAAGCCCTTGTGAGGGGAAACCCTTGTCGGCCTGCCCCAAGTCTTGCTGCTGTGTAGGTCCATTCAGTTCTACATTAGCCTGTACTTTGAAACTCTGCCCTTGCGGCATCCTGGCTACGTCCAAACCCCCCTTCCACTCCGCTGCCGACAACACATGATGTGCTTCCTCTCTTCAAAGAAGCAGCCATCTTGGAAGAAGCTACAGGGCTCCAAAAAACAATTTTGCTGGTCCAGTAATCAAATCTCTGACCCACAGCCGTGTTTCTCTCCTGCCACATTTTTCTTGGCTCTTCCGGGCTCCATCCCTCTAAGCAAACATTCCCTCTACATTTAGACTCCTTCTAACACTAAGCATAATGTAATGGAAAGAAACATTGAAGACCTGGGTTTCAGTGGTTTTTGCTATTAACTTTCTCAGTGTTTAACATCCCAGATTTTCAGCTTTCTCATCTTTATTTAATAATATCCATCTTACAATGGATGTTATTGTCAGTGGAAAATTAGATGGGACAATATACATGAAAGTATGTTAATAAATGTAACAGTCAAACAAATATTGATCAAATACCTGATACGGGATTGGCATTGAGAAATATGATGCTATGATGCAACCCTATAATCTAGTCAAAGAGGCAGACAGAGACATAGGTAGTATTAATGCAATGTGTGGCAGTTGGGTTGTGTTTGTTTGTTTTGATTTTTGTTGTTCTTGGCCACAGCAAACCAACCTATAATCCATTCCTATTTCTGTTCCCCCTGCCACTAATTTGTCTTCCTTCTTTGGGCCTCAGATTTCAATTTGCCAAATGCATAGATGACCAGATAATTTGTTATCCAAACCAGGATACTTCCTACAGTAAGAGGAATTGCTGTTAATAACTGTGCCAGAGCAATTTGTGCACATGGAGACTTCCAGGCAAACAGAGATGATGGCCACACTACAAATGAAATGGGGGCAGGCATGCAACAGTATCTAAGGATTATTCAAGTTCTTACAATTTATGGCATTTAGTTTATTTATTTATTTATTTATTTATTTATTTATTTATTTATTTATTGAGACAGAGTCTTGCTCTATCGCCCAGCTGGAGTGCAGTGGCATGATCTCTGCTCATTGCAAGCTCTGCCTTCCGGGTTCACACCATTCTCCTGCCTCAGCCTCCCGAGTAGCTGGGACTACAGGTGCCCGCCACCACACCCAGCTAATTTTTTGTGTTTTTAGTAGAGATGGGGTTTCACCGTGTTAGCCAGGATGGTCTCGATCTTCTGACCTCATGATCTGCCCGCCTTGGCCTCCCAAAGTGGTGGGATTACAGGTGTGAGCCACCGCGCCTGGCCCACGTTGTGATTATTATCAAAAGCTTTTCTCCCAGTCCAGTGACTGGGTTTCCTCTTTGGCTGCCCTCATGGGCCTGGCTCCTGGTCAGTAGTATGTAGTGAGCTGAACCCTGAAAATCCTGGTTGCTCCCCTCCCGGGTCAAATTTGTTGTAAATAAAACTGCATCATACTCCTTGTGATGGCATCACCTGTTGGAGCATAGCTACCTAGAGAGCATGGGAAACTAAATGAAAATAAACTTAAACACTGGCAGCACAGGTCAGACTACTGGGGAATGTTTAGCTCCTGAATAGTCTCTTGCTCCTTCTTGGATATCTTTTATATTAATCTCCTCTCTCAAAGCAGTAAGCCTTGTGTTTACATGGATGGACAAATTTCTGGATGTGTATATATATTAAATATATATACTTTCTTTTTTTTGAGACGGAGTTTCAATCTTGTTGCCCAGGCTGAAGTACAGTGGTACGATCGTGGCCCACCACAACCTCTGCCTCCCGGGTTCAAGCTATTCTCCTGCCTCAGCCTCCTGAGTAGCTGGGATTACAGGCATCTGCCACCAGGCCTGGCTAATTTTTTTGTGTTTTTAGTTAGAGACAGGGTTTCTCCATGTTGGTCAGGCTGGTCTTGAACTCCCGACCTCAGGTGATCTGCCCACCTTGGCCTCCCGAAGTGCTGGGATTACAGGTGTGAGCCATCGTGCCCAGCATATATATATATACATTTAATAATATCCACCAACTATCAGCTTTGAAAAGCTTAAGATCAATAAGAGAAAAGGATTGATGAGCTGATTTTGTGTATCTCTCTCCCCCTTCATTCTCCTTCCTCCTGGGAGTTTGATCCCCTTTCCACTTCCTCTCTTAACATTTTTATGGACTAGAGATGCAATCTTAAGTGAAAAGTTTATTTTTTTTCTTTTCCAATGCCATCCAATAAAAGTATGCCCAACTACAGTGGTCGGGAAACTGAGGCATAGATAAAATGTAGGGGAGTTCTTGCTAACCTTGTATACACAGGGAGCTCACACAAATTCATGCTAGATGATTTGAGATTAGTGATGGAGTCTTGTATATATCCAGGCTGTATGTTGCATATCTTCCCAGAATCAGACACTTCAACACCATCTTAAATGTAAAACCGAGGTGATATGTCTGAGCTAACCATGCCTCTTCCCAAACACATACACATGATCTACATAGTATGTTTTATCATAGACTTTTCTAGGCACTTGGGATTTGTGAGACCCTGAAGTTTTCTCTTCCAGCATGCTTTCCAATTTCATTATCCTTATGAAAAGTGTTGAGAATTATACTCTACAAACAGATTCTTGAGGAGAGTTCTCATTATCCAGACATCTTAGAGTCTTGTCCTAATTGCTTTTCTTTATATCATAAAACAATCCATTTTGGTGGCTCAGTTCTAGATAAGAATTTGTACAGAAGAACCAGGTTTGGTGTTCAGGGAGGTGACCGTAGGTGGAAAGTTTGGGGAGAATGTATTGACATAGCAACTGAATTCAGCCTGAACCTGAAAGAACTTACAGAAGACTCATTGGGATGATGATTACAACCCCAGACCCACTGACCCACCCAGGCAAAATGGAATACAGGGTGTGTGTGTGTGTGTGTGTGTGTGTGTGTGTGTGTGTGTGTGTGTGTTTTAATTGTCCTAATTCGCCATAGCTAGCCTGTGGTGAGCATCCTCCACTAGGACCTGGAATAACCTTGCTAAACCTTTACCTTAGCTGGCTACCTGTACAGGCATGAATGGTCAGTACTGAAAATCACAAGTGCTGGTTCAAATAAGAATGCTACTTTTTCAAATAGGGATACTATCTTCTACACACCTGATTCATTAGGGATCTGGGGACCATTAATATTTAGTGATAGTGCAGGAAATGAAATGGAAGTGGAAGTTAGTATGATTTGACCTGCTGAGGGCATGAGGCTGGGACTCCTGGGTTAATTCTTGCTGTTTTTTTTTTTTCTAGTATAAGTTTTACTGTGGTTCCATGATTTGTGTCCTTCCCTGTTGGCTCTGCAGGAGCCTGGCTGTCTTTATTTAGTAAATGTATCTTGTAATTCTTAACCCAAGGGCCTCAGATTCCATATGGCATGTTTGAAAGGACAGCATGCACATTATCTCAAATTCTTTTTGCTTTATATTTAAAAATATTATCTTGAAGATCAAAAGTGAAAGCTCTCCTCTCATGTTGAGTCCAGCTGTCCTGTGGAGTCAAGGATAGCCCTGCTCAGCCGTGCTGGGGTGTGGAGACAGAGTGTCCTAAATACATACACAGCAATTTTCCCCCTTCCTGTCCCCACCCTACCTTGCTCTTCAAGTACAGACAGGATGCTATTGACTCACTACAAATGGGAAAGATGATTTGAGGTTTTCAGCATAACTTAGCAAGCATTAAGTAAGCACCTATCATGCCCCAGGCTCTGATTTTAAGTTCAGTGATAGTTTTAAGTTCAAGGAGAGAGTGGTTGGCTAACAAGATGAAGAAGTTGTATTTCAAGAATGTATCCAGTATTTTATTGAGAGATGTTTAAATAAGTGGGATATAAATAACTGGAAAATAGCATGTAATCCACATGTAAGAAAGCAAATTGAAATAAGAGGCATATAGTGGCATTAGCAGCTCCCAGAAGAAGGAGCTGTTAATTCTGCCTGAGGGATCAGAGCGGGATTCTCAGATATGTTAAAATTCATGTAGTTTAAACTGGGTTTTAAATATCCATACAAACATGCATTTCACTCGCATTTACTCAATGCCTAGTAAATGCCAGACAGTGCAGATTTTGAAGGAGTTCTTACCACCAGGGAACATATGGCCTACCTGGCAAGCTGAGTAAATAAACAATTGTGAGAAGAAAGGTTTCTTTTGAATTGTTAATTGTGTTAATAGCCGCCCCCCTCCTTTTCTTAAGCATTACTAGGTGGTAGGCATCATTCATTAACTTTTTCTACTCATAATCTGATTTATAATTCAAAACCATCTCATACATTAGAGTCTACCCTAAGTTTATATCAGAGGAAACTTGTCTAGAGTTGCTTAGCTAGTCAGTGAGACAACCACAGATTGGAGCCTTGAATCCATATCTGTTAGATTCCAAAGCCCACCCTATTAAATATTAAAGAGTTGCCCTCAGGGGACAATGCAAAGTAAAGGAATAAAAAATGGGAAAAACATAGGAAAGTGAAATTACACTACAGCGTCAAGAAGGGGCACTTCCTTTGTAGAAGTTAATTTAGATTATCCTGAGGAATTTTATGTGATATTGGACAGGAAAGACAGGGTTTGATCTTTGAGAACATTGGATGGCATACTAAGAAGTCTCTTTTTTTTTTTTTTTTAACCTTGAGATGGAGTCTCGCTCTGTTGCCTAGGCTGGAGTACAATGGTGTGATCTTGGCTCACTGTAACCTCTGTCTCTTGGGTTCAAGCGATTCTCCTGCCTTAGCCTCCCGAGTAGCTGGGACTACAGGTGCACACCACCACACCCAGCTAAGTTTTGTATTTTTTGTAGAGATGGGATTTCAGTACATTGACCAGGCTGGTCTCAAACTCCTGACCTCAGGTGGTTTGCCCACCTCAGCCTCCCAATGTGCTGGGATTACAGGAGTGAACCACTGCACCCACCCTAATTTATAATTCTATAAATTATGGGTACCCACAGCAGATATATCAGATAGAATGTGACATGAAGGAGTGCATCTTTTTGGAAATATCTCTGGATAGGTAATGAGAATGAGAATGAGAATGGGCTTCCTGGATCCGCCATGTTTTCAAACATATGGCAAAAGTTAGAACTTCAGATTGTGGACTTGAAATTATTTCCTTTTCAGAATAGGTATAAGTGGTCCACCTGAAATTTAACTTTACTTTTAGTAGCTATGCATTCAGGTATGCAAAAAACAAGGTACTTTATTCTTCTAGAATCCTACTTAATCCCTATGTGACAGAAAAGATAGTCTTATTCAATAATTTTTTAAAGGCGTTTTAGGATTAACCTCATTTAAATAAGAATTTACTTCTTTTTTGGGGTGGATCTAAATTGTAAGAGGCTTTCAAAACAGGAAAGGATGGGGAATAGGAGATGGGGAGGTAAGTATCTGATTACTGGTCATTGTTATCTGTTTAGCCTTGCAATATTCTCCACTCTTTGGCCATAAACTGCACCATTCTCAATCTGACTGTCTCCTTACGGCCTTCTAGGCTCCTTCTACCCTTTGCTTCCCTCTCAGGGGAGTTTTCAAACGCTTTTCACATGATTCTGGAGCCATACAAGACTTGGGGGCCTAGGTAGGTTTTGCCAGACCTTGCTGATTTTCCCAGGCTCCAGTGAGAAAGCAAACACAAGTCCCTTCCCTCATTGACCCATCCCAGGACTCAATCCACAGAGAAGAGGCACAATGGAGAGCCCTCCAGACCCAGCTCCAGCTCTCTCTTCTCCTTCCACCCGACTTACCTCCTGAGCTCAGATCTTCACCTAGACTTCTACAGTGATGAGAGTGTTTGTAGGAAAACTAGTTCTCCCTAATGGAATCTTCTGCCAGAAGTGTCTTGTCCTGGTATAATCTGGACCAAACCTTTGATCAAAGCCATAAATGTGATGAATGATGCCCATCTCCTTGAATAAAGGAGACCCATGTGTTAAATAGAGAGTAAAGGTGAAAACACAAGGGTTAACATTTTATAATATTATTCCAACGCTATTAGGAACTTCTTGTAAACCTTAATACTCTGAAGAAAACAACTGGAGATGACTTTCTATCCATAGAGAAATTTGGCCTTAGTAGCCAGGTATTTTTCAAGTTGGCAAATTCTACCTTCTTATTTTCTTTGATCCCCCAACAAGGGTCTCATCTATGATCAAAGCCTTTTTTAAAACAGCAACTAGCATATTCTTGAACGTATAATTAGCTACCATAGTAACTATAAATTCTAATCTTTCTCTGACTTTCCAGACAACCTAAATAGGATGCCGTCACTTTCACCCTACAATTAATACTCCCTGAAGAAATATCTAAGTGTCATGATCTTTTGCTAAATTTGAAGCATGCAAGCAAAAATTCGGTCATTTCCGTCAGCAGTTGCAGTGGTGGCAAATTCATTGAGTTCAGCAAAGTACATGGTCACACAACCTGCGTTAGCAAAAGAAATTAACTAGGAACTTGTGAAGCTGAAAGTTAAGTAACAATTGAAAAAGGCTTTATTTATACTTCAGTAAAAAGAGTTGGAGAACAGAAGGGAATATTTTTTATTTTTTAGTATTATTATTATTACTCTAAATTGTGATTCTAGGTTTGCCTGTTATCACTTTTCAGAGCATTTATCACCAACTTGCAGTGGAATATTGTAAAGATTCATTACAGTTGTGAGAGGGCAGGAAAATAAACTCACATCTCCTGCATATCTGGAAGTGTTTTTTAGGCACTGTGCTGAGCAGTCTACAATGTTATTCTCATTCAATCATAATGATACCTTAGAAGTAGATCCCATCATTCCCATGTTACAGATGGAGAAACCCAGGTTCTCTAAGATGAAGACAATCATCCAGCGTCAATCCTGATAGTAAAAGACAGAAACAATGGCTCAACTGTGGTCTAGATCTGACCAAAGTAGAATGAATTTTTTTCTTATTTTATTTTCCTGAACTGAACTCTGTACAGTCAATGATTCCATGACTTTGACTCACTGAGAAATGCGTCCATCCTAGTGATTAGTGATTTTCCTCTCCCAGAATACATTGATTACACCCAGGACCAAGTTGACTTTTTGTCAGTTAAAGGGGAGACCCTGGCCGGGCACAGTGGCTCATGCCTGTAATCGCAGCACTTCGGGAGGCTGAGGTGGGCGGATCACCTGCGATTGCTAGTTCAAAACCAGCCTGACCAACATGGAGAAACCCTGTCTCTACTAAAAATACAAAAATTAGCGGGGCATGATGGCGCATGCCTGTAATCCCAGCTACTTGGGAGGCTGAGGCAAGGAGAATTGCTTGAACCCAGGAGGCAGAGGTTGCAGTGAGCTGAGATCGCACTATTGCACTCCAGCCTGGGCAACAAGAGCGAAATTCCATCTCAAAAAATGAATAAATAAAAATAAAAATAAAAAAATAAAGGGGAGACCTTTGTTGACTTCTCGTTTCCATTTTGTCTTCCCAGTCCCTTCTCTTCATATTTTTTTTTTTGCATCTAAGAGAAGGTGAAGGAAATGCAAAAACATTTGAGTGCATATTACACTCCAAGCACAACAGTCTAGCAAGCTATGTATTATCAGCATACACTGTATAGATTGAAAAGCTAGGGCTCAGAGAGGTTTTTTAAAAACATGTATCCAATTCTATTTTTTTAAGTACATTTAATGGTGTCAAAAAACAAAGAAAAAACCTTATTCAGGTTTTAATCCAAGATCACCCCGGTAAGATTAGAGCAGGAAGTCAAACCCAGATTTGTCTTCCATCAAAAAACATCTTCTATTTCCACTGTTAATTCTTTGACAAATATTAACGAGAACCTGAGTATGTGCAGAACCTAGGTATAAATTAGTAAATAAAATAGACGCAGTCTTGCTCTCACAGAACCCACTATCTAGTACAGGAAACAGGCAATGCCTAACAAGTAAATAAGTAACTATTATAATATGTACTAATTTGAAAAAGAAAAACTGGGGTATCTCCTTAGACAGGAAATATAGGATACAGTGTGTCATCTATTATGTTTCTAGTTACATTACCTCAAAGGAGAAGCTAGGGAAAACAGGTGGTCTGAGAATTGTGCTGAGGAAGAGGGGTCTGGAAAAAGGAGCCAGGGACAGAATGCAGGGAGGATGTGTGGAGACAGTGTGTGGACAGTGTGTGGAGGCTCCATGACAGTAAAAAAACTTGGTGTGTTTGAGGGACAGAAAGATGTTTTGTTCAGCTGGAAAGGAGTTTCTGGGAAAGAAGGTCATGAGATAAGTTGCAGATACAGGCAGGTGTGGGTCTTAAAGGGAATGGAGGTTATGTAAATAAATTTGGATTCCATTCTAGATTCAGTGAGGAACAAGCAGAAAACAGGATATGATTTTCTTTTGAAATTGGTTATGCTGGCTGTTCCATGATGATAGTATTTGATGGAAGAGTAAGGTGAGCCTGTCTTAGCCAGGAAAGCCAAGATGATGGCTCATGCTAGAGAGGGGATAATAAGTGTGTGTGTGTGTGTGTGTGTGTGTGTGTGTGTGTGTGACTGGCATATATAGTAGGGGAATATATTTACATGTGTGTGTGTGTGTGTGTATGTATATATATGTGTGTGTGTGTGTGTGTGTGTGTATATATATATGTGTGTGTGTGTGTATAGTGGACTCTCTATATAGTATAGAGTATATAAGTAGATGTGAAGGAGGAGGAGCCAAGACTTACAGGGTCTGGCCTGGAGTCTAAGGAGGAATCAGGCAGTTGCAGGTTTCTGGCATGTGCCATGGGTATATGGTAGTGCCATTATTGAGACAATGAAGACTGAAGAGAGAAACATACTTGGGGAGAAAATCAAGAACTTGCTTTTAGATATGTAAGATTTGAGATATCAAGTAGACCATTGGTTATATGAATCTGGAACTCAAAAGAGAAGGTGGGAGATATAAATTCCTGAGTTAATGGCTTATAGAAGACATTTAAAATAATAGGAATAAATGCATTTACCTAAAGAGAATTTGGAGAGATAGGTAAGATAGCCTATGACTTAGCCATGAGGTGTTATAATATTTAAAGATAGATTGAAAGAGAAAAACTCTTCAAAGGAGAAAAAGAAGGAAAAGTGTAGTGAGGAAGGAGTCAAACTACAAGAATACTAAATGCTGCTGAGGGATCTGGAGCAGGATGTACAATAGAACTCTGTGTGCTGATGGAAATGGTTTCCATCTGCACTGTCCAATGCAGATCTGATTTTCTTATTGAAACACTGTTTCTTATAGGACAGTCCAGGTGTAAAAGGAAAATAACTGGAATGTGGCCATTGAGTTTGGCAGCAAGAGGTAATTGTTGCCACTGACCACGGAGATGGTAAATTGGAGGGGAAAGCCAGTCAAGTATAGGTTGAGAAAACAAAGAAATAGAAACAGAGGCTTTGCGTGGTACATCTGGAATATTGACCCTGAAGGGAAATAGAGAAATGGCATGAGTGTGACAGAAGTATGAGAATTTAAGAGAAGAGTGTTTTATTTGAGGGAATGGAAGATGCCATTCATTTATTTAATCATTAGATATTTATAGAGCACCATGAAGTTTCAGCACCGTTCCGCACTTTGGGGATGGAGCTTTGAATTAGACAAGCAATATCACTTTTCTCATGGGATTTATAGTCTATTGTGTGAGTAAGACAATAAGCAGCAAACAGTGAATTAATTAACTGAAGGATAATTCATTAGAGTAGTAAGTACTATAAAGAAAGCAAAACAAAATCATAGGAGGGAGCAAGAGTGACGGTAGAGGAAGGGCTATTTAAATAAGAGGACCAGGCAGGGCTTTTCCAAATGGGTTACATAAGCTGAGACCAGAGTCATGAGAGAATCTACTCCTAGGAAATGATGGGAATGAGCCAGTAAAGAGATAAAGATGGAAAAGGTATGAGAAAGAGAGATGGGCAAAGGAAAACAGTTGAGGAGACAAGAAAAGATAGGCATCAGAGAACAAAGGGAGGGATTAGCCATTTAGGAGGAAGTATGCCTCTTCAGAGGTGAGATTAGTGGCTTGTATGACAGGAAGAGACTGAAGAATTATTGTTCCTATGGAACTTGAGAAGGTGGGCTAAAAGCATAGGAAGTGATGATCAAACATGAGATACTTAGTCATTGGAAGGAGTTGTCTTCCTGGTAACGGCAAACCCAGAGCATAATATTGGATGGGAAATTCAGGAAGAGTGTTGCAAGTGTAGTGGTAGAGGTCTTCAGAGCTGAAAAACAGAAAGGCTGGGGCATTGGATGGAACATAGGGGTGTTAATATCAGTAAGAATGATGCAAAAAATCAGATGAGGAGGAGAAGCATGAGCCAAGAGCTAATTTTTTTTACAATATATTACAAATGACTAGATAAATGATAGCAACAAAGAGAGTATATCCACATGGAGGGAACCTCAAATAAATAGAGGGTTTTCAAGAGATAATAGAAGTAACTATAAAAATAGGAATGAGGAGCCAGGAGGTTATTGACCCTACCTCTGGTATTAGCTGTATTAGTTTGTTCTCATGCTGCTATGAAGAAATACCCAAGACTGGGTAATTTACAAAGAAAAGAGATTTAATTGACTCACAGTTCTGCGTATCTGTGAGGCCTCAGGAAACTTACTATCCTGGCAGAAGGCACGTCTTCACAGTGCAGCAGAAGAGAGAATTAGTGCCAAGTGAAGGGGGAAGCCCCTTATAAAACCATCAGATCTCATGAGAACTCACTCACTATCACAAGAACAGCATGGGGGAAACTGTCTCCATGATTCAGTTATCTCCACCTGGTCCTGCCCTTGACATGTGGAGATTATTAAAATTCACAGTAAGATTTGGGTGGGGACACAGAGCCAAGGCATATCACCTACCTATCCCAGAATATATGGAAGTTGGAAAAATAAAGTTTCTGCTTGAGAGGACTTTTAGCAAATGCTGCTGGTTCTTTAGCTAAGACTAGTTCCATCCCTTCCTGTTGCTCAAAAATCCCAATCATGTATTCAGTACCAGGGAATGAATACTGTTTTGTTTAGGATTACAAAGTCAGCATCATCCCCTTATACAGATTTTTTTTTAGTGTTGGTCCTTTGTCAGGATTATGTTTTTATTTTTCTTTTCTTTTTTTATTTTAAAGTATTTATTGACAAAGATTGAATATATTTGAGGTTCATAATGTGATGATTGATATACATATTCATTGTGTAATGGTTACCACAATTAAATTAATTAATGCACTCATCCCCACCCATGCTATACATAATTAGATGCCTGTACTAGTCCGTTTTCACACTTCTGTAAATAACTTCCTAAGACTGGGTAATTTATAAAAGAAAAAAGTTTAATTGACTCATAGTTTGGCATGGCTGGAGAGGCCTCAGGAAACTTACAATCATGGTGGAAGGAGAAGGGGAAGCAGGCACCTTATTCACAAGGTGGTAGAAAAAGATAGTGAAGAAGAAACTGCCAAACATTTAAAAAAAGCATCAGATCTCATAAGAACTCACTATCATAAGAACAGCAGGGCAGAAACCACCCCCATGATCCAATCACCTCCCACCAGGTCCCTCCCTGGACATGTGGGGATTACAGTTCGAAATGCAATTTGGGTGGGTACACAGATTCAATCCATATCATTCCACCCCTAGCCCCTCCCAAATCTCATGCCTGTTTCACATTTTAAAACCAATCAGGTCTTCCCAACATTCCTCCAAAGTCTTAACTCATTCCAGCATTAACTCAAAAGTCCACAGTTCAAAGTCTTGACTAAGACAAGAGAAGTCCCTTCCACCTATGGGTTTGTAAAATCAAAAGCAAGTTAGTTACTTCCAAGATACAATGGGGGTACAGGCATTGGGTAAATGCTCCCATTCCAAATGGAGGAAATTGGCCAAAACAAAGGGGCTACAGATTCCATGCCAGTCCAACTTGCAGTCATTAAATCTTAAAGCTCTGAAATAATCTCCTAACCAAAATAAGCTCCTCACATCCATTGCATGCTGATACAAAGGGTGAGCTCTCAAGGCCTTGGGTAGCTCAGTCCCTGTGGCTTTACAGGGTACAGCCCCCACAGCTGCTGTCATGAGCTGGTGTTGAGTGCCTGTGGCTTTTCCAGGCACACAGTGCAAACTGTCAATGAATCTACCTTTCTGGGGTCTGGAAGATGGTGGCCCTCTTGTCACAGCTCCACTAGGCAGTGCCATAGTGGGGACTCTGTGTGGAGCTTCAACCCCACATTTCTCTTCTGCACTGCCCTAGCAGAGGTTCTCCATGAGGGCTCCATCCCTGCAGCACACTCCTGCCTGGACTTCCAGACATTTCAATCCATTCTCTGAAATCTAGACGGAGGTTTCCAAAGCTCAACTCTTGTCTTCTGCACACCTGCAGACCTACCACCACATGGAAGCCACCAAGACTTGGGGCTTGCACCCTCTGAAGCAATGGCCTGAGCTGTACCTTGGCCCCTATTAGCCATGGCTGGAGCTGGAGCAACTAGGATGCAGGGGGACACCAAGTACCGAGGCTGCACAGAGCAGTGGGGCCCTGTGCCTGGCCCATGAAACTATCTTTTTCTAGTAGGCTTTGGGGCCTGTGATGGGAGGGACTGCTACAAAGATCTCTGACATGCCCTGGAGACATTTTCCCCATTGTCTTGGCTATTAACATTTGGCTCTCATTACTTGTGCAACCTCCTGCAGCTGGAATTCCTCCCAAGGAAGTGAGTTGTCCTTTTCTACAACATGATCAGGCTGCAAATTTTCCAAACTTTTATGCTTTGCTTCCATTTTAAACATAAGTTCCACAGATCATCTCTCTCAAGTTCAAAGTTCCATAGATCTCTAGGGCAGGGGCAAAATGCCACCAATTTCTTTGCTAAAGCATAGCAAGAGTGACCTTTGCTTCAATTCCCAATTAAGTTCCTCATCTCCATCTAAGACCACCTCAGCCTGGACTTCATTGTCCATATCATTATCAGCATTTTAGTCAAAACCATTCAACAAGTCTCTAAGAAGTTCCAAACTTTCCCACATCTTTCTATCTTCTTCTGAGCCCTCCAAACTGTTCCAACCTCTGCCTGTTACCCAGTTTCAAAGCTGCTTCTACATTTTTAGGTTATCTTTATGGCAGCACCCAACTCTCTACAGTACCAATTTCCTGTATTAGTTCGTTTTTGCTCTACTATAAAAAACTTCCCTGAGACTGGGTAATTTATAAAGGAAAGAGATTTAATGGACTTACAGCTCCATATCACGGGGGAGGCCTCGGGAAACTTATAATCATGGAGAAAGGGGAAGGGGAAGCAGGACCTTCTTTGCAAGGCATCAGGACAGAGAGGGAGTGTGAAGGAGGAACTACTAAACACTTTTAAAACCATCAGATCTCATAAGAAACCACTCACTATCATGAGAACAGCATGGTGGAAACTGCCCCCATGATCCAGTCACCTCCCACAAGGTCCCTTCCTCCACACATGGGGATTACAGTTTGAGATAAGATTTGGGTGGGGACATAGAGCCAATCCATATCAATTCCCAAAACTTTTAATTTTATAACTGAAATTTTGTTCCCTTTGGCCAGCATCACCCAATTTCCCCCACTCCCAGCCCCTGGAAACCACCATCCTACTCTCTACTTGCATTATTTTGACTTTTTTACATTTTACATATAAGTGAGATCATGCAGTATTTGTCTTTCTGGGTTTAGTTTATTTCACTTAGCCTACTGTCCTCCAGGTTTATCCATGTTGTCACAAATGGCAGGATTTTCTCCTTATGGATGAATAATATTCCATTGTATATGTGTACCACCATTTCTTTATCCACTCATTCATCTATGCACACTGAAATCGTTTCCATATCTTTGCTATTGTGAATAATGCTTCATTGAACATAGGAGTGCAGATATCCCTTTGAGATATTGATTTTTCCTTTAGGTATGTACCAGAAGTGGAATTGTTGAATTGTACAGAGTTCTATTTTTAATTTTTTAAGGAACCTCCATTCTGCTTTTCATAATGGCTGTACTATTTTACACTTCCATGAGTAGGGTTGGTGGGACAAGGCAGGAGAGTTCCCCTTTCCCCACACTCTTGCTAGTACTTATCTCTTTTTTCATAATGGCCATCATAACAGGTGTGAGGTGATATCTAATTGTGATTTTGATTTGCATTTTCTCAATGATTAGTGATAGTAATACTGAGCGTTTTTTCATATGCCTATTCACCATTTGTATATCTTTGGAAAAATGTCTATTCAAGCCCTTTGCCCATTTTTCGATCATGTGATTTGGCTTTTGGTGTGTTTTGTTTCTTTTTGCTATTAACTTATGTAAGTTCTTTGTATATTTTGGATATTAACCCCTTATTAGATAGAGAATATTTGCAAATACTTTCACCCATTCCATAGTTTGCATTTTTATTTTGTGGATTGGTCCTTATAACCACTTAGAAGAGATTGACAATCATCTATTACTCTCATTCTGAGTATGTCATTGGATGAAGCCTTTTAGGCAAGGGTTCTCAGGAGGCTCCTGGTAATGAGGTTGCAATGATTGGCAGCTGCTTCCTGGGACATCACTGGTTAGTATGGCTGAGTGGGGAGTCTGAGGGTACTAAACTAGAGGAAGAGAGACTGAAACTTCAGTTTCTAAATCTGACTGTGCCAGCTTCTCTCCTGACTTGAAACTGGAGAGCCATTATTGACCTTAGTTCTTCCAGCAACACCCCATCCCATCTTCCTTTAATTCCACTTTAAAAGCCCATTCTTAAACTCTTATTTCCCTCTTGGCACAACTAGTGTGTTATTCTTCACCACAAAGGCTCTCTCTACTTAGTAATTTAAAGCAGTTTACGTCAGAATGACATTAATTAGGTCAGGATCCATTGAAACCCCTTGTGAAAGATATTTTTTTTTTCTTTTTTAAATAATGAAATGCAGGGAAACTACTCTTTGTGCAGTGAACATGAGAGCTTACAGGGTTGAGGAATTCAATAAATACAGGCAGCTAGGGGTGATTAAGGACAAGTCAAATCTTTAAAAGGATAAAGTATATAGTTTCCAAAACACCCATTTCTGGGTATAGGCTGAAGACTAGTATCTTTTGCTTATAACTTGTTTTAGCAAAATTCCAGCATTTAATTATTAGTTTGGTGAATGACCACACCAGACCATTTAGTGTAACGTGACAGGCCCTGAAGGGAGTAGTCAGTAATTTGAAACACTAACCATGTGTTTTGTCTGAAAAATTAATACGTGTAGCATGATTAGAGTGGCAGGGTTCCACCAATCAAAATGTAGAAAAAAACTCCATAGTACTAATAAAGGCAGTTACTGTTCTGGCTTATGGAAGACATAATAGATGCTATATATTAATAATTCACTATGTGCCATTGCTATTAATGAATTATCTCATTTTATCTTCTTGCCCACTATACAAGCTAGATAATAACAAAAAGAGCTAATATTGTTGAGCATACACTATGTTCCACAAATTTTTACATGTGTTATTAATCTTTCCCATTCTTCATAATATGATAATATCCCTGCATTAAACATGAAAAAAACTGAGGATTTAAAAAGTGTAACTAACATTAATAGTACATGAGAGAGGCAAGACTTAAAATAAGAATTATCTAACTCTAGTGCTCATATCCTTAACAGCAACTGTATATGAAAAGATGAGTAAAATCAGACTAACCTCGAGGAAGTGGAAGATTGTGGACTAGATTTGGGCAAAGTCTTAACTGCACATATTTTAAAAAATATTAGTTCCACTCCATCATGTTTAATTACAAATAGCGTCTCCTATTAGGCTAGTCAATAGAGATCCTTGAGGATTTATTTTAATGATTACCAAGACAGACTTGTAATTGCACAGATAGATTTAAAGGGCTTGCAAAGAACTTGTTAGAAATCATAACAATAGGCAAGGTGCAGTGGCTCACACCTGTAATCCCAGCGGCAATTTAGAGACCAAAGTGGGCACATCCCTTGAGCTCAGGAGTTTAAGACCAGTGTGGGCAACATGGCAAAACTTTGTCTCCACCAGAAAAAAAAAAACAAAAAACAAAAACTTAGCTGGATGCAGTGGCACACACCTGTAGTCCCAGCTACTTGGGAGGCTAGGACGAGAGGATCACTTGAGCCCAGGAGGTTGAGGTTGCTGTGAGCCACGATTGTACCACTGCCCTCCAGCCTGGGTGACAGGGTGAAACCGTGCATCAGAAACAAACAAAAAGAAATAGTAATAAAAGTCACCATTTATTAGAGACATTATCACAAATACTGACTACAACTCTGGAAGATAGACACTAACTTATTAGATATTGATGGATTGCCTTCTCAACGAGTCATTGTCCTCCTCTCCATTTTTAACAATTTTAGTTGAACTGTCCACTTTACTTTTGTGGTTTTATGCTGCAAGTGAAGCGGGCTCAAACTGCAGCCTTATGGGTGAATCATCATGAAACTAAGCCAGTTATAATGATGCAGCCACTCTTACCAGTGATGGGCACGGCCATATAGCACAATTCTAGCTGATAAGATATGAAAAGCAGACTGCACAGGAACTCTGAAAAGGGTTGCTTCCTCATTGACTTAGAGTCCACAGGAAGAAAACATCCTCTTCCTCCACTGGTCATTGTTATGCCTGTATGTGATGCCTGGAATGACTACTACCTCTTATGACAGTAAGGGGAGTCTGACAAGCACTAAAGTGGATAGAGAGAAAATAGAGGGGAGAAAACCCCAAGGGCATGATGATGTTGAGTTGCTAATTCACCAACCCTACTTTTCTTACCTCAAAACTTCCTGCAGTGTGAGATAATAAATTTTCTGTATCAATTCAGGTAAATCAGGGTGTTGTTTGTGTGTGTGACCTGCAGCTCAAAGCTTCCTAACCGATAGATTTGTCATCCCTATGATGCTGAGATGGAAAACAGGGTTCAAGCAAATTGAGTACTTGCCTAACTTTGCATTCAATAAATGATGAAGCAGGATTTATATGGAAGTTTGTATGACCCCAGAGCCTGTGCTTTGCTGTAACACACCAGATCTTACTCTTCCCTCCATAGGCTCCGTTTGTGTTCCAAACCCCTTTCTCCCTGGGAGACTTGAGGGCAATAAAAATGAATGTTTCACTGCATGCTGAATTTCTCCATCTGCATGTGCAGATGGGGATACAGTAATGCGTAAGAAGTCTTCTCAGGTCTTCCATGACACTCTGCCAGCACACATGCTAAAAAAAACAAAAAAAAACAAAAAACAAAAAAAAAAAACCTTTCTTCAGTGCTACATTAAAATGCCTTGATGGCTTGCCGTTGTACAACTCAAGATTCCATCTCAGAAATTCTAACAAATCAATAGCAAGAAAAGAAATAACCCAATTAAAAATGGGCAAAGGACTGGAATAGACATTTCTCAAAAGAGGACATACAGATGGCCAACAGGAATATGAGAAAACACACTCGACATCACTATCATTAGGGAATGCAAATTAAAACTACAATGAAGTACCACCTCACACCTGTTATAGTGGCTATAAGAAAAAAGAGGAAAGTGTCAGCAAGAATGTGGAAAAAAAGGAACTTTTGTACATTATTGGCAGGAACATAAATTGGTACAGTTACTATGGAAAACAGTATGGAACTTCCTTAAAAAAATAAAATTAGAACTACCATATGACCCAGCAACCCCACTACTGGGTATATCTCCAAAGGAAATGAAATCAGTATGTCAAAGAGATATCTGCACTCCATGTCCATTGCAACATTATTTACAACACCCAAGATATTGAAACAACCTAAGTTGTTCATCAATGAATGAATAAAGAAAGAAAATGTGATACATATACACAAAGTAAAACTATTCAGCCTCTAAAAATGAAGAAAATCCTAACATTTGTGGCAACATGGATGAATCCAAAAGACATTATGTTAAGTGAAATGAACCATGCACAGAAAATTAAATATGACATGATCTCACTTATATGTATAATCTAAAAATTCAGACTCCTAGAAGTAGAAAGTAGAATAGTGGTTATTAGAGCTGAGGTTGGAGGAAAGGACTGGAGAGATATTGATCAAAGGAGATAAAATCTCAGTTATCCAGGAGGAATCAGTTTAAGAGACAGGAGGAATAAGCTTAAGAGATATATTGTACAACATGATAATTAAAGTTAAGAGTAATGTATTTTACTCTTGAAAATTACTAAAAGAGTATTTTGGGTGTTCTCCACACAAAAAAATGAGATGTATATGAGGCAAATATATTAATTAGCTTGCTTTAGTCATTCTACAATATACACCTATTTCAAAACATCATATTATATACTGTAAATATATATAATTTATATATGTCAAGTAAAAAATAATAACAAATTTAAAAATCTGAATTTAAAAAATACTCCCTGTCTCCTTATCAGTACCTACAAGGCCCAATCAATCTGGCCTCTATTTTCCTCATCTTTTTCTACCCAGACAGCCTCATGATGGAGGACTCAGTACAAGTCATTTCTCATTTCTTCCAAGTACATTCTCCTTCCCCCCTTTGAGCTTCTGCAAGTTCGATTTCCTCCACCTTGACTACTCTTATTTCTCTTCTTTACTGACATACTTCCTTCTCATCCTTCAGGTCATATTTTGACATCACTTTTTGTCCTCTTTTAAGTCTTCTAATTCTCCTTTAAATCACTTATCACAGTGATATTTGCTTAATTTATCTAAATATTTACTTGTTTAATGCCCGCCCTCCCCCCAAAATTGCAAGCTATAGAATGGCAGAGGCTGTGTTGATCTTACTAAACACTACCTTCTCTGGCTCTTAGCCTGAAGAATTGAATTTGGGGTATACTCAATAAATATCTATTGAGTGAGTGAATGATGAATGAAGAAAGCCCTCTACTGCTTGTTCATATAGGGAGAAAGGAGTGATCATGGGTCTGCTTAGATGGGAAACTGGGAGAAGCACATTGTATTAGTCTGTTCTCATGCTGCTAATAAAGATATACCTGAGACTGGGTAATTTATAAAGGAAGAGGTTTAATTGACTCACAGTTGCGCGTGGCTGGGGAGGCCTCAAAATCATGGTGGAAGGCAAAGAGGAGCAAAGTCATGTCTTACAGGGTGGCAGGCAAAGAGAGTGTGTGTAGAGGAACCCCATTTATAAAACCATCTTGTGACACTTATTCTCTGTCATGAGAACAGCATGGGAAAGACTTGCCCGCATGATTTCATTACCTTCCACTGTGTCCCTCCCATGACATGTGGGAATTATGGGAACTACAATTCAAGATGAGATTTGGATGGGGACTCAGCCAACCCATATCACACATATATGTATATTTTTTCCACACTCTAAATCTGGCCTAGTCTTACAACATTGTCTGCCATGCCCCTATTCTAATCTACCATCATCTTCCCTTGAACCCACACACTGCCCCGCTTCTTAGGAACCTGGCTTTCAGTCATGCCTTTTAAACTCACATTCATCCAGTATACACCAGTTCATTCTCCACACAACAGCTACAGTGATATTTAGCAGATCATGTCATTGCTCACTCTTCACTTTACTTTGACAAGTGGAGCAAGATCCAATGTTCTTCAAAGTTCTACATAATTTGACTGTGCCTACCTGTCATGCCTCATCTTCCACCAGCCTCTCCCTGGCTCACCATGTTGCATTCACTCTGGCCTGTTTCTGTTCCCCAAGCACACTCATCAAACCTTTTGCTCCTGATATATATTCTCTGCCCCAGACCTATGCAGGGCTGCCTAATTATCAGTAGGCACTATCACTCAGATTCCATGACTAAAGTATTCCTCAGCCTTTACAAGCTCTGCCCCATTACTCTATTGTATTTTCTTCATATCTCCCTCATTGTCTGAAAAAATATTTTTATTTGTTGATTTAGGAATTTATTGTCTGTTTCCCACTACTAAAATAGAAGCTGCTTGAGGGCCTGCATCTCATCAGTCTTGCTGTCTATGTATGTACATCACTTTGAATTATGCCTAGCACACAGGAAGAACAAAACAATAATTTCCCAAATGAATAGATGAATGAGTGCACTCAAAGAGGTGAGTTATTGCACAGTTAGGTTCAGATTTGACAAATATTTATTGTGCCATTCAAGCAAGAATGCCATGTAGGTATGGAAATTGCAAACATGATTATGATCCACTTCACCCTCAAAGTGCCCAAATACTGTACTAAGGATTGCTGTATGAAGGAATGTTCTCATATGGTATAAGTGTTGTAGTAGATGCATACAAAAAAACAAAAAAGCACTTGGGGCCCTAGATGGCAATGATCATGTCTCCTTTCAAGAATCAGGACAGGCTTCCCAAGGGAACTCTTGAGGATGAGTAGGAGTTTTCCAAATCATTTTTGGGATATCTCAGCATTTCAAGAAAAGATAAATGAGTGTCCAAGGAAGTAGAGTCATATATCAAGTTGGTGTGTTGGGAAAACTGATGGGTTTTCCATGGCTGGAATGTAGAGTTTGTGAGTAAGGAGAAGTACAAGCTAAGCTGGAGAATAGATAAAACAGAAGTCCACTCAATATTCTGTCATCCCTCTACAAATAGTGCCCCTTCCACTGGAATAACTCTCCACTCCATGTGGCCCTTGTGTAGCCTCTATCAATAACCGTACAAGGCTTTCTGGCTCTAGAATAGGGCTTGTGATGCATTTATAACCATCTTAGTTCACTAATCCCCTGCATACAGTGATTTGCCAAGGAGCGATCAGGCTCTTCCCTGATATTTTATATACAGATACCAGTAGAAAGTGGCTTTATTCTTTTCCTGAGGTCATTAAGCTGGGATAATATTAAGCTAGAAAAGTCTACGGCCATGTATTCTGCCCCCACTTTTTTCACTTCCCCATTACAAAAGACTAAAAGAGTTTGAGACATAGAAAAGAGAGAGAGGGAGAAGAGAGCACCGGACATATATAGAGGTCCATATATAGAGACAGCATTTGGATTCTCAGAAGCCTCAGAGCCAGTTCCATCCCCTAAACACTCTAGTTATTATATAAACCGGTATATTTCTTTTTGTTTGTACTAGTTTGTGGTGTATTTATGGCAATTGCACCCAGAGTATTGAAAAACATACTGTGGTGTTTAGGTTAATGTAGATTATAGGAAGAAAAGAGATTGGGAGAAAATGTAATATATTTACTCTTGGACATGCTAAGTTTGAGATGCTTATGGGAACACCCAGGCACAGATGTCCAAGGGGTAATTAAACATATGATCCTGTTATTCAAAAGAAAGGAATGATCTGGCAATATAAATTTAGAGCCTGTTGGGATAAATTTGATTGTTGCAGATACAGGCCTTTATAAAATAATTTATGGAAAGTATGGAGAGCAATAGAAAATAGAAACCAAGGAAAAAGCCCTAGGGAACAATCTCTTGAAGGAACATGGGTAGATGAAGAGAAGAGCTTCAAGGCTACTGAGACAATGTCTGAGAGGGAAGAGAATAAGGAGAGAGGGGACTTCCAGAAGCCAGAGATGTAAATTATTCCAAAGAGATTGTTCTGGATAAGAATCCTAAATGATGCAGAAGTGGAGTATGATAAGGTCTGTATTCATTAGGTACATGCTACAATGACAAATTAACTCCAAAACCCCCTTGGCTTAAGAAAACAAAGGTTTACTTCTTACTTGTATTATACGGCCATTGCTGGTTGATACTCCATGTTGTTACTCAAGGACCTGGGACGGCTGAGGCTTCCCCATCTTATAACCACAGCATATGGATCCTGAACCATCCTAGCCACTGGGATGGAAGAAAAGAGGCTGGAGACCACACATGAGCACATCACTGCCTCCATCTAAAAGAGAATAGGAGAAAATGTAACATATTTACTCCCGGACACGCTAAGTTTGAGATGCTGAGATATTGCTGAGACAATGCTGACACAATGTCTTGGCACACATTTCACTGACCAGCACTAGTCACATGATTCTGACTGTTTACAAGGAAACTAAGAAATGTAAGGGACACAATGGGATTTTGGATGTGGTGAGCACTACTGTCTCCACCACAGAAACAAAGAAGTAACTTTTGGATTTGTCTTATCCATAGGTCTTTGGTGATTTTAACAGGAGCACATTCACTGGAGCAATGAGGCTGGAAACCAGGACCATGTTAGGTGCTTTTATAGACTTCAGTATACTTTAACACATTTAATTGTGACATAATCCTGTGAAACAGGTATTAATGTTGACATTTTACAAAAGGGGACACTGAGGCTCAGTAAATGTTACTCAGTGACTGGACTATTAGCTATTTACTGTTTGCTAAGTGTCAAAACTGGGGATTCAGCAAAACAGAGACACATCCCTGACTTCATGGAGCTTATGATCGTGTACAATATACAAGCAAATATGAAATTACAGCTCTGGAGCATGCTGGAAATGAAGCTCCAAGATGCTGTACATGGGAGCCAATAACTAGCCTGGCACAGGGATGAATGAATGCTTCACCAGGTGGGTGATGAGTCAGAGTTCAGCACGCAGAGTTGTGGGGTTGGGGTGACAGTGGCGTATCCATTCTTCAGATAGAGGAAAGAGTATGTGCAGGGCATTATGTCACATGAGCGGAGTTTGAGGTACTAAAAGGCCAGTGTGCCTGAATCATAAAGAACCAGGAGAAGGAAGCATGATGTAAGATGCAGCTTAAGAGGTGACATGAGACAGGGCTGCCCTGATTCCTGTGGGCTAAGTTGAAGATAGTAAAGCCATCTAATATCTCAGCAGAAGTCTGTTGGCTTGCTTGTCTCTCCAGAATTCATTGTCTCAAATAATCAGACCAAAGTCACAGAGATATGCTAAGACTCTAACCCAAGTCCAGCCTCCTCGAAGCTGGTCCACCTCTCTTCACTAAACTCCAGCTGCCTCTACAGAGAAAACAACACCAAGTTCAGCTGGAGATGAAGCAAGTGTTGATAGACAAGTTCTGTGTTGGCATTACCGAGACAGGTGTTCCTATTATCACTTAGTGTCCCTCCCACAGGAAATCTCACACACAACTCACAAATAGATGACCCATTTGCTGTGCGTGTCAGACATTTTCTCCTCCTTTCTCCTCTCTTCCCAGAGGGAAGGACTCACAGGGGTTCAGGGAAGTAATTTTATCAGGTTTCAAGGCTTCTCATTTTTGTTCATCAGCTTTCCCAGCACATGAAGAACAGTGTTTATCTGATTTTTCAAGGGCTGCATTTGGGGGAGTTTGCTTCATTCGCCTGCAACTCTGAAGTCATTCCGGCTGGTGTACGAAAACCTTGCTGCTGGATTTAGCTTGGTCTCCCATGAGTTAAAATCAGACTGGTGAAAACTAGACAGAAGTGCTGAGGGGGTGGAATGGAAGAAGAGGTGACTTTTGCTATTGAGATATTTTTGTTAATGTGAATTTTGAAGTAAACATCATCTTTGTTCCTTTCCCCTCTCTTACTTCTGTAAAGAAAGATAGAGAAGGATAACCTTACTCTTTAGGAGCTGTACTGACAAAAGTAACAAGAACATATCCTGCCCTGCAAGAGTAGCATTCTATTTATCAGTCTAATAAGGTGGGAACGTGCCTTGAAGTCTGCTTCCCCACCACAGGTCCCTAAATCTTGTTTCAAAAAGTTGCAGGTTCCCAGACAGCTGTGCTTTAGAGCACTGATCACTACCCTCCTTCCCTGCCACCTCCTAAGCATTTTGGTGGTTTTTTGCTCTAGCTTTTCAATCAAATCTATGAATTTAAACATCACTCCAATAAGAATTTTTCAGAATGCCTTTTTCTTCAGCAGGGAAACTTCAGAGAAACGACTTTGACTCTCATACAAACAGATGCCCCATGAGAAAATAATTGTAAAATGGGGTGACATTTGAACTTGTACTTATTTATTCAAGAATGAAACCACATAGACCTGAGATGTAACTGGGATGGGATAGCACAGTACTTCAGAGTGGAGGGCTTTGCAAAGGGCTCCTTGAGCACTGATCCTTTATCTGTTAGTGATTAACTGTTTAACAATAGACAAGGCTACAGGAAAGTACTATGTCAATCCTCGGTTTCCTCAGCTCAAGGTCTTGGTAGTTAATAAGATGATTCAAGTAAAGAGACTAACACCATGCCGGGCATAGCTCTTGTGACTTTGGCAATTCTGAAGTGGCGTTTAAGCTTCAGAATGCATTTTATATCCTGCTATTTCATCATCAACCATTTCTGTTTTCAGCCAACATTAATTGATCACCTAGTGCTGATCATGTAGATTCTGGAATTTGACGGTACTTTGGCTCCCAGCCCTCCAGGTGTTCACAGCCAACCTGAGTGCACTGACACACCTGTGGGCCAGGAAGTCTGCACTTCCTTATGCTGCCTCCTCCCACCTCTCTCAGAGCCATCATGAGCACCCGGCTGTGTCCTAAACCCTGCTGCGTCAGCCCCTGTTGTGCGAGCATCTTAGGTATGTGATGAACACAGGCATGGATAAGGAGGGTTCCCACAAAGAACAGTTGGTACCAGGACAGTGACCATAAGCAGCTGAGTTTCCCTAGTGTTGTGCTGTTATCTCTCAAGTAGGAGAGCCAGGCAGAAGAGCCACGGAGCCACTCTGAAGTCTCTGGCCTCCCCCCGCTGTCTGCTGACGTGATGAGGGAAGGGAAGGGACAGACAGCACTAGCCTTCTGTCACCAGATTATTTATAGTCGGCTTTTCCTTTGAAGTCCTCGCTGCACCCTCCACAGCCTCCACTACAGCTTGCCACATGGAGTGTGGTGATGGACACCAGCAAAGTGGCACTGTGGGGAGCAAACTTCTCTCTGTTGTGCTCAAGGGAGACTGCTCGAGGAGCTCCTCCTGAAACATCCCCTGAGACTGAACAAAGCCCCTCGCTGAAGTCTGCCAGAACAATGCTCCAGGCAGTTGCCATTCTTTCACTTTTTAGGGGAAAAGCAACAGAGCCTCTTTCCAGTAGGTCATCTGTCCATTTTTTTCTCCCTGTGGCTTTGACGTTGGGTTATCTGTGGGTTCTCCTTGCTGCTCTGTTTTCTTTGGTTAGTAAGTCCTCCTTTTATCATTAAAAAAGAAGGAATGAAACATAATAGATTGAAGGCAGAGCTTTTGGCCACCTGTCCTGAGGAATCAGAACACAAGGCAGCAACCCTGTGTGGCCCAGTCCTGCAATAAGCACTAGGGAGGCACAGATGAATGCATGCAGACACCTTTCCTCTCTCCCTCACACACACAACATGGCTTTCATAGGCGACAGTCTTAGTCACTCTTATTTCATTTGCTGTCCCACTTTGACCCCTGGTACCTAAGCCTACCTTCCTCACACATTCTCAGAAGCTTCTGCCTCTCACCTATGGCTTCATCTTCCTCCTCCAGCTTCATTTAGGTCTCTGAAACTTGATCATGGCTATGTTTCTAGACCAGATCTATACTGAGCTTTAAGACAGTCTCTTTTTTTTTCTACCTAGTATCAGGACTCCTGACCCTGGACCTACCTGGGACTGATTCAGAAGGTTTGCCCAGGTCTCATCAAATAGGGGGTGGAGCAGTGAGACCTAACACCTGCCTTCAGGAGAGACACAATCTGGTAGGAAGCAGCGGCTCACCCATTTTAAAAGAATGTGATAAGAACCACACTCGAGGAGTGGTTAAAGCAGTTTCCCAAATTGGGGTCCCTGTGGCACCTGAGTCAGAATCACCAGAGGCACTAGTTATAAGATACACATTCCTGAGCCCTACCACCAAACTAAGGACTCAGTATCCACATTTTAAATAACTTTCTTATGTAGATCCCATGAAAATAAAATGTGAAAACCATGTATTTTAAAAATACTGGCAACCAGTGGTATTGTTACTGAAACTTTAAACATACCCTGTATTAGTCCATTTTCACTCTGCTGATAAAGACATACCTGACACTGGGTAATTTATAAAGAAAAAGAGGCTTGATGGACTCACAGTTTCACATGACTGGGGAGGCCTCACAATCATGGCAGAAGGCAAAAGTCACATCTTACATGGCAGCAGGCAAGAGAGAATGAGAGCCAAGTGAAAGGGGAAACCCCTTATAAAACCATCAGATCTTGAGAGACTTACTCACTATCATGAGAACAGTATGGGGGAAACCACCCCCATGATTCAATTATCTCCCACTGGGTCCCTCCCACAACATGTGGGAATTATGGGAGCTAGGAGCTGCACTTCAGATGATATTTGGGTGGGGACAGAGCGAAACCATACCATTCTGGCCCTGGCCCCTCTCAAATCTCATGTCCTCACATTTCAAAATGAATCATGCCTTCCCAACAGTCCCCCAAAGCCTTAACTCATTTCAGCATTAACTCAAAAGTCCACAGTCCAAAGTCTCATCTGAGACAAGATAAGTCTCTTCCACCTATGAGCCTGTAAAATCGAAAGCAAGTTAGTTACTTCCTAGATACAATGGGGGTACAGGCATTGGGTAAATACAGCCATTCAAAATTGGAGAAATTGGCCAAAACAAAGGAGTTACAGGCCCCATGTGAATCTGAAATCCAGTGAGGCAGCCCAATCTTAAAGCTCCAAAATGATCTCCTTTGACTCTGTGTCTCATATCCAGGTCACACTGATGCAAGAGGTGGGTTCCCATGGTCTTGGAACCCACCCTTGTGGCTCTGCCCCTGTGGCTTTGCAGGGTACAGCCTCCCTCCAAGCTGCTTTAATGGGCTGATGTTGAGTGTCTGCAGCTTTTCCAGGCATACGGTGCAAGCTGTTGGTGGATCAACTTTTCTGGGGCCTGGAGGATGGTGGCCCTCTTCTCACAGCTCCACTAGGCAGTGCCCTAGTGGGGACAGTGTGTGGGGACTTCAACCCCATATTTCCCTTCTGCACTGCCGTAGCAGAGGTTCTCCATAACGGCCCCATTCCTGGAGCAAACTTCTTCCTGGACATCTGGGCATTTCCATCCATCCCCAAAATCTAGGCAGAGGTTCCCAAACCTCAATACTTGACTTCTGTGCACCTGCAGGCTCAACACCATGTGGAAGCTGCCAAGGCTTGGGGATTGCACCCTCTGAAGCCATGACCCGAGCTGTACCTTGGCCCCTTTTAGCCATGGCCAGAGTGGCTGGGACTCAGGGCACCAAGTCCCTAGGCTGCACACAGCAGGGGGGCTGTAGGCCCTGCCCATGAAACCATTTTTTCCTCCTAGGCCTCTGGGCCAGTGATGGGATGGGCTGTCTTAAAGGTCCCTGACATGCCCTGGAGACATTTTCCTCATTGTCTTGGTGATTAACATTTGGCTCCTCATTAGTTATGCATACCTAACTAACCTAGTCTGCAGCCAGCTTGAATTTCTCCTCAGAAAATGGGTTTTTCTTTTCTATCGCATCCTCAGGCTGCACATTTTCTGGGCATTTATGTTCTGTTTCCCTTTTGAACTTGAATGCTTTTAAAAAAGCCCAAGTCACCTCTTGAATGCTTTGCTGCTTAGAAATTTCTTCCACCAGATACTCTAAATCATCTCCCTTAAGTTCAAAGTTCCACAAATCTCTAAGGCAGGGGCAAAATGCTGCTAGCCTCTTTGCTAAAACACAGCAGGAACCATCTTTACTCCGATTCCTAACAGGTTCCTCATCTCTTTCTGAGACTGCCTCAGCCTGGATTTCATTGTTTATATCATTATCAACATTTTTGTTAAAGCCATTCAACAAGTCTCTAGGAAGTTCCATTTTCCTGTCTTTTTCTGAGACTTCCAAACTGCTCCAACCTTTGTCTGTTACCCAGTTCCAAAGTCACTTCCACATTTTGGGGTATCTTTAGAGCAGCGTCCCACTCTCCCAGTACCAATTTACTGTATTAGTCTGTTTTCACACTGCTGATAAAGACATACCTGAGACTGGGTAATTTATAAAGAAAAAGAGGTTTAATGGACTCACAGTTCCATGTGGCTGGGGAGGCCTCACAATCATGGCAGAAGGGTAAAGGCACGTCTTACATGTTGGCAGACAAGAGAGAATGAGAACCAACTGAAAGGGGAAATCCCTTATAAACCTATCAGATCTTGTGAGACTTACTACTATGAGAACAGTATGGGGGAAACTGCCCTCATGATTCAGTTATCTCCCACTGGGTCCCCCCACAACATATGGGAATTTTGAGAGCTACAATTCAAGATGAGATCTGGGTGGGGACAGAGCCAAATAATATCATACCCTAAGAAATAACAGCAAGTAGGAAAACCTTATTTGACCAGCTAAGAAGGAACTCAGAGGCTTTGGGAAAATTACTCTTCTGGGCTTCAGTGGTCTCACCTCTGTTAGGAGAGGGTTGGTTTAATTTGTCTCCCAAGTTCCTTCCAGGTCAATTTGCCTCTAAGGCTAGGATTCTGTCAGAAGGGTGGTTTCTAAGCATAAGACTAGGAAAAGGACTCACGGCAGTTTTAAAGTCAGGGTGGGAGGCAGAGACGAGATAAGAGTGGGGCTGTGACATCATTAATTTTGAGACACAGGGAGGGGTATGAAAATAGATAATTCAGCTTTGTAACTTTATTTTTATTATTGTTTGAGACAGGGTCTCACTCTATTGCCCAGGCTGGAGTGCAGTGGCACCATCATAGCTCACTGTCACCTCAAGCTCCAGGCTCAAGCAATCCTCCTGCCTCAATCTCCCAAAGCACTGAGATTACAGGCATGAGGCACCATGCCAGCCACAACTTTGTAATTTTCGTTAGCTTTGTATAAATACTTGTTAAGGGACCCTTCTGCACCTTAATTTTGCCTTTTGAAAAAAGGGACAAATGAAGGCTGTTGTCTGACATTCTTTAAAAGTACATAGTACAGAACCCAGCACTCTGCAGGTGTTCAATACGTGGTGAATATTATCATCACACAGTGTAGTATTGAGGATTAACAAAATTATGTTGCAAGATCCCTGGGATAAGTTATGGCAGAAAATAGATCCTCAGACAATAAGTATCCTTTTTTCCAATGTGCTAGAAACATATTATATTGGATTATTTAATTCAACAAATATTTATTGAGCGCCTAGTCTCTGGGAGGTATCTGGGGTACAGTGGTTACTGAGATGACCATGGTCTCAACCAACATTATGGTCTTGGTAGAGATATAGACAAGTAAAGGGATTATTAACACACTGTGTAATTGATGGCAAGCCATAAGAAAAACAAGGTATTGTAGACAGAAGAGGGTACTGCAGTATACCAAGCTTGTGAAGAAGAACAGGTGAAAAGACTCAGAAGAAAGAGGGAGTATGACACAGCCAGGGAAATAAAAAAGGTTAGAGAAATAGGAGGGGCCAGTTCACAAAAGACCGGGTAAGTCATGCTGTTTACTGTTTCACTTAACCTAAGGGTTATGGAGAATCACTGGTGTGTTTTAGGACACTCACACTGATAGTAAGGTGGAGAAGGAACTGGGTATAAAACCAGAGGCAGGGACTTCAAGCAGGAAACTGATGCAGTAATCCTGGTAAAAGACAGTGGCTGTAGGAGTAAATAAAAACAGACAGATTCCAGGCATATTTAAGAAACAGAACCCATAGAACCCATGATTGATTTTATTTTCAGGGGGAGGGGGTATAGGGAAGTAGTATCTTAGGGTTAGTCCATTTGTTTCTCTGATGATCAAAGTGAAACTTCCACAACTTTTCATTAACTATTGGTGAAGGCTGACCTATATTGAAAATTGCAGATTGTATATTTAACAAGTTTATTTTAACAAGTCAATCCCTTCACTAGCTTAGGTTTTTTTTTTTTTGTTGTTGTTGTTTATACTTTAAGTTCTGGGGTACACGTGCAGAACATGCAGGTTTGTTACATAGGTATACACATGCCATGGTGGTTTGCTGCACCCATCAACCTGTCATCTACATTAGGTGTTTCTCCTAATGCTATCCCTCCCCTAGCCCCCACTCCCCGACAGGCCCTGGTATGTGATATTCCCCTCCCTGTGTCCATATGTTCTCATTGTTCAACTCCTGGGGAGGATGTGGAGAAATAAGAACGCTTTTACACTTTTGGAGGGAGTGTAAATTAGTTCAACCATTGTGGAAGACAGTGTGGCAATTCCTCAAGGATCTAGAACTAGAAATACCATTTGACCCAGCAATCCCATTACTGGGTATATACCCAAAGGATTATAAATTATTCTACTATAAAGACACATGCAGACGTATGTTTATTGCGGCACTGTTCACAATAGCAAAGACTTGGAACCAACCCAATGCCAATCAATGATAGACTGGATAAAGAAAATGTGGCACATACACACCATGGAATACTATGCAGCCATAAAAAAGAACGAGTTCATGTCCTTTGCAGGGACATGGATGGCGCTGGAAACCATCGTTCTCAGCAAACTAACACAAGGACAGAAAACCAAACAATGCATGTTCTCACTCATAAGCTGTGGTTCTTTTTAAGCAGACTGTGGTCTCCCAAATTTTGGAGAGATTACATTGAGTTAGTTTTTTTTTTTTTTTTTTTTTTTTTGACAGTTTCACTCTTGTCACCTAGGCCAGAGTGCAGTGGCGTGATCTTGGCTCACTGTAACCTTTGCCTCCAGGGTTCAAGCGATTCTTCTGCCTCAGCCTCCCGAGTATCTGGGATAACAGATGCCCACCACCACCCCCACCTAATTTTTGTATTTTTAGTAGAGATGGGATTATGGGGTTTGACCATGTTGGCCAGGCTGGTCTGTAACTCCTGACCTCAAATGATCCACCCACCTAGACCTCCCAAAGGGCTGGGATTACAGGTGTGAGCCACCGTGCCTAGCCGAGTCAGAATTTTTATTTTTGGCTTTTGGAGCTTGGATTTTCCATGAATTCCACCTCTAACTTCCCAGAACAAACTAATTTACATCTTCAGATGCAATAATGAATTTTAACCACTTGATGGCCACATTTCAAAGTCTTTTATCTTATTTTCCTACTTCAGGCAATTTTCTGTCTATTCCAGTTGATTGCCTCTGGGACTAGGTAAATCTGCCCTTTTCTTAATTAGTAGGATGTCCATGCTTTCATCCATAAGATGATCTGCCCTGGATCCATAATAGGCCTTTACTAAAAAGTGTTTAACAAACAAATGACCAAATGAATGGATATCAGTGAAAACCTAGTTTTCAAATACTTGTGACAATATGTGACTACATTCTGTTTCATACTTTTGAAATCCAGATAACTACCCTTTTACATCAACTAGAATTCAGATAACTGCTTTTTTCTATTAATAGAAAGAAGTAAAGGTTTTAGAAAATGATTTAGATGCATAAAGATTATAACCATATAAATAAAATTCTTAATAAAAGAAGTTACCCTTTTTGATTCTTATCCATAACCAACTAATTCTAAAGCTTACATAATTGTTTACATTTGGTATATGTCTCATATATGCAATTGCACTGTGTGCCTTTTATTCACTCAACATTTAACATAAGCATTCTATTTTTGTCAATCTAGTTTACAACATATTAAATCTTATGAACTATATGATAGTATACTGAAGAGGTAAGCCAAAATGTTCTGGGTCATGTCCTTATCATAATACATTAGGCCATTTCTGGAGATTGTGATAATTAAAAAAAATGTTGTGAGTGACATTTGCTAGGGGACAGTCCCAATACATGAAGAATACAGTATGACTGAGCATGGTGGCTCACACCTGTAATCCCAGAACTTTGGGAGGCTGAGACAGATCACTTAAGCTCAGAAGTTTGAGACCAGCTAAGCAACATAGCAAGACCCTGTCTCTACAAAAAAATTTTTTTAAATTAGCCAAGCATGGGGATGTGCACCTGTAGTCCTAGCTACTTGGGAGGCTGAGATGGGAGGATAGTGTGAGCCCAGGGGTTGGAGGCTGCAGTGAGCTGTGATCATGCCACTGCACTCCAGCCTCAGTTGAGACTCTGTCTCTTAAAAAAAATACAGTATGCTTTTCAGCAAATGAAATATTAAGATCCATAATAAAGTTCACATATTCTTACAGGTAACAGTATTTATGACCAAAAAAGTCCAGCCATAAAAGCTTAGAGAAAAGGAAAGTCACATCTAAACATTGTCGGTGGAAGGGGTATCCTCAATATTAAGACCTGGGGTAGTTCCAGTCCCACTAACAGAACAATACCTAGAATTGGTTTGTAGCCAAGTGGTCTTAAATATGCAGATCCCATTGACAAAAACATTCAAGACAGAATTTTAGTCTGATATCATTAAATATGCAATTTATCTAGCATGCTCATCAAGTAAACTTCTCATTAGAATTTGGTTTTCCAGGCAGATCTGCCTTCAGGGAAAGAACATGTCCCTCCTCCAGTTTCAAGTATTTCTAGCCCTTCTGTCAATGATTTCTCATTATAAATTTATTGGCTTCCTATGCAGTTTTCTACAGAAAGAAAATGTACTGAACAGATGTACTTCAAATATTTCTGACCCTTATGATAGTAATTTCTCCCTATAAATAAATTAAATGCCATCCTAATTTAATACATCAGTCTCATGAGCTCAGAAAATATGAGTCTCTTTCTGAGAGATGGATCTGTTCAGGATGTATTAACAAAATCAGATCTGAGCCTGTAGAACTACTATAGTCAGATGCTAGACTATAGTAAATTCTCCAAGGTATTCATTCTACGTTGTCCAGTTTCTTGAGATACAGCTTGGCTGTTTTATCTCCTGGTGGCCCGGCGTTAATGTCACTACTGGTATTAGGATGAGGCCAGGCTTTGGAGAAGCTGAAGTTTATATGAACTGAGGGAGGAAGAGAGGATCTCTTTAAGAAAAATAATGCAAAATTATGAATCCAAAATTAACTAGGCAATTCAATATTTATTTGGAAGTCACAATAAATTAGAAACTTTGAAAAGCTGGTCAATACCACATATATTGTGATTGCAGAATATTTGTGTTAACCAACTGTTCTATATGTCTCTATAACACTCTCTCCTACATTTTTGGCAGTATTTTCAATATAGAGAAAATAGAAAAAATAATTCAGTGTTTTTTCTAGAATGGTTGCATCATTGACAGTTTACAAAAAATATCTTTACCATTCTATTCATCATTGGAAATGTCTTCTTTTTGAATGTATGCATTAAAAGCTATAAATTTTCCTCTAAGCACTACTTTTGCTGCATCCTACAACTTTTGATAAGTTGTATTTTCATTTTTATTTCATGGCTGCTTTAAATAGGTCTTCCTTTTCCTTTGTTTTTCTGCTATTCCATTACATTTTGTAAAGGTTATCCTGCTTGAGATGTGCTGTGATTCCTGGATCTGAAGCTTATGTTTTTAACAATTCTGGAAAATTCTGACCCATTATTTTCTCTTGAAACATTGCCTCCATTCCATTCTCTCTGACCTTTCTTTCTGGAATTGTTATTAAAATATTTGTTAAATTATTACCATATCTGTTAATATTAGGTTCACATTTTCCAAAGATTTGCTTCTTAGTGTTATATTTTAGATAATTTTTTTATCTAACTTTTTATTCGCTAATTTTCTATTTGGCTGTGTCTAATTTTCTGTCACGATTTTAATTTCCCTTGCCATGGTTTTCATTTTTTAAAATTGTATTTGGCTCTTTTTAAATTTTGCTTTGTCATTTGTTAAATCTTTTTATTTTTAATTCATATTTAAAACTTGTTTATTCCTTTAAACATAAAACTTATATTCTGTGTCTGATAATTCCAATGTCTAAAATATTTATAAGTCAGATTCAGCTATTTTTGTACTGCTGATATTCACAGGATGGTTTGTTTCTATGTGTATTTTGTGATATTTGATTGCAAGTTGCTATTTTTCTTGGAACTTATCTGAGGGTATTTAATTTTAAGGACTAGATCAAAGTCATGTTTCTCCAGAGAGAATTTATATATTTTTTAGCTCTTTCCTGTCTTGGGAACACTATCAAACTGTACCATCTCTAAATATAATAATATACCTGTGAGAGATAGATAGATAGACGTGAGATATGTGTGTATGTATCACTCTATGTATAATTATATACCTGTGTGAGAGAGAGATATACATATAGACACATAAATATATATATATGTATCTGTGAGATATCTCACAGGTATATAATTATATATGTTATATAATTATATAACCTGTGATATACATAATAATGGTATAACATATATAATTATACATAGGTATATATCAGAGATTACATAATTATATAATGATACATACATGCACATCACATATTTATATACCTGTGATATATAGATATCTAGATATGTATATAATATATACATAATATAATTATATATTTAACATATAATTATATCATATATAATTATGTATATATCACAAGAATAGCTGCATATATATCCCACAGGTATCTAATTAGGTAGATAGATAGATGGATAGATAGATAGATAGGCAGATAGATAACTCACAAGAATAACTTTCATTTGGACCACAAAGGTGCATGAGGCCTGGCTTGTGGTTTCAAATTCTAAGAGAAATGTTTTCCTTTCCAGTCAATGCTAAGGTAGAAACCAGCACATTTCCTTACAGTTATCTTCTGTTCAGCAGGCTTTTTCTTATTTTTCTTAACAAAGAAGATGCAGTCCTTTGCAGTCCGTATAGGTACTGACTTTTTATAGTAGTATTCTGTTAACTAGACCGTCCGTCTGGAGTGAACCCTGGATTCTATCTCCTCCCCTCCCTAAGCCTCCCTGGCACTCTGCATGATTGTCAAAGCAGAAGCTCACATTCTCCTAAGTTCAGCAGAACCTTCATGGCAAAAGATGGCTTTGTTTCTTCTTTACCTCCCAGGTTTCTTCTTTCACTTGATTTTTGGCCTCTGTAGATTGCTTTTTATAGTCTTAGATCCATGATGCACTTCCAAAGGAGATTTCAACATTTCATCCAGCATTTTGTTGTTTTAATCATCTATCATCACTCAAAAAAGAGTTAGTATAGCAAGTCTGAGAATACCGTCCTTACAGAAGCCTGTTTGCAAAGTTAGCCCTTGGCTAGTATCTGGAGGCTTCTCACCATTCCCAAAACTGGTAATAGTGGTTCACTGTGCCTACAACAGTACAAGCCATGGGGTTTATGTTGAAAACCTACTTTCCTTCCAGAATTGTGAAATTTTGACATATCATAGGTGGAGGGCCTCTAAGTGATCAAGCCCTAATAAAAGCCCTGGCCACTGAGTCTTTAATAAGATTCCCTGGTATACAACATTTCACAGGTGTTGCCATACTCATTGCTGAGAAAATGAGTTTTAGCTGTGAGGAGGACACTATGCTGCATCCTATGAGTCCCTCTAGCGAATCTCCAAAGCCAGGAGCAGTCTGGGGGACTTCAAGTGCAACCATGCTGGCAGAAAGTCTCCCAATATACTTTCTTCAAAGAGGTTATACCCCATCTAATGATTATAAATCACTGTAAACTAGAAATGTCAAGTTAGAGATAGTCATCTTTGAGTTGAGTCAGACAGTACCTCACTATTGTGTCTTTTTAAAAATCACATGGTCATAGAATATTGCAGAATGACAGCAAATGACCACGGCCACTGATTTCTTCTCCTAGCCCTGTTCTTTGTTGTAAACTGGAGACAATTTTCCACTTTTTTTGGTCCAAATTAGTGTTATCAACCCATATGCTGGAATACATGTATTCCACATTTTGGCAACAGTAATTGTATGGCAAAAAGTCATTCCATGGTCAAATAAGTTTGGGAACTGTTGGTAAACAAATTTGAACGTGTTTCTTTACTGTAGAAGTGCTCAGAACTTTTAATATATTCATCTTTAATAAAAACATATGATAGTCAGTATTTTCAAAACTTGTTTGACCTCAGAATTCTTCTTACCCTTGGAATATCTACTAACATATCTTGGGACATTAATGTTCTTGAGGCATAGTTTAGAAAATGCTAGAATAAAAACTTGCCTCTGTCTTTTGGAAAGCCTTAGTTCTTAAGTGTTTTCATTATTTACTTTGCTTGTTGGCTTAAGTCATTTAGTGATCATCTTTCCAGCTACTGCAACAAAATCATTAGAGCTTTAAATCATTCTGAAATGCCCAGATTTACTTGTAGGAGTCTACAGTGCCCTTAAGCTCAAGATGTCTCATGCTTACTAGGAAATAATTACATGCCTACTGGAGATAGCCAGCCACTTTGCCAACTGCAGCTCCAATATTGTCATTTGCAGAATGGACTTGATAAAACTTACCTACCACATGGCACTGATTTCAAATAAAAACCCTTTATATGAGCAGATTTTATAAATTAGTAAGCAATCGGGGCTGGCAGCCAAGATGGCCAATAGGAACAGCTCCGGTCTACAGCTCCCAGCGTCAGCGACACAGAAGACGGGTGATTTCTGCATTTCCATCTGAGGTACCGGGTTCATCTCACTAGGGAGTGCCAGACAGTGGGTGCAGGACAGTGGGTGCAGCGTAACGTGCGCTAGCCAAAGCAGGGCGAGGCATTGCCTCACTCGGGAAGCGCAAGGGGTCAGGGAGTTCCCTTTTCTAGTCAAAGAAAGGGGTGACAGACGGCACCTGGAAAATCGGGTCACTCCCGCCCTAATACTGCGCTTTTCCAATGGGCTTAAAAAACAGCGCACCAGAAGATTATATCCTGCACCTGGCTTGGAGGGTCCTACATTCATGGAGTCTTGCTGATTGCTAGCACAGCAGTCTGAGATCAAACTGCAAGGTGGCAGCGAGGCTGGGGGAGGGGCACCCACCGTTGCCCAGGCTTGCTGAGGTAAACAAAGCAGCCGGGAAGCTCAAACTGGGTGGAGCCCACCACAGCTCCAGGAGGCCTGCCTGCCTCTGTAGGCTCCACCTCTGGGGGCAGGGCACAGACAAAAAAAAGACAGCAGTAACATCTGCTGACTTAAATGTTCCTGTCTGACAGCTTTGAAGAGAGCAGTGATTCTCCCAGCACGCAGCTGGAGATCTGAGAACGGGCAGACTGCCTCCTCAAGTGGGTCCCTGACCCCTGAGCCCCAAGCAGCCTAACTAGGAGGCACCCCCCAGTACGGGCAGACTGACATCTCACATGTCCAGGTACTCCTCTGAGACAAAACTTCCAGAGGAACGATCAGACAGCAGCATTCGCGGTTCACGAAAATCCGCTGTTCTGCAGCCACTGCTGCTGATACCCAGGCAAACAGGGTCTGGAGTGGACCTCTAGCAAACTCCAACAGACCTGCAGCTGAGGGTCCTGTCTGTTAGAAGGAAAACTAACAAACACAAAGGACATCCACACCAAAAACCCATCTGTACATCACCGTCATCAAAGACCAAAAGTAGATAAAACCACAAAGATGGGGAAAACACGGAGCAGAAAAACTGGAAACTCTAAAAAGCAGAGTGCCTCTCCTCCTCCAAAGGAACACAGTTCCTCACCAGCAATGGAACAAAGCTGGATGGAGAATGACTTTGACGGGTTGAGAGAAGAAGGCTTCAGATGATCAAACTACTCTGAGCTACAGGAGGAAATTCAAAACAAAGGCAAATAAGTTAAAAACTTTGAAAAAATTTAGACGAATGTATAACTAGAATAACCAATACAGAGAAGTGCTTAAAGGAGCTGATGGAGCTGAAAGTCAAGGCTCAAGAACTACGTGAAGAATGCAGAAGCCTCAGGAGCCGATGTGATCAGCTGGAAGAAAGGGTATCAGTGATGGAAGATGAAATGAATGAAATGAAGCGAGAAGGGAAGTTTAGAGAAAAAAGAATAAAAGGAAACGAACAAAGCCTCCAAGAAATATGGGACTATGTGAAAAGACTAAATCTACATCTGATTGGTGTGCCTGAAAGGGACGGGGAGTATGGAACCAAGCTGGAAAACACTCTGCAAGATATTGTCCAGGAGAACTTCCCCAATCTAGCAAGGCAGGCCAACATTCAGATTCAGGAAACACTCTGCAAGATATTGTCCAGGAGAACTTCCCCAATCTAGCAAGGCAGGCCAACATTCAGATTCAGGAAATACAGAGAACACCACAAAGATACTCCTCGAGAAGAGCAACTCCAAGACACATAATTGTCAGATCACCAAAGTTGAAATGAAGGAAAAAATATTAAGTGCAGCCAGAGAGAAAGGTCAGATTACCCACAAAGGGAAGCCCATCAGACTAACAGTGGATCTCTTGGCAGAAACTCTACAAGCCAGAAGAGAGTGGGCGCAAATATTCAACATTCTTAAAGAAAAGAATTTTCAACCCAGAATTTCATATCCAGCCAAACTAAGCTTCATAAGTGAAGGAGAAATAAAATACTTTACAGACAAGCAAATGCTGAGAGATTTTGTCACCACCAGGCCTGCCCTAAAAGAGCTCCTGAAGGAAGTACTAAACATGGAAAGGAACAACCGGTACCAGCCGCTGCAAAATCATGACAAATTGTAAAGACCATCGAGGCTAGGAAGAAACTGCATCAACTAACAAGCAAAATAACCAGCTAACATCATAATGACAGGATCAAATTCACACATAACAATGTTAACTTTAAATGTAAATGGACTAAATGCTCCAATTAAAAGACACAGACTGGCAAATTGGATAAAGAATCAAGACCCATCAGAGTGCTGTATTCAGGAAACCCATCTCACGTGCAGAGACACACATAGGCTCAAAATAAAAGGATGGAGGAAGATCTACCAAGCAAATGGAAAACAAAAAAAAGGCAGGGGTTGCAATCCTAGTCTCTGATAAAACTGACTTTAAACTAACAAAGATCAAAAGAGACAAGGAAGGCCATTACATAATGGTAAAGGGATCAATTCAACAAGAAGAGCTAACTATCCTAAATATATATGCACCCAATACAGGAGCACCCAGATTCATAAAGCAAGTCCTGAGTGACCTACAAAGAGACTTAGACTCCCACACAATAATAATGGGAGACTTTAACACCCCACTGTCAACATTAGACAGATCAACGAGACAGAAAGGTAACAAGGATACCCAGGAATTGAACTCAGCCCTGCACCAAGTGGACCTATTAGACATCTACAGAACTCTCCACCCCAAATCAACAGAATATACATTTTTTTCAGCACCACACCACACCTATTCAAAATTGACCACATAGTTGGAAGTAAAGCTCTCCTCAGCAAATGTAAAAGAACAGAAATTATAACAAACTGTCTCTCAGACCACAGTGCAATCAAACTAGAACTCAGGATTAAGAAACTCACTCAAAACCGCTCAACTACATGGAAACTGAACAACCTGCTCCTGAATGACTACTGGGTACATAATGAAATGAAGGCAGAAATAAAGATGTTCTTTGAAACCAACAAGAACAAAGACACAACATACCAGAATCTCTGGAACACATTCAAAGCAGTGTGTAGAGGGAAATTTATAGCACTAAATGCCCACAAGATAAAGCAGGAAAGATCCAAAATTGACACCCTAACATCACAATTAAAAGAACTAGAAAAGCAAGAGCAAACACATTCAAAAGCTAGCAGAAGGCAAGAAATAATTAAAATCTGAGCAGAACTGAAGGAAATAGAGACACAAAAAAACCCTTCAAAAAACTAATGAATCCAGGAGCTGGTTTTTTGAAAGGATCAACAAAATTGATAGACCACTAGCAAGACTAATACAGAAGAAAAGAGAGAAGAATCAAATAGACACAATAAAAAATGATAAAGGGGATATCACCACCGATCCCACAGAAATACAAACTACCATCAGAGAATACTACAAACACCTCTACGCAAATAAACTAGAAAATCTAGAAGAAATGGATAAATTCCTCAACACATACACCCTCCCAAGACTAAACCAGGAAGAAGTTGAATCTCTGAATAGACCAATAACAGGCTCTGAAATTGTGGCAATAATCAATAGCTTACCAACCAAAAAGAGCCCAGGACCAGATGGATTCACAGCTGAATTCTACCAGAGGTACAAGGAGGAACTGGTACCATTCCTTCTGAAACTATTCCAATCAACAGAAAAAGAGAGAATCCTCCCTAACTCATTTTATGAGGCCAGCATCATCCTGATACCAAAGCTGGGCAGAGACACAACCAAAAAAGAGAATTTTAGACCAATATCCTTGATGAACACTGATGCAAAAATCCTCAATAAAATACTGGCAAACCAAATCCAGCAGCACATCAAAAAGCTTATCCACCATGATCAAGTGGGCTTCATCCCTGGGATGCAAGGCTGGTTCAATATATGCAAATCAATAAATGTAATCCAGCATATAAACAGAACCAAAGACAGAAACACATGATTATCTCAATAGATGCAGAAAAGGCTTTTGACAAAATTCAACAACGCTTCATGCTAAAAACTCTCAATAAATTAGGTATTGATGGGACATATCTCAAAATAATAAGAGCTATCTATGACAAACCCACAGCCAATATCATACTGAATGGGCAAAAACTGGAAGCATTCCCTTTGAAAACTGGCACAAGACAGGGATGCCCTCTCTCACCACTCCTATTCAACATAGTGTTGGAAGTTCTGGCCAGGGCAATTAGGCAGGAGAAGGAAATAAAATGTATTCAATTAGGAAAAGAGGAAGTCAAATTGTCCCTGTTTGCAGATGACATGATTGTATATCTAGAAAACCCCATTGTCTCAGCCCAAAACCTCCTTAAGCTGATAAGCAACTTCAGCAAAGTCTCAGCATACAAAATCAATGTACAAAAATCACAAGCATTCTTATACACCAATAACAGACAAACAGAGAGCCAAATCATGAGTGAACTCCCATTCACAATTGCTTCAAAGAGAATAAAATACCTAGGAATCCAACTTACAAGGGACGCGAATGGACCTCTTTAAGGAGAACTACAAACCACTGCTCAATGAAATAAAAGAGGATACAAAGAAATGGAAGAACATTCCATGCTCATGGGTAGGAAGAATCAATATCGTGAAAATGGCCATACTGCCCAAGGTAATATACAGATTCAATGCCATCCCCATCAAGCTACCAATGACTTTCTTCACAGAATTGGAAAAAACTACTTTAAAGTTCATATGGAACCAAAAAAGAGCCCGCATCACCAAGTCAATCCTAAGCCAAAAGAACAAAGCTGGAAGCATCACGCTACCTGACTTCAAACTATACTACAAGGCTACAGTAACCAAAACAGCATGGTACTGGTAACAAAACAGAGATATAGATCAATGGAACAGAACAGAGCCCTCAGAAATAACGCTGCATATCTACAACTATCTGATCTTTGACAAACCTGAGAAAAACAAACAATGGGGAAAGGATTCCCTATTTAATAAATGGTGCTGGGAAAACTGGCTAGCCATATGTAGAAAGCTGAAACTGGATCCCTTCCTTACACCTTATACAAAAATTAATTCAAGATGGATTAAAGACTTAAACGTGAGACCTAAAACCATAAAAACCCTAGAAGAAAACCTAGGCATTACCATTCAGGACATAGGCATGGGCAAGGACTTCATGTTTAAAACACCAAAAGCAACGGCAACAAAAGCCAAAATTGACAAATGGGATCTAATTAAACTAAAGAGCTTCTGCACAGCAAAAGAAACTACCATCAGAGTGAACAGGCAACCTACAACATGGGAGAAAATTTTCGCAACCTACTCATCTTGACAAAGGGCTAATATCCAGAATCTACAATGAACTCCAACAAATTTACAAGAAAAAAACAAACAACCCCATCAAAAAGTAGGCGAAGGACATGAACAGACACTTCTCAAAAGAAGACATTTGTGCAGCCAAAAAACGCATGAAAAAATGCTCACCATTACTGGCCATCAGAGAAATGCAAATCAAAACCACAATGATATAGCATCTCACACCAGTTAGAATGGCAATCATTAAAAAGTCAGGAAACAACAGGTGCTAGAGAGGATGTGGACAAGTAGGAACACTTTTACACTCTTGGTAGGACTGTAAACTAGTTCAACCATTGTGGAAGTCAGTGTGGCGATTCCTCAGGGATCTAGAACTAGAAATACCATTTGACCCAGCCATCCCATTACTGGGTATATACCCAAAGGACTATAAATCATGCTGCTATAAAGACATATGCACATGTATGTTTATTGCAGCACTATTCACAATAGCAACGACTTGGAACCAACCCAAATGTCCAACAATGATAGACTGGATTAAGAAAATGTGGCACATATACACCATGGAATACTATGCAGCCATAAAAAATGATGAGTTCATGTCCTTTGTAGGGACATGGATGAAATTGGAATTCATCATTCTCAGTAAACTATCGCAAGGACAAAAAACCAAACACTGCATACTCTCACTCATAGGTGGGAATTGAACAATGAGAACATATGGACACAGGAAGGGGAACATCACACTCTGGGGACTGTTGTGGGGTTGGGGGAGGGGGGAGGGATAGCATTAGGAGATATACCTAATGCTAAATGACGAGTTAATGGGTGCAGCACACCAGCATGGCACATGTATACATATGTAACTAACCTGCACATTGTGCACATGTACCCTAAAACTTAAAGTATAATAATAATAAAATAAAAAATAAATAAATAAAAATAAAAATAAATAAATAAATTAGTAAGCAATCATAGGTAAGAAAATTGTTAAATCTACATATCTGCTCTTAAAACTGGTAAAGGAATGACATATAGATTAGAGATAGATTCACTGATTATTTAATGCTGCTGCTTTTAGGGAGCCTTCTTGGGTACTTTTTTGGAAAGAGAAGATAATTTTAGTGGATTTCTTACATGGTCACCCAAGACACTGTTGGTAGAATTTACAAGTTGCCCACATCTTCCATTATGACCATCGGATCAGAAGTTCTCTAATGATTTCTTTAGCCACAGGGTCACATAAAAGGCCAACGGAGTTACGCCTGTAAATGCTTGTCAGCAATAACTGATATCTCCCTTAGCAACAGCAAATGATTTTGACTTCCAATTTGCCTGAGCAGACAAACATTATCTTTGATAAATACTTAATTCCTATCAGGATTTTTGAAATCCTGAACATTGACATTTCCTGGAATTCCTCCAGTCTCTCTGAAGACCCAGGCGGGGAACAGCCCCTCTATGGTCTCCAAGTTGGCAAAGAGTAGCTGTGAAGTTGAACGTGGGTGAGATTAAAACAATGGGCAAAGGAATAAATGGAACCCTCACTGCCATATTTCTTGCTGGATATATAATAATATAGCAGTATTTATCTTATAGCCTGGATCCATTAATTTTGACCTCAGATTGAATAATTCTGTAAGGAAGTACTTACATCCACTGCAGGAGACTGAGACAGGCCTCTAGCAGCAATAGCAAAGCTGGAGCATGCCACGGCTGGGTCCCAGATGCCAGAGCTGGAATAGGTAAATAGCTGGAAGAAGAGTGGCAGGACTAAATTCACTAGTGCCATCAAGTTCAAAGAGTGTGCACAAATAAGACAGCTAAGCAAGCCAAAAAATCAAAAGCTGAGACACAAACAAGAAAAAAGGATGAGCAGCAGAAGTAGAAATTAGATGATAAAATGTAGAAAATGTTCAGCGAAAAGCAAAAAGAGGCCCTTTTATTGCAATGGCTCCAATGGCATAGTGAATGGAGAGTCTGCCCGGTTTAAAGACTGGAGCCAAGGTCAAACAGCATGCACTGTGTTCACATGTCCATACCTCTCTCTCCCTGTGCAACGCTAGCTCAGGAGGTTATGCTGCATTTGCTTTAAAAGACAGTAACTCCCCATACCTGCTCACCAACACACCAGACTCAGCATCTTACCCTATAGGAATAGCCACACATAGTGTTAAACCAAAAACCAAGGAGTTGTGTTGCCCCCGATCTCCAAACACTAAATATGAGCTGCTTTCTGTGTCTTAAACCAAATGCTAGTATTAACTTGTTCTCTCATTTGAAAAGAGGAAATGATGTGAAATGGATTTGACTCAAGAGGAAGCTGAATGCAGGACTATAGGTGTCCTCACCGGAGGAGCTGGTGTGAGATTCAGTTGAAAAGCCATAAGTGCTGTTAAAAAAAAAGTATTTATCTTAGCCAAAGGATTAAAGCTGGCATAGAGCATAAACCTGGTTATCCCCAGTATGTCACACTTTACATTTGCGTAGGAGCTTAATAATGCTCTCACCTGAGTCATTGCATTTGGGTTCATATGGCAACTCTGTGAAAGAGACAGGAAAGTGACTGGTAACCACATTAGAGGACAGCCACAGCAGGAGTGAGGAGCTGCCACTTTGCTGCCTCTATAGAGGAGGAATGCCAGTCCACATTTCTCAGTGCAGAGCTTCATTTCCTGGCCTGGGATGTCAGGGGAAAGGGTTGACCTGGAGTCCTGGCATTCTACTTCCCATGGCAATCCTCACGCTCATCTTAGCCCCACTGCAGCTGTTGCTATGCTCCTCTCCCAGAGCTGGAATTTGTTCAGCCCTTGCCAGAGATTACAAGAGTCAGAATGAGCTGGTGGTGTCAGGTTGCACCCCTGGCCATAATAGAGGGACAATCCCATCCAATACCCTGTGAGACAGCCCAGCTGTTGCCCGAATCCCTTCCTCTGGAGTCCAAGATACTGTGCATTCTCTGAGACCCCACACTTTCCTGGGCATAAGACTGTCAAACAGAGTCTATCTAATATCATTCACCAGCTGACTGGGGTTTGCTCTACACTTGGCTGGTGACAACCACCAGGTCTCTGGGTATGGGGTTCTGTCCCTGTTCTCTGGTACCTAAGCACTGCAGAGCACATGAACCCATCGAGCTTATTGCCTGGGAATGGTCCTAGGTCTTCATATCCTTGCTGGGACAGAGTCCTCACAGGATGAAAGTCTCTCTGGACATTCAGTGCTCTCTGGCCTAGAACAGAAGCTCCCCTGCCATCATTCAGATTTGGTCTTGATCTACCAGCCCCCAGTAAAGGCTCTGGAGGGATAGAGCTAGATCCTGCATTCTCACATTCCTATGAGCTCTTATAAGTTCTTGCCTCATTCTAAGTTTGGTCTTTCTTTTATTCTTTCATGTTTTCAAACTTAAATATTGTTTAGGTTCACTTAAAAGGAAAAAGATTTTCACAGACCCTCAATATTGCCTCAAATTATTTTTATTATTAAAGTATATTTAAGGTTTTGAAGTACTAATTTACATTCTTTATCAGGAAACTCATCTCTCTCTCTTGAATATCATCTACCACTAATGCTTTCTTTCAAGTCTGGAATGGGGAAGAAGGGGAGTATAATGTAGGAGAAAAAAAGAGAAGAAAGTCTTTTCAAATGAGAGAAATACTTGCAGAAGCCCTAGATAGATAAGAAAATTAAAAAAAAAACAAGCTCTAACAAAAACCTAGCCTATTCTGACCCAAGAGATTGTGGGAAGAAGGGAAAGGTCAGGGAGCAGTCGGAGGTGGAGAGGACATAGCCCCACTTAACATTTGGGAGTTTGGAAGGAAGTCACCTTGCAGGCACACCAGTCTGGGGGTGAGTTAATCAAAGGTCATTTGGTTTCGTGTAAGCAATGTTTCTCAAAGCGAAGTCAACAGACTAGCATCATCATTACAGTCCTACTAAATCAGAAACTTGAGGTGGGGACCAACAATCTCTGTTTTAATGAGCTTTATCATTAAATTAGCTATTTTGCTGCACACCATAATTTGAGATGTAGAGGAAGGACCGATATTTAGCACTCCCAAATTTCTATCCACTTCTGCTTGCCTTTAAAGGGGAGGATGCATAATATATCTGAGTGGAGAGCTGTGAGACTACCATGAAGTCTGTGGTATTGAGAGGTGAAATAGAAACCCTAAGCCATGGGCCAGCTGTAGAGTGGGGGGTAGAATGTTGGAGGCCTATGCAGCATAAGACATATCAAAGATGAAACTGAGTCATGTTGGGAAAACTCATAGGCCAAGGCAAGAGAGACCAGATCCTGTGGCACACCACAGGTGGGCTTCACAGCAGGCCAAGGCAGGATGCTCAGGGATAGAACTAGTGGTGCTTGAAGGGAACAAACCAGCCCTGCCACTATGCAGCAAGTATAAATGTCTGCTCTGCAGACTCTAAGACCTCTGTCATCCATTGCCATCAGCCACATACCCTCCTCCAGACACCCAGATGCTATCAAAGAGAAGATCTGGGAGAGAGAAAGGAAATGTAAAAGAATGCATATATTACCTAAAAATGTCAAGAACTTATCTAAAAAGGCTTTTGTTTTGGCATTGAATTAAGTTGAATAAATTAGACTATATTTTTGTTTTTTCTTCCGCAATTCAATGGATGGGGGCTCATAAAGAAGACCATATCAGCTACAGAGAAATATGAGATATTGTATTTCTTAGTATATCTGAGTAAAGTACAAATAAATCTACAAACTTGAGATATTGTATTTCTTAGTATATCTGAGTAAAGTACAAATAAATCTACAAACTTGACTTTCTATAACATTACTTCAGTCTGTATGGCCAGTAAACAAGTTGTAAAATCATTTTGCTTACAGCTTATCCATAATGATAAAATCAAAATAAATTTTAAAACTTCAGATCAAAAACATTCATAGAATATGGTAGATATTGTTTTGTTTTGTTCACCCATGATTTCTTTCTATTATCATAACTGAAATCTTCAGTAATGATTCTAGAATTCAAGTGGGTAAAAACACTCTAAGTCAAATGAAAATCCTTTTAAAAAACATTCTTAAGTATAAGGAAAGTGCACAAATCACAAGTATACATATCAATGATCTTTTCACATATTGAATGTATAATGCAACAACCATCCTGGTCAAATGGTCAAAAATAGAACTTTATGAGAATTCTAATAGCCCAATTCCATACCCTTCCCCAATCACTATGCTTCTTTTCCACCCAGTCTTAGTTCATTTGTGTTGCTTGAAAGGAGTACCTGAAATGGGGCAATTTATAAAGAAAAGAGGTTTATTTGGCTCACAGTTCTGCAGGCTGTGCAAGAAGCACAGCTCCAGCATCTGCTGCTGTTGAGGGCCTCAGGCTGCTTCCATTCATGGTAGAAGGCAAAGGGGAGCCTACGTGTGCAGGTCACATGGTGAGAGAGGAAGTAAGAGAGGGAGGTGGGTGGTGCCAGACTTTTTTAAACTACTCACTCTTGGAAACAGAGTGAGAACTCACTACTGTGAGGACAGCACCAAGCCATTTATGAAGGATATTCCCCCATGACTCAAACACCTCCCATTAGGCCCTACTTCCAACGTGGGGGATCATATTTCAACATGAGGTTTGGGGGAACAAACATCCAAAGTACAGCACTCCATATATTAGATTTCATTTTTGTTAAGTTAAATAAGTAGAAGCATACACTATATACACTTTCAGGTCTGGATTATCTCATTCGAAATAATACCTATTGTTTTGTGCAACTATAGTTTTTCCATTTTCCTAGCTGTGTAATATTCCTTTTTATAAATATGTCACATTTGTGGATATTTGGGGTTGTTTCCAGATTTTTAGTTATTATGGAAAAATCCTGCTATGAACATTATTTTATGTCTTTAATCTATACAGTCACACATTTCTATTGGGTGGAATAGCAGTGAAATTGCTAGGTCATAGGGGGTGTGTGTTTAGTTTAGTAGATAATGCAACACTATTTTCCAAAGGAGTTTTACGGATTTATATTACCACCAGTTTATAGGAATTCCCTTTGCTACACATCCTTTAAACATTTGGCATTATTGTTGGAGTTTTATCTTTTGATTATTTTTGCAGTATCGTATGGTTTTAATTTCCATCTCCATGAATAGATTGAAGTAGGATTTCCTTGTGGTTGTAATTGCATTTCCTTGATTACTTTTGAAGATAAGCCCTTTTAAATATTTGTATTGCCTTTTGAATATTCTCTTCTGAGAAGAGCCTGTTCAACTGTCTTGCCCATTTTTACAATGTGTTGTGCTTTCTTATTGATTTGTGGGTATTATATATCATGGATAAAAATGCTTTGTCAATTATTTGTGCTGCAGATATTTTCTCCTGGTTTATGACTTACATGAATCAAATATTTATATTTCTTATTTATAAATTAGAAATATTTAGGATATTTAGAAATATTTACTTTCTAATTAAATATTTAGATGACTAGAAGTTCATAATTTTAACAAAGTTCAGTATCCATCATTAGAAATCTACCCTATCTCGAAGTCATGAAAATATTCTATTTTATCTCCCAGAAACATTTTTGCTTTACACAGCTAGATCTACAATTCTTCTGGAATTTATTTTTGTGTATAGTATGAAAAAAGGGCTGAGTTTCTTTTTCTCCTATGGCTATCCAATTGACACAGAATCACTTATTGAAAACTCAATTCTTGTCGCCATTGCTCTGCTGGGGCTAATTTTATTATAAATCAAGTGTTGACTGGGTGCAGTGGCTCACACCTGTAACCCCAGCACTTTGGGAGATGAAGCAGGTGGATCACCTGAGGTCAGGAGTTCAAGACCAGCCTGGCCACCATGGTGAAACCCTGTCTCCTCTAAAAATACAAAAATTAGCCAGGCATGGTGACAGGTGCCTGTAATCCCAGCTCCTCAGGAGGTTGAGGCAGAATTGCTTGAACCTGGGAGGCAGAGGTTGCAGTGAGCTGAGATCACGCCACTGCACTCCAGCCTGGGCGACAGAACCAGACTCTGTCTTGAAATAAAAATAAATAAATAAATAAAGTATTGATTTTTGTGGTTCTATTTGTGGAGTCTCTATATTGCTTCACTGGCCTATTGATAAGTCCTTGCACTAGTGTGCACTGTCTTAATTGCTATGATTTTATAATAAATCTTGGTATTGATTATAGTAAATCTTTCCTACTTCTCCTCCTTCCCCTTCTTCCTTTTCCTCTGCAAGATTGTCTTGGTTATTCTTAGCCCTTTGGATATCTGGGTGAAAATTAAAGGCACCTCATCCATGATGTGCCAAAAAAGATTGTGTTGGCTATTCTTGGGACTTTTTATTTTCATGATAATTTTTAGGATCAGCTTATCAAATACAAACAGCAAAACTTCTTGGGATCTAAATTGACATTGCACTGAATCTATAGATCAGTTTGCGGAGAACTGATGTCATTACAATACTAAATGTCCCAATCCATGAGAATGGTGTTTCCCTCCTTTATTTATGGCTCCTTTATTTTCGCTCAATAAAAGTGCACAGTGTTTTGAGGTAGAGTTATTACTCATCTTTTGTTAGATTTATTCCTAGTATTTGATCTTATTAACACTATTATAAATAATCAAATGTTTTAGATGTCCTTTTCTGACCATCTGTTGTTGTTATAAAGAAATACAATGCATTTTTGTATACTGACAATGTGTCTAAAAACCTTGCTAAGTTTTTAAATTTATTCTAATGAAAATTCTTGTGTATATTCTACATGTATAATCGAGCTATCTGCAAAAAAAGACTATTTAATTTGTTATTCCCCTGACTCTATACATTTATTATATTTACTATTATTTTCAATGGCAAAAACCACAATTACTTTTGCACCAGTATGATGCCTTTTTAGCTGTGCAGGACTTCCAGTATAGTATTAAATAAAGTAGTTGACATTATTTTCTTGCTTGACTTCTCGGAAATAAACTTTTTGTCATATCTTCATTAAGTATATATTAGTTCATCATATATATTACTGATCAGTTTAAAGATGTATCCTTTGTTACTAAGCTGTTAAAAGTTTTTCTCATTAGTGGATGTTGAATTTTACTGAATGCTCTGCCTCTACTAAAATTATTATATGTTTATTTTTTTCCTTATTCTTTTATGTCTGGTTTCTTTAACACTTGGTGAATTTACTCATCTTTTTGTTACATGTAATCACCAGTTTGTTCTTTTTTATTGACAAGTAGTATAACGGTAGGTATGCAAAGTTCTTTGTTCATTCTCTTATTGATGAACATTTGAGCTGTTTCCAGTTTGGATCTGTTAAGAATAAAGCATTTGTAGACATTGTGAAGGCTTTTTGTGAATATGTGCCTTCATTTTTCTTATATAAATGCGTAGAAGTGGAAATTTTCTTTTCATTTTCAATCTGTATCTATGTATTTAAGTTCTTTCTTTTGTAAGCAGCATAGAAGTAGTTCTATTTTTTTCATTCAGTCTGGTATTTATCTTTTGATTGGAAAACTTAGTTCAAAATTAATGTAATTATAGATACATTTGAGTTTAAATTTATCATTTTCTATTAGTTCCACATATCCTTTTTCCCCTCTTCTCTCCTTTCTTGACTACTCTTGGAGTTTTTTTTTGTTTGTTTTTATTTCATCTGCCCTCCTCTTTGGCTTGGACGTTACTCTCTTTTTTATTCTTCTTTTAGAATTTACCTTAGAAATCATAGCACATATCCCTGGTTTGTTGATATCTAACATAAATTAGTACTACTTTCCAGACAGTACAGGAACTTTAAATATATTAGCCCTTATACCCTAGTCCTTTCCAACTTACATAATTTTATTGCCATATGTTTTGATTCAATGTATGTTTAAAATTATGTAATATGTGTTATTATTGTCTTATACAGTTAATTTTCCCTCATGTATTTGCCTTTTCTATTGTTCTTTCTAATTTTGGCATTTTTGTTCCTCTATCTGGAATCATATTCCTTCTCTCTGAAGAACTTTACTATTTCCTTTAGTGGGGTCTGCTGATGGCCAATTTTAGGCATTTACTTTCTTTTAACTCATGGCACATATCGCTCTATGGTTGTCAAGCTTGTGGTTTTTGTTTTCTGTTGAATGAGCTGCCAATTTTACTTTTATTCCTTTGAAGGTAATATTTATTTTTTTCTCTGGTTTTTAATATTTTCCTTCTGTTTTTAGTTTCCAATAGTTTTACTATAGTAGGTCTAGATTTATTTTCTTTATATTTATTCTGTTTGGGCTTCATAGTACTTACATCTGTGGCTTGATATTTTTGTCAATTCCGTATATATTAGCCGCTATCTCTTTAAACATCGCTTCTTCCTTATTTTCTTCTGTCCTTCTTTTTAGGATTTCATTTACGTTAGACCTTTACATGCCATATATCTCATGTTTTTCTGCAGTGGGGATAATTTTTATCCTTTTCTCCATTCATACTTTAATCCATATCTTTTCTTCCGACCTCTTCTTTCACAAATTCATATTCATCTCTCAATACAAAACATCCCTCAAGCCTACATGTCAGTGGTATCAAACTATTTCAGTTCCCATGTCATGCTCTCTGTGCCATTTGTCACACCACCCTCTCTGTCCAGAATGATCTTTCTGCCCTCATTCATCTTTTAATACTGATCCCTGGCATCATCTACTCCTGCATGATGTTTTCTTGACCCCAGACAGACCCAGTTACTCATATATTCTCACTTACCTCCTACAGACCAGCCTAAGACCTCCACAAGATTCCATGCATTTCCTTGCCTACACATCTGTCTCCCACTTGTAGACTGGAAATTCTGGTGCCTTATTCATCTTCAGATCTCTAAGACCTAGCCCACAGTCCAGCCCACAAATAGATGCTAAGTAAATCATCACTGAATGAATTAGCAAAATATACTCAACTCAGGTTACACATTAGAATAACATGGGAGGGTGTTTTGAAAAACGATGATGTTTAAGAGCCACGCTAAATCAAATCTAGAGGTGGGACTTCGGCATCAGAGAAGGTTTCTTTTCTTTCTTTCTTTCTTTCTTTCTTTCTTTCTTTCTTTCTTTCTTTCTTTCTTTCAACTTTAGAGAAAAAATAAAATAGCACATGATTCTAATATGCATCCTGGGTTGAGGTTTGCTTATTTAATTAATCTGCTTTGCAAGAGTGATTTCATGATGAAATTTTCTGAGGGTTAAAACAGATTCCTTGTGAAGAAGCATCAGAGCATCATGAAGAGCATCAGAAGATGTGCATGTTGGGTGATGGATTTGGGTGCAGCCGTCCATAGAGACACATAACCAAAAACCCTAGCAGAAACTCACTCTCTGTGCATGTGCAAGCATGTGTGTGTGGTTGTGTGTGTGTGTGGTTGTGTGTGTCTATCTCTGGGAGGTGAGAATATGGAATCCCGAGGGTCACAGAAGTGACAGCATGGAACTCTAATCCAGATGCTTGAGTTGGTAAATAATCTGAAGAAAACTCCTATTTTCTATCTCCCTCTATAATAGTAAAAGCTAAGTGATGTTGGCCAGCACCATCCCTATCTGCAGGCAGGAAGGTGCATAGTCCCCATTCATCCCAAGACTTTAGGGAGATAGAGGGTGACTGAAAAAGTCACACAGAGTAAGGGAAAACCTGATGACAGGCCTTAGGTGAAGCTGTCATCACAACTGCCCCAGGTCAGACCTCTCACTGTGCTGATGTGTGTGCTTCTCCAGTTGTCATGGAAACCGGATCTTTCCTCCTGATTCTCATCCCCTTTGCTGTGTGTTTGGTTTCTCATTTTTTAATACAATTAAGTATGCACTGAAATGTGCACACTTCCTCCCTTATAACCACGTTTCTCCCATATCAAAGCAGCTCAAGAGTTGTCTTGTGCCTTGTGAGACAAGCGGGTGCTGGGGGAAGCCCTGGTCTCCTCACTCCTCCGTCCTCTAAAGCTGCTCCCCACTTGGCTTCAGCAGTTACATTTTGACACTTGAGATCTATGCATTCCAACACATGAGCTATTTTTGCGTTCTTAGATTATGCACAGAAGAAGAAAGTGGATTAATAAAATAATAAGAAAGCTGGTGGAAGATTCTCTTGATCCAAAGGGGATATTTGTAATGTGCTAAAATAATTAAGAAAATGACCCTAATTGCAGAAAAAGAAAAGCAGCCCTCTGTTGATAGCAAACTGAGTTTAATAGAGTGTTAAGGAGGCCACTGTAGTTACAAGATATCTCAATTGTTCTCTTGACAAGAATTTGGGTCTCCAGTTACATTCATGTGTAGTGTGCTGAATCCTGTTCCTGCAAGTCTTCTGAAATGTTTATTAATGATTTTTTTTCATGAAGAAAAGTTTCTAAAGACACAAGCTAGGTACTTGGTTCTTTGCTGCTTTCAGTTGTTAAGACAAAGATAAAATGGTTATATTTTAGGAGTATACTTGGTGAGCATTTTCGTATTTCTTCTTCTGGAATCGTGGTAAACGAGAAGTAGTTTCTTTAAAAACCAGTGGAGGCCGGGCATGGTGTCTCACACCTGTAATCCCAGCACTTGGGGAGGCCAAGGCAGGTGGATCACCTGAGGTCAGGAGTTTGAGACAAGTCTGGCTAACATAGTGAAACCCCGACTCTACTAAAAATACAAAAATTAGCCAGGTGTTGTGGTGTGAACCTATAGTCCCAGCTACTCGGGAAGCTGAGGCAGGAGAATTGCTTGAACCTAGGAGATGGAGGTTGCAGTGAGCAGAGATCGTGCCACTGCAATACAGCCTGGGAGTCAGAGCAACATTCCAACTCATAAAAAAAAAAAAACAAAAAAAACAGTGGAGGTTGGGAGAGGGATTGTCTATGGAGTTCTTCAGCTATATTGTCCGAGGTTTCTGTCACGACCATCTCTACTGGTCAACAGCAACCCTTCCTCAGATGCAGCCGGAGCCAGTTTTATTCATGCTTTCTGTAATGCCCCATGTCAGCCTTGTCCCATAAGTGTACTCATATCCTCTTTCTCCTCTGAACTAGTCTGCATTTCTCTACACCAGAAGTTGATGGAACCAACCTCAGAGGCAGGACAATGGCTGGAAATAGGTGTTACAGGAGGTAAATATTATGAATCCAGTAAGTTGAATGCCTTGTGAGTTATATTGGGTATGTGTTTGTTTCACCCACCAAGTAACACATGCCTCTAGGATCCATAGTGCCCATTCTTTACTGTCACTGAACACAGCTAAGGGCTTATACTGGTCAGCCCTCATTCAGAATCTCAAGTCTAAATTACATTACCCTTGGCCCTTTTGGTCTAAGCATGTGACATACAACATAGGACAGAATGCATTATGATCACAATTATTCCTCCATCTAGGTTCACCGTGTCCCTGGAACATTGCTGAATTTGTCTCAAACTGTTTAGAAACTCATTTCTGATATTCTGGCAAAAATTCCTTTGAGTTTGGGGATTTACCAGATTTAGAAGTGGCAGAGATGTTTATTTCTTTGTGTGCCTTTTTTATTCACTTATGAGAATTCTAAAACCACTGAAGCAGCCCCGATTTATTTTGCTGCACTGGGACCAAGAGTAACCTGCAAATAACCAGCTAAACCTGGTGTAGACGAGTCAGTCTTCCAACAAAGATACATTAGCCTCAACATCAGAGTTAACCTGTTGTTCAATATTGAACATCAACCACTATAAGAGATTAAATAGTCAAGCCTAAGGAACAGAACATTCACTCAGAGTGTTACCTGAACAATTCAGAACTGGGAACCTATTTTGTCTTTCACACATCAGTACTCAAAATCTTTAGGCAGAAACTTAATTTACATACCTTTTTAGGGAAACATGACTATTTCTTACTAATGAGTAACCTGGAAATTCCCTTGACCTTAAACCTGGTAGGCAGAGTTATCAACAATGTAAACTTCCCCACAATCTCTGGCCCACAACTCTCCATTTTAAAATCACAGGATGTGCCAGTTTCAAAAGCAGGAACACCCATCCACCCCTGCTATGTTCATTTCCATCACTCAGCGTCCAGCTTTTTCAATGCGTCCTGACCTCAACAAACTCTAATCAGTGTATTTTTATTTTATCCTCGGCATTTACTGACTCAGCTTGTGTGTCAGTCAAGCGAAGCCAGATGATGCCATGTTAACAAAAATCCAAAATTTTAGTTGCCTAACACAACAAAGACCTATCTTTCACTTACACAAAGTCCACAATGGGTCGAGCAACTCTTTAGGGTAACTGTTCTCCATGCAAAAGCTAAGCAATGCAGTTAGAAGAAGCCTCCATCATCTTATATCTGTATCACAGGTATACTCACCAGGCAGGAAAGAACTGTCTAGAACAGGGGTTGGGAAGCTTAAAGATCCAGATAGTAAATATTCTTGACTTTGCAGGCCATGACATCTCTCTCACTACTATTCAACTCTGCCAGTGTAGCATGAAAACAGTTTTAGAAAATAAATAAACAAAATGAGTATGACTATGTTCCAATAAAATTTAATTTACAAAACAGGTAGTGGGCTGAATTTGGCCAGCAGGCCACAGTTTTCTGACTCCCGGTCTAGAGTCTTTCAGTGACAATGAAATGCTTTTACCTGGATATGGCATATATCACTTTGCCCACATTTTATTTGCTAAAGCAAGTTATATGGCTATGCCTTCAGGAGCCAGAGAGATATAATTATCCCAAGTTTTCAGAGGAGAAATAGGAACACATTTATGAGCAGTAATGACTTCACGTTTTCCATGCTATTTTATAAAGACGGGCATAAATGGGAATACTAAGAATGGAAATTAGCTAGCCATCTGCTATGGTCTGAATGTTTGTCTCCCCTAAATTTGTGTGTTGAAATTCTAACCCCCAAGGTGTAGGTATTAAGAGGTGAGACCTTTTGGGAGGTATTTAGCTCATAAGAGTGGAGCCATCACAAATTGGATTAGTGCCTTTATAAAAGAGACTCAAGGGAGCTCATCTGCCCCTGCCACGACGTAAGGACATAGAGAGAAAGTGCCATCCACGGATTAGGAAATAGACCCTCATCAGACATCCAATCTGCCAGCATCTTGATTTGGGGCTTCCCAACCCCAGAACTGTGAGAAATAAATTTCTCTTGTTTATAAGCTACTCCATGTATTTTGTTATAGCAGCCTGTGATGGTTTATTTTATGTGTCAGCTTTACTGAGTGAAGGAACACCCAGATAGCTGGTGAAACATTATTTCTGGGTGTGTCTGTGAGGGGGTTTCTGAAAGAGACTGGAATTTGAATCAGTGGACTGAGTAAAGAGGATCCGCCCTCACCCATGTGGGTGGGCGGCATCCAATCTGTTGAGAGCCCAGAGAGAACAAAAAGGTGGAGAAAGGGGAATTCATTCTCTCTTCTGAAGCTGGGATATCTATCTTCTCCTGCCCTTGGGCATCAGAGCTCCAGTATCTCAGGCCTTTATCCAGTATCTCTGGTACTTGTACAAGCCTGCCGCACCCACTCCACCCCCACCTCTTCTTAGGCTTTGGCCTTAGACTGGGAGTTACACCATGGATTCCCTTGATTCTCAGGCCTCTAGATTCAAATTGAATTATACCACCAGCTTTCCTGATTCTCCAGCTTGTAGACAGCATATCAAGGGACTTCTCAGTCTCCATAGTTATATGAGCCAGTTCACATGATAAATTCCGTGTGTGTGTGTGTGTGTGTGTGTGTGTGTGTGTGTGACCTATTGGTTCTATTTCTCTGGAGAACCCTGACTAATGTAGCCTGAGCAGACTAAGGTACCATCTTAGATTTGAGTCTTAAATCTTAAGTCACCTAGTTGTTCTCCATGACCCCGGGCAGATCAGTTTAACTTCTTGAGAGTGTCAGTATCCCCATCTGTAACATGAAGACTGCCTTTCTAGAATTATTTGAGGATCAAATGGGATATTACAAGACAAAGTTTTGGAAACCAAACAGAGACTCAGGAAGTTACAATTTGCTATTGCACCTTGGGTTTCACCAGACCCAGTTTCAGGATGTCCTTCAACTGAACATTTACACATATTCACAAAAATGTGGGCATTGGCGTACTCTCACTTCTAAGCTCAACGTCCAAAGTGGAAGCTTCTTCCAGGCCTTTTTCTTAGGGATCCAGAGCAGAAGTCCAAAATTCTTCTTTTCTATTGTCTTCAGAGTATGGGGTACAGCCCATAATATTGCAGAGTGAGCCCAGCTGGAAACTCTCAGTGAAAAGACTAGCTGAGCTAAACAAGGGGGAAAAAAGACATGCTACCTCTTTTTTTGAGGCAAAATTGCTTTAATGTGTTATGCAATTTTTTCCTGCCTGCCTTTTCTCTCTTGGTATCCAGGAGAGTTTCAAAATATCTTAAACGGTTCTCCTAAACCTCTTCAATCCTTGTGCATTTGTGAGTCTGACATGGTAGCCTTTAATTCCACTCTGTGTTCAAGTTTCTGGGGTGGCTCAGAAATGTGAGAGTCAAGGAAGATGGTGCAGGTGAAGGGAAAAAGGAAAACCAGAGTTAAGAGCAAGGGAGAGACAGTTTCTGAGAAGCATTTGAAGGAAGGGAACTAATGCCCATTGAGTATTTTCTCTGTACCAAGAACATTGTACTCATTATCTAATTTTATGCCCACAATAATACTGCATTGCAGGTTGTCTTATCTCCATCAAAGAAAATGAAACTCAAAGAGTTTAGGGAACATGCCCAAGGTTACACAGCTAAGAAGCTGCAGAACTAAGATTTGGAGGCTGGTTTGATTCTTAAGTTCATATTTTTTCCCTGCTATCAGGCTGTGTCCTTCACAAGACACCTCCAACTGAATAGATGTCAGTGACCCTTCTTTTTTCAAGGCAGTTCACTGAATCATTTGTCCCACTGAGGGACACTATCCAGGACAATCCAGTACCTGAAGGACTTTTCTGCTCCTTCTTCCTCATCTGTGGAGACCATTTCATACTTGTTCTTCCTTCCTACCCTCCATGTAGATTTAGGGCTGAGTTTGCAGACCTGAGGTTTGTGTTTTGTCAATAAAGCACCAAAAATCATTGAAAGCTTAGGGGAAGGAATATCAGTAAGCAAATAAGGAGACTTGGAATCTGGAATAATAATAATAATAAATATTCATTATTACTATTAGCCAGCTACTTTTCCACATATTAGCTCATACAATCCTCACAAGAATCCCAGGAAGTCAATGCTACTAACTACATTTTAAAGCCGAGGCACTTTAATATATGATATGATGCAACTTGCCTGAAGTTGGTGGAACTGAGATTTGAACTAGAAAGAACGATTCTAACACCTGGTTTCTTAACTACTCTGTTAGGGCATCAGTATTTTAAAAAGCACTTCCTGGGTTGAATCTGAAGTTCAGCCAGAGGTGAAACCCCATGTGACTCAGTTATTCCACTTCCTGTGCCTCAGTTTCTTCCTCTGAAAGTGAGAGAAGTGAGGTTTAGAACTGTGGGGGATATGTGAGAAGATAAATTGAGATGCCTATTAGCATTTGGTGGGCAACTTTGAGGGATGCTAAACATCAAGGGATGCTGAGGACTTACTGCCTGAGGAAGAATTTTCTCGCCCAAATTGCCAATAACATCCCACTGATTACAAGACACCCTATGGCTCTCAAAATCTGTGCATGGGTGATTATAAATTCTACTGAGTGCTAAAGGAGGTGGAACTCTTTCCTTCAATACTGAATGGACTATTCTACTTTAAACATTTAACCAGTAAGCTGTAGAAGAGACAGGCAAGTCTGCAGGTTGACCTTCTGCTGGTGGAGTGCCTCTGTGACCCCGGAAAAATGTGTCACCATTCTAGGCCTAGGGCTCCTCATGTTTAAAATGGGATTTAAAAGATTCAGTGGGCTCTTCAGAGAATTAAATAAAACCATGTATGCAAATCACTAAACGTAGAGATACTTGCTACATAATAAATACTTATAAACAATACACACATGATGAAATTAATCTCATTTTCCTCTTTGGGTTAATTAGAGAAGAATCTATGCTAATTCATGTAAAGCATGATCAAAGTAACATAAGCAGTAATTAAAGATGCACACTATGATGAAGTCTTTCAATTGTGTGCTTACTGTACTCATGGCAGCTCTGCAACAATCTTAATTTCCTATGTTCTTGTTCAAATGGAAAATCTTGCATAAGGTACCACTAATTTCTCCCATAATAAATGTAAAAGTTTTAGTGTGTGTTTATTATTGCATTAAATTAAGATAAAGAATAAATCAAGTAAAAATCAAATATATGTATACTTACATATGATAGATAACTGTAATCCCATGGGAAACCCCACCTTCCAGCACACATATCCTTTCTAAGAAGGAAACATCACCCTAAGAGGATCCTGTAATTGCAGGTCAGGGAGAGGAATGTGAAGAGGTCTGAGAGTGAAAGCACTTTTTTTGAAAAGGGATATAAATGTTAGGGGTACAGGGAAAAAAAAAGCATGGAAACTGAAGCAGAGTTGCTGTTGGGGAATCTGGAGATAAGGATAAGACAGTAAATGGTTCATTCTCATCTTTCCCTGTCTACCCAATCCTCAGTAAAATAATCATGTTTTTCCTTAAGACCTTGCAGACATGAAACTGTTCCTTGAATTTGTTAAAGGAAAGTACTGGATTCTCCTTCAAATTGGTTTTGCTGCAGGAACAATGACTGTTCAAGAGTTACTACATTCAAACAATGTAAAGTTTCTGAATTGTTCATCACAACATTGTTAGTGGGAGTTTGGGATTAGAAACAACCCAATGCCCATCGCTGAGGAATGGGTAAGCCAAAATGGAAAACATCCATCTGGATGCCATTTAGCAGGAAGAAGCAACAAACTATGTTGTTTACCAGAAACAGTTGGAGAATATAAAAACAAAATGATGTTATTAACATAGTGCCATTTAAGTAAATGTATAACATGCTCACAGCAATAAAAATACTATGAATTTTACAAGAGTACATAAAATTTAGAGTTTCATATTCAACATATTAGAATAGTGGCCTAAGAGTGTACAGAAGTAGTAGGATGGATGAATGGATGGATGGATGGATAGATAAATTTTAAAAATCAAACAAAAATGACAGACTTTGAATGGGCCAATGATTATGGAATTGGGGAAGATGATTAACTCAATTTTTTATACTAAACCACCTCACTCTTCAAAACATTTCTGCAGCAACCCGGAAATCGATAGCAGCAGTAAAATCAGCCCTGTAGATTTTGCCTTGTTTAGGGACCTTGCAAAATCAATACAAATTGGTAGACCACTCCTAGTGAATTTAAGAGCTAGTTTCACAGATTTTAAAAAGTTAAAATACTATTTAAAAGCTAATCTGAAAAGGCTACATAATATGTAGTTCAAGCATATGACATTCCGGAAAAGGCAAAGCTATGGAAAGAGTAAAAAGGTCACTGGTTGCCCAGGTTCTGGGGATAGGTGGGTATGGGGAGGGAGAGATAAATAGGTAGAGCATGGAGGATTTTTTAGGGCAGTGAAACTATTCTGTATGATACTATAATAATGGATACATGTCATTATACTGTTGTCAAAAGCCATAAAACAAAATATATCACATAAAATTCTAATATAAGCTCTGAACTTTAGTAAATAATAATAATGTATGGGTTGGTTCATTAATTGTAACAAATTGAACCACAGCAAAAAAAAAAATAGCATTTCAATGCAAGACATGATATAAGAGAACACAAGGGCACAAGGACCAGGGAGCTACATTAAACTGAGGCTAAGATGACAATCATGCTGGGAGAAGTTGATATCATGTGCCTCCAAGCAGACCAGAGCCAGGCTCTGAGCAGAACATGTTTTCTCTAAAGAAAAATGGGATAAATAGGTGCACTGCTTATATAAACTAGAAGTGGTTATGCAAATACTCTTACAGGGAAAAACATGTCTACTATCCTTTGCATATTGCAAAATAATTTTAGCAACTGCAGGAGTATAGGATAGAAGGGGATGAGGCATCCATTTTATTGATTTATTGATTGACTAAAATTTTCTGTGAATTTTCAAAGCCAGGAGAAGCACATCTCAAAGACTGAGGTAGAAGTGACTTAGCTCTTGCATTATAAACTATATCTCTTTAACTTTCCATTGCTGGATGTCTTTCTCTTCCTTTATAAGGGGAACTAAAAGAGCTAATTGATATAGAGTTATTTGAAAGCAGTGTGAAAATATGTATGTGTATATGTTGGTGGTGGCAAGGTGGAGGTGGAACTGTATCATTCCATTAAGAAGAATATGATATGAACTACCTTGACAGCTGGTAAAGGAAGTGGATATAGAACAATGGCCTAAAGAATTATCCTGAAACATTATCCAAGGTCACTGATTTCACCAGGGACTATCATAAAACGCACTCATGTTGCAATCCTTTCCTCAAGCTCTTTGACAGAGCAGAGTGTGTGTGGGGTCATACGATGACTCTTGATAATTAGTCAAAGAGACAGAGCCATGTTTCTACACAACTTAGCAGGCTCTAAATTCAGCACAGAGCAAATGGCTTTTTCCAACTGACCCATATAGAAAGAAAGTCTAATGGAAAAAGGCTAAGGAAACAGAGTGATAATGTGGTAGAAAAAGGCAAATGTTGGAGTCACAATGATCTGGGCTCTAATACCAATTCAAACACTTATTAGTTACATGGCCTTGGGACAGTTAGCAAATTTGATGTTGTCTCAATTTCATCATCAGTAAAATGACAGTGGGAATATTTACCTTTCAGAGTTGTTACAAATACTCAAAACAGTCAATATAAATCACAATATCTGGAACACAGTCAGTACTCAATGAAAATGGACATTATATTAATAGTTACAGTCAGTGTTTAAGAAAAGTGCTAATCTCCCAACAGCACTGCTGTAAAAGAGATTATATAGAGTTTTCCAAAGTCCTCAAAAGGATAAGGATATCTAATATTATTGTCCTTTTTTTGTCCTAAAATGCACAGAGTGGAAAGCAGCCTTCATGGTTATGGAGGAAGATCTCTTTCATAATCTTGGTCCCCCATGGTCTGTATCATCTCCATCACAACAGCAATAACAAAAGTGCCTCTTATGTGTTTAGTGCTTTACAAAAAAATTGTCTCATTTTCTCTGACCCCCTAATTTTCCTGGCTCTCCAAACATGGTACTGAATGGCTCATTTGCTGCAGCTGGTAATTCAGCTCGTCCCTGGGCCTTCATGCCTGCCTTGCTATGGAATATGTAACGCATTTTCCTGGGGAAACAAAGGCTGAAACTGGCAGTCCTAATGAGTTTTCTACTCTAGGGCTGCTATTCCTCAGCTCAATCAAGGCTACGTGAGGCCTGGACTGGGAAGCAAACCACCATCTTGTTTTTATAGGGGTGGAATTGGTCCTAACTTTGAATGAAATGACTTGCAGGAAGATGACTTTGGAACACACTCTGCAGGTCAGGGTCTCTGTCATTGGTGGGCCAATTGCCTCACCTCTGACAAAGCCTGCACACATCTATGGGAATCCCTAATCTATTCTATTTGTCTGGGGAGGCTGTCAGTGGGCTCAAAGGCAAGGGAGTTGGGTCTGCAGTCACTTCCTTATTTCCAGAATTGGGAAACCAAGTTTGGGCTTCCCCACTCACTCTCCTGCTTGCAATAAATGCTATAAGCCTAGTCTTTATGGCTGTATATGTTTTTAAGTTAATGGAATTAGATCACTCAGTAGAATCCAGGTGAGTTATTTTCATAGTGTCAGCAGAAGTATTCATATGACCACAGCTGTGGATGTATCTGAACAAGAAGAAAGGAGTCATCTGGCAGGAGGCAAGGACATGACCTCTGCCAAAAGTCTCTTTCTCTAAGTTATTAATTTTTTATTGCAGTTGTACTCCCAGAGTTCTTAATCTCATGTTTTAAAACCTCTGAATTCTTCCATTTCTCTAGTCAATATAAAATTGGTAAAGAATTATATACTTTGGGTATCTAGGTGGCAAGATCTAACAGGATCTCATTTTTTACTTACAACAACTTTCTGGGAAAGGTAATACTATTATAGCCACTCTGCAGATAAAAGCATGTAAAACTAGAGAGACTTGGGAGCTCACTCAAGGTTACCCAGCTGGCAAGTGACAGATTCAGAAGCTGGATTTAGATTTATTAGACTCCAAAGCTCCTATCTCTAATCAATAAGCTGCAATTACTCGATGCTTTCTCATTTTTAAAGTACATGATTTTGAAAGTGTAGGATTGTTATTTAAGCCTTCTACCAGTCTTGGAAGGTAGGCAGGACAGACACTGTTATCTCAATTTAATAGCAGAGGGCAGGAGGTTTAGGTGGGTCAATGACACGGCCTAGGTCACCAGGTAGCAATTGGCAGTGAATGGAATATGGACTCTCAGTTAAACAGACCTGGATCTGGGGCTGCCCCGATGTTGTATTCAGCTGCAGATGTCACCTATATTCTCAGTGTTCTCATCTGCAAAGTGGAGCTGTTAACACCTCCCTTATAGAAAGGTTTTGTGTGTGTGTGTGTGTGTGTGTGTGTGTGTGTGTGTGTGAAATAGATAGTTTGGGGGCAATTTAACATAGTGGTTAAAAGTGAGCACCATGGAGTCAGACTGTTTATTTTAAATAGTTCTGTGACTTTGAGAAAGTCATTTAATCTAAGTTTTTGTAAAAAGGGTATAATAATAGTACTTAATCTGTGGTGTCCTTGGGAGGTATAAATGAAATAACCTATGCAAAATAATTAGTAAGGAGAAGGGCTCAATAAATATTAGCTGTTATTATTAGTAAAGCCACTTACAACATGCCTAATAGGTGATAGGCAATCAACAAATGCTAACACTCTCCACTATTGCCTGCTTCCCTGATCTAGAATGTGCACATCAGGATAATATCCTCCTTGGGTCAGGAGAGACCTCCCTGCCCTTGTGACTTTCACCTGCTTGAACGTGGGACTTTGGGAACCAAGTAAATGAAGGTGAGAGATGCCATTTTCAAATTTAATAAACACACAGCCACTCACAGTGCATCTCTCATTCCCACTGGCAGGTTATAGGCAGTCTTTTCTCAATTACTTGTGGCTGATTTTAATGCAAGACCAGTTTTGTTTTTTTTTTTTTCATTTTGCTCTGCATGTTCACTTGTGGGCTCCTCCTGAGTCCCGAATGGGATCTGCTCAGAGAATGTAAGCCCATATTAATATCCTGAGCAAAACATAATTAGAAAGCTAAATCAGCGGCCACAAGAATAGTATAATGCTTTCCAAAGCTATATAGTGAGTGTGGGGAATGCTGGGCTTTATGCTTTTTAAAAGACATTTTCATTTGCTTCGAATTATTCATATCACCTTTATTAGTTTAGAAAATCAAGAAGATGGGACGTCTCTCTTGATTCCAGTGCAGAGGTTGGCAATGTAGGGCCAGCAGCCCAGCCTAGCCCAGCCCATGGCCTGTTTTTGTATGTCAAGTGTTATTGAAATATATCCATGCCCATTTGTTTACATATCGTGTATGGTTACTCTTGAGCTACAGTGGCAGAGCTGAGTAGTTGTGACAGAGACCAGATGGCCCATGGAGCTGAAAATATTTACTATTTTCCGTGCTAGAGAAAAAGTTCAGTAATCCCTGTTCTGGCTAGCCTTTAGAACAGACCAAGAGGTGTTCTTTTCTCACTCAACACTGATAGCTACCACCTACTCCTAAGACCAGCAGGTGGCCAGGGCTTCACAGAAATGGATGCTTGGCTTGTGGAATAACCTAGCAAATGAAGATAACACGCACGAAATCAGGGCTCCACGGGGCCTTCCTTTATCACCCTGTGCTCATTGCTCCCATGGGATAGGAGCCCAGGGAAGATCTGCTGGATCCTGCAGGGTCTGGAGGTTGCCTTAGAGCCAATCTGATTCTTGTGACAGGAAAGCTGCTATGTCGTTGGGATAATCTCCCTGCTGAATGTAGCCTGAGTTTCATAACTCGCAACCTGTGTGGCCTGAGTTTTACAAATATACTTGGGGGTTCACTTTACATCAACTATAAACAACAAAGATGGAGGTTGTTTGACAATTATTAGCGTGCCTAAGAATTCCCTGGAGTACCTGGGAATAATGCAGATTCCTGAATACACCAAGAGACTACCAGTTGAATTGTATTTTTTTTAATTTAAAAAGTATGCTGGTTTTTGTTGTTGTTGTTGTTGTCATTTGCTGAGGATGGTGCTCCTGCAAGCTGCCAGCTGCCTCTTTCCCTTCTGGTAGGCTTACATGACAAGCATTCTTCCTGTGTGATGTGGACGTGTAATGCCGGCCCCGGTGAAATCACAGGATGGGGAGGGTTACACGAAGCCATATGTATGCAAGCAAGTTACAAACTCTAAAGTGCTGTGCACACACAAGGGGTTTTGATGATGGCATGTCAATCATAAGGGGCTGCATTCCAGATTCACATCATCCTTGGTGGTGTGATCATGTCCTTCAAGTCCAGTCTTGACAAAATAGGCTACCTGTTCAGTTTTCCTTCATGCTCCAGCAATTCAAAGCGTTGTCTCTGCGGGACATACCTGGTAAAATAACTGACCACTGGGTATTTCCACCTTGGAGTCCTCCCTGCACCCCCACACTCAATGTGCCCCAAACCCATATGAAATTGGCTCTTCTCCCTCCTTATTTTCTTGTTTCTCTTGTGATTGGAGGTTATTTTGTGATATTGATATATCTCCCTTCCCTTCTCTGTATTTTTCTCTTTCTTCCCCCTCCATCATATTTTGTTCTTGCTACAGGGAAGAAAAGCAGAAGTTTGGGTCTTTTGCTGTGGGAAAGGGAAGACTATTTTATGTAGGGTGACCAAGGAAGGGTCCCCTGAGTGAAGAACTTTGAAGGATAAATCTGGAGAGCAGGAGAATGAGTCATGAATATAAGAAGAACAGGGTGCTCCAAGCCAAGGAGAGGGTAGGTGCCAGACCCTGAGCTGGAGCCTGCTTCTCATTTTTTTGGGAAGAGAAAGGAGGTCAATATGGCTGAGTAAAATGAGGAAGGAGAGATGTGGTGGATGATGGGGTCACAGAAACCAAATCCCCTATAGCCTCAAAGCCATGGTCAGGACTGTGGCTTTTATTTTGAGTGATTCAGGAAATGAAACTTACATTTTGAAAAGATCACTCTGGCTTTGTGTTTAGAATCAGAACCACCTTTGTAAAGATCTCCCTCTTGCTGTGTAGAGACAAAGGCAGAAGCCGACAGCCCAATTATGAGGCTCGTTCACAGCCTGGCAAGAGATGACTTGCTTGGACCTGGGGCAGATGTGCAGGAGGTGAGGATGGTGGGATTATGGCAAAGTACTGGATGTATTTTGAAGGGAGAGCCAGCTTTGAATGATGGGTTAGATGTATGAAAGAAAGAGAACAAGATTCAGAACATGACAATTTCAAGATGGTGACATCTTAGGAGGGAATAGGCTTGAAGGTGGGCTTTGTTTAAGCCATGTTAAGTTGGAGATGTGCGTTAACATTCACATGGAGATAGTGAGTAGGCAATTCAACAAATTAGTTTGGAGTTCAAAGGAAAGATCCACACTAAAGTCAAGAGTATACTCCACAGTGTTCAGATCATATTTGGCAGCCTAAGATTGGATGAATGTGCTAAGGGAGTGTACGTGGACAGAGAAGAGTATACTGGACAACTCCTGTGTAAGAAGTTGGACAGAAATAAGAAATTAACATAGGAAACTGGGTAGGGGATGGCTTGTTAGAGGGGAGTCCTATAAGCAAAGAAAATGGTTCAAGTAAAATAATTCAGCAATGTAAAATGCCATTGATAGGTCAAATGAAGGCTAAGAAGGGGCCATTGGCTGTCATGTTTGACCTTGACAATAATTGTTTCAATGTAAGTGTGGAAACCAAAGCAGGATTGGAAGGGCTCAAGAGAGGATGAGAGGAGAGGATTGAGAGGCACCAAGCACAGACAACTCAAGAGTAGTTTGCTGGAAAGGGTAGAGAAAAATGGGACAGTAGCTAAAGACAAACATGGCATCAAAAAGATTTTCTCTGGGAAAACATTACTATATGTTGATGAAAATGATCTGGCTGGGAGGAAAATAATTGTGATGCTAGAGATGGAGTAGAAATTGCTGAAGCAAATACCTTGAAGAGGTGGGAGGGGTGAGTTCTAGAGCACAATGAAAGGAGCAGAGGGAAGCCCTTCCTTCAGAACCAAGAAATTGAACCTTCTGGATGTGGGCAGGAGCTGCCCATTTCTCTGTAGTCCCACAAACTTTTTTTTTTTTTGAGACAGAGTCTTGCTCTGTCACCCAGGCTGCAGTGCAATGGCATGATCTCAGCTCACTGCAAACTCTGCCTCTCAGGTTCAAGTGATTTTCCTGCCTCAGCCTCCCAAGTAGCTGGAATTACAAGTGCCTGCCACCATGCCCGGCTTATTTTGTATTTTTAGTAGAGGCAGGGTTTCACCATGTTGGTCAGGCTGGTCTCGAACTCCTGACATCAAGTACCTCGGCCTTCCAAAGTGCTGGGATTACAGGCGTGAGCCACCGTGCCTGGTCCCCATGAACATTTTGAGAGCTGACAAAGTAGATCCCTACAAGGAAGGCCAAGATACATTCCCCCACAGAACCACTCGATGCATGTGTAAGTCGACCGTTTGTGATCTGTAATTGCATGCATCTCTCTGAAAAAATTTAGAACTATGCCTGTTCAGGTTGGTTCTTCCTCTGTTTGCCTGTCTATGGCCACTGGCCCATCTTGGCTGTCCCACAGTCCCCACAGCCAGACACCAAGACACTTCCAGATGGGCTGAATCCTGCAAAGAGGACAGGCCCAGGAAGTCAGCAAAGGACATTTTAAAACTATCACTAGAATTTTTCATCAAAGTTATGTAAGTTTGCAGCTTAGTTGACAATATGTGAATTGAAGAAAATACCTTTTCCTGACTCTTGCCTTTTCCTGACTCTGTAGAAAGGCTCTAGCAAGGTGTTCAGAACCACTCTTTCTATCAGAATGGGAAGTTCTTGCATGTATAGCAGTGAAAGAGGGATCCCAACTTAGATATTAGATACACTCCCATACGAGCATTGGAGATGTAAACAGAAGAACCCAAGTTCACAAAAAGGAAGGAACTGTGAATGAGGAAAGGAAAGGTGCAATCCAGAGGGTCTGAGGGATGCTATTAAATGATGTTGTATCTGGGGACCTAAGGATATCCCTCCCTCCAAATCTATACATCTATCTATCTATATCTATAAATTGTTATATAATCATTAGGGTTTGGTCCAAGCCTCAATGTAATAATCTGATAAGCTGGTTTGGGAAGCATGACTAGTAATGGGGATTCTTATTTCCCTAAGTATCAAATAATCTCAGCCTAAAGTAGACTATGAGGCCTGCTCTGTATAATCCCCCTTCTCCCAATTCCCCACAATACTGCCCCAATACAACCACATATTCTAGAGCTAACTTTAAATGTCAGTGCCAGAGAATTCCAGAAGGTTTTGTTTAAAAACCATTTATTCAGGCCTTACTATATACTAAGCACTCTTCTAAATGCTTAAAACACCAGAGAGTTGCGTAAGATCCTTGTTTTCAAGGAGTTTACAGATTGGAATAGGGCGGGGACACGTAGCAGACATATAAACAGATAAAGTGAGCGTCACATGGCAAGAGAGAGACTTACAGTCTCAGGCGGTCGTGGGAGCACAAAGAAGAGGTCCCAAGGCCAGGATGTTGGGAGACTGAGGGACAGACATGTAGGGCACTTAGGAGGCTTTCTAGAGCCAGAGATGAATCTCCCAGGCTGAGCAGACAAAGGAGAGTGTTGCTGGCAGATAATCATGGGGATGTCACAGTAAGTTTGGTGTTCTTGGAGCAGAAGCAGCAGCTAGGAAGAACCAGGATTAGGGCTGAAGACATCACCCTGGGCCATATTCCAGGGCAGTCTATGGGAAGAGCTTTATCTTTGTCTCTTAGTATTTGTTTTCTATCTCTGCTGTAACAAATTTACTACAAGCTTAGGATTTAAACCACGTAAATTTATTATCTTATTCATCTGTAAGTCATATGCTCAGCACAGGTCTCACGGGTCTAAACTCAAGCTCTAGGTAAGGATTTGTTTCCTTGCTCACTGGGGCTGTTGGCAGGATCCACTGCCTTGCAGTTCTAGGACAGAGATCCCCCATTTTCTTGCTGGCTGTAAGCTGACATCCCCTGCTTCTAGAGGCTGCCACATTTCTTGGACTGTGGTTCCCTTTCTCCATCTTCAAAACAACTAATCACAGGTTGAATGCCTGTTAAGTCATATTTCTGTGAGCCATCTTCTGCTACTCTCTTCTACTCCTGTGATTAGATTGGGCTCACATTATCCAGGATAATCTACCTATTTTAAGGTCGGCTGATTAGAAATCTCAATTCCATCTATAAACTTAATTCTCCTTTTCCATGTAACCTAATATGGTCTTATGTTCTGGGGATTAGGACATCTTTAAGAAGCCATTATGCTGCCAAGCACACTACACATAGTAGAGAACCATGGAAATATTTTAAGCAGGGTTATAGGGAGGATACATATAGGTATTGGTCAGGGAAGATTCATGTGCTGACAATGTAGACCATCTTGTGGGGAGAGATTACATTTTTGAATGCCTATTATAATCATCAGATGACATATAAGATAGGTCTATATTAATGCAGTGACAGCTGAATGCAATAGTGTGTCTAGCAAGACCCACTGATTGGATAGATGTAGGGAAGGGGGGACTATAGGAGAAAGAAGTTAGAGCATGATAGCTCTAGGGAGGATGGGAGCTGGCAATGAGAAGAGTTGTTCCATGAGACAGAATTTGGAAGTGTTACCAACAGTAGCCTGAAGCAGGTCTGCCATGCCTATTACAGAGTTGATAAGAACAAGGCAGTGCCTGGCTTGAAGAACATAAGATACTTCTCAGTTTATCAAAATAGAGACTTGCATTCAAGGGAATAAAATAAAAGGTGGCAAAAGATTAAGCATAGGAATGAGGTAAGTCCTCAATAAAAGCACAAGGTTAGCCCTGGACTGGAAGCAAGATAGTCTTGACCCTTAGGAACCTGACTACTAAGTTCTATCTCCTTAAAGAGCCTTTAGCAGCAGCACTTTGACCTAGGAGGCTTGGATGGGGCTGAGTTTGTGGTCAAAGTCAAGTGGCTGCAGCTGTAAGAACTGGAGGGCCATGGGAGCAAAGTGCCTGTCTGTTAAACCTCCTGCTCTCAGTGAGGGTCACCCAGGGAAGATTTTGATAGTTGCTTAGACCCCTTGCCTCCTGGCCTTCTACCATCTGTGTGCTCCTGAAATCAAATCACGACTGTTTGGATTTGGGGAAGTTGTCTGTCCTCCCTAATGGGTTGTAAGAAGATGCTTCATATGACTTCAGAAGACTTGATATTTAATGCTTAGTATTCAGAGAATTGGTCAGTTGTGAACCGGTGAATCCTGTCATTGGTTTGTCCAGCCTTTCAAGGTATGCTAATGTGCCAGTATAGTTGAATTCATTTATTCATACATTCATTTACTTAACAGATATTTCTTGACTACCTCCTATGTATGAGGCATTACACTTTTATCATTAAAGGGTCATTCCTAATACAGTTCTTTTTGTTGTTCAGATTAACCATATTATGTAATTCCATGCAGGATCTGGAAAATTTATAAGCTCCTTTCTTATCAGGCTGTCTAATGAACCTGATTTTTGTTCATATAAGCTTTAAGAGGTTATTTTAAAAGTGTTGGACTTGGAGCCAAGAAACTCTGAATTTGATTATGAATTGGTAACTTCTCGCAAACTGAGAGCCTCAGTCAAAAATTATTTTAGCCTCAGCCATAGGTAAATCTTGGATGGGAAAACCCTCTTGGCAAATGGTTGTGAGGCACAAATGAAATACTATTATTGCTATTATTATCAAATCAAAGCAGCACACAGAATCCGATTTGAAGCTAAACCACACTAGGCTGATAGCCCAAGGCACTTTCCATTGCTCCTTACTTTGCTGGCTTCTTTGGCTTCAGCCTGTCTGCTGTCATGTATAATATGTTCCCATCAGGACACCGATACCAAATGGTCAATTCCAAGGAGAAGTGTGTGTGTAAGAGTGAGGATGAGCATTCCTCATCCTGCACAATGCCAGAAGGAGGTGTCATGGAAAGAGCATCAGCAAAGGAGTCCAGAGCTTGAGACCTAGTGCTGACTTAACCTTGGGAAACTGTGCCTCAATTTTCTAATCTGCACAATGAAAGATAATGCCTAATTCATGAGGTTGCCATGAGAAGGAAGTAAAATGATGTATGTCAAAATAATGAAATATACAATGTTTAGTAGCTATTGGACAAGGTAGGAGTTGCTGGAGCTGCCAGTCCCTACCACTTCTCAGCTTCAAGCTTCAACAAGATATCACAGCATAAGGATTCATGAGAATAGGTGCAACACACTACCTTCAACACACTGCAGCCACCTCTGTTTGCTCACTGGAGAAAGGTGGAGTTTGTCTACAAAAAAATGTCCCCCAACGATGTCTATAATATGTTAGCTTTGATATGTTCTTTACTCCTCTCAAAGTAGATGGTCCACTGGTTTAAAACACTGTGATATGCCTGTAATCCCAGCACCTTGGGAGGCTGAGGCAGGAGGATTACTTGAGGCCAGGAGTTCAACACTAGCCTGAGCAGCATAGTAAGACTCGTCTCTACAAATTTTAAAAAATTATTTACTCTGAAGGGTCCTTCCTTTTTTCCTTGTTTCCCTTTTCTGTGAGTGTCAACACTTTATTTTGGTGTAAACACAGGGATCTAGAAAGTATATGGTATTTGAAATTTTCTTGGTTCCTGAGCTAATCTGTGTAAATTCAAATATTTAAAGGGTAGGGGGGAAGGGAGAAATAGGGAGAGATTTGTTTAAGCTTACAAAATTAAGCTATATAGGAGGAATAAGGTCTAGAGTTCTTTACCACTATAGGATGACTATAGGTAATAATAACATATTACCTAGTTTCAAATAGCTAGAAGAATGAATGTTGTTGAATGTTCTCAACAAAGAAATGATAAACATTTGAGATGGTAGATATGCTAATTACCCTGATCTGATCACTATACATGTATGCAACATGACTATGTACCCTATAAATATGTAAAATGTATGTCAATTAAAATTTTTTAAAAAGCACTCATAAATGTATAGGTAATAAGACAGGATTTTGGTGGAGGTGGCCATGTTAAACTTTGTGAATCTTACAACGTTCCCTGGGATAAAAAGGAAATTATTTGCCCTAAGAAGTTGAAGGGATGTTTTTGGACTGAGACTAATAATTATTCAAAAAAGTGAGGTTAACTTGACAGATTCCTGTCTGCTGAACAGGGAGCCTGCCCTTTTCTCACCTCCAGAGAAGTCATTTTTCATCAGAGGAGAAACCTGTCACACCTTTGGGCTGCCAAGCCATAAATCTTCTTTCCACCAACTTGCTAATAGTTTTTCTTGCCACCTTTCCTGATAATCCAGAGTAATTGTTATGAAATATGGGCTTGTTCTGTCTTTCCCAGCTGCGGCCTCCCTGTCCTCTGCAGGTCCTGGGGAGAGGCAGAGGCTCTGTGTTTGTCACTGGCTGTTCGTTAGAAGCACAGCAGATGCTGTTACCAAAAACGTGACATCCCGATGAAACTGGAGGCGCCACACAGCAGCCCTGAAATATGAGAGCCAATGGCCCCTTCTGCCCGAAACCTATCAGCAAGTGGCCTCTGGTTTATTTAGAGCATTCTGTTTCCTGGAGAGACAGAAAGAAAATGACCCCTGTTTAATCACAGGGATGAAAACATTCTTTCATGCATGCTTTTACTTATTCCACAGATATGTATTGAGCATCTGAAATTGTTCGGCAGAGTACTGGGTTAAGCTTGAGGAAAATGAGCAATTCAACATATACTTGCATACTTGTACATCTTATAGAAGTCATAGTTAACTGAAAGGATATTTTCTCTGGGAAGAGTATCAGGAGACATTGAGCTGGGGGAATTCAGAAAGTGTGGCGTTAAGTCTCCCCTGTTCCTTATGAAGAATATGCTCAGATCGGTGGCTAGGGGATTTTGCCTGCCCAATACGAGCTCCTGCCAGATCTTGGAAAGCCCTGAGAAAGACTTGCCAAGCCTCTTAGACTCCCTACATGGACCCTGAAATCTCAACATGGTTACCTTAATGGTTGCAAAACTGCCTTTCAAGTCTCATGTCCATGATACATATCTGGGATGAGGGTCCAAGTTCTTGGTATGCACCTACATGCCATCTTGCTACATTGCCCACAAGTTCTGTAACAGTGACTGGACACCATAGATGCACAATTACCGTGTAACTCTGCAATGATAGATGTCAGTGGACATGTACAGTTAATTGTCTACGAGGCCTAAGCAGTACCAATTATGGCAGATGAATGCAAAGCCTCGAAAAGCACCTACAATTGCCATAGTGCTAATCACTGGAGATATAAAGTTGAAGACAATCCATGCCCCAGAAACTCAAATAAAAAAGGTTTGTAAACTGTAATTGACCTTAAAAAAAGAAACATCCTTGGCAGATCTAGCCCTGGTCTTAGTTCATGGATCCCCTGGCTAAACATGTACCTCAGTCTTGGCCGCTGGCTGCCCAGTAACTGAACATTGGCAAGTTAGGGTCTGATAGGATTACTTTCACAGTTGCTTGAACAGTGATATCTGCATTCTAGCTAAAACCTAACCATTAAATTCCAAGTTTCATAGTTTAATATAGGGAGTGCATTGAGTCAAGTGACACAACACTAAATAAGTTTTGAGTTTCAGATGTCTATTTCTAAGAAAATGCCAGTACTTGAATTAATCAACTAAAATTCATCAAGCTCCTCCCCTATGCCAGCCATTGGGCCAATAGCTTTATATGAGTTGTCTCTTTTAATTCACAAACCTCTGAAGTAAATGCTGTCATTTTCTCCCATTTTATAGATGAGAAAAACATGAGTTCCAAGGCAGAACTCAAGGCCAGGATGTGTGTGCCTTGAGCCTCCCACCCTAATTCTCATGATAAAACATTTCCTCATGCAAGATTTATTTGGCTGTGTTACACCTTTACTTGATGAATGCTGACACATTCTGGCAGGTTGTGGTACATGTACATAATTTATTCAGCAGAATAGTGGGGGCCAGAGTGGGAGACACAGATGGCAGGACACAAAGATAACATTAGCAAAGAAATATAAAAATAATGATCAGATATCACTTTGGGTCAATTTCCCTACCATCTTTCTTATACAATGCTATTGAATAGAATTTGAAATGCAAATCTCCTTTCTTATCCTTGGGATGAACAAAGATAAGAGTTTTTAAATTTACAGAAAAGAGTAGGAGAAATAAGATATAAAGTCAGAATTCTACCCAAAAATCTCGGTTGGTTAAACATGGTCGCATTCTTGCAGCTTTCTTACCTTTACAGGTGATGTTTTTCTTTGTCTGGATCACCCATTTTACCCCTTCCTGCCTTTCTCCTCCAGGACAACTCCTTCTCATTCTTCAAGATTCAGCCTAAGGGTCACATCCTCCAAAAAGCCATCCCTAAGTCCTAGACTTAATCAAATGGCCCTCCTTTGTTTTCCCTCGTCCTCATAGGATTATAATTGTTTATGTGCTTTGCTGCATTGTACATTGGCCTATGAACTCCTTTAATATACAAAATGTTTTGCTCCTATTTATATACTTAACATGTAACAGAGTGGCAAATATCTCGTAGGTGCTGAATGAATGAATACATTCTGACACTGACCAGGTAGGTTTGGTCTGCTTATAACCAGAGTAGTCTACAAGCTTAAACTCAGTTACCAGTCACTTGATTGTAGCACGACACACACTCACCCTCACAATTGGGAATGGAACTCATCATCTAACAGAAACTTAAACCTAGAAGGGATAACAAAGACAAGCTAGTTCAGTCTTTGCTTTATATAGATAAAGAAGCAGAAGCCAAATGGATTGAAGAGCTTTCCCCAAGGCCTCCCAGATGGTCAAGGATAGAACTGGGAATGAAACCTAGGATTTCTGACTGCTAAGCCAGAAGTCTTTGCACTTTGCACCAGAATTCTCTCCTACTGGAGGGTCCTTCCTAGACTGCCCCGTAAGGACAGCATGTCCTTCCCAATGGACACTAAAGAGATTCAAAAGGTAATCAATGAAAAGCAAATTTATTTTCTCACATATTGTTGAAAAAAACTCACAAAGTCTCTGATCCCTCATAGTGCTCAACCACTGGTTCTGAAACATGCTTCAAAAACTCAGTTATTCCAGGGTATTGTTTATTTTTTGTCAAATAATTTTGTGCACAAAAGACATTTAAAGGGCCTTGCAGACAGCATGTTGTCTTTGAATGGACAGCCAAGGACATCTGCCATAAGGCAAATTCTCATTTCAGTCAGAATGCTGACTTCCAATAAATCTATTCAAAGGAATAAAGTGGCTGTTCTGCCTTTTGGTAAAATACACTCACAGCTCACTAAGTATTTTGTTGATAGAATGTTAGCAAGTAGTGACAGAGAGCCAGGCAGCCTGAAGCCAGTGAAATGTAGCATAAGATCTACAAGTCACTAAGAATTTAAAACTTTGTTTAGGTGGCACTAGTAAGTCTAGTATGGTCTTCACAACACTTCGGTAGAGACAGTACTGGTGCATTGGAAAGAACAAGGGCTGGGAAAGTGGAAAGATCTGTTTAAGTCCAGCTCCATCATGTATTACCTCTGTGGCCTCCAACAAGAGGTTTCATCCTCTTAGTCCCATCCATCCATTCAAGAAATATTTAATTAGTATCTATTTAGTGCAAGCTCTTTTCTAGGCACTGGATGGGTAGCAGTTAAAAAAAAAAGAGAGAGAGAGAAAACTACTCTCATCAAGCTTACATATTTATAAAGGGAGACATCTGAAGAAAAACAACACATGCACAAATAGAAAATGCATGTTATTCAGTGACTAGTATTATGGAGAAAAATACAGTTGGGGAAGAGAGAGTGCTGAGAAAAAAACAATTTTATTTTATTTTATTTTATTTATTTATTTATTTATTTTGAGATGGAGTTTTGCTCTTGTCACCCAGGCTGGAGTGCAATGGTGTGATCTCAGCTCACTGCAACCTCCGCCTCCCGCGTTCAAGCAATTCTCCTGCCTCAGCCTTCTGAGTAGCTGAGATTACAGGTGCCTGTCACCACACCTAGCTAATTTTTGTATTTTTAGTAGAGATGGGTTTTCACCATGTTGGCCAGGCTGGTCTCAAATCCCTGACCTCAGGTGATCCACCCACCTCGGCCTCCCAAAGTGCTGGGATTACAGGCATGAGCCACGGCACCTGGCCGAAGAAACCAATTTGAAATAGGATGATTAGGGAAGGTATCACTGAGAAAGTAACATTGGAAAGAAGGTTGAAGGGGTAAAGAAATGAATCAGGTAGGTATATGGGAATAAAGTGCTCCAGGCAGATAGAAAGCAAGCTTACAAGCCCTGGAGGGGCAGGGGTCAGAAGGGAGCATGGTGTGTTCAAAGACCAGCAAGAAGTCTGTGTGTCTAGGGCACTATAAGTGATGGGGAGAGTTAATAGGGAATGAGCTACAAGAGATTTAAGAGGGGAAGCAGAGAGCTGGACCTTTTAGGGGCTTGGAAACTATTAAGAAGACATTGGCATTTGTTTCCTGAGTGAAATGGGAAGCTCCTGGAGAGTTTTGAGCAGAGGAGCGGAATGATCTGGCCCCAGGTTTTTTTTGTTTGTTTTTGTTTTTTTTGACGGAGTCTCACTCTGTCACCCAGGCTGGAGTGCAGTGGCGCGATCTCGGCTTCGGGCTCACTGCAACCCCCGCCTCCCGGGTTCAAGCAGTTCTCCTGCCTCAGCCTCCCAAGTAGCTGGGACTATACGCGCACGCCGCCATGCCTGGCTAATTTTTTTGTATTTAGTAGAAACGGGGGTTTCACCTTGTTACCCAGGCTGGTCGCGAACTCCTGAGCTCAGACAATCCGCCCGCCTCGGCCTCCCAAAGTGCTGGGATTACAGGCATGAACCACCACGCCCAGCGATCTGGCCCCAGGTTTTGAAAGATCGCACTATGTTGAGAATAGTCTGCAGGAGGGAAGTGATGGAAGCACACAGAACTGGTAAGAGGCTATTGAAATGATCCATGCAAGAGATCACTGTGGCTTGAACCAGGTAGGCAGCCATGGATAAAGTGAGAGGGGGCAAATTCTAGATATACTTAGAGATAGTGCCACCAGGATTTGTTGATAGACTGCATGTTGGGTGTGAGGGAAAGATAAGTCGATAATAACTTCAAAGTTTTTGACCTGAGCCATTGGAAAGAAGGATTTGTCATTAACTGAGATGAAGAAACCTGAGGGAGGAACAAGTTTGTTGAGAAAAACAGGTGTTTGGTTTTTGATATCTCAATTTTGAGGTGCCCAGTAAACATCTAAGAGGAAATACTAATTAGGCCACTGGGACCACCTTGTTGAAGAGAGGGCTAGACTGTAGATTTAAACCTGCCTGTAAACGATTTTTAAAGCAATGAGAGATGAGATCACTCAGAGAAGAGCAGTCATGCAAGGACTATGACCTCAGGTGCTCAATGTTAAGAGGTGGGTAATCAAAATAGCTGCCGTTCATGCAGTGCTTACCAGGTGCCAGGCTCTGTTCTAAGTGCTTCCATATATTAATTCATTTACTATCTTCACGGCAACCCCATAAGGTAAGAACTATTTATTATTCTTATTTGATAGATGAGACAACTAGGAGAAAGAGATTAAGTAACTTTCCTAAGATCACCTACTGACTTGCACAGCCAGGATTTCAACCTAGGCTTTCTACCTTTAGAGTTTGGGCTTTTGACTGCTTTCTGACACTCTTCTATAACTAGAAGAGAGATGCTAGCAACAGAGGAGACTGAGAAAGGACAGCTGGTGAGGGAGAAGGAAAAACAGGCAACGTGGGGTTCTGAGAGCCAACTGAAGAAAGTGTTTCAAAGAGGAGGGGAGGGATCACCTGTATCAAATGATGCTGGTAGGTCAAAAAAGATGAGGATTGACAATAGAATTCTAGAGGTCATCAATGACTTTCACAAATGTACTTCGGTTGATGGGTGGCAGTAAAAGTCAGATTAGAGTAAGTTCAAGAGAGAAAGGGAATTTAAACAATGATCTTGACTATTCTTGAGAGAATTTTTGAAATAGAGGGGAATATCTAAATGGGCAGAAGCTGGAGGTGAATATAGGATCAGCTGAAGTTTTTATTTTTTTTAAGAGGAGAACAAATAGCATAAACCTGTTGAGAATTATCCAGTAGAGAAGGAAATATTGATAGGGAAATAAAGATTTAAGAATATTGCTGCAGTGATGTCCTTGAGTAGTCAGAAGGTTTCCTTAGATGAGGAAAGCAACAATTCATTGACAGTAAGTAGAGGAGGCAGAGTCTGCAGGCACAGATGCTGGTAGTTGGGCAAGTGTAGTCATGGAACTTTGTGAACATTCTCTTCTAATTGCTTCAGTTCCTATGCCTCAATTTCCTCATCCATAAAATTGGAATTATAATATCCCTCTCCCATGGTGGTTGTGAGCATTTAATAAGGCAACATATGTAAAATGCTGGTGTGATGCCTGGTACAACTTATGAGCTCAAATTATAGGAATTCTTTCATCTTTGTCCTTATTGGTTATTATTATTACCAGAATTTATTGAGCACTTACAATGTAGCAGACACTGGTACAAGTACTTGGTATACATTCCTCACAAAATGGCATTTCCATGGTGGGTCTTATTAAGGCTCTCTAAGCTCTTAGAAGGAACTAGTGTGTAACTTAGTTGACTGATTACCTCTTCAGTTCTTCCCTTTGTATCTTAAATTCATTTACAAATTTACAAATTCATTTTTAAAGCCATGAGCGATGATATATCCCTTCATGTCACCCCCATGAGAGAAGACTTTCCAGGAACTTATCTGGTTGAGGTTTCTAACATTTGTTCATTCACCCTGATTCATTGAGAGAGTAGTGTCCAGGACACAGAAGCATACTTTCCATCTAACGTGCTTTGTGGGATTAGATAGGGCACAGTAGACTAGGCTAAGCTATTTGCCAACCCTGGGTCTACTTTATGTTGGCTCCACTGGTAGAAAGTCCTTGAAACTGGGCAATAGGCATTTTTCCAAGGGCTGGGGCACAGGACAAGCTTTCTTCTGCTGTTTTTGGGGTAGTGGGAGGCAGGAGAGAAGTCAGTAAAGACCAGACCCTGAACATCAATGTTCTCAGTTGGGAAAAGAGAAGTTAGGATGAGAATGCCCTAGAGATCTACTCAGGCATTAACACTCTGTATTTTTTTTTTCATCACTTGAACACACTCTCTTTCAAGTTTTGAAGTGAATACAGATTTCTCTACTGAGGGTCCCCTTGTCAAAACCGGTCAGTCATGAGAAACCCCCAGCCTTTCTAAACAAGGAGCTTCCATGAAAGTAGATTCCCATTCTGTACTTACGAGGCTGTTTCTAAGAGTAAGCAGCAGAAGTCAGTGTCTTCTTCGTACTGAGCAATCTTGATCAATCTGTGGTTCTGTTTCCCACAACTGAGAATTGGACATCCCAGGATTCTTACATGCTTGAGACCTGGAATTTAGGGCTGCCCCAAATATGTATAAGTGTCATAACCTGTTTCCTCTGAGGAAGCAGTTAAGGTTCAAATGGACCGTTGGAATGATCCTGGTATTTTATAATACAACTACAAGGACTTTCATTAAGAAATGAGGAGTCCCCAAAGTGAACTGCTGCAGAGTGGTGGATCTTTATATTTCTTATGGGGTGCCTATTATATGATATGCATTGAATGCTATTATTTATATATACTATCTCACTTACTTCTTGCAACCCTCCTATGGGGTAAGTATTACTATCTCTAATGTGCAGATGAAGAAAGAGATTCAGAGAGGACAAGGACTTTGCCCAAATACACACAGCTAAGAAGTGATAGAACTCACATTTAAACCTAAGTCCACTTAAATTTCTATAAGCCCTGGTCTATTTGAAAGCCTTTAACTTTAAATGGTATTACCTCCTTATTGATTTCCACAATGTTGAACATGTCTGAGGGTTGCAGAATCCTTCTATGACACTATGCCTATATGGCTTTACCTGGAGCCATTCTGGATGCTATAAGTTCATAAATAATGTCTCTTCAACTTGGTTAGGCTCACAGTGCCAATGTAGACAGATGATCTACGGCTTTGTATGGTATCATTGTTAGCTAATGTGTTACTTCATAGTCTTGGGTTGCCATCCCCTGGAGTGTTTTGATGCGATCAGTTGTCAGTTTCAGGTCTGTTGTTTCTCTCACCAGAAGCCCAGCCGGTGGAAACTAACAGCCCCAAAGCCCTGCTTGTGTTAGGGGAGCTATCGAACACGGATAATGACATAAACGAGTCGGTGTTCATCTGGGGAATCTCAGACAAAGCAGCCCAGAGGAAAACCATCTCTGTCGATGAAGGTTTGTTTCATTTGCAACAGGAAAAGCAGCAGCAACAGCAGCAGCAGCAGCGACTGGAGCCCGTGCACAGGCTGGGAAGAGGTAAAGGGAGGCTGAGGCTGCCGCATGTGAGTAGCATTTTGTGATTTCTTTGCAGCTGGGAAAGGAATGCTGGGGAGGGGTCTCGGCTGTGAGGTGGGCATATGTGTGTGGGTTGGGGCTGGCAGTAATTAACAAGTGCATTTGAAATCTGTCCTCCTCTTCCAAAGGAGGTACAGGAGTGTGCCCACACGCACTTGCATTTTCTCTGCAGATTATAAAAAAAAAATCAGCAGGTGGGACATATTTTCTTTTTTTTCCTTCTTCTTCAGTCTTTAAAGTGGGCTGCATGGCAGAAAGACATCACTGTCCAGAGGAGCTTTCCCAGGTGAAAGAACTCCCTAGAGGGTTTCTTTCCCAAGTTTCTTTTGCAGATGTGTGGATCTCTATTTCTTTGCTATCAAGCGCCTTAATGTGGAGGGGCATTTACATCCCTCTAGCTGCAAAAAGATGAGGGTGACTTTTGTATCTCTGGTTCTCAGCTGGAGTTGCCTGTAATAAACAGCACCAAATCCAATATGATTTAACCTCTCAGTTGTCAATGTTGAATGTGTTCAAAGAACACAGTCTGGGCACGGAAAAGCATGAGTTGCATTTTACCCATCCTCTCAGCCTGGGGAAAATAACGAGGTATTTCAACATTGACACCTGTTTTGAACTATGGGAAAGTTTTTTCTTTTCCTTTCTTTTCTTTTTTTTTAAATTAAGCCCTGAAATTTGCTATCTGTGAACACTGGATAGATTGAAGTTGAAAGGAGACAGGTAAGAATGATTTTGCTGTAAAGCACTTTTGCAGTGAGCATCAGGTTGTCTTAGTATAAGACAGTGCTGTATACCTTTGGGTAATGGTCGTTACTAATGCTAAATAATGTGCTGAGCAAAAGTGTGTCTGGTCATAAAGTTGCCTGTATCCTGGTTATCTGGAGACACAGGATCCCCCTCCCTGCCCTGCTTCTTTCTTTCCTTAAAGGCTTTGATGTTTCTCAGCATGTCATGCTGAATGTCTAGATATTTGGGAATCTGCAGTAAATGCATACTAGTTCATCTCCAAGAGAGGGGGAAAGGGGGAGAACGAAGGAGCACGGGAGGAGCACTCTGCTTATCCTTAGAGCTGGCTTTGAGCAGCTGTGTGTAATGAGGGTTGAAGAGTCTGAGGCACTCTGCACTGGGACTTGGCCAGGAGTGGCGTGGTTGGCTGGATGCTTGGGTGCACAACTGAATGCTGTTATGTGGGAGTCAGGGCCCCAGCTCCCAAGTTGCTATGGGACATAAAATGAAATATGAACCAGGGGATGGGAACTGGGGAGAGGAAAGAGCCATCTGTCTTCTACAAGGTATCCTTTCACTGAAGCAGTTCTCCCCACGCTTCCCCTCCCTGCCCCCACCATGACACATGGGGGTAAACGGAGAAAGCTGTTCAAATCAGGTGATAAGTAGCAAGAGGGCTCAGGTGGCCATCCAAGTGGACAGGGCTCAATGCTAGGGGTCAGCACCATATCTGGACCCTTCCATGACACAGTGGTGTGCCTTGGCAGACAGGTTGAGAAGACCTAATTTAAGCAACCCAGGAAAAGCCAACAAAATAGGGCAATATGAATAATCTGATGCCTGTGACTCTTTATTTTTTCCCGTTACTATTAATGCATTGCAGAAACGTTACAGTGTTTTTAAAGGATCTTCTCCTAATCTCACCCCTTTAGCACCTCTGATTTTTCCCTGTGCCATCTCCCAATCTTTGTCCATGTATACATTTTTGACACGGTTGTAACTGTGGTTTAGATATTTGTATTTGTTTTGCTTTATTCCCTAGTATTATTCCAAAATACTTTCCCTTATTCCAGTACAACTTTCATAGAGATTATCATCTGTGGTTGGATTGAATGAATTAATCCCTGATATGGATATGCTGTAATCTGTTTAGCAATTGTTGGATATAATTAAATTGCTTATAGTTTTTTTCATAATTATAATGCCACTTATGAATATTTCTGTGCCCAAAGCATTTTTACTTCCTGGGGGGATGAATTCTTAACATTGATATTACTAAGAAAATATGAATTTTTATGGCTTTTCATGCCTGTTACCAGACTCTTCTCTGAAACGTGTTTCTATTTTCCAAAATCATCAATAATATGGTCCAGATAAACACCAATTATCTAGAGCCTGATGCACATTAGATTCTTTATTTTTTTCTCTCCCTAAATTAGGAGCTGTAAAATTATACTGGCCCCCTTTTTTAAAACTTGCTTTGAGTCCTAGTGAGCCAAGCATTCTTGTCCTCCTCAGGACAGGCCTGCAGCTTCCCAGGTGCCTTCACTCTGTCCATGACAGGCATGAGGAAATCAAGCATCAAGCTCAGCAGCCTCTCATTTCCATCCCTGTAAAGGATGAAGAAAGGAAAGGTAGAAGATCTCTATCCTGTCCCAGGGCACCTGAAAATCATGAGCCAGGGTATGCAGGAGGGGAAGCCAGCCTAGTTCCAAGCCCTAGAGCTCAATCCTGGCAGATGCCTTGGGGCCTCTGTCTTCCTTCCCTCCCCTAACAGAGCCAGCATAGAGCTAAGCGCACTTCTTGGGCAGGATTTGAAGCTGATGTCTGGCAGAGTGGGTGTGGGGTTTGGGGGAAGGTGAAGACTAGCAAAGGTAATCAGGGGAAAAAAATAACATGTCTTATAGTTTCCACTGCCCTGTAATGATCTCACAAGTGCATGTGCTTTAGTGATGGAGGCCAGACAGGGCGCAAGGATTTCTGAATGTCAACCCCTATCAAATCAGATTTGTAGAATACTTCTTTTTCAGTTTCTACCTGCTGTGGGGACAATTTTTTCAAGTGTTCTTTTATTTTCTCCTCCTTTGTGTCTTATCCATTTGGAGATTAATCTGTGCTTCCCTGACCTCCTAGGTAACTCACTTATAAATTGCTTCAGTGATTATCTCTTTTATTCATTCGCTAATGATTTGTGCAAAGGCCAAGAATGCCCAGTGGCAACCACACAGCAGCTCAGCATGCATTTGCCCACCCTGACCTGCACAAGTGGGAAATAACAGTGTCTTGGGAGCAAGACTTTCCTACCATATAGAAGCGGGTTTGATAAATGATTTTTTTTTATTATACTTTAAGTTTTAGGGTACATGTGCACATTGTGCAGGTTAGTTACATATGTATACATGTGCCATGCTGGTGCGCTGCACCCACTAACTCGTCATCTAGCATTAGGTATATCTCCCAATGCTATCCCTCCCCCTTCCCCCGACCCCACCACAGTCCCCAGAGTGTGATATTCCCCTTCCTGTGTCCATGTGTTCTCATAGTTCAATTCCCACCTATGAGTGAGAATATGCAGTGTTTGGTTTTTTGTTCTTGCGATAGTTTACCGAGAATGATGATTTCCAATTTCATCCATGTCCCTACAAAGGACATGAACTCATCATTTTTTATGGCTGCATAGTATTCCATGGTGTATATGTGCCACATTTTCTTAATCCAGTCTATCATTGTTGGACATTTGGGTTGGTTCCAAGTCTTTGCTATTGTGAATAATGCCGCAATAAACATACGTGTGCATGTGTCTTTATAGCAGCATGATTTATAGTCCTTTGGGTATATACCCAGTAATGGGATGGCTCGGTCAAATGGTATTTCTAGTTCTAGATTTCTGAGGAATCGCCACACTGACTTCCACAATGGTTGAACTAGTTTACAATCCCACCAACAGTGTAAAAGTGTTCCTATTTCTTCACATCCTCTCCAGCACCTGTTGTTTCCTGACTTTTTAATGATTGCCATTCTAACTGGTGTGAGATGGTATCTCATAGTGGTTTTGATTTGCATTTCTCTGGTGGCCAGTGATGATGAGCATTTTTTCATGTGTTTTTTGGCTGCATAAATGTCTTCTTTTGAGAAGTGTCTGTTCATGTCCTTCGCCCACTTTTTGATGGGGTTGTTTGTTTTTTTCTTGTAAATTTGTTGGAGTTCATTGTAGATTCTGGATATTAGCCCTTTGTCAGATGAGTAGGTTGCGGAAATTTTCTCCCATTTTGTAGGTTGCCTGTTCACTCTGATGGTAGTTTCTTTTGCTGTGCAGAAGCTCTTTAGTTTAATTAGATCCCATTTGTCAATTTTGTCTTTTGTTGCCATTGCTTTTGGTGTTTTGGACATGAAGTCCTTGCCCATGCCTATGTCCTGAATGGTAATGCCTAGGTTTTCTTCTAGGGTTTTTATGGTTTTAGGTCTAACGTTTAAATCTTTAATCCATCTTGAATTGATTTTTGTATAAGGTGTAAGGAAGGGATCCAGTTTCAGCTTCCTACGTATGGCTAGCCAGTTTTCCCAGCACCATTTATTAAATAGGGAATCCTTTCCCCATTGCTTGTTTTTCTCAGGTTTGTCAAAGATCAGATAGTTGTAGATATGCGGCGTTATTTCTGAGGGCTCTGTTCTGTTCCATTGATCTATATCTCTGTTTTGGTACCATCAGAGAATACTACAAACACCTCTACGCAAATAAACTAGAAAATCTAGAAGAAATGGATAAATTCCTCGACACATACACTCTCCCAAGACTAAACCAGGAAGAAGTTGAACCTCTGAATAGACCAATAACAGGAGCTGAAATTGTGGCAATAATCAATAGTTTACCAACCAAAAAGAGTCCAGGACCAGATGGATTCACAGCCGAATTCTACCAGAGGTACAAGGAGGAACTGGTACCATTCCTTCTGAAACTATTCCAATCAATAGAAAAAGAGGGAATCCTCCCTAACTCATTTTATGAGGCCAGCATCATTCTGATACCAAAGCCGGGCAGAGACACAACCAAAAAAGAGAATTTTAGACCAATATCCTTGATGAACATTGATGCAAAAATCCTCAATAAAATACTGGCAAACCAAATCCAGCAGCACATCAAAAAGCTTATCCACCATGATCAAGTGGGCTTCATCCCTGGGATGCAAGGCTGGTTCAATATACGCAAATCAATAAATGTAATCCAGCATATAAACAGAACCAAAGACAAAAACCACATGATTATCTCAATAGATGCAGAAAAAGCCTTTGACAAAATTCAACAACCCTTCATGCTAAAAACTCTCAATAAATTAGGTATTGATGGGACATATCTCAAAATAATAAGAGCTATCTATGACAAACCCACAGCCAATATCATACTGAATGGGCAAAAACTGGAAGCATTCCCTTTGAAAACTGGCACAAGACAGGGATGCCCTCTCTCACCACTCCTATTCAACATAGTGTTGGAAATTCTGGCCAGGGCAATTAGGCAGGAGAAGGAAATAAAGGGTATTCAATTAGGAAAAGAGGAAGTCAAATTGTCCCTGTTTGCAGATGACATGACTGTATATCTAGAAAACCTCATTGTCTCAGCCCAAAATCTCCTTAAGCTGATAAGCAACTTCAGCAAAGTCTCAGGATACAAAATCAATGTACAAAAATCACAAGCATTCTTATACACCAACAACAGACTAACAGAGAGCCAAATCATGAGTGAATTCCCATTCACAATTGCTTCAAAGAGAATAAAATACCTAGGAATCCAACTTACAAGGGATGTGAAGGACCTCTTCAAGGAGAACTACAAACCACTGCTCAAAGAAATAAAAGAGGATACAAACAAATGGAAGAACATTCCATGCTCATGGGTAGGAAGAATCAATATCGTGAAAATGGCCATACTGCCCAAGGTAATTTACAGATTCAATGCCATCCCCATCAAGCTCCCAATGACTTTCTTCACAGAATTGGAAAAAACTACTTTAAAGTTCATATGGAACCAAAAAAGAGCCCGCATTGCCAAGTCAATCCTAAGCCAGAAGAACAAAGCTGGAGGAATCACACTACCTGACTTCAAACTATACTACAAGGCTACAGTAACCAAAACAGCATGGTACTGGTACCAAAACAGAGATATAGATAAATGATTTTTTTTAGAAGCTTTACTGACTTTTTCAGTCTGCGAGGGCTTATTAGAAGAAGCACTGCTTTACAAAACTGGGGAGCTACTGGAAGCTGGACTCTGATCTGAGTGTGATTTCCAGTGGAAGTGGTGGGGCAGTGGTTCAGGAAGGAAAGGAAGCCTAGGATGGACAGACCAGGAGAAATGGCATGCCCGTGGCCTGCAGAAAAGAATAAAGCTTTGGTCCACTAAGGAGAAGATAAGAGGCTTTTAAATGGTAGTATTTAAGAAAGACATTAGGAGGACTTTCTAAATGATAACACTTCTCAATCTTTAGTGTATTATTGGTTTAAGGTCTAGATTTTCTGCAAAATTATATTCAGGAGGGCAAGTGTGGTTTCTGCTTTATTCACTGCATGCATTCCCATCTCTCACCTAATAATGACAGCTTCCACTTAGGGCTTGCTGTGTGTGTTGGCCATGCTTTAAGTGTTCTAGCTACATTGTTTCATGTCATCCTCTCAACAACCCTATGTGGTGTGCACTATTATTATTTCCCTCTTACAGGTTTAAAAATTGAGAAACAAGGAAGTTATACCAGAGAGTAGATGGGGTCTCACGTATGCCAGCCAGCAGATAAGAAGGCATTGCAGAAGAGAAAAGGGTCTCATGCCACTTGAAAGTTGTAGGACCACAATTTGAGCCCAAACAGTCTAGCTCCAGAGTCTGCATTCTTAATCACTGGACCGTCAACTCATTTAACATGGGATGAGGGAATGATAAAAAATGTAAAAGAGCATTGAAACACTACTGTGTAGCTAAAATGTACTAGTAATAATAATAATAACAGTAATGATGATGAGATCACAATAGTGACTAATGCTATTTACTATGTACCGGATACTTTTTGTAGGGGCTTTGAGCATATATTATTTTACTTTTTTTATTTCTAATATTTGTGGGTACATAGGAAGTGTATGTATCTGTGGGGAACATGAGATATTTTGATATAGGCATAAAATTTGTAATAATCACATCAGGATAAATGGGGCATCCATCACCTCATGCCTTTATCCCCCACCCCACCTCACTACCCTTCCCAGCCTCTGGTAACTATCCTTCCACTGTCTATCTCCATGAGTTCAACTGTTTTAATTTTTAGCACCCACAAGTGTAAATGAGAGCATACAAAGTTTGTCTTTCTGTGCCTGGCTCATTCCACTTAACATAATCACAACTTCATTTCTCTCCATGACATTGCAAATGACAGGATCTCATTCCCTTTTATGGCTAAATAGTACTCCATTGTGTATATATACTACATTTTCTTTCCCATTCATCTATTGATGGACACTTAGGTTGCTTCTAAGTCTTGGCTATTGTGAACAGAGCTGCAAAAAACATGGGAGTGCAGATATCTTGAATGTACTGATTTCTTTTCTTTGGGTTATATACCCAGCAGTGGGATTGTTGGATTTTATGGTAGCTGTATTTTTAGTTTTTTTTGAGGAAACTCCGAACTGTTCTTCACAGTGATCGTACTCATTTACATTCCCAGCAACAGTGCATGTAGGTTCCCTTTTCTCCACATCTTCACCAGCATTTGATGTTGGTTTTTAATCAATTTCCTTAATTAATGAGGAAAAAAGGTATTTTTTAAAAAAATTATTTCAATCACTTTTGGAGTACAAGTGGTTGAGTTCTATAGTGGTGAATTCTGAGATTTTAGTGCGCCTGCCATCCAAGTAATGTACGTTGTACCTAATGTGTAGTTTTTTATCCCTAGCCATTCTTCCTCCCTCCCTCTTCTGATTCTCTGAAGTCCGTTATATCACTCCATATTAAAAAGTCAACAAAAAATAGATGTTGGCTTGGATGTGGGGAAAAGGGAATGCTTTTACGCTGTTGGTGGGAATGTAAATTAGTACAACCTCTATGGAAAAACAGTATGGAGATTCCTCAAAGAGCTGAAAGTAGATCTACCATTTGATCCAGCAATCCCACTACTGGGTATGTACCCAAAGGAAAATAATTCATTATATGAAAAGGACACTTAAACATGTGCATGAATTTTTATTTAATCCTCACAACAGCCATGAAAAATAGCCACCATCCATATCTCTTATTTCACCAAGAAACTCACTCAGGTTTTGAGATGTTTTGCAACTTGTCCTGGGTCGTAGAGCTAGTGAGTCTGACCCTGATGCCTGTTACAGGCATGTCTCAGAGACATTGCGGGTTTGGTTTCAGACCACCAAAATAAAGTGGATGTTGCAATAACAAAATTCACATGATTTTTTGGTTTTCCAGTGCCTATAAAAGTTATATTTAAACTATTCTGTAGTCTATTAAGTTTACAATAGCATTATGTCTAAAAAAAATCAATGTATATACCTGAATTTAAAAATACTTAATTGCAGACTGAGCATGGTGGCTCACACCTGTAATCCTAGCACTTTTGGAGTCTGAGGCGGGTGGATCACTTGAGTCTAGGGGTTCAAGACCAGCCTGGGCAACAAAAAATAAACAAATTAGCCAGACTAATACAAGAATTAGTCCCGGCTACTCAGGAGGCTGAGGTGGGAGGATCACTTGAGCCTGGGAGGTTGAGGCTGCAGTGAGGTGTGATCACACCATTGCACTCCAGCCTGGGTGACAGAGCAAGACCCTGTCTCAAAAACAATAAAAATAAAAATAAGTAAATACAAATAAAAAACTTAAATTGCTAAAGAATACAAATGCTCATCTGAGCCTTCAGGGAGTCATAACATTTTTGTTCATCGTTGATGGCTGCTGACTGATCAGGGTGGTGGTTGTTGAAGGTTGAGGTGACTGTGGCAATTTCCTTTTTTTTTTTTCCTCTGATTTTCTTTGATTCAGGGGGTGCATGTGGTTGTTTATTACATGGATATATTGCATACTGGTGGGGATTTGGCTTCTAATGTACCCATTACCCAAATAGTAAACATTGTACCTGATAGGTAGTTTTTCAACCCTTGCCCACCTCCCGTTCTCCTCCCTTTTGGAGTCCCTAGTGGTGTTCATTATCTCCATCTTTATGTCCATGTGTACCCATTGTTTAGTTCCCACTTATAAGTGTGAACATATGAGATATTTGGTTTTCTGTTTCTGAGTTAGTTCACTTAGGATAATGGCCTTCAGCTTCATTCATGTTGCTGCAAAGGACATGATTTCATTCTGTTTTGTGGTTGTATATTATCCCATTATGTCTGTGTGTGTGTGTGTGTATTATTCCATTATGTCTGTGTGTATATATATATGTGTGTGTGTATGTATGTCTGTGTGTGTGTGTGTGTATGCCTAATGTGGTATATGTGTGTGTGTGGTATATATACATATATATATATATATATATATGTATATATACACATTTTTTTATCCAGTCAATCACTGATGGAGACGTACTCAGGTTGGTTTCATGACTTTGCTGTTGTGAATAATGCTGCAATGAACATATGAGTACAGGTGTCTTTTTATATATTGATTTCTCTTTCTTTGGGTAGATACTCAATAGTTAGATTGCTGGGTTGAATGGTAGTTCTATTTTTAGTTCTTTGAGAAATCTCTATACTGTTTTCCATAGAGGTTGAAATAATTTATATTCCCACCAGCAATGTATAAGCATTCCCTTTTCTCCATATCCACATCAACATCTGTAGCTTTTAGACTTTTTAATAATAGCCATTCTGACTAGCATAAGATATCTCATTGTGGTTTTAATTTGTGTTTCTCTGACAATTATTGATGTTGAGAATTTTTTCATGTTTTTTTTTCTTTTGCTGCTTATATTTCCTCTTTTGAAAAATATCAGTTCATGTTCTTTGCCCAGTTTTTAATGTTTTTCTTTTTTCTTGTTGAGTTGTTTGAGTTCCTTGTAGATTCTGGATATATTAGTCCTTTGTCAGAAGCATAATTTGCAAATATTTTCTTCCATTCTGTTGGTTGGTTGTTTACTCAGTTGATTCTTTTCTTTTGCTGTGCAGACTCTTTTTATTTTAATTAAGTCCCATACTGCTAAAAATACTCTACAGATTAACACAATCTTTGTCAAATTACTAATGTCATTTCTTATAGAATTAGAAAAAACAATTTTAAAGTTCACGTGAAACCAAAAAAGACCCTGAATAGTCAAAACAATTCTAAGCAAAAAAAAAAAAAAGCCAGAGGGATTGCATTGCCTGACTTCAAATTATACTACAAGGCTGCAGTGACTGAAACAACATGGTTCTGATATAAAAATAGACACATAGATCAATGGGACAGAATAGAGAACCCAAATATAAAGCCCAGTGCCTACAATCAACTGATCTTTGACAAAGCTGACAAAAATAAGCAATGGAGATAGGACAGTCTATTCAATAAATGGTGCTGGGAAAACTGGCTAGACATATGCAGAAGAATGAAACTGGACCCCTATCCCTTACCATATATAAATAATTAACTCAAGATGAATTAAGACTTAAATGTAAGACCTGAAACTATAAAAATCCTAGAAGAAAACTAGGAAAAACTCTTCTGGACATTTGCCTAGGCAAAGAATTTATGATGAAGACTCCAAAAGCAAATGCAACAAAAATGAAAATAGATAAATTGGCAATTTTAAAAAATAACAGTGAAGTTTGCTGCATTGTTTGACTTTGACTCTCTTTCGCAAAATATTTCTCTGTAGCATATTTTGTTTAATGGCATTTTGTCCACAGCAGAACTTCTGTCATAATTTGAATCAATTATCTCAAACCCTGCTACTGCTTTATCAACCCAAGTTTATGTATTTTCAAAATCCTTTGTTGTCATCTCAACAGTGTTCACAGCATCTTCACTAGGAGTAAATTCCATCTAAAGAAACCACTTTCTTTGCTCATGCATAAGAAACAACTCCTCATCTACTCAAGATTTATCATGAGATTGCAGCAATTCAGTCACACCTTTAGGTTCCACTTCTAATTCTAGTTCTCTTGTTCTTTCCACCACATTTGCAGTTACTTCCTCCACTGAAGGCTTGGATCCCTCAAAGTCAACCATGAAGAATGCAATCAACTTCTTCAAAACTCCTGTTAATGATACTTTTACCTTCCCCCATGAATCACAAGTGTTCTTAATGGCATCTAGAATGGGGAATCCTTTCCAGAAGACTTTTGATTTAGTTTGTCAAGCTCCATCAGCAGCGATATACTTAAGAAGTATATTTCTTAAATACTAAGACTTGAAGGCTGGGCACAGTATATACAGCAGCGATAGACTTAAGTATATTTCTTAAATAGTAAGACTTGAAGGCTGGGCACAGTGGCTCACGCCTGTAATCCCAGCACTTTGAGAGGCAGAGGCGGGCAGATCACTTGAGGTCAGAAGTTCGAGACCAACCTGGCCAACATGGTCAAAACCAGTCTCTACTAAAAGTACAAAAATTAGCCGGGTCTCATGCCACACACCTGCAGTCCCACCTACTTGAGAGGCTGAGGCAGGAGAATCACTTGAACCCAGGAGGCGGAGGTTGCAGTGAGCCAAGATTGTGCCACTGCCCTCAGCCTGGGCAACAGAGTGAAACTCTGTCTCAAAAAAAAAAAATGTGTTGAAATAACTGCTTGATCCATGGGCTGCAGAATGGGTGTTATGTTAGAAGGCATGAAAATGACATTAATTTCCTTCTAGATCTCCATCGGAGATCATCTTCTTCTCCATCGGAGCTCTTCAGTAACTAGATGCATTGTCAATGAGCAGTAATATTTTGAAATAAATCTGTTTTTCTGAGCAGTACTTTTCAACAATGGATTTAAAATATTTAGTACACCATGCCGTACACAGATGTGCTGTCTGTCATTTAGGCATTATTTTACATTATTTGCATAGCACAGAGTAGATTTAGCATAATTTTTAAAGGCCCTAGGGTATTTGGAATGGTAAATGAACAATGGCTTCAACTTAAAGTCACCAGCTGCATTGGTCTCTAACAAGAGAGCCAGTCTGTCCTTTGAAGCTTTGAAGCCAAGCATTGACTTCTCCTCTCTAACTATGAAAGTCCTAGATGTTACCTTCTTCCAATAGAAGGCTGTTTCATCTGCATGGAAAATCTGTTGTTTTTAGTGTCGCCACCTTCATGAATAATCTTAGCTAGATCCTCTGGAAACATTTCTGCAGCTTCTACATCAGCACTTGCTGCTTCACCTTGCACTTTTATGTTACAAAGGCAGCTTCTTTCCTTAAACCTCATGAACCAACCTCTGCTAGCTTCCAGCTTTTCTTTTTTACTTTAAGTTCCAGGATACATGTGCAGAACATGCAGGTTTGTTACATAAATAAACTTGTGCCATGGTGGTTCACTGTGCCTATTGACCCATCCTCTAAGTTCCCTCCCCTTGCCCCCTACCCCCCAAAAGGCCCTGCTGTGTGTTGTTCCGCTCCGTGTCCAAGTGTTCTCATTGTTCAACTCACACTTATAAGTGAAACCATACAGTGTTTGGTTCTCTGTTCCTGTGTTAGTTTGCTGAGGATGATGCCTTCCAGCTTCATCCACGTCCCTGCAAAGGACATGATCTCATTCACTTTTATGGCTGTGCAGTATTCCATGGTGTATATGTACCACATTTTCTTTACCCAGTCTATCATTGATGGGCATTTGGGTTGGTTCCATGACTTTGCTATTGTAAATAGTGCTGCAATAAGCATATGTGTGCATGTGTCTTTATAGTAGAATGATTTATAACCCTTTGGGTATAAACCAAGTAATGGGATTGCTGGGTCAAATGGTATTTCTGGTTCTAGATCCTTGAGGAGTCACCATACTATCTTCCACAATGGTTGAACTAATTTACATTCCCACCAACAGTGTAACAGGGTTCCTATTTCCCCACAGCCTCACCAGCATCTATTGGTTCTTGACTTTTTAATAATCTCCATTCTGACTGGCCTGAGGTGGTATCCCATTGTGGTTTTGATTTGCATTTTTCTAATGATCAGTGATGTTGAGCTTTTTTTCATATGTTTTTTGGCCATGTAAATGTCTTCTTTGAGAAGTCTCTGTTCATATACTTTGCCCACTTTTTTTGAGGGGTTGTTTTTTTCTTGTAAATTTGTTTAAGTTCCTTGTAAATTCTGGATATTAGACCTTTGTCAGATGGGCAGCTTGCAAAAATGTTCTCCCATTCTGTAGGTTGCCTATTTACTCTGATGCTAGTTTCTTTTGCTGTGCAGAAGCTGTTTAGTTTAATTAGATCCCATTTGTCAATTTTGGCTTTTGTTGCAATTGCTTTTGATGTTTTTTGTCATGAAGTCTTTGCCTATGCCTATGTCCTGAATGGTATTGCCTAGGTTTTCTTCTAGGGTTTTTATGGTTTGGGGTTTTTACATTTAAGTCTTTATTCCATCTTGAGTTAACTTTTGTATAAGGTGTAAGGAAGGGATCCAGTTTCAGTTTTTGGCATATGGCTAGCCAGTTTTCCCAGCACCATTTATTGAATAGGAGATCCTTTCCCTATTGCTTGTTTTTGTCAGGTTTGTTGAAGATCACATGTTGTAGATGTGTGGTTTTCTGAGGTCTCTATTTTGTTCCATTGTTCTATATGTCTATTTTGGTAACAGTACTATGCTGTTTTGCTTACTGTAGCCTTGTAGTATAGTTTGATGTCAGGTAGCATGATGCCTCCAGCTTTGTTCTTTTTGCTTAGAATTGTCTTGGATATACAGGTTCTTCTTTGACTTCATATGAAATTTGAAGTGTTTTTTTTCTAATTCTGTGAAGAATGTCAATGGTAGTTTGATAGGAATAGCATTGAATCTATAAATTACTTTGGGCAGTATGGCCATTTTCATAATATTGATTCTTCCTATCCATGAGGATGGAATGTTTTTCCATTTGTTTGTGTCCTCTCTTATTTCCTTGAGAAGTGGTTTGTAGTTCTCCTTGAAGAGGTCCTTCACATTCCTTGTTAGCTGTATTCCTAGGTATTTTATTCTTTTTGTAGCAATTGTGAATGGGAGTTCATTCATGATTTGGCTCTCTGCTTGTCTATTTTTGGTGTAAAGGAACACTTGTGATTTTTGCACATTGACTTTGTATCCTGTGACTTTGCTGAAATTGCTTCTCAGTTTAAGGAGTTTTGGGGCTGAGATTATAAGGTTTTCTAAATATAAAATCATGTCATCTGCAAACAGAGACAACTTGACTTCCTCTCTTCCTGTTTGAATGCCCTTTATGTATTTCTTTTGCCTGATTGCCCTGGCCAGAACTTCCAATACTATGTTGAATAGGAGTGGCGAGAGAGGGGATCCTTTTCTTGTACCAGTTTTCAAAAAGAATGCTTCCAGCTTTTGCCCATTTCATATGATAGTGGCTGTGGGTTTGTCATAAATAGCTCTTATTATTTTGAGATATTTTCCATCAATACCTAGTTTATTGCGTGTTTCTAACATGAAGGGATGTTGAATTTTATCAAAGGCCTTTTCTACATCTGTTGAGATAATCATGTGGGTTTTGTCTTTGGTTCTGTTTATGTGATGGATTACATTTATTGATTTGTGTATGTTGAACCAGCTTTGCATCACAGGGATGAAGCCAACTTGATCGTGGTGTATATTTCTTTGATGTGCTACTGGATTCAGTTTGCCAGTATTTTACAGAGGATTTTCACATCGATGTTCAACAGGGATATTGGCCTGAAGTTTTCTTTTTTAGTTGTGTCTCCTCCAGGTTTTGGTATCAGGATAATTCTGGCTTCATCATAAAATGAGTTAGGGAGGAGTCCCTCTTTTTCAACTGTTTGGAATAGTTTCAGAAGGAATGGTACCAGCTCCTTTTTGTACCTCTAGAAGGATTTGGCTGTGAATCTGTCTGGTCCTGGGCTTTTTTTGGTTGGTAGGCTATTAATTACTGCCTTAGTTCCATAACTTGTTATTGGTCTATTCAGGGATTCAACTTCTTCCTGGTTTAGTCTTGGGAGGGTGTATGTGTCCAGGAATTTTATGCATGTCTTTAGATTTTCTAGTTTATTTGCATAGAGGTATGTATAGCATTCTCTGATTTCTCTGATGGTAGTTTTTCTTTTTTTTTTTTTTTTTTTTTTTGAGATGGAGTTTCACTCTTGTCACCCAGGCTGGAGTGCAGTGGCATGATATTGGCTCACTGCAACTTCTGCCTCCCAGGTTCAAATGATTCTCCTGCCTCAGCCTCCTGAGTAGCTGGGATTACAGGTGCCTGCCACCATGCCCAGCTAATTTTTTGTATTTTTAGTAGAGACAGTGTTTCTCCATGTTGGGCAGGCTGTTCTCGAACTCCTGACCTCAGGTGATCTGCCCACCTTGGCCTCCCAAAGTGCTGGGATTACAGGCATGAGCCACCACACCCAGCCGGTAGTTTGTATTTCTATGGGGTCAGTGGTGACATCCCCTTCATCATTTTTTATTGTGTGTATTTAATTCTTCTCTCTTTTCTTCTTTATTAGTCTAGCTAGCAATCTATCTATTTTGTTAAATTGTTCAAAAAACACCTCCTGGATTTATGATTTTTGGAGGGTTTTTCATACTCTATCTCCTTCAGTTCTGCTCTGATCTTAGCTAGCTTTTGGATAGTTTGCTCTTGCCTCTCTAGCTCTTAGAGATGTTAGGGTGTTGATTTGAGATCTTTCTAGCTTTCTGATGTGAGCATTTAGTGCTGTAAGTTTCCCTCAACACTGCTTTAGCTATGTCCCAGAGGTTCTGGTACATTGCCTCTTTGTTCTCATTGTTTCAAAGAGCTTCTTGATTTCTGCCTTCATTTCATTATTTACCCAGGAGTCATTTAGGAGCATGTTATTCAATTTCCATGTAGTTGTGTGGTTTTGAGTGAGTTTCTTAATCCTGAGTTCTAATTTGATTGCAGTGTGGCCTGAGAGACTGTTTGTTATGATTTCAGTTCTTTTGCATTTGCTGAGGAGTGTTTTACTTCCAATTATGTGGTCCATTTTAGAAAAAGTGCCACGTAACATTAAGAAGAACATATATTCTGTTGATTTGGAGTGGAGAGTTCCGTAGATGTCCATTAGGTCCACTTGATCCAAAGCTGAGTTCAAGTCCCAAATATCCTTGCTAATTTTCTCTCTCATTGATCTGTCTAATATTGACAGTGGGGTGTTAAAGCCTCCCACTATTATTGTGTAGGAGTCTAAGTCTCTTTGTAGGTCTCTAAAAACTTGTTTTATGACTCTGGGTGCTCCTGTATTAGGTGCATATATATTTAGAATAGTTAGCCCTTCTTGTTGAATTGTTCCCTTTACCATTATGTAGTGCCCTTCTTTGTCTTTTCTGATCTTGGTTGGTTCAAAGTCTTTTTTGTCAGAGACTAGGATTGTAATCTCTGCTTTTTTTTTTTTTTCTTTCCATTTGCTTGGTAAATTTTCCTCCATCCCTTTATTTTGAGCCTATGAGTGTTTTTGCACACATAGATGGGTCTCTTGAATACAGTGCACCAATGGGTCTTGACTCTATCCAATTTGCCAGTCTGTGTCTTTTAATTGGGGCATTTAGCCCATTTACATTTAAGGTTAAGTGTGAATTTGGTCCTGTCATCATGATGCTATCTGGTTATTTTGCACACTAGTTGATGCAGTTTCTTCATAGTGTCATTGATTTTTTATTTTGGTGTGTTTTTGCAGTGGCTGGTACTGGTTTTTCCTTTCTATATTTAGTGCTTCTTTCAGGAGCTCTTGCAAGGCAGGCCTGGTGGTAAAGAAATCCCTCAGCATTTGCTTGTCTGGAAAGAAATTTATTTCTCCTTCGCTTATGAAGCTTAGTTTGGCTGGGTATGAAATTCTCAGAGGAAAATTCTTTTCTTTAAGAACGTTGAATATTGTCCCCCAATCTCTTCTGGCTTGTAGAGTTTCTGCTGAGAGGTCCACTGTTAGTCTGATGGGCTTCCCTTTTTAGGTGACGTGGCCTTTCTCTCAGGCTGCCCTTAATATTTTTCTCAGGCTGCCCTTAACATTTTTCCCTTCATTTCAACCTTAGAGAATCCGAAGATTATATGTCTTGGGATTGATCTTCTTATAGTGTATCTTAGTGGTGTTCTCTGTATTTCCTGAATGTGCATATTGGCCTGTCTTGTTAGATTGGGGAAGTTCTCCTGGATAATATCCTGAAATGTGTTTTCCAGCTTGTTTCCATTCTTCCCATTTCCTCGTACTCCAATCAATCATAGGTTTGGTCTTTTTATGAAATCTCTTATTTCTTGGTGGCTTTGTTCATTCCTTTTCATTCCTTTTTTCTCTAGTCTTGTCTGTATGCCTTATTTCAGCAAGGTGGTCTTTAAAACTCTGATATCCTTTCTTCTGCTTGGTCGATTTGGCTATTGATACTTGTGTATGCTTCACAAAGTACTTGTGCTGTTTTTCAGCTCCATCAGGTCATTTATGTTCCTCTCTAAAATGGTTACTGTAGTTAGCAGTTCCTCTAACCTTTTATCAAGGTTCTTAGCTTCTTTGCATTGGGTTAGAACATGCTCCTTTAGCTCAGCATGGTTTTGTATTACTCATCTTCTGAAGCCTACTTCTGTCAATTCATCCATCTCATTCTCCATCCAGTTCTGTGCTCTTGCTGGAGAGAGATCGTGATCATTTAGAGGAGAAAAGGCACTCTGGCCTTTTGAGTTTTCAGCATTTTTTTCTTATCTTCATGAGTTTGTTTAGTTTCGATCTTTGAGGCTGCTGACCCTTGGATAGAGATTTGTGGGTGATTTTGTTGTTGTTGATGATGCTGTTGTTGTTGCTTTCTGTTTACTTTTCTTTCAATGGCCAGGTCCCTCTTCTGTAGGGCTGCTGCAGTTTGTTGGGGGTTCACTTCAGGCCCTATTCATCTGGTTCACTCTCATACCTGGAGATGTCATTGAAGGAGGCTGGAGAACAGCAAAGATGGGTGCGTACTCCTTCTTCTGGGATCTCTGACCAACCTGATGCCAGTAGAATCACTTCCGTATAAGATGTCTGACAACCCCTGTTGGAGGGTCTCACCCAGTTGGGTGGCATGGGGAGTAGGACCCACTTAATGAAGCACTTTGTCCCTTGATGGAAGGGGTGTGCTGTGCTGGGGGAAAACCCACTCGTCTGGGCTGCCCATATTCCTCTGTACTAACAGGAGGAAAGGCTAAGTGTGCTGGTCTGCGGAGACTGCGGCCACCACTCCCGCTAGGGGCTCAGGCCCAGGGACATCTGGGTTCTGTCCCTGAGCCTCTGGCTGGAGTTATCGGAGTCCCTGCAGGGAAGCCCTGCCCAGTGAGGAAGGATGAGCCAGGGTCAGGCCTGAAGAGGCACTCTGGCCGCAGTCTGCCACTGCTGGTATGTTGGGCTGTGGGACCAGCATCTTGAGACCAAGCCGTCCAGGCCCCCTGGCTCCAGCAGGGGAAAAGCACAGCCTGGAGCTATAGCAATAGATGCCACCTTTCCCCCACCCAGGCAGCTTAGCATGTTAGGCATTTGTGACTCCAAGTACTGGCTGCTGCCTCTCCCCTAAGGAGCTCAAATGGCTTAGACAGCAGGCAGCCGCAGCTGTGGTGCTTGTTGCCCCTCCCCCCAGGAGCTAAGTAGGCTTAAGCAGATTCCAGCTGAGAGGATGTTGAGACTCTGTGCGGCTCCAGGGTTGGGATGCTAGGCCCCGGTGGTGTGGATTCACGAATGGGATCTTCCAATCTGTGGGTCGCACAATTCTGTGGAAAAAGCATGGTTTCCCCACCTAGGTAGCACATTCACTCACCACCTTCCTTGGCAGGGGTGGGGGCTCCCCTGCCCGTGGGACTCTCAGGTGGGTCACTGCACCATACTGTTCTTCCTTCCTCGCCGTGGATCACAGCAGCTGCCTAGTCAGTTCTGAGGAGAGAACCTGGATGCCTTCATTGGTGGTGAAGGATCCTCATGCTTATTATGGTTCTTTTCAATGGGAGCCTCAGATTGCTGCTGTTTCTAGTCGACCATCTTGGCCCTGCACCTCATTGTCTTATCTATGCTATTGCTTCCATCTTTTCTCCTGAAGCTTCTTCACCTCTCTCAGCCTTCACAGAATTGAAGAGAGTTAGGGCCTTGCTCTAGACAAGGCTTTGGCCTAAGGGAATGTTGTCGCTGGTTTTATCTTCTATTCAGATGAGTATGACTTTCTCCATATCAGCAGTAAGGCTGTTTGGCATTCTTATCATTCATGTGCTCATAGGAGTAACACTTTTTATCTCCTTTAAGAACTTTTCTTTTACATTCACAACTTGTCTTGCAGCTTGGCACGAGAACTTAGCTTTTGGCCTATCTCAGCCTCTGAGATGCCTTTCTCGCTAAGTTTGATCATTTCTAGCTTTTGATTTAAAGTGAGAAAATTGCCATTCTTCCTTTATTTGAACACTTAGAAGCTGTTTTGGGGTTACTAATTGGCCTAATTTCAATATTGTTGTGTCTCAGGGAATAAGAAGGCCCAAAGAGAGGAAGAGAGATGGGGGAATGGTTGGTGGAGCAGTCAGAACACACACATTTGCCATTTAAGTTATCTGTCTCATATAGTGATGGTTCATGGCACCCCAAAACAATAAGAATAGAAACATCACAGATCACTGATTGTAGGTCACCATAACAGATACAGTAATAACGAAAAAGTTTGAAATATTCTGAGAGTTACTAAAATGTGGCACAGAGACACAAAGTGAGCACATGCTGTTTAAAAAATGGCCCCAATAGACTTACTCACTGCAGAATTGCCACAAGCCTTCAATTTATAGAAAATAAAATATCTGCAAAGCTCAATAAAGTGAAGCAACAAAATTAGGTATGCCTATGCCTATGACCACACCTTGATGACATACCAACAGGTTAGAGCTAGAACAAAGGCCAGAACAGCAACAACAAAGGATTACCTGAGACATTGGAGGTGGCTCAGTGGCCTCTTCTGATCTCTTTTGGCTTAGAGTTCTGTGATGGCTTTTAGATCACCCATGCATGGTGCTACACAAAACACTTAGATCACCTCCCATTCCTGGTAGTGCTCAAAGGCAAGTTCCTAAAGGAAGAAGGCTTGGAGAAATATCACCATTGGGGAAGTCAATGTACACTTATAAGAGAAAGAAGAACCCCAGCTGAGCCACCACCTCTGTTCAGTGCTCGGTACCTATGCTGTCTAATATGCTAGCCATTAGCCACAGGTGGCTGCTGAGCATTTGTAATGTGGCCAGTCCAAATTGAGATGTGCTATAAATGTGCATATACATACCAGAATTCAATAACTTAGTATAAAAAAGTAGACTATCTGAATAGATTTGCATTGATTGCGTATTGAGGCAAAACTATTTTACATATAATGGATTAGATAAAATATATTATTAAAATTAATTTTACCTATTTATTTTTACTTTTGAAAAAATTTTGGTGAAATATGCATAACATGACGTGTATCATCTTAACCATTTTTAGGTTAAGGTTCAATAGTGTTAAGTACATTCACCGATTGCTGTGCAACCAATCTCCAGAACTGTTTTCTTCTTACAAACTCTGTACCCATTAAACAACTTCTTCCCCTCCCCATAGCCCCTGGAAACCACCATTCTACTTTCTTGCTCTGAATTTCACTACTCTACATGCCTCATATGAGTGGAATCATATTGTCTTTTTGTAATTGACTTATTTCACTTCATAACATTGTCAAGGTTCATCCATGTTGTAACGTGTGTCAAAAAGTTTCCTTCCTAGGCCAGGTGTGGTGGCTCACACCTGTAATCCCAGCACTTTGGGAGGCCAAGGCTGGCAGACCACCTGAGGTCAGGAGATCAAGACCATCCTGGCTAACATAGTGAAACTCCATCTCTACTAAAAACACAAGAAAAATTAGCCAGGTGGAGAGTGCCTGTAGTCCTGGCCACTCAGGAGGCTGAGGCAGGAGAATCAGCAGAACCCGGGAGGCAGAGGTTGCAGTGAGCCGAGATTGCACCACTGCACTCCAGCCTGGGCAACAGAGTGAGACTCCATCTAAAAAAAAAAGTTTCCTTCCTTTGTAAGTCTGAATAGTACTCCATTATATATATATACCACATTTTGTTTATCAATTTATCCATCCGTGGACACTTGGACTGCTTCCACCTCTTTTTCCTTTCTTGACTGTGTTTATTACAATATTTAAAATTATATGAGTACTTCATATTTGTGGTTTACATTTTATCTCTATTGAACAGTGCTGCTCTGAACTTTTCTGCCTTCCTCGGTGCCTTCTTTATCTCATGGCCTCTCTTTCTCACTCCCATACATGAAGCCTCAACTACCCTTCACCAGGTGTTAGTTTGGCCTCTCTCCTTCCCCTTCCCTAAGACCTAAGTCAAGAATCTCAGCTCTGATCAACCACTAAGATTATAAGGATCTATGAAAGGCTGTCACATTTAGCTAAGTGTTTTTGTAATTAGATGAAACTGTGACATTTCTCAAGAGGAATGTTACCTTTTCTTCCTTAATGCATAAGTAGAAGACCCAATAAATTGGGACTGAGAAGGAAAAGCTTTTGAAGTAATTTGATTTTTTAAAAAGTCAACAGCTTTCCTCAGCTTACCAGCTGCGAGTAAATTTTATTAACTACGAGGCAGGGAAGAGTGCAAAAACCAATAAAGCATAAATTCAGAGCAGAGATCGACACCAGCTTCTCATTTCTGGAATACAGTTTTCCTGGAAAGACCTGGGCATCTAGAGATGCAAGGCATTGGAATGTCATCAGTGTCTTTGGAATTTCTCGTCACTTCCAGAATAAAACCCCAAAGCCTTAGCCTATCATCTAAGGCCTTTCTGCTTGTCAGTTTCCTTTTCTGCCACTCCCTGCAGACCTCTCTATGTGAAGACAAGTATTCCTTATTACTGCCCAAATATGCGGTGCACTCCTGGGCTTCCCAGCCTTCATACTTCTTTTAACCTTGGCCTGGGAGACCCCATCCCACCTGTATGCATCTGGGAAACTTTACCCATTCATCAGGACGTAGTTCAAAGGTCACCCCTCTGTGAAGCATCCCTTGACCCCAGTATCCATCAGGGTCCCAGCAGGAAATAGATGTCACACTCCAATGAGTGGTTAAAGGGAGTTGAATGATGGAACTATTTACAAAGGTGTGGGCCGTGTTAAGAGAAATTGAGATGAGAAGGTGAAGCAGCCTAAGGCTGCTGCTGGAAGCTGGAAGAAGGAAGGAGTTGCTGGGACATGGCCAGATTCATAAGAGTGCTCTAGGTAGAGCAGTGGCTGCACCTAGTGTGGCAGAAAAAGAGATGTCCCTCTTACATCTTCTCATGTCTTTCCATTGTCTCCCACTGACTGAGCTATCTGAAAGGCAAATGGCATGAGTGCCCATAGAGCTCACCAGCCCCAGGGCACACAGCAGGTGGAAGAAGGTAGTGAAAGATTTAGAGGGCAAGCAGAAACTGTCCAGCACAATTCCACAAACTCTTTCTCCAGAAACACTCCCTTCTCAAGACTCCTTAGCAGCACCGTTTACATTGCAGGATAATCTTTTTCATATTGTATTCATATCGTTCAATGAAATGCCTTTTCCCCAACTACACATGAGACAATGAGTTCTTTGAAGGTCACACTCCTTCCTCTCATTCATACACATATTTCTAACACCTGGCAAAATACCTGGTAGAGAGTAGGTGTTAAATACAGACAGAGTAAATGAATGTATTCCTTTATCACGTATGTATTTCTAAAACCCTCTTTGAAATCTACATGATGTATGTTGATTCTAGAATGGGAATTTCTCAATGAATTAGATATATAGAATTAATGTCCCCCTCCTATGAATCTCAGCTAGGGAGTTAAAATGATTCAAATGAAAGATTATTAGTGCCTCATTATTGTGTAATTGGTGGCACATTAAGTCATGAGGAATTGAGGAAATGGAACTTAAGTGGAAGGAATTAGCAGTAATTTAGGCCAACCATGAAAATGTTTGTGTGGGTGCTCACAAAGAACAATACTGTTGTTTGAATAAAAACTGGGGAGCAGAAGTTTCATATATAATAAAACTTTTTCCTGGCCTGTTTAATTGGATTTTTCATATAAACCTATGTGGCAAGAAGAGAGAGACCAGAGGGTTTAATGCTTTGTATCTAAAGTGATGGGGATGGAGTGTCTGGGGTACAGCGCGAAATGCCAGTTAAAACAGTGAAAAGCAAAGGCTGACCTGAGACTGGACCTTGACCATGAAGAGTACATTTAAGGGAGAGGTTGACACAGGCACGAGTATTCCAGGAACAAGGTTTCACTGTGACAACTGGACATTCCTCCTAAGCAAACCACTGAATGAGGTTATATCTCTGAAGTATGTTGGTGCATCTTGGTTTGCTCCCTCTACTAGGTCAATTTTTGAACTGGAGTTTGGAGGGTATGTTTGTTTCCTGGGGCTGCCATAAGAAATTACCACAAACTAGGTGGCTTAGAAAACAGAAATTTATTCTCCCACGATCTAAAGGCCAGAATCCTGAAATGAAGGTGTTATTGGAAAGGGACCTGGATCCAGATCCCAGGAGAGGGTTCTTGGATCTCCCACAAGAAAAAATTCAGGGCGAGTCCATACAGTAAAGTGAAAGCAAGTTTATTAGGAAAGTAAAGGAACAAAAGAATGGCTACTCCATAGACAGAGCAGCCCCTAGGGCTGCTGGTTGGTCATTTTTATGGTTATTTCTTGATTATATGCTACATAAGGGGTAAATTATTCATGTCTCCCCTTTTGAGACCATATAGGGTAACTTCCTGACATTGCCATGGCATTTGTAAACTGTCATGGTGCTGATGGGAGTATAGTAGTGAGGACAACTAGAGGTCACTCTCTTGCCCATCTTGGTTTTGGTGGGATTTTGCCAGCTTCTTTACTACAACCTGTTTTATCAGCAAGGTCTTTATGACCTGTATCTTGTGCCCACCTCCTATCTCATTATGTGACTTAGAATGCCTTAACCATCTGGGAATGCAGCCCAGTAGGTCTCCGCCTCATTTTACCTCACCCCTACTCAACATGGAGTTGCTCTGGTTCAAACACCTCTGACAAAGGTGTCCGGGCAGGACTGCCCTTCCTCTAGGGGAGAAGGCTCTAGAGGAGAATTGTTCTTTGCCTCTTCCAGCTTCTGGTGGCTCCAGGAGTTCCTTGGCATGGAGCTGTGTGACTCCAGACTCTGTCGCCTTCTTTATATGGCCCTTTCCCCTATGTGTCTCCCCTGTGCCTGTGTCAAATGTTCCACTCTTTTTTGTTATAAGGACACCAGTTATTGGATTTAGGGCCCATCCTCAATTCAGAATAATCTACTCTGGAGATCTTTAATTATATCTTTAAAGACTGTTCCCAAATAAGGTCACATTCATGAGTACTGGGGGCTAAGAAATGAATATACCTTTTTGGGGCCACTGTACACCCTCACTATAGAGGTTTATGTTTGTTCTCTTAACCTGCCACCTCTCCAAAGCCAAACCTTCCTTTTGAGTCCATGTTGTCTCATATTCCTGAATCTAGGATCTTGTTCTGTTGATAATGTCCATTTTCTCTTTTGTATTTTTTTCTTTTTTTTTTTGAGACGTACTCTCACTCTCACCAGGCTGGGGTGCAGTGGCGCGATCTCAGCTCACTGCAACCTCCACCTCCCGTGTTCAAGCGATTCTCCTGCCTCAGCCTCCCAAGTAGCTGGGACTACAGGTGCACACCACCACGCCCAGCTAATTTTTTGTATTTTAAGTAGAGATGGGGTTTCACCATGTTGGCCAGGATGGTCTCGATCTCTCGACCTCATGATCTGCCCACCTCAGCCTCCCAAAGTGCTGGGATTACAGGCATAAGCCACCGTGCCTTGTCTCTTTTGCATTTTTAACATTTTTGACTTGATCCTTCCCTTCATCCTGCAAGTATGCTCTAACCTTAAACAAACAAGCTTCTCTCTGACTGATTCTATATTTGACATAGAAACTCCTTTCTAACACCACCAACACCTCACAAAAGCCTCCCCCTCCACAACCATTCCAAGGAAGGATCCCTTCTCTTTTTCATTTTGCACCCATTTCTGGGCTGAGTTTTGCTCTCATTGCAAAAACTGCCTTTCTGTATTTACCAGGAAAGTTCAGGTTGCTCAACCCCTACTTAACCCCATAAACTTTGGTTCTCTTTCATCCTTGTGATTCCCTCTGCAATGACTCTTCCTGTTTGAAGAAGTTTCTCTCTGACCTTGGAGTATAAAGTTAGGCCTTACAGGGGTTCTCCAGCTAAAAGAAAAACTCCCTCAATAATACTCTGCCTAGATACTAATGGATTATTTTCCAAACTTAACATTTGTTGTATTCCCTCCTTTACATATCAACTGGGTTGACTTTTCTTTAAGAATCAACCTAATGCCAAAATAACATTTCCAACTGCCTGTAAAGTGGACAAAAGGTGGCTTCTTGTTTTTTGTTTGTTTGTTTGTTTGTTTTTATAAAAGGATATCTATTACAACAAAAACATTATATCCATCTCCCAGTGTAACTTCACACCTGTTCAATAGGTTTGAGCCATCCTAGTCTAATCTAGTCTTCACCTGGCTTTGGGAAGGCAACCAAGACAAGGACATATCCCAGTGCTTTGCAATTTCATAAGAAATGGATTTAGACTCTAACCACAGTGACTTTCACCACCTTTTATAGGCAGGGTTTTGGAGTTTCTGCAGAACAAGGCACTCACCATTCACAGTGGTCCCTAGCCATTTGCTGATTGGTCATTCTGAGTGCATGTTCTGGGCCCTCCGGGCACAGCAAGAGACCAGGGATTTGTGAATTCTGCTGTTGTTCAGACTCCAGGCAGCAGCCACATCTGTGATTGGTTGCTGCGCCCTTGCAATCTTAGTTTTAGTCATTTTCTTAGAAAAGCATCCATGTCAGTAAGATTTTTGAGGCTATTGGGATAAATCTGTATACAGTATTCTGCTGCAAAATGTTAACTCTCTCTGTATTGGTAGTTATATCTCTTCTTATTCCTAATATTAATCACTTGTGTTTTCACTTTCTTCTTATTTTTTCAATTAATCTGTTCAGTAAATTGGCTTCTAGTTTACTGATTAATTTTACTTAACTGTCTTTCATTCATTTCCTTTTTTAACTCTTATTGATATGTAGTGTACGTATAAGAAGGCACACATAGTATAGCGCAATGGATTTCCACAAAGTAAATACACTTGATTACACAAGTGTAATCAACACTAGATCAAGAAACAAAACAGTACTGCCGCAGCTCAGTTAATGGTTCCTATTGCATGTTCAATGAGCCTCCATTCCAGGAAAATTCCCAGAACCCCCGTTCATGAGACCTTCTAATGCTACCTCCCAAAGGTAGCATGATCTTCCCTTTTAACAGCATAAATTCGTTTTGTCTGTCTCTTTTCCTACTTTATATACAACCTACTTATATGAAATATATGTACTCTTGTGTCTGATGTTGCTATCCTTGTAGCAGCTTTCTCTTCGGTAACTCACTTTGAGTGTTTTCAGAATTGGAGACAATCAATGTAAGTCACCTAGCACAGGCTCTGGCCTGTAACTGAGGTGTGTAAGTCGCAGTTATTATCATGAAAAGATGGCATTATCTACAGATGGGTGAAGTGCAGATGAGGAGAGGAGAAGGTGGGGAAAGGGAAAGGAATATGTGCAGTGGACAAAGCCCAAAAAATTTATCCTGAGAAATTCCCAAATGTATCCTGGCCAGGACCAAGACCAGAAGACCCATATTAGAAAGCAGGATTTTGGTACCTCCTTTCTAACTGTCTGCTGAGATAAGTAAGGTTTTATTATTTTCTTTTTTTTTTTTGAGACGGAGTCTCGCTCTGTCGCCCAGGCTGGAGTGCAGTGGCGGGATCTCGGCTCACTGCAAGCTCCGCCTCCCGGGTTCACGCCATTCTCCTGCCTCAGCCTCCCAAGTAGCTGGGACTACAGGCGCCCGCCACTACGTCTGGCTAATTTTCTGTATTTTTAGTAGAGACGGGGTTTCACCGTTTTAGCCGGGATGGTCTCGATCTCCTGACCTCGTGATCCGCCCGCCTCGGCCTCCCAAAGTGCTGGGATTATAGGCGTGAGCCACCGCGCCCGGCCTATTATTTTCTTAACATCCTAACGTTTTATTATGAAAATTTTCAAACACATCGAAACATTGACTTTTACAGTGAATACTCACGTGTCTACCACCTGGGTTCTACAATTAGCATGTTACTTTTCGTGCTTTGTTCCATATTTATGTCTGTTCATTTGTGAGTTCATCTTTATATTTTATGCATTTCAAAGGAAGCAGCAGACTTTTAGTAGTGTTTTTCTTTAAAGAAATATCATTCATAGAACACAAAATTAGCCGCTTTAAAATTAATTGGTATTTAGTATATTCATAATGTTGTAGAACCACCACCTATGTATAGTTTCAAAACATTTTTGTCACTCCAAAATAAAGCTTCTTACCAATTAAGCTGTTACTCCTCATTCTGTCTTCCCTTCAGTCCCTGGTGACCACCAATTTGATTTCTGTTTCTGTGGATTTACCTATTTTGGATATTTTATGTGAACAGAATCATACAATATGTATTTGTGTCTGATCTGTTTCACTTAGCATAATGTTTGTAAGTTTCATCCACTTCCAGCACGTATCAGTAGTCCGTTCCTTTTATGGCTGAATGAGATCATGGTATGCAAATATCATGATTTGTGTATCTATCCATTGATGAGTATTTGGGTTGTTTCCACCTTTTGGAGATTGTGTTACTTGAGCATTTGTGTATAAAGATTTGTTTCAGAGGTTGTTTTCAATTCGTTTGGGTATATACCTAGGAGTAGAATTTCTGGGTCATATGGTAATTCTGTGTTTCCCTTTTTGAGGAACTGTCAAACTATTTTCTTGGTAGGAGGTTTTTGAACCCTGGGAAATCACTTGCTCAATTTGGATCATTCTCTTCTTCAGTTTTTCCCTTGAGTAGCTTCCTCTCTGGATAAAATATGCAGGGATTTTAGTGGCATGTGAGAAGAGGCACTGACTAGACAGGCTACAGTTTCCTCTCATCTCCTGTAGGCATGTCAACTCACCTGGCATTAGAGGGACCCAGCGGATATAACCTGCAGGGGCACCCACGGCTCCATTAATGGTTCCTGTTGAATGATCAATGAGTCTCCATTCCAGGGAACTGCCACATGGAGCGAGACCCCTCTGACACTGCGTGAGCCCTTGATGGCTGAAGCAGCACCAGGCCCCCTCATGGTTTCCTGGGTTCTACTAGGAGCTAAGTACAACAGGTTTGAGTTGGAGAGAGTAATTTGCTAAAGAAATGCCTGGGAGTGGCAGCTTCTGAAACAGGCGCTGACAGCTGGTGAGGGATTTCATAGGGCTGCCCCTGCTCCACGAGCCTGAGAAAACAGGAGAAATTCCAACTGTTGCATGATATCATCTGTGCCTTAGTAGCATTTGTTTTTAAACTATGGATTTAATTGCTGTTCCATCAGCTCCTATTTCTTCTTTCTCCCAGAAAAATGGAATATTTGAAATTCCCAAGAAAGCACATTCAATTGCCATTTCTGTTCCAACTTCAAGACAGAATCATCCTTAATAATGAAAATAAATCTGTTATTGGCAAAGCGTACCCAAGTGTTGCTTTAGGAGAGTCAGGAAAGGGAAGCAGCAAAGGGAGAGTCAGAGCGGAGCAGAGCCAGCCACAAAGGCTGTTTGTAAGCATGCCAATAACCCACCATATTTTGTACAGCATGTTATCATGTGCAAATCAGGTTCACAACAACCTTGTCAGGTAAAGCAAGAAGGTGCTGGTGGATCTTGATTTTGCAGATGAAGAGGTCCAGATTAAAAATGATATGGAACTTACTCAAGGTCATTAAGCTAGCAGGAAACAGACCCAAACCTCAAGCCCAGTACTATTGCTGCTGTATGAGGAAGAGATCATGAGAGTCCAAATTATCAGGAAAATAAAACTGTGGAGTCATGTAGCACCTGGAATTGTGCTATTTTAATTGTGATTCAGCCACTGACAAGCCACATAACCATGAGTAGGTCATTTAGCCCCTAGCTTCATTTTCCTTCTCTGTACAGTGGAACTAACGATGCTTAACCCATAAGGTTAATGTGTAGTTAGAATGTAACAATGTACGTGAAGTACCTTGCATACTAGTAATTGCAGGTGTTCAAAAGTTGCAGTTTTCTTGCCCAAACTAGAGTATGCTAACAAATTTTAGAAAATCTGTTCTCAGCATCTCCTCAAGTTTGGCTCTTTTTCTCCATAGTGTCCTAAATTGCACATGCTCCAGCCCCAAGCAGAGTTCTTCCAAATGAAAAATATTATTCATGGCATAAGAACAATGGAGGTACTTTGAGATGAGGGGCCCCTTTGCAGTCAGAAGGTAGAAAGAATCAATGTTCATTACATAATTGGGATAAACATTCATTTATATGTATAGCTGTCAGGAAGCAAAACCTGATCAAAGGCCTATTAGTCACAAGGCAGGCTTTGCAAAGGGCCACTTAGTTAAGGCAGTGAATTTAACATGAAAGGGAAGAAGGGCTGGAACACTGCAGCCTGGTACATTGTGCATTAGTAATTATTTTGTTCCTAGTTCTGCAAGCTTTCTCAAACAGAAGTTAACTGGGATCCTGAAGACTGACCATGTCAAGCACTGACGGCAGACATAGGCGAGTGATAGTTTTTCATCCCCTTGTACAATTTCTGAATTGGACAAACTTGACGACAAGACTGAGAGGCTTGACACATTTTTCAGAAAATGCTGGTTCTCAAAGACAGACTAACCCTCTTGAACCATTACAGGGCAGAACAGAACTAATTGCTCTGGCATCTCTACCTATCTCTGATACACAATTTGGACTTTGCTAAATTTTGGAAAGGTCATTCAGTCTGAACTTCTGTAAGGTCCATTCTGTACTCTAACATTTCAATAGCACTTTTCTGTAATATGGAATTCTCAACCATGACAATTGTAATATTACTAGTAATATTTATATCATTTTGTTCTATAACCAGTGTGAGCCATAAATTAATATGCATTTGTTCAACACCCACAGGACACCAGGTGCTGCTACTATACCAGAGATGGGTATTGCAGAAGTACATGGAGAGATAAATGATTTTGTTTATTTTTCACATTTTGGAAGCACATTTTCATTATACAAGCTCTCAGCACATTTGCATAATCTGCTAGTTGAATTAATACATTGACAATGCATGATGGAATTGCCTTCACTATGTTATGAAGGTATAATTGTCATTATTGTTATAATTACCCTCACTTAGTGAGCCTCTACTATGGGGGCACTACATGGGGATAGCAGAGAACAATGATTAATATTACCATCTCTAAATCCACATTGCTGTGTTTGGATCCTGACTCTGCCGCTTACTGTGTGCCCTTCAAATGCAGCTTGCTTTCTTTAAGCTTCCGTTTCTCCATCTGTGGAATGGGATTGATAACAATAGCCTCTACCTTATAGTATTGTTATAAGGACTAAATGAAGTAACTTTTGTAATGCAACCAGCGTACTATTTGATACAATTTAATAATTATTATAATTATTATCATATGCAGGTAATTTGGTGGAGAAAGCAGAAAGACAAGAAAAAAAACTAAAATATTTTTGAGTAAACATCATCAGGTAGCATTCTCTTCTGTTTGTCACCAACCTACCTTTCCAAAAATAAGAATTGCATCAGTCTTATGATAGATTTGATTTCTGGGATATCTCTAGGGTTGTGGTATTAAAGTTAGTAGAAATAAAATCTTTGCTAAGATTTTATATTCTTATGGTATCTATTTTTCAATAAGGAAGTAAAACTTTGATCTAACACTGAGTAGGAGTAACAGCAACACAAGGAGACTTATCCACCCAAACCAAATGTTATCAATGGCTTTGTTGTGTGAGGCAGGTAGATAATATTGGAGAGAAATTAAACTTGGCCTTATGCTGGCCTTGGTCCTGAATTGGGAAGGGGATACTTCTTCATCTAGAATAGACAGACTTCCCCACTGTATTGGTCAACCATTGTATTCTTCCATTTTACCCATGGAGGGTAATAGTAACCCTTGATTCATCCTCTGAAATGCTTTCCTCTTGAGACAATAAAGGGATAAAGAACCTTGGGTTGCAGGGCTAGGATGCCCTTCATGGATAGCCAAAATATGTCCACCATCACAAGGAAAATTCAGCTGCAACCTATGGACCCGATCTAAACCTGCCTTCCCAAATTCTCAAATCCTTGGCCCTCACCAACTTTTTCATAAGTGGCCCTGCTCTTGTCTTTATTCCAGCCCTGACATGTACATACCTGTGTGTGATTTTTTACCCTCCTGGCACTTTTTGGACTGGCCTTCTGGCTCCTATTGTTTTCACATTTGGCTTATTTTGTGCATTTTCTAAACCAGTCTTTACTCCCCTTCTCTGGCCAACTCATTGGCAACTTTGACAAGTAACTCAAGTGCTGATCTTCCTTTCAACGTATGCCTTGCCCCTACTTCTAGGGTTCTGGATCCTAAATGTGCTGGTAATGACAGATGTGCTTTCTCTCCCACCTTGGAATGTTTACTGCATTTGGCAGCCTCTTGGTGGGAGTTTCCTGTGATATCACCTCCAGAACCAAGGAGAGACAGGTTGTCACTCATCCATTAGCTGCATGCCACTTACTTTACAAACACTATGCTAAATACATCATCTCGTTTAAGTCTCATAACCACTCTTAAGAAGAAGTTTTTGTTATCTCTATTTCATGGAGAAATTTTAGATTGTATTCTAGTCATTGTGTTGGTATGCCGTGGAGATTCTAGATTCTGTTATATTCCTCTAAATAGTGTTAATGTTTTTGTTGTAGCGGGCAGTAAATTTGTTTAGATTCAAATTGCATACTCTGTCTAGTAAGACACCTGTGGTAGGCAGCAGCTCAAATCTCAGTTCAACTCTTTTAGCTGGGCTACTTTTAGTCTTCTTCATGCATATGTGATTTGAGAGTAAGGCACAGACCTGGCCAGAGTTGACACAGAAACTGGGGCTCCCCTACTCCATCATTTTCCTTTCTGGGCTTCCTTCTTCCCTTTCTTGAAGCCCTGGTCACCTTGGGTTCTATCTTCAATTCCTTAGGCCACAGAGATGGTGAATCTTCTCTTATGCCTTCAGCCAGCCTGTGTCATACCATGACTATGGACCATTCCTAGGACAAAATTGCAGGAAAAAAATGGGGGAGCTCATGCTCTGTTGATCTCTTCTTCCAAGTTTTAGCTCCCATCTAAAATCCACATACCTTTGTTAGCTGTCCATAGTCTTTGCGTATATTGTGTCTTTTAATATTTTGCCCAGAGTTTATAACTGTTGTTTGTGCATGTCAGATTGCTGGGTAATTATTCCACTATACTGAATGCAGAACTCCAGAAATGCTCAATAAGTGAACACTCTTATTATTATTCTCATAATAAGTCCTCTCTTTCTGAAAGTCACAGAAACACAGATACCCTGGGCAGGCATCGTGGAGCTGACAGACAAAAGGATCCAAAATGTATCTCTGGAATATTTACATCACTCAGCAGTGGTTCTCTCCAGAAGCTGTGTGGGAACATCACCCTTTCTGAGTCTCGATGTATGTGGAGAAAAGGAGGAAGACTTATTTTCTTGAGTAAAGCACAGTTGGTGAGGTGTTAAGTCTCTCCTAGCCACCTCACCCACGGAGGACACATAGCAAACAGCTCTCACTTTAGAGACAGGAGGATTTTCAAAGTACACCACACTGGCAGGATGGGACAAGCCAGCATTTTAGAGTGATCAAGAGGGCAGAAGACTCCATCCAAGTTCCCTGTAGCTCTTAAACGAGTGGGGCTGACAAATAGGGCCAGCTCATTCTTCTAAACCCTGCTGCCAGAGCTTGAAGTCTATCTGTGGAAAAGGAGCCAAAGGTTGTTTCTCATAAGGAGTGTGACGAGGGCCAAAAGGAAAGATAACTGCCCCCGAGGAGGCCTTTCATGCCACAAGGCAGCAGAAACAGATGCTGCTTGAGAATGATTCACTTCTTAGATGCCTCCATAGCATCAGAAAGCACTCCCAATGCACTAAAACAGTTTGAAAACGTAGACACTTCCATTCTGCCTCCCCACCATACTGGCTCCAATCACATACCTAGCAACTAGTCAGAGCCAGAACCAGCATCATTAGTGCCAAGACCAAACAGAGGATGATACCAGCAGTGGGGCCTAGCAGAGAAGTGACCACAGCCAGATGATGGCACAAGCTCCTGGAAGCTGACCTGCCCCATTCATCCTCACAAGCCAGGCACAGTCAAAATAAGTGAAAAGAAGAAATAGAGTCAGAAAGAAGAGGAGAGGAAAGACCCATGTGAAAGACACTGTGAGAATGAGATTGTAGATTAGACATTGTCTAAGACTCTAACTATCAGGACTGGGCTGGATAAAGAAAAAGAGAAATGACAAAAAAAGAAGCTTCCTGCTCTAGGCAGATAAAGAGTTTGGGGCCAGTAAAAAATATCACAGTTCTGAGGATAAAAGGGAGCTTTGCATCAGAACGTGACAAGGTGGTGACTCCCTTTTTGCACTGCCTACATGCACAGAACTCTGAATCTAGTTTCTGTAAAAAACATTGGCACATTTGAGCACATGGAAATTTAACCTCTGTAAGGTGGGAGGTACTCTCAATAGGCTAAAAGACACATAAGAGGGCAGGGTAATCTATTTATAATAAATAAATTAAAAGACATGTCAACAAAGTAACTCAGAGGAAAGGAACAGTTGGGCAAGTCACAAAAGCGGAGAGATGAATGTCTGAGAAACAAGAAACAAAAAAGGCTTGGTTACTCAGAGATTAATGGAAATGCAAATAAAACAAGAAAATACGTTTTTCACCTATCAGACTGGCAAAAGTGTAAAAGATTTTCAATTTTTAATGTTGATATGGAAATGAGGGAGACAGATACTCTCATCTCATGATGCTGAAGTCCAAATTAGGACCATACAGTCTTTTCAGAGAGCAATTAACAGTACCTGTCAAAGTATTCAATGTGCTTGTCTTTTGATAATCAGTCAGGTATCTATCTTATAGATTTCCTTCCAAGTATGTAAGAATATATGTACAAGGATTGTTTGCTATTACTTGACTTGTAATTGGGAGAAACCAGAGACAACTTCAATGCCCAACAGTAAGGGAATTATTAAAGAAATTATGGCTAATCCACAAGATTCAGGATTCAGGAATATTATTCAGCCACTAATAAGAATGAGGTGCATCTGTGTAAATAAAAGAGAAGCTTGTCCAAGATAATCGTTGAGTGGCACAAGGATGTTGCTAAGCTTTTCTGTGTGTCATTCTCCATTCTCAGAATGTTATACTAATTCACTCATTTAATCCTCCCTATACTCCTAAGACTTGATGCTATTGTTTCTACACCATCCCCACCCACCGCCATGTTAACCATGTGGTAACTGAGGCCCAGAGAGCTTAAGTAAATTTTCGAGGTTGGCTCCAGAGTATGTGTCTTTAACTATTATGCTCTATTGCCCCTTATTTTTGTATGTATACACGTTTTATGTTTTCATAGAGACATAGAAAGTGTGTGTTTTGGAAAATGCATATAATGCAGTATATGTCTATAGTGTGCCACCTAGTTGCCCTTTAAATAACAAGGCACACATTCACCCACATGCTTGAGCCATTAGCTACTGATGGCTTATCACGCAATCCCTCCCCAGAAACTGCCCTCTGTCAAAGGGGGCTGCCTCCTCCATGTTCAAAGCCGCTTCTGCAGGGTTGAGGGGCAACTCACATCCAGTGATGCTGGAAGAGCGTGGAATACAAAGACCTGGCCCCTTGCCTCCTTTTAAAATGATTCTGAAGGTCTATCTTGTTACTAGTGGTGAATCCATGCAGATCGGCAGCAACCTCAATTCTTGCCTCCTCAGAAGAAAGAATCCAACTGAGAGGCATACGGCAGAAGAAGAGACCAAGGCAAGTTTTAGAACAGGAGTGAAAGTTTATTAAACAGCATTAGAGCAGGAATGAAAGGAAGGAAAGTACACTTGGAAGAGGCCCAAGCTGGTGACTTGAAGGACAAGTGTGGGGTTTAACCTTTTGTCTTAAGGTTTTATTTGTTTATTTATTTATTTATTTATTATTTTTATTTTTTTGAGACAGAGTCTGACTTTGTTGCCCAGGCTGGAGTGCAGTGGTGTGATCTCAGCTCACTGCAACCTCCACCTCAAGGGTTCAAGCAATTCTCCTGCCTCAGCCTCCAGAGTGGCTGGGACTACAGGCACCCGCCACCACGCCCAGGTAATTTTTGTATTTTCAGTAGAGATGGGGCTTCACCATGTTGGTTAGGCTGATCTTGAACTCCTGACCTCAGGTTATCCGCCTGCCTCAGCCTCCCAAAGTACTGGGATTACAGGCATAAGCCACTGCACCTGGCCTGACTTAGGGTTTTATATGCTGACCTACTTCCGGCATCTTGTATTCCATTTCCCTTGATTCTTCCCTTAGGGTAAGCTGCCTGCATGCTTGGTGGCCTGCTAGCATTTAGGAGGTAAGCAAGCACAGTGCGTTTAGGAGGTGAGCAAGCACACTGGAGTTGTACACATACTCACCTGAGGCTTTCTTCCCTTTTCTGGTGGAATGCCCCTGGAAGGTCATATACCAGTTAAATTCTGCCATTTGCCTCTTAGTGGGCGTGTGTGAGCCCACGCACCGAACTCCTGAGATCTTATCAGGAAGCTTCTGATCACCAATTTTAGGTTTTCTCTATCTACAGGGAAACTGCCTTTCCCTGGTGCTGGCTGCGACCAATTATTATTTTACAGAGGCAGTGTGACAACTGCCTGACCATCACTTGATGGGCGCCTGACTTTCCTGGTGGGGTTTGGGGGCCCTCTCCTGCCCTGTTCATGTCTGACTAGCTACCAGTTAGTAACACATCCCAGTTTCCAAGCTCCCCATACAAATCAGCTAAAGCCTTTATGGAAACTAGACCTCAGTTCATCTTCCCCTCTGCCCAAGCTGCTTCCTGATACAACCAAGTTTTTGTTGTTGTTGTTGTTGTTTTGTTTTGTTTTTGTTTTTGTTTTTGTTTTTGTTTTTGTCCTCTTGGCTTCTCCAAGTTTTGTCTGGAAGATTTGATATTTTTGAATCTCCACGGGCTCTATTGTCAGATGGTAAAGGAAACCTGCTGCATTTTTTTCCTCAAATCCCTATCACACACACACAAAAAAAAACCACGAGGCACTGAGCCTTGTCAGAGTTCTGAATTTATTATATAAAATGAAAAGAGGTGTGCATTCAGCCCACTGAGAGTAAGATTTGCTGATGGAGAGGACATTGATTGATTTAGTGGTTAGAACAGAAGCCCAGGAATTTCTAGGTCTCCATTTTACTTGAAAAACTGGTGCCTCGTTTGTTCATTCATTCTCTGTGCATTCATTCATTCATTCATTGATCAAAAGTATGTTGAGTGCCTAGTCCCTGTCAAGTATTATGCTTTGGGGAGGTGGATGGGCTTGATCACAATCTGGTGAGACAACACAATGACTTCCTTGTTGGTGAGTTACTCTCTAGATGTTAGATGTACCGTTCAGTGAACTTGGTCCAATGGAGGACAACCAGTTGCCATTGCACCTGTCCCAGTGAGCTCTCCAGGGTTTAGGTAAATTTGAGATGAAGTGAGTCACTCCAGCCCACAGACAAAGCTACTGGAGAATTTTCTTCCTGAGTGGTTGCAGAGATTCTCTTTTATACCATGTAGAACAAATATAGGAAATTTCCTGTTAAATTTAGATAGCAAATGTATTGTGATAACTGCTGATGATAAGAGCAGCCTTTTGCTCTTAAAGAATATTTGGGTGAGTGATAAGATTCTGAGCTGACAGTCGAGAACTGAAATCACATATGCAAATGGAACAGTAGGGAAGCTAAGTGGACACTCAGAGAACGGAAAAATGAATAAGTGAATCAATGAAACTCAACTGTGCCGAGAAGAATGCTTTACACATTGCAGGTGCTCAATAAAGGTCACTAAAACAAAATGGAGAAACTGAAGCCTACACACTGGGTAACTTCCTCTCCATTTTCCTTCCAATGTATTTTGTGCACCTATCATGTGTTAGACATATGCTTGGGACTAATGCCTTTGCACACGCTAAGTCAAAGCATGCTCTACAATTCCAGGCAGAATTGTTCTCCACACTCCCTCCTACTATTTTGCCATATCCAGATCCTTTAAAAAGAGCTTCTACATCCAGAGAGGAAGAAAGAGAGAGAGAGAAAATGAAAGCTCAAAGTCATTTCACATGTAGCTATTGAACTTAAACCAAACTGGCTCTTGAAATGATTCTTTTGACAGAGGATCTGCTCTTAGAGCAACAGAAGCATTATGTCAGTGCAGTGATGACTGAGATATTTTTAGATGCCCATGTTCTGACTTTAAGCAAAAAGTGGAGCTGTCCAGTACTCAGCAGAAACCGGCATCCAACAGCAGAAACCTCTGGTATTGTGGGGACGCAGAGCTAAGGTGGCTGAGGGAAAATCCAATCAGATGTTCAAGCTCAAATTTTTATGAGAGATTACATAGGACCTTTGTTTGTGGAAGTCACTTTTGAACTATGAATAGCACTTGCCTATTCTTGAGTAGTCATCTTACAACAATGTAAATGACATGCTTAGCTGAAACCTACTGAATGAATACCAGTTGACAAAAAGAAAGGATTCAAAGTAAAATGTCCTCAGGCTGGTACCATGAAGGAAAGAAGCAGTCAGGTGGGAACAGTGGTGACCTAGAGAGCCTGTACTCAGAGGGAAGGATCATCAAACTCCAAATTCAAGCCCATTATATAGCCCTGTGGGAATTCAGACTCTGGTATGAGCCTAGGATGTTTCAAGAGAAGCAGGAAATCTTGACTTCTATCGAAATTTCTCAATATTTAAGAAAGAAATAGGCACCCTCTAGAGACATATTTTGGTTAGGTTTAACCAATGGGAGGCACCAGAAGGCAAATGGCCACCTCAGAGAGTGGGGACAAGGGAAACCAAGAGGATGAACAGGACGTGCAGCAGTTGGATGTTGTCACGGCAACCAAGAATGGGGTACTGGGAAAGGATAACTTCCTTCTTCCCTTTTTTCTTTTGTAGCTTTGGCATTTAGATAAAAACCATGAAGGGTATTGTGTGAATAAAGACCTGATTTTCCCTGTAAGACACATTTGGTTTTTCTCTCACACTGCTCTCCTGGCTTTGCAGCACCTTGGAGAAGTCGGGAGAGGCCCTCTTAGTTCTGAGGTGACTGAGCCTCTATCGTGTGGGCTGGCTGTGTATCTGAAAATATCGAGCTGTGCTCCAAAAGCTTTTCCACCGGGTAAGGGCCTGGTCCTTCCTGCGTGTTGACAGTGTATCTTTGAGGAATTTGTAGGAAAAGGTGGGAAAACAGAATGTGTTACCAACCTTCTTTAGTACAGATAAAATATACCTCATGCTATTCTTTGTTTTCTCCTTGGATTTTCTGGAACTTCATTTTACTATCTGAAACTTCCTTTCCAGGCTTGATGAAGAAAGCCTTCAAGTTGTAGAATGAGATGAAAGTGGCTCTGGGCTGGGGATCTGGGGACCTAGGCCAGTTGATAATAAGTTGAGTTTGGTCAAGTGTCTCTGAAACTCAGTTATTCTTACTTGTAATGCAACAGCAATAAGGTGATGGCCTACTGTGAAGTCGGGAGCCTCAGACCCAGGGCAGACAATCTGGGCTCAGTTCAAGATTTAATATAATCTAGATGTGTGATTTTGGTAGATCACGTCTCCTGGTTTCAGTTTCCCAATTGGTAAAATTAAAGTGCTGAGTTGTTCATTTATCCAACAAATATTTGTTGAGCTCTTAATATGTGCCAGGTTGTTCAGGAGTTGGACTAATGTTAAATATTTCATAGTTATTTCTCTGGTTAAATGTTGCCCTCCAAAGCATATATATATATATATATATATATATATCTCCACATCCTAATCCTGGGAACCTGTGAATGTGACCTTATTTGAAAAAAGGCTCTTTGCAGATATAACTAAGAGATGAGGTGATCGTAGATTACCAGGTGAGTCCTAAACCCTTTGACAAGTATTCTTGTCAGAGACACGCAGAGGAGAGAACAACATAGGAATAGGCCATGTGAAAACAGAGGCAGAACTTAGTGATGTGGCCACAAGCCAAGGATATCTGGGGACACCAGAACTTGAAAAGGCAAGGAAGAATTATCCTCTGGAGCCTTCTGAGAGAGTATGGCCCTACCAATACCTCGATTTCAGACTTCTGGGTTCCAGAACTGAGGGAGAATAAATTTTTATTGTTTTAAGCCACTGAGTTTGTGGTAATTTGTTATGGCAGCTTTAGGAAATGAATACAATGAGGTTCAGGCCCACCAACTGGCAACTGACTTCTCCTCTTTTGTGGGATGACCATCTGTGGATGCGCAAGGGACTTTCATGAAGCAGCAACACCATTTGGTTCAACTCAAAGCTCCCTGCTGAGGGTACAATCCAAGGTGGTTCTTTCTGCTCAGGTTACCATGGTCCCCACCACATGATGATGTCATTCTTGAGGGAGGCAGCTGGTTTACCAGGAGAAAACATCTGACTCAAGCTTGTAAGCAGGCTGTGATGAACAAATTGGATCGATTAAATTCTTCTCTTTGCAGAGTTTGAATTTAAGACACACAAAAAAATTAGTTGTTAGAAGATGCAAAAGAAGGAAATGTGAAGAACCTACAAGGTGGTGGAAAACATATATAATTTAATAAATGTAATATAGCATTAAATAAATAATTAGAATAAATAATTCTAAATAAAATTTAGAATTTAATAAATAAAATATAGAATTTATGGTAGAGAAAATATGCTTTTAAAAATCAATTTGTGCCAGGTGCAGTGCCGCACACCTGTAGTCCTAGCACTTTGGGAGGCCAAGGTGGGTGGATCACTTGAGGTCAGGAGTTCAAGACCTACCTGGCCAACATGGTGAAATCATCTCTACTAAAAATACAAAAATTAGCCTGATGTAGCAGCAAGTGCTTGTAATTCCAGCTACTCAGGAGACTGAGGCAGGAGAATCGCTTAAACCCAGGAGGCAGAGGTTGCACTGAGCCAAGATCACACCATTGCACTCCAGCCTGGGCAACAAGAGCAAAACTCCATCTCAAAAATCAAATGAAAATAAAAATCAATTTGTTATGTTTGAAAGTGGATTGGCCCCCACTGGGAAAAGGATTACTGTTTCAAAGTTCACATTTCCAATGTCTTCTCTTGCCACTCTCCCCATTTGTCAGTGCATTTTCAGGTTTCCCCCATTTAAGGTTTTTATCAGGCTAGCCAGAGGCTTCACCTGGATTCTTCTCCTAGGGCTTCTTACCTGAACCATATGTTGGAGATAATCCCATCCTGGACAGCAGTCCTGGCTTCCAGAAACACTGGCCTAGCCCACGATGTCTTCTTTTTTTGTTATCTGAGAAATGTGCACATTGTCCTACAGAAACTTACTAAAAAGTCACAGAGACCGGCAGTAGATGACTGTTCTAGCTCCATGCCTAGTGCCAGGTTCACACTACTCCTGAAAAATGATTAATAAAAAGGATAACAATAAGTATCATTTCTTGAACTCCAATACCAAGTCAAGTGCCAGAGTAGGAATTTAGCATGAATTATCTTGGATTCTCATTATAATTCTGCCAGGGGGATAGTATCATCTCCTTTTCAGGCATTTATTATTAACAGTATTTATCTGGCAGAAAGTTTTTGAAGATCATCGATGATATGTCTAAAATGGTACACAGGAAACACTTATGTTGGTTGTTGCTGCTGCCACTACTACTACTGAGGAGAGTAGCTCAGGAGGTTATGTAATTTCTCCAAGGGTCACAGAGATGGCACTGATGGAGCCAGGATCTGTTCCTTGACCTGTTTGATTCTGTGTCTGTACTACTTTTGACTATTTCCCAGGTCTTTCATGGGGAACAAGGCAATGGCTAAGCCTTAGCCATGGGTGAATCTGGTCACTGACATGACCTGGATTGCCCCAGAAGGGCACTGTGGGCTACACAGTAACTCTTCACTCTTAGAAGGGAAGTGACTGTGGACAACAGTGACCATGATGCCTCACCTGACCTTGGAAAGCACGTGTGGAACCCACTATGTCCTTTCAGAGAGACTGTGGTTTCTTTATCCGGGCAGTGTCTCTCTACTCAGCACTCTCTAAAATCCCCTGCCTTCTGCTCTAGATACCTACTGCTTCTTTTGCCCTTCAATTTAGCTCAACGCCAGTGGACTCCCCTGCACTTGATGGTGACATCTGTTTCCATTCTAGCCTCCAGAAAATTTTTCAAAAGTTCCCATTGACCCACTTGTTCATTGCAATTTTTGTTGGAACACCCCTCCCAGTCCTTGAGGGTTAACATTGTGATGGACGTTCTGCTAGTTCTTCTAAAACAGAGGTTGGCAAAGCACAGCCACTGATCAAGACTAGACAACTGCCTGTTTTTATAAATAAAGTTTTATTGGAACTTTATTAAGTGAGCCATGCTCATTTGTGTGCCTATAATCCATGGCGGCTTTGGCACTGCAATGTCAGGGTTAAGTAGTCACAACAGAGCCTGTATGGCCTACAAAGCCCTTTACAGAAAGAGTTTGCTGACCTCTTCCCTGGACTATAGAATATTTTCTATGTACATACCTCTATATGTGTGTGTGTGTTTGTGTGTATGTGTTTGTGTGTGTGTGTCTGTGTGTGTGTACATTTTACTGAGACTCAATCCATTAGGCATAGGCATGAGAGGTTTTATTAATTCCAGTAGCCATCTTCACCTAAGTCACGTTGCTCTTACTTTCCCTCCAGGTAGAATCTTCTTTAATGATATCTAGGTCCACTTTTATAATTTTCAACCACCTTCAGTTATTAAAAGTCTCTGTCTGGTAAACTGATTAACACATCTCGTTTTTTAGCACCAGCTAGAAGTGTGGCCCTAGCTAGTTCAGAACATATTCCCTGGCTGCAAGATACATCCCATCTCCCTTTTCTACTCATGAAACAATTTTAGAGGAATGAGGAGGGAGAGGTGGAAAAATTTAAAACTCCTTACTTTGCTGGTGATACTGCATTTCTCTCTTTGGTTAGACAAACTTACCAATCTTGCTGTCTGTCTGTCAGCCCCATGAAGATGGCTGGTGGCTCCAGTGTGGGGGAATGAGTGATTAGTTGTCAGGCATTGGAAGCCCCCTGAGGCATCCGGTCACTTCTTCTAGCTGGTTTCTAGCTGGTGGCAGTCACCACACATCTCTCTGATATGTCCCTCTTTGCCTCCCCATCCCCCAGTACTGCATAGGCCCTGTCTCCAGCCTCCACTCTCATCTCCTCTCCCCTCCCCAGCTACCTCTGGGGCATGACTCCCTCCACCTATCTTCCTCCTGTTCTCCTTTCTCCTGGCTGACATCCTTCCAGGGAAAATTACTGTGATTCCTCCTTACAGCACACACTTCCCACCTTAAGATGGGATTTTCTGTAAGCTTTGTCCTCCCTTGTGCTCTCCTCCCCCTTGAGAAGAGGAATGATAACCTCTCACTTCAACCCCTGTATACCTCACAAGGCTAATAGCTTCTTTAGCATCTCTTGTTATTGGCCCAGAGGGAAAAAGGAGGCACATGTATAATGGTAGTAGAATCAATTCTGGCTTGGTCTAGCATGGCTTAGAGGAGGGTGGCCACAGCCAGTTGCTAGTGGCTCTCCTTAGAATGTAGGATGCTTAGCATTTGTTCTCATCTTTGGATTGTAACCACTATACTGATAAAAAAAAATCACTTGTCAATTTCAAAAGTTTGCATTTGTATGAACATATGTGGAGGAGAGGATTTTAAAAGGGCGAAGGACTTTTCTTGTTTTGAAGAAAATAGGAAAGTGTTCTAGTTATCATGTCAAAACTTGCTTTTACCTATTCACTGATATATTGTGAATACCTTTCTGTCTTTGTATGTATACATTTACATTAACCTTTTTAATGTCTGCATAATACTCCATCATACTACATCCTCTGATGTATTTACTAATTTTCCTATTGATGAACACTTAGATTGCATAAGGTTTTACTACCATAAATAATACTGCGATAAATACACCATATACATGTCCTTGCACTTGATTCTAATTATTTCTCTGGAAGAAAGTTCTAAAAGCAGAATTGCATGCCAGAGCATATACATAATTTTATTCTGATACACAGTTCTAAAGTGCTACTTTAACACTCCCATTAACAATGAATTAAAGAGATTATTTTTCTTCTACCTGCTGTCCAATACTGAATAGTATCAGTTATTTTAAGATTTGCCAGTAGGAGCTAGGAAAAGTGATATTATCTTTTTCTCCCCCTAATATAAATTCAATTCAATTAAATAGATGTATTTTGCGTGGCTGCCAGGCATAAGGCGCAAAGACAGGAAGAAGAACCATCTCTGCCTATATCCCCATAAAGGTAGTGAAGGAAGGCTCTAGGGTGTAATGGAAGCAGCACTGTCTTTGAAAGAAAGCCTGGTATTCGAACTGCAGCTTTGCTATTTACCAGCCGGGTCATCTCCAGCAGCAGCTCCCTGAGCCTTTGTTTCCTCATCCAAATATGTGCATGATAATAACCTTGTACTTGGCACGTATTGGCTGGAAAATGGCATCTACTACCACCATGGCAAGAGAGACTTTGCTAAGTATATGCAATATGAAAGGGAAAGATAGAAAAGAAAGCATCCATGCTTACTGTTGAAAGCGGAAGGATATCAGGGAAAGATTTGTGGATTTGAGTTGGACTTGTTTCTTTGAAAGATGGGGCTGCGAGGGAAGAACTGTTGTAGGAAAATGTGTGGAGAAAGATGTTAAGCATGACGAGGTGGGAGTGGGGACAGAATGCAGTTCTGAGTGGCTAGGGCAGAGCATGTCACGGAGTGAAATGGGGCGCTGTATAGTGTATGAGCCAGAATGTGAGCACTGAGTAGCAGGTGCGGGTAAGTCGTTAAGTTTCCAACCTATCTGCAATAGAGAAGAGCTGAAAATTTTGGAGGAGAAAAGCACAGGAAGAGAGCAAGCAGTATGTCACCTGAAAGGTAAACTTTGTAAGGACTTCTAACCCACCATATTCAATTTGCTTCCGTACTGACTTATCCTAATGAAACAATGACCCCAAACCATGATCACCTAAAGTAGCAATGGCCCTTTCCCAATCTACAAGAAAATTAGGTGTAGAATTGTCTCTGTGCTTAGGGTATTCTCCTGCCTTTTTGCTTTTCTTTCTTTAATCTTTGATAGTCACAAACACTGTCTACTCTAGATTCTAATACAAAATTGTATCTGGCTCATCATAACATTGTAAAGTGTTGCTTATTTTTTCAGATGGGGTCTCACTCTGTTGCCCAGTCTGGAGTGCAGTGGTGCAATCATGGCTCACTGCAGCCTCAAACTCCCAAGCGCAAGTGGTCCTCACACATCAGCCTCCTGAGTAGCTGCAACTACAGGCACGCACCTCCACATCTGGCTAATTTTAAAAAAATTTTGTACAGATTGGCTCTCCCTATGTTGCCTAGGCTGGTCTCAAACTCCTGGGCTCAAGTGATCCTCCCAACAAGGCATCCCAAAGTGCTGGGATTACAGGTGTGAGCCACCGTGCCTGGCTAGGCGTTTGCTTTAATTTGAATATATTATACCAATACCAACGTGGTGTTTGCAAAAAGTATGAGGAATTCTGTGTCTCCATCTCTGGGACACACTTGTGAACAATTGTTACAAACTATGAGCATCTTCAGGGCAGAGACTGGTGCACTATTTATTCTTGTTTTCCTCCCAGAAGCTGGTCCAAAGCATAAGACGTAGTAGCGCCTCAAAAAATTCTTGTTGAAATAAGTAGAATATTCTGAATTCTGTAGAGAATGGTAGAACGTGAAAGAGAGATATAAAGTCCTATACCAACCCAGCAAAGAAGTTGGTAAATGGTTCAACAAAAATGACAGACATATAATAAAAACGTTAATCAAAACTGTAAAACACAATGAAACTGTAGGCATGATACAATAAGGTCATTGAGTAAAATTGTGCAACTGATATTGCAATATATATTTTAAATGAATAGGGTTTATTTATCAATTAAAATTTATTTTTAAAATACTTCATTTTTCTTCCAAACAAATCACACACACACACACACACACACACACACACACACACACACACAGAGTTCATTTCTCAACATTCTTTTCACTGCAACATTTGACATAGGAATAGAAACAGATTGTTGAACCAGCTTTTTAACAAATGTGGAGCAGCAGGTTCTTTGTTGAAAAACTATTTCCACTTATCAAGAAATGTTTTTCTCTGAAAAGAAGTGAACACTGTGTTCAAAGCATTGACTTCCTTATAAAGCAAATTGGGAGCCAGCTCATTTTTCCACACTGATAACGTTCAGATTTGAATTATTTCAATCAAAGAGGGAGATGCTCAGGATTGACCTAAGCTAAAGCAGCCAGAGACTATGTGGTCAAGAAAACCGCTTTATTTGAGAGGATTGTGATTCCAGCTAGTGCTGCAGAGGTAAATGTATTAACTAGTTGAATTGATATGTAATCCCCTGTAATGTATATGTAAACTTCATGTGTGTACATGGAGAGGGACAGGGAGAGTATCATTTCCCCCACCTCAAATAATTTCTAGAACTAAGTTAAATATGTCACTTATGGAAACAAACTTAATTGGATGGCATTTCCAAATTGCTGTTACCTCGAAAGCTTGCAACAAGATATGTAAAAGAAGAAAAGAAGACAAAAGAAAAATTATCATAAAGCATATGTTTACAAAAGAAAAACAATGTAGCCTTTCTGCACAAGTGCCCCAGGGCAGCTGGAAAAAAGGGTTGGTACAAATTAGAAATGGTCTGCACTATATAGAGACCCATCTGCCTAGAGGAACCAGTAAGGAATTTGCTCTTTCTTTTCTTTTAATTTGTCTGCATCACAATGTAGGCACAGGGAGTGAGGTAGTATTTTTTTTTTTTTTTTTTTTTGAGATGGAGTCTTGCTCTGTCACCCAGGCTGGAGTGCAGTGCAGTGGCGCAATCTCGGCTCACTACAAGCTCTGCCTCCCGGGTTCAGGTGATTCTCCTGCCTCAGCCTCCCGAGTAGCTGGGACTACAGGCACCCCCCACCACGCCCAGCTAATTTTTTGTATTTTTAGTAGAGACAGGTTTTCACTGTGTTAGCCAGGATGGTCTCGATCTCCTGACCTCATGATCCACCCACCTCGGCCTCCCAAAGTGTTAGGATTACAGGCGTGAGCCACCGCGCCCAGTCGGTAGTATGTTTTTTAAGCTGTGCAACAAATTCCTGTGAATTTAGCAGCTTAAAACAGCACCCATTTATTAGCTCACAGCTCTACAGGTCAGAAGCCAGGTGAGTTTGCTACACAGCATCTCACAGGCCAAAGTCAAGGTTTTGGCCGTCTAGAGTCTCATCTGGGAGGGTCTGGGGGAGAATCTGCTTCCAAGCTCATTTTGTTGGCAGAATTCAGTTTCAAGTGGTCGTAGGACTGAAAACCCTTTTTCCTTGTTGGCTGTGGGTGTGGGGTTGTTCTCTTCTCTTAGAGACCACTCTCCCTGGGGACCTCCAGACTCAATGCCTGCCAAGTTGCTTGGAATTTTCTCATGCTTTGATTCTCTCTGCCTGCAGCCAGAGAAAACACTTTACTCTTCAAGGGTTCCTGTGATTAGATTAGGTTCACCTGGCTAGCATGCCTTTTGATTAATTCATAATCAAACAAATTAATAATTTTAATCATATCTGCAAAATCCTTTATGCCAGGCAGCATAATGTGATCTCAGGCATGATATCTCATGATGTTCACAGTCCCAGGAATCAGGGTGGGCCACCTTGGCGGGGAGAGAGGTGTATCCTAAGATTCTGCTTTCCACAGGGAACATGACCAAGACCTGTCATGATGGCATGATATTAAATCATTTATTTTATTAATTTCCTTCTAGCACAAAGAGTTCAGCAGCTTAGTGACAGGATGTGGGCCATGGTGTCAGTCTACTTGGGCTTAAAACCTAGCTTCTCAACTATGACTGTGTGACCTTGGGCAAAGTAAAGTCCCTTCTGCCGTAGTGCTTGTTTTGAACGTGCCAGTGGCTCCAGAGACACTGGCATATAGGGAAGATTTTAAGCATCAGGCAGTCTTCCCATTTGCTTATGCACAATTTCCTTCTCATGGAATACTAAGCGCAAAAAACGGCACCCAGGAATAAAAACTGCCATTTAGGAATACACGAAATGCACACATTTCAAACAACTTCCTCAGTTCACTGCATGCGTTATGAGCCACACCCATCCAAGAAGTGCTACAACTTGCCTTCTGATTTCAGATGATCCCCCTTCTACAACTTCCCAAGTTTGCTTTCGCAAGTAAATGTCAAGCCCCAAGGTGAAGTTCCGTATTTATTGTAGTATTTGTGTATTTCTTAACTAGGTAATGTGCATAAAACTATACTACTGTTTTTATGAGTTCCCTACCTTTATTTTAATGTGTAACTGATGAAGTTTCTTGAGTGTGGTACCTGTTATAAGTTGAATTGTGCGCCCCAACCATTAGTATGTTGAAGTCCTAATCCCCAATACCTCAGAATGTAACCTTATTTGGACATTAGGTCTTTTCAGAAGTAATGAATTTAAAGTGAAGTAATCGGGTAAGTCCTCATCCATTATAATTTCTGTCCTTATAAAAAGGAGAAATTTGGACAGGTACAGAGGAAGAATCTGTGAACTCACACAGGGAGTACACCGTATGACCATAAAGGCAGAGAGCAGGGTGATGCATCTACATCCCAAGAAATGTGAAAGATTGCCAGCAAGCCACCAGAAGACAGGAGAGGGGCATGGAACAGAGTGAACCTTACAGCCCTCAGAAGGAACCAACCCTGCCCACACCTTGATTTTGGACTTCTGGCCTCTAGAACTGTGAGATGCACTTTGTGGTATTTTTGATGGCAACCCTAGGAAACTAATGCAGACACAAGCCAAATTTTCTCATAAGCCCTATGGATATTATTTCATGGTTTTGCAGAGTAAAATTATGATTTTCAGCATAATTTTCAACATAATTTTAGCATAGAAAGATAATAACACTTAGGAATGTATATATTGCATTATAGCAGAAATGACTGTACTTAAATACTGTCTCAGTTCTCAGTTGTTTCTTCTTTTTTTTTTTTTTTTTTTTTTTTGAGGCGAAGTCTTGTTTTGTCGCCAGGCTGCCAGGCTGCCAGGCTGCCAGGCTGGAGTGCAGTGGCATGATCTCAGCTCACTGCAACCTCCGCCTCCTGGGATCAAGTGATTCTCCTGCCTCAGCCTCCCGTGTAGCTGGGACTACAGGCGCACACCACCACGCCCAGCTAATTGGGTTTTTTTTTTTTTTTTTTGTATTTTTAGTAGAGACGGGGTTTCACCATGTTGGCCAGGATGGTCTTGATCTCCTGACTTCGTGATCCACCCACCTTGACCTCCCAAAGTGTCGGGATTACAGGCATGAGCCATAGCGCCCAGCCTGTTTCTTCTATTAAATGGATTCCAATATGATTATTGTGAGGACTTAATGAGACTGTGCACGTAAGCTATTCAGAATGAAATTAGCACTAGTGAATGCTGGCTATCATTGCTATCCTAATTAAACTGCCTGCTTCAAAACTGAATTTTGGGTTAATTACAAATAGCAGTAAGGGTTAAATTGTGCTCCAAGTCCCAAGTAAACAGCCTAAAATCTTTATACAATGGCTCACTCTAGTATAAGCTTGTGGAAACAGCTTCTTTAGAGAGACCCATGTACTGTGCAAGCAAAAGAATACAGATGCTAAATATAGGGCCTACATCAACACTTGCCCAAACTGGGTGTTGATAAGGAATATTGCTGATTTGGAAAAATAGGCCTTTTAAGAGCAATGTAACTATTTTCAGCCCTGTGATTGACTAACATCAGGATAAGTTCAGAGGAAACTCACCCAGCTGCTTGTTGAATGCTTTACTTTTTTTTTTTTTTCTGATACGTGGTCTTATTCAGGGTCTCAGGCTAAAGGGAAGTGTTGGAATCATAGCTCAGTGCAACCTTGAACTCCTAGGCTCAATCAATCCTCCTACCTCAGCCTCTCAAGTATCTGGAACTACAGGTGCATGCCGCCACACCCAGCTAATTTTTGCGTCTTTTTGTTGTTGTTGTTGAGATGGGATCTTGCTATTTTGCTCAGGCTGGTCTTGAACTCCTGGCCTCAAGCAATCTTCCCGCCTCAGCCTCCCAAAGTGCTGGGACTACAGGCAAGAGCCATCACATCTGGTCTGAATGCTTTAATTTGGATGAGGTGTCCTAGAGAGCTAGCGAAGCTATACAGAAAGAAGCCAGGCTTTATGTCTGGGGGAAGTGCTTATGCCCTGAGCGCAAAGCATGTTGAGTTCCTTGTGAAAGCCAGGGGAGGTCACTGGGTTGGGCAGGCATTGAAAGATGGTCTGTGACTCACAGGAGTGTCCACGATGGAAGCAGAAATCCAAAATGCAGGATCTGTGCAATGTCTGACTTAGTTAAGTCAACAAATTCCCAGAGAAATAAGAAGTCCTTGGACCAGAGTGGCCTAACTGAGCCCTAGGATTTTAGTCTGATGTAAAGAACGTGGGCTCTTTGGAATCAGAGATGCCTAGTGGAAATCCCAACCCTGCTGTTTATTGGTTATATGACCTTGAACGATTTTACCTTATTTCCCCAGGCCTCAGTTTTCTTGCCTGTAAAGTGGCCATAATAATAGTTTACTTGTAAGGTTGTTGTTAGCACTAAATTAAAGAGAATTTATGGACAGGTCCTGGCACATGTTAAGTGCCCAACAAATGACAGGTCCACATTTGTCCCTTCTCTACAGCTGCTATGAGCTACGTTTCCACAGGGCATAGCTCTTCCCACACCAGCCAGAGGCCAGGATGTGGTTGTCTGATGAGAGAGAGATGTAAAATGACCTGACCTATTACTGGTACCTTATTGTCCTGTGCTCTACAATGGTTAGTTACCATTCTCTCATGTTTTCATTTCTCAGTATCTTCTGCCTGCCTCTGCCCACCCCAAATAGTCCTAGAGATGAAATTTGAATTAAAGTCTACCAGACTTTGGTTCAGATTCCAAACAATAGTCCCAAAGTGCTTTAGAACAGTTGGAATTGCTTTTATGCAAAGGAACTCTAACCCAAGGGTAGTATGTTTGGTAGTAAATCTTTACTGATGGTTTAGGATAATGGAAGAGGAACAACAGAAAAAAAAAGTTCAACATCACTAATCATCAGAGAAATGCAAATCAAAACCACAAAAATGCTGGCGAGGTTGCAGAGAAAAGAGAATGTTTATACACTGCTGGTGGAAATGTAAATTAATTCAGCCATTGTGGAAAGCTGTGTGGCAATTTCTCAAATTTAAATCTTAAAACAGAACTATGATTTGACCCAGCAATCCCATTATTGGGTGTATACCCAAAGGAATATAAATCATTCTACCGTAAAGACACATGCATATGTGTGTTTATTGCAGCAATATTCACAATAGTGAAGATAAAGAACCAACTTAAATGTCTATCAACAGTAAGCTGGATGAAGAAAATGTGGTACATATACACCATGGAATACTACGCAGTCACTAACAAGAATGATATCATGTCCTTTGCAGCAACATACATGGAGCCAGAGGCCATTATCCTAAGTGAATTAAGAGAGGAGCAGAAAACCAAATATCACATATACTCGATTATAAGTGGGAGCTAAACATTGAGTACAGACGGATACATGTGTACTTGAGGGTGGAGGGTAGGAGGAGGGTGAACATCAAAAAACTATCAGGTACTATGCTTATTACCTGAGTGACAGAATAATCTGCACACCAAACTCCTATGACATGCAATTTACCTATATAACAAACCTGCACATGTACCCTTGAACCTAAAATAAAAGTTAAAGGGACAATATAGGCAATAACTTAAAAATGAAGATTTTGAAGATTGTATGGCTAAGATAACCCAGGTATCCCTGCCCACCAAGGATCATTTACTGCTGGTTATTCCCCAGGTTTGCCCTGCCTTAGATTCCAACTTGCCTTCCTCTTACTGGACGTGTCTCTGTAGTCCACACCATCCTCCCTTCTCTCTTTCCTGCCACCAGTTTGTAACCTCCAAAATGCTTGTTTCTTTCTTACTTGAGAATTTTTATTCTTCAAACTCCAGGCCCACTGAAAGTTTGTTCTAGGCTTATCTGCACATCTTCAAAAATGCATCAGTGGTCTGTTAGGGTGGAGTTTGTGCACAGTCTCTCTCCGCAGTCTAAGCAGAGTCCTTAGGTGAAACACAGTCAGTTCATATCACTCTTCTGCTCAGAACCTTCCAGCGAGTTCTGTGAAAGTCCTTTCCAGCCTACATGATCTTCACAGCTACACTCTGTCAGCCTCGTCTTTTCATCCAGGCACACTGGCTTTCTTGCCCCTCCTTTATCAGGCAAGGTATGCTGGTTCAGAGCCTTAGCACTTGCTGTTTTCTTGGCCTGAAGTGCTGCTCCCCCAGATTTCCTATCTTTATCATATTATTTGGGTAATATTATTTCTCATATTCGGGGGACTCAATGGTAGCCCTCCAAAAATATATCCATGGTCTGATCTCCAAAATCTGTGAATGTTATCTTCTATAGAAAAGATAAGATTTAGTTAAGGATCTTGAAAAGGGGAGCTTATCCTGGATTCTTGGGTGGGCTCTAAATGCCATCACAATATCTTTATAAGAGAGAAGCAGAAGGAGATTGGAGGAGGCAATATAACCATAGAGGCAGAGGTGGGAGTGATGCAATCACAAGTCAAAGAATTGCTGACAGCTGCCAGAAGCTGGAAAAGAATGGATTCACCCCTAGAGCCTAGAGAAGGAGGATGGCCCTACTGAAGTCCTGATTTCAGACTTCTGGTCTCCAGAACTGTGTGAGAATGAATTTCCATTGTTTCAAGACACATAGTTTATGGTAATCTGTTACAGCAGTCATAAGAAACTAATGTAGTCTCTATTTACATTTGTTCATATTTCATCTCAGGGAGATGTCTTTTGACACTTTCATACAAAAATAGCCCCTGCTACACACATACACACAAACACACACACACACACACACACGCGCGCGCACATACTCTATCCCCATTCCACCAGCCAGATTTACTGTTCTTCATAGCATTCATCACTCTCTGACACGTGATATACTTATGAGTTCATTTATGTATTATCTATCTCCTACTCTATCACGTAAGCTCCATAAGGGCAGGCCCTTTGTTTTATTAACTGATATATCTCCAGAACCTAGAAAAGCACTTGGATCAAAGTGAAAGCTCTCTAATTACTTATTGAGTAAATGAATGAAAGCCTTCCCCTTTAACTGCATAAAGAACCTTAGAAACTTTGAAATTATAATTTATATTTGAAGACCTCACTGCAACCCAAACCTCACCTTCAAATGTATGACCAGAAAAGTAGCAATAAATACATTTATTCTACTGCTGCCGAGAGTAAATCTCTAGAAGTCAGAGGGGTGTGTGTGTGCGTGTGTGCATGTGTGTGTGTGTGTTGGGTGCTAGATAAAAGGAAGAGAAGGACACAATGTCTTTGCGGTTACATCTGCCAAGCTCAGATGCCCTGAGGTTAAGAGAAAAGTGAGCTGCATCTTTCCAGCCCGTCCACACCTGCCAAGTTGTTCTTTACTATTTTATTATTTGCCCAGCAGGTTTAGAACAGGAGCTGTAATGGAGGGATAGTCTTACTTTGTCACAACTCAGAAGTGACATGCTATTTTTCTGTGCACCAATTTTCTACCCCAGGAGGCTTTATGAGCAATGGATTAAGGGGAGAGAAAGTGGTTCCTATTTAAGTACTGAATCTTGTTAGTCAAACAGGGCAGAACTGAGGCTTTCACTCTGAAGAACACAGAAAAGGATTGATGGATCAGATCACAAGTTACTTCGATGCTTAATTTTCTGGCTTTATTCCTTCACTGATGTTTCATGTAACATATCTGAAAAATCTCAGGTGAATAGAATGCTGATTTTAGACTGGGAGGAGTTGGTACTATCTTAGAATTCCAAGCTTTCCTCCTTCCTCTCCTTCTCATTCCACTCTAACTCATCATGCTTCCACCATTCTTCCAAGGGTGTTCAACACCTTTAGATTCTTCTAAGGATGTTCAACACGTGTAGATTAAGTGCTTACTAGATTTCTGCCACCAGATGTTGTACTCTGGGGACATAAAGGTTGATTAAACCCAGTCCTTATTTGCCAGATGGGTCTTGGTATCCTGGAGAAGCCAGAAATTTAGACATTGGAGCACAGCCTTAAAGAACGAGTAGAAATTCTCCAGGCAGAATCTAAGGAGAAGGAGGTTCCTGGTAGAGAACCAACAAGATTAAAGAAAGTCTGTTCTTCATTAGAGAGACAGAAGATAATTCTGCATGGCCGGAGGGTAGGGTAATGATGGAGGTGGAAACTGTTGCTTGAGAGGCAACAAAAGCCAAGTCATGAGGCATTCCACCGTGCTCAAGTACTGGGACTCTAGCCAATGGGTAACTTTACAGAAGGACATTCACTGGAGAGTGACTCAGTCACTTCACCCTTCTGGTTGTACATGGAAGATAGATGAGAGAAATGAGCAGAAGAGGGAGACTGGTTTGGTGGCTATGCCAATTTCAGAAGGAAGAGACGAAACTCTAACAAAGAAAGCGGCAACAAACACAGAAAAGATGGAGCAAATTAGATGCAAGTGAACCCCACAGGCACTAATAATTTGATCAAAATAATTATTCTCTCCAATATTCAAGCCACAATTCTGCTGCAAAATGGCAGTGAAGGCAGGACCAGAAACCAGAAAGAACTTGTGCACTCTCAAGTATTCTGTATCTGTCCCATCTTCTCTGCAAGGAAGTTGTTATACAAGTAACGGATGAATCAGATATGGAAAATGAGATTGTGGAAGGAGCCTGCTGGAGCTCCTAGGATTTTAAGGTTAGATGTCTGTGCCATTCAACTTTTCTGATGATTGTTGTAGGTGATGAAATGGAGCCAGTGAGCATAACCTATGGATCCCTGTTGTGTTTGGAGACAATATTTTCCTTCAGATTGTGGACAGATCAATGTATTACACATGAAAAATGTAGCAGAGATGTTTTAGTGTAGTCATCAAAGCTACCCTGACATGCATCTAGTGAACCACATGATGATTATTTTATGACGTATTAATTAAGTAGCAATAGTAAACAGTTGCTATAATGATAGCTCTTGGCCTTCTATTTCTAAAGTTAATTCCAGTGTTTTTGCAATCCCCTAGTGAGAGAGGAGATCAGAGGAGGCAGTAGGGTAACAGAGACTTAGTAGTCTTCAGATACCCCTTCCCTTCTCCAAGCCAAGCTTTCCAGCTGAAGCCTTAGACCTGAGCATCCTCAGGGGCATCTTAAAGAAAAAGTCTATTCTGTCCCAATTCCCAAATTTAGGATGTAGTGAATTTGTCCTTTGGGGTTCCCCCAAACTTCACCTGTAGTTTGGATCCTATCTAGGTTTTCCTGGATTAAGAACACAGAACTCTTTAGAGAGGGTTCTGTACCATTGTTATTATGGGCTGACTGTGTCCTCCTGAAATTCACATGTTGAAATTCTAACCTTCAATGTGATGGTATTTGGAGGTAGGGCCTTTGGGACGTAATCAGATTAGGTCATGAGAGTGGAGGAGGAGACATTGGGATCCACCTGCACCCCCACTTTCTGCCGTACGTGGATACAATGAGACAATGGCCCTCTACAATCCAGGAAGTGAACAGTAGGCTCTCACAAGACCCTAGATCTTCCAGAGTCTTGATTTTAGACTCTTCAGCCTGCAGAGCTATGAGAAATAAATGTCTATTAACACTGGTTAATCCACCAGTGTATGGTATTCTGTTACAGCAACCTGAAATGACAAAGACAATTGTCTTCTTACAATTCTTTCCTCCCCACTTCTTCTTTACCATATAGGAAACAAATCAATGTCACAGATGAATCTTTCCATTCTCTTCTCCTCAAGCTAAATCACATACTGCCAAACTTCCCTCCTCATTAACCTACACTTTAACCAATTATTTATTCATTTGTGTCAAAAGCCATGATTGTTAGGTCCCCTAGGATTACTAGGATTAGGGACTTCTCAGCAACTCATACTTTAATGAAGTATTTCTTAGCATGTTATATGATAGTACTACTCAAAGTGTGCTCTGTGCACCAGTGCCAGTCCTCAAGAGTAAGTACTTAGAAACTTTTTAAGCAACCTGTCACTGGCACAACCTCCAAGACATCATCAGTAGATAATTTTTGTAGAATGGGACATAGACCAGTTTGGATCTAGTCAAATTTGTGTGGTTAAGTTCCATGAATGAGCTGAGGGACCGGGTATTGGCAGCAAATTGAGATGCAAAAATAAAACTGATCATTCAGAAATAGTTTGAGAAGCACATGTTGACCAGTCTCTTGCATCAGAATACCTGAAGCTCTTATTTAAAATGCAGATTCTGGGCCTCATCCTACTACCTAATGAATCAGAGTCTCTGGAGGTAGGGCTATAAGATCTGTGTTTCAAACAAGCAACTGAGATGCTCCCTCACAGTAATGTTTGAGAAGCAATTAGTTATGTCGATTTGAACATAGTTTTCAAAGATTCCATTCCTGTTTCAGCCATTTAAAATGATTGTCCTTAAGGGCAGAGATTGCATTTATCACCAAGAAGTACCCCTGGAAACCCACCTCCAACGCTTGGGAAATGTTTCAAACTCCATATACTAGTGAAGCCACATCCTATGTGTGTACAAAAAAGAACTCATTGTAAAGAGTTTTTACATATTAACAGACAGTAATGCATCGCCCCCTGCCCTGCAGTCAAAATCTGGAGATACTCCTTCTTTTAACATCATTTTATCTGGAGCCATTCAGTGAAGGGGCAAACAATGCCTCTTTTACTATACGGTCAATTATAAATACTTGTATAATTGTCTATACTAGACTATACTAGTCTATACTAGACTACATCATAGTACTTAAGATTCAAGGTGACATTTGTCATAAATATAAAGGCTAATTATGTTCCCTACATTCTGTTTAATAAATTACATTTTACAGCAATATTACATAAATGGTTAAATGGTTAAATTCTTGAATTTGTAAATGGTATTAATCTGGAGTTCATGAATAGGGAACATCTCATTCCCTGACAGTGTCATATGAAGCAGTGGCTCTCAAACAGGGACAAGCATTAGAATCCACTGGGGGAGATCCTGAAAAATGCCCAAGCCCTTCCTAGCCTTTTTTTTTTTTCAGGAAATAGAGTCACAGGAATCTGTATTGTCAAGTTCTCCACATGACTGAGGTGTGCATGCAGATTTTGGAAATCACTGAATTAATAACACTATTCCTATAACATCATCATTTTTATTAGAGGCAGGATCTTACTCTGTTACCCAGGCTGGCCTCAAACTCCCTTGCTCAAGCGATCCTCCTGCCTTGACCTCTCAAAGCACTGGGATTAAAGGCATGAGCCACTGTGCCCAGCCTATCGCTAAAATATTGTAACCCAAATATTGAAGTTCTAATGAGAGAATTGTGTCTGGTGGGGGAATCAAAGCTCTGAGAAACATGGATGTTTGATAATTAAATATTACATAAATAGTATGCAGCAAAATATGTAAATGAGCATCTGCTGTTTGGTAGTTAACACAGCGGGACATTTAATAGGGCTGCTACCTCTATGATCCTGGGGACTGTGTGCATCTGGATATCTACAAAATGAGCAAAAATGCTGACTGCAGTCGCCTTTGAAAAGTCAATCAGCACTGAAGGAGAGAGTGAGGCAATTCAGGTAATGAGCGACATGAAAAGGAATCTCATTCTGCCATGCTATGTATCCTGCCTAGAATTGTACACCCTGAGTTCTGCAGGCTGCATCCCTGGAAAGAACAAGAGGAGCAGAGCTGAGCAGGATCAAAGGCGCAGGATGGAAGGCACAGATGCCATTAATGGCAGCCTCTGGTTATCAAGTCTGGAAAAGGCCAAAGCCAAAGGCACTGCAGGAAAGTGGAACACAGCAGCTTCTTCTAGAGAACATCTGCTGGAGGAGGACCGGAGAGCAGCATGTATCATGGGGGAGTTTGAGCAATGGCTTCTCCTTGCCAGCAATAGCCCAGGGGCTTGCAGAGGGTTGGGCGACAGTGCTCCACCGAGTCCCATTGGGTGTGTGGTTCTTCCATGAGGTAAAAGTGATTTCTTTTCCTGAACTGCCCAGCAGATGTAGGATCTGCTGAAAAGAGAATTCAGTTTCATTCAACCAGCATAATCAAGACTGTGTCTCAGGCTGATGATAAGGAAATGAAATAAACAGATCTTGCTCCCAGAGTTCCCAGTCTGTAGGGGAAAGCAGACATAAACAGCTGCCTCAAATAAAACAAAAAGTGTTGGTAGAGGGTTATGTACAGAGTTGCAGGGCCCATCCAGGAAGCAGCAGTTCATTCTGCCTGGGGCCTTGGGGAAATTGACAAAGTGATATTTGAACTGGCTCTTCAGGGATCTGTGGGACTTCACCAGGTACCAAGCGGTCAGAGTAAGATGGGGAGGAAAGGAGGGATATTCTTGGCAAAGGAAATAGATTGGCTGTTTGTGGCATGCCCAGTAATTATAAATATTCTCTGATGTGGCTCCAATATAAAATAGGACTATGAGCAGAGCAAGCCATTGATATCCTCTGGTTCTGGTTCTGAGGATGTCTCTGTCTTCTTCTTGGCTCATTCATGGAATAAAAAAGCTGGAGTTGAAAGGAAATTTAGAAATCATGTGACCTGATGTCATTTAAACTTCATTGCAACCCGTTTTAATATGTAGATTGTATACACATACACTCACCTGGGAAACATTTCTCAAAAAATATACTTGCCTTTGCAAAGCACAAGGCATTCCAATACTTTCTTTTCTAGTCTATTTCATTTTTTAAATAATGGCTTTAGACCTCTTGATGGATCACAATTCTCAATTTGTGAAACACTTGTCAAAGGCAAGCTCCTCATTTCATAGATGAGAATGCTGAGACCCAGAGAGGGGAGCTGGCTTGAGCAAAGTCACAGAGAAAGTTAGTCATGGAACCTAGGTCCCATCAGGGTTTTCTGACACCCAGTTCAGCACACTTACTGCTGTGCCACCCTTTTTTCAACCTTCAGAATAGAGAAGCATAGTCCCCTGTGGGTATCAGGTTTGGGGAGGCTGCTGGCTGGAGGTGCCCAGAGCTAGCCCTTCCCCTGGTTCCTGCCCCAGTGTCCACAGTAGTCATGGAGGCTCAGGTGATTTGCATGACAAATACAAGACAGATAGCAGTGCTGTCCTGTCCACGTTTCCCTTTGGCAGAGCCCTGTGCTTCTGCTCTGCTCCCTGGTATTAATTGTTTGAGTAATGTTTGAGAAGAGAAGAGGTGACAGAAGGGAGGCAGGTAGTATTGTAAATCTTTGCACAATGGTGTTTCAGGATTCTAGAGTCCTTGAGGAGAGGGTCACAGGACAACTACATTAAAAAAACTTTCATGCATTCAGATATGCTTTGCAAAGCCTCCTTCAGCCAGGGGCTGGGTATTGAGAATCAAAGATGAGTGAGAGGTGATCTTTGCTCCCAAGCATGTCACAGTTTTGTGGGGAAGAGAAATATGGAAATTGGTCATTTTCATGGAGAATGACAAATAGTTTAAGAATAGAGCATATAATGGGTGTACAGAGGGAAATATGCAGCAACTTTGCCTGGATGGTAATGGGTGAGAAGGTCTCACACAGGTAGATGAACCTGGGTAGCATCTTTAAAAAGAACTAGGCTTTTACCAGGCGCACTGAATGTGGAAACCCTCTCCAAGCAGTGGAAACAATAGTCAAGGAGCATGGATTTGGAGGGATTGATGAGTGACTGGTTCTGTATGGAACACAATCTGTGTGGGCTGAGAGGACAGGCAGAGGACGAGGTGGAATGCAAAGAGTAATCCAGAATGATGTGCACTTGATCACGGGAGTCTGCTAGCTACCCCTGCACACCTCCGAGGCACGTGTGAAATACTCGGCTTTATGGAACAATTCAGTGCCTTTGGATGAAATTGTTCCCTCTCTCTCTCACTCTCTCCCTTCCTTCCATCCTTCCTTTGTATCTTTTTTTCTTTCTCTTTCTCTTTTTCTTTCTTCCCTCCCTCCTTCCCTGCCTCCTGACTTCCTTTCCTCTCTCTATTTCTTCCTTCTTTTCTTCCTTCCATTTATTCATTTTTCTCTTCCTCTCTGTCTGTCATTTTTCTCTTCCTGTCTGTCTCCTTCTTGGGGTTTATTATTGCTTTTTTTCAGTTAATTTTGGAGTTTTGGGGGTTTTTTTGTCTGTGTGTGTGTGTGTGTGTGTGTGTGTGTATGAGACAGGGAGAGAGGGAGAGAGAGAGTTACATCACAGTGAACTGAGTCAGAAAGCCTTAGATCAGTGGTTCTCAGCCAGACTTAGTTTTGCCCATTCCCCAGGAGGCATTTCTGATTGTCACCATTGGGGTGGTGAGAGGATAGTGGTGGTGTTACTGGGGAGAGGAGGTAAAGGCACGGGATGCTGCTAAGTATCCTGTTACTTTCATGACAGCCCCTACAGCAAAGAATGGCCTGGCCCAAAATGTCAGTAGTGCAGAAGTTGAGAAACCTTGATTTAGACTTTAAAAATAATAATATCCATACTATCTGTCATCCACTGAGTATTTATTCTGTGCCCAACATAGAGCTAAGACTTTCTAAATACTATAATATATATTCATTAAAGCAACCCTGCAAGGAGGATACTATTGTCTCCATTTTACAGATGACTTCTGTCACCTTGCCCAGGGTCACACAGCCAGGACTCCAACCAGGTGTGTTTCTAAAACCTGGGTTCCAATAACCTCTGCCCCACCCATCCCTTTTGTACCTTTGTAAATCCATGGCCAGTGATACCAGCTCTGCCCTTTCCTAGAGTTGTCATGAGGACAACAGTAAGTGAGATGAGTGTTGTGAAAGCAGCACATAAGCTGAAATGCAATTTATGTTACATGTGTACAAAGGTAAGCATGGACCTCAGATCCCCTTACCGATAAAACAGAGACCTCAGAACTGACTGAGCTACAAAATCCCACCTGGCTCTCAAACGCTAGGCTTTGCGGATTGATTTCACTGCCAGATGATGATAACACCAAATTAATCTGTGGGTTCATTTTCTCTTAGCAGCTTGGATAGAGGGTTGGAATCTGAAATCCCAATTTCTGATCCCAGAACTGTCATAATTTAATCATGACATGTTGGCAAGTATTTACCTTTTCTGGGAAGTATTTCCCTCATCTTCTCACTTGGGAATAATAATATTTGCTTTTCCTCAAAAATCTCATCTTGAAGGCCGTCCAGTCCTACCAATTTCTCCCTCTGGATTTTGCTGAGGAGTAAATAGAAAATCCAAGGGAGGGCGCCTGAGAATGTATAAAGTGAAATGGTTATGTTTCTGTATAACAATGATTGTTATTGGGAGCCAGCTTAGGTAACTGAAGCAGTGGGCATTTTCCCAGGAATCTACTGAAGAGAGACACACTGAGAGGTTTTTACAGTTGAAATACTACTTCACTCTCATACTGTCCCCAAGAACATCATGGAAGCTTCAATTTTGCATGTGCCTCAACCCCTGTACCAAAGAAAATCATATAATCCAGGGGGCAAAGTGCTCCATTTCTTTGATGTCAGGGATCAAGTGCCTGGATTTCTGGATGAACTTTGGTGGATGTTGGTTTCCTCTCACCACAGAAGCCATGGCAGGGGGCAGCTAAGTTGCTGAAAGAACCCAGGAGTTTGGGCGCTGGCTGGGCTGGGGCTGCAGAGCTTGAAGGGTGGGCTTGAGTTGCCTGAAGTCCCAAGGAGGTTTCAAGGTGCCCAAGAACTTAGGAAGTAAATGGAGACCAGGAATTCTGCCCATCTAGCTTGGTGGTTTTAGATCTTGTCAAAATGCTCCATCCATGTCCCCAAAAAAAGGCCAATCGCTAGACCATCATTCATTTAATCTGGATAGTTTTTGGAGGGTCATAGCAATGAATTTTACAATGACAGGTCAGGTAAGGTGATATCTGAGTGAAGGCAGAGCAATTATTCATTCCCACAGCTTTAGGGCCTGGCTCTGTTTTCTTTATTTTTAAGGGGCTGTGTTTAAGGAGCTTGTTGGGAAACTAAGCTACAGTCAAAATTCTTTATTTCCTGATCCCAAAGAGCCCGCTAGTGTTCTCTCTTATCACACCTTTGAGCTAGTCATCCAGGGGGAATTGCTCCACATTATCCAAACTTGCCTTTTCTCTCAGTCCACATTAGCCTTCTTCTGGCAGTCTCACACCTGGCCCCTCCCCTGTGTTCACCTGGTAACTCCTACTCTTTTCTTTAGACCCAAGCAGTGGTTCCTTTGAATAGCTTTCTCTGAACTTCCTGCCCTCAAACGCATTCACTGTCACTGCATTCCTATAGCACCTTTTTTAAATTATTTTTTAAATATTTTTATTTTTTTGAGACAAAGTCTTGCTCTGTTGCCAGGCTGGAGTGCAATGGCACAATCTCAGCTTACTGCAACCTCCACCTCCCAGGTTCAAGTGATTCCCCTGTCTCAGCCTCCCAAGTGGCTGGGACTACATGCATGCGCCACCACACCTGGCTAATTTTTTGGTTTTGTTTTTGTTTTGAGATGGAGTCTTGCTCTTGTTGCACATGCTGGAGTGCAGTGGTGTGATCTCAGCCTAATTGCAACCTCTGCCTCCCAGGTTCAAGTGATTCTCCTGCCTCAGCCTCCTGAGTGGCTGGGATTACAGGTGCACACCACCATGCCCGGCTAATTTTTGTATTTTTAGTAGAGACGGGGTTTCACCACATTGGCCAGGATGGTCTCAATCTCTTGACCTCGTGATCTGCCCACCTCAGCCTCCCAAAGTGCTGGGATTACAGGTGTGAGCCACGGCGCCTGGCCTCCCATAGCACTTTCATTACATGCCTACACGTTGAGTCATCTTAGATGGCAACCAGGGCTTTTCTTCTTTCGACTCTTCTTTTCTCCTTGCATTCCTTCACCAGAAACTTCATGTGTTTAACAAATGCTTAGAACACACTTACTATATGATAACCATTGCAAACATTGGATATTCAAATCCCCCTGATAACCCCATGAGAAGAGTACTATTGCTACTCCATCTGATTTTACAAATAAGGAAACTAAGTCACGGAGAGGTTAAGTAACTTAACCAATATATAACGCAGCTAGTACAGGGCAGAACTGACGTTCAAACCCAGACTCCAGAGTTCTGGCAAATGAACAACAACTAACAATCCTAATTTTTCTGGAGTAACAGGATATCTCCAAAGTACTAGAATTAGCACTAGGAAGAAGGTTTTTTATTTTGTATGTACAAGGAAGTATGGGGAACAAAAGCAAAATATTACAATGTTGAGATACCATCTTGCTTTATAAGCTGAACCTGTTTCTCGGCATCTTTCTGAATTCTTTCAGCAAACAGGTATCAGATAAATAGGAGTAATTTTGTAAGCCACTTTCTTCCAAGTGGCTCTTGGTTAAGGCCATTCTCCCCTGAGGTCTGTGAACAGGATCCTGAATGACTAACATTTGGTTAATCATTAATAGAGTGGTTAACACATAGGCTTTAAAGTTCAGATGATCTGGGTAAAAGTCTCAGCTCTGCCTAGCTGTGTGGTCTTGGGCAACTTGCTTGACATCTCTGAGTCTCAGATTCCTGATTTATAAAATGAGGATAATCACTGCATCTACCACTGTATTTATCAGTCAGAATGAGCTTATGTCAGAGTAACAGGCATCTCACATTTATCAGTGGCTCGATACAACCAAGGTTTGTTTTTCATTCAAACTTATGTTCACTGCAGGTTAGCAGAAGGGATTTGCCCATTATGGTTACTCAGGGACATGGGTGGATGGAGCCTCCATCGAGACAAATGGTTCTCCACCTCAGCACTATTAACATTTTGGGGCCAGATAATTCTTTGTTGTGAGGGAAGTCCTGTGCATTGCAGGATGTTTAGCAGCATCTCTGACCTCTACCGACCAGCTGCCAGTAGTACCACCTCCCCCGTGGTGACAACCCAAACTATCTGCAGAAATTTCCAATGTCCCATGGGAAGCAAAAATCACCCCTGGTTGAGAATCACTGATTTACACATGCACTGCCATAATCAGAACAATCAGAATGGCTGAAAAAAAAGGAAAGGTTGAACAGAACACCGGCAATGAAATGCTCCCACATGAAAATGACATACTTGCTTTTCCTCACTTTGGATTGACTAAAGCTGGCCACTTGGCCAAACCTAACTTCGAGGAGGTAGGAAGTACAGTATTAATACAAATTGGGAAGGGGAGAGCTGAAATACCTGTCAACAGTTCTAATAAACAACCATCTAAGGCTGCTGAGAGGATTAAATGAAATACTGCGTGTGATGTGTTTAACACAGTGCCAGGCTAATAAGAAGAGTTCACTACTTGGGAACTGTTGATATTAGAACACAATGCAGGGCTGGCCAGGCTGGGAAGAATGCAGCTATGGGTCAAGCTAGCTCTACCAACAGCTCCTTCATAGGGACATAGAACTTGCACCTCACTTGTCAGAGCTTTCTTTTATTAAAGGCCAGGAGAGGTTGGTTAGTTTGTGGTGCTTAATTGCAAAGAGTGCTCTTATTAACCAATATTGTTGGCCAGTTGAAGATTCCTGTTATTATTTAACAACAACAGCATCAACAAAGAACCCGACTGAGCCCTGCCTGAAAGCGGTCCAGCCTCACTTTAAGCTAACCTTCTTCTTACTCTTGTGTTCTAGCCACTCGAGCCTTCTTCCCTGAACACACCATACATACCATCTTTTCTAGCTCAGGGTCTTTTATTTCTCCTGTCTAGAAGGCTCCCGTCCCATTTATCTAGTTAATTCTTACTAATTTGTTTACTTTTCGGAAAAGCACTCCTGACTTCTCAGGCTAGATATTCCCTCCTCCACCCTCACTCTAATAAATGTTCATAGACCTGAAGCCTTTCCTTCATCACACATCACAATTTGTAATTATATATTTGCTTGTGGGACTAGTCGATTAGTGTCTGTCTCCCTTACTGGTTTCCAAATCAGTCATGACTTTTTCTCTTTTGCTCGCCTTATAACCCCAGGGCCTTTCACCTGGAATATAATAGGCTCTCAATAAATATAGATTGATTGAATGAATGAATGAACAAATGAGTGAAGGCAAAGTGAATGAATGAATGAAGGCAAAGTGAATGAATGAATGAATGAAGGCCAAGACTAAACTCTGGGTCTACTGATACCTGCTTTGAACTCCTTCCTTTAAACCATGCTGCAGGTAACAATGTACTCACCCCAACAATACCTTTTGCAGGAAAGGAAAGTTGGAAAAAGTCCTAACCTAAAATGTCAGGTCCCTCATTTCCTTGAGGACACTCCTAGCAGAAGGTATGCCACCTGCACACACAGTGACCAAGTGCCTCACCCCGGCATGCCACCACAGTAGCTGTGTTTGCACAGAGCTCCCAGTTCCTGGTTGGGAACCATGGTGAAAAGTCTCTAAACAGAGCTGGCTGGGCAGCCTCAAGCTGGAGCCCTGGGGAACAGCCTGAAGGCTGGGAGCACTGACAGGCCGCTTCTGAGCCCCAGGTGGTAAGTCTGCCCTTCTTTCTCAGGTTTTAGGGGTAGCTCTTGGCCTCATTCATCTGGCCCACTCCCCCTGCCCCTTAACAGCCTGGCAGCTGGCCTTTCAAACTTGAATGGAAATCCATTTTCTTCCTTCCTTTAACCTGGAGGGAATCCAAATCTCTTCCCCACTGGCTTGGGGCCCATTCACACCCATGTGCTCACCTCCACCTCCAGTAAGGAGTGATCACTTTCTCCCTGGTTAACTGGACCCTGGTCTGCAGAGAATCAGATGCTCATTGCATCTTTCCCAGGCACACATCAATTGGACCTGCTCAAATGCCACTTACTCTCTGCCTACCACCTCTCTGCCTCTCCTTGTGTGCCTGTGAGTCTCTTTCTCCCTTTGAAATATGATCATACTGCTTTTTGCTGAAGCCATGCATGCCATACCTAAATGTAATACAAGTAAATATTTAAGACAAAACTTCTCATAAATGGCAAAAAAAAAAAAAAAAGATTTGCTGTAGTAAAGCTGGATTACTAGGAACAAATCCCTTGGTACAAATGTATGCTGGAATAAAAACATACAAACAAACCCCCAAAATAAGCATCTTAGGTGACATCTCCCATAGTTCTAAATTTGTTAAATTACCTGTTTGGGGTATGTAAAAATGAAAATCGATGGTGTTGGTCAGAAAGAAAAAGTCTGATAATTAATGCTAAAGTTATTAGGTAACTAGCTAACATAATTATAAAGTACATCTTTAAAAAAAGAGGATGGCAAAATACTGGTGGCATAACTCATTGAGTTTATTCCATTAACTCTGAAGAGCACTTGAAATCATAACGAGCAGAATGGCTGCTGTTCCAGCGGCACAGCCTGCTGAACCAAGGACAAAAATGGTAATCTGAGGGAGAAATCTATGGTCTGAATCAAGAGTATGTTGCCTGGGCTATATATTTTTACTTAAGTGCATGGCAAAATTCTCAAGGGGCTAGCTACAGATGAAATTATCTTCACCTTATAGATTAAATTTGTTCATGCAAGGCTTTATTGACAAAAAATTGTTATAGTGATATAAAAATTATTCAGACATTTAGGGCCATTGCTATTATGATGCTGTCTTTTATTAGAGCAAGAAGTCATTTTTAACAGTCCAGGAAGAGTTATGCATTGTATAATTCCAGAGCTTGTTCATGGCTAAAAACCATTCTAATATCATTCCTGAGGGAGTTGACTTACAGAAGGATGGCCTCCCTCCAGAATGGTGAGGAAGTTTAGCTGTGGTTTCTACTTTAATCTGATTTACTGTTTATGAGTCATAATGTGAGGATCTAGTCGGGTTACAACTAAAATCAATTTTATCCAGACTCTGGTCTTTTCTTTTTTCTCCCATTTTTGATTTTTAATTACTAAAGTAATACTTGATTGTAAAATAGCCAAGCAGAACAGAGGTATAAAGAGTAAAAAGTGAAATTCTCTTTCTAACCCATGTATCCAAGCCAAATCTATTCCCTTCCCTCTCTAGATATAACCACCATTGGCTGGATAATGTTTTCTAAAAATGAACAGGAACACACACATGGAGATTATATATGAAAATAAATTCACATGGGGTTAGATTATCTTAAACTTTTAAATAGAATCACACTATATATTTTGGTCTGCAACAAGCTTTTTTCCACTTAAGAATATGTCGTGGAGAACTATGCCAATATGTGTAGATACACCCTAATTTCTTTTAAACATTGTATAGTGTTCCATTCTATAGATTGCAATGGTTTATTTAACTTTTCTTCTATTGTTAGAGTTTAGATGGTTCCTATTTCTTCACAATAACAAATATGTATCAGATATATATACACATGCATACATATGCATGTCGATATGTGTGCATGTAATTGATGTGTGTATGTGTGTACTTCTATAGCATTTCTATATGACGTAGTATTTCTGTAGGATGAATTTCCCAAAGAGCAATTAACTGAGCTAAATCGTATATGCAACTTAAACTTTGATATCGTCAAAGATACTATCATGTGACCTTATGAAAGTGCTCTGCTAATTTACACTGTGTGATGGTGTGTGTGATGGTGCCCTTTTTGCCATGCATTCACTCCGCTAGATATTATTCATCATTTCATTTTTGCCAACCTGGTGGGTAGAAAATCACATGCCAATGCTGATTTCCGCTGCTTTTCCAAGGTTGGGAGTGAGGTGGACCTAGCCTTATCTTTAGGATTTTTGGGTAATAAACCTTCAGATGAAACAAAATATAGTCATTGAGAACTGTACAGAACCCAAAAAATGAAAGAAAATGAGACCGTTTAAGCTCAGAACTGCATGCACAATGAAAAGGAGCCCCAGGCTGACTTCTTTAATGAGGCAGCACTAATTATGTTAAAAGTTAGCAAGATAAAAGAATGGAAAGGGCCCCTATTTAGCCTGTTACATGCTGTGTAGAAAACAAGCTGGTGAAGTCAGACTGTACAAGCTTTGATTGAATATCTGGACATGTACTGTGGAACCATGGACAAGTTACACACCTTCTGTGTATCTCAACATTCTCATCCGTAAAATGGAACTCTAATGTTGTCATTTTCTTAGGACTATTGTAATGAGGCAGTGCATGTGTAATCTTTGGCACGGTGCCTGGAAAATAAACATTGGGCTCTACAATTGTTAACCATAATAATAGTAAACACAATAGCTAGTATATTACTATTGTTATCATAAGTCAAATAGGCAGTCATACACCCACAGGGAGAAATAGAGTCTTTGAGCAGTGACTAAGTGGCAATTGAGAAGGTCAGATGGATATATGATTAGGAGAGATAGATGTTAGAGGGAAATTCATTGATCCTTTGTAGAGCAGAGTCCAATTAGCCAGAGGGGAATGATTAATTATCTTCTAATTGCAAACTAATTGGACGTCAGAACAGAAGAGGATCTTAGAGGCCATGGAATACAAAAATTTCGTTGCGTAGATGAGAAACCAAGACTCAGAGAGAAGTGACTTTACCTAAGATTATACAGCTACCCAAGCAAGAGAACCAAAACAGGGATCTGTGCCTCCAACTGCAAGTCCATGTTTCCTCCATATTCATATTTTCTATATTACTCTTCATCTTTTAGTTAAACAGAGAAAGATATAATGAAGAATGAGTCTGCAAAAGCACCTTTTTATTTCTTGTTTCTGATTTTGGATGACAGCTTTTAGAAACATAACCAAGTTAAGAACCCTTGCACATCAATAAAGAAATGACACCTCAAGATAAAAATGGAACAAAGTGAAGACCAGGTAATTCACAGAACAGAAAGTACAAATGGCTAACACACATGTGAAAAGATGCTCAACTTTGCTAGTAATCAGGGAAAAACAAAACACTAGTCCTTCGTTTATGCAGTCAACAGGAATTTTTGAGTGCCTGTAATGGACTAGAAGTGGTTCATTTGTCATCATCCAGATTGGCAAATATTTTAGAGCATAACATCAAGTGCTGGTGAGAGTATAAGGAAATAGGTACTCTCAAACATAGTGTGAGGGGTGAGAAATTAATACATACATTTGGAAAGCACTTTGGACAGCTCTTGGCAGAATAATGCTCCTACCCCAAAAATAGCCATGTCTTAATCCCCAGAGCCTGTGAATTCACTGGGTCACATGGCAAAGGGGAATTAAGTTTACAAATAGAATTAAAATTGCTAATCAGCCGATCTTAAAATAGAGAGATTATCCTATATTATCCAGTGACAGCCAATGCAATCTCAAGGGTCCTTAAAAGTGAAAGAGGGAGGCAGATGAATCAAAGTCAGAGAAGGAGAAATAATGACAGCAAGGTCAATGTGCTTTGAAGACTCAATCTGCCATTGCTGGCTTTGAAGATGGAGGAAGGGGCCATGGGCCAAAGAGTATGCACAGCCCCCGGAAGCTGGAAAAGGCAAGCAAGCAGATTCCCCCTAAAGCCTCCAGAAATAAATGCAGTCGTAGCAACACTTTGATTTTAGTGCAGTGAGATCCATGTCAGACTTCCAAGATAATAGGTTTTGTATTGTTTTAAGCTACTAAGTTTGTGGTAATTTATTACAGCAGCAATAGAAAACTAATATAGTTCTATTAAAATTTCAATGGAAATATATTGTGCCATTTGTCTCAGCAGTTACTCTTCTTGTTATTACCTTGGAGAATCACTGTGATTTGTATTTGAGGGGCCACAGTCAGGGATGTCTGCGGTGACATTGCTTGTATTGATGAACAATTGCAGGGACTTCAGCATGTTATCCATGAAATGGGATAGTAAGCAGATGTTAAAGTGAATGAAGCAGATCTGTAAGTACTGACATGCCAAATTCTTCAAAACAAAACACACAGAAGAAGCAAGTTGGAGAATATCACATCCAGTATATACCAATCATATAAAATTGTTACTCTCACACAATGAAATTATATATGTTAATAATCTATACAGGTAAATGGAAGGATGCATGCCAAATAAAACAGTAATAACCATGCAGAAAACAAACAAAACAGTTATAACCATGTGGAAGACTGTTGAGTTTGAAAAATTTATTCCTTATATAATTTTAAAACAAAATTTAATTGAAAAATAATGAGAGATCATCTGAAGACTCATTCTCCCCAGCTCACATATACCTCTCCTTTGCTTTGGTCCACTTTAATGCAAAAGGACCTTGTGCTAACATGTCTGGGAAGAAAATGCTCCAGCATACAGGAGAAAGGATAATTTTGAATGACTGAATTCTCACTGGGGCTAGAAGTCACAGGACTCTCAGTTTTCTTAGTTCTAGCAAGCAGAGTTCTGGTTCTCTTGAGCCCCTGGTCCTACAGGGGAACGGCCAGGCAGGAATCAAGGGTGCACAGTCAAGGCTTTCTAGCACCTTCCCTACTAGCTATCCTATTACATTTTAGAGGACAACACTGAATGTTCCATTTCCCAAATATGCATTAACTTTTTTGTGCATAGAGCACTGCAGTGGCCAATATGGGGAATGGAAATCTTTCATAACTCAATTCAAACATCACCACCTCTCCAAAGTCTTTCCTGACATTTCCCAGCCATGTCCCCAGGTAGAACCGAGCATCCTCTTTTTTCAGCTTTCTTAATGTTATCTATATTTATACTGAATGCTAGATTGCATTCATTGTTTTTACATATGTCTCCTCAACTAGACATACAATCTCTTGAATTCAGGCATAATGCTTTATTCTTTGTGGTATTTCATGCCTTCCAGATAATAGGGCCTTATATAGCAAGTATTGGATTATTATAAACAGGATGTACCTTTTTACACTCAAAGGATTTACAATCCAGTGGATAAACAAAAGGTAGTATTGTTTGCATATGGTTTGTTTGGACCTTCCAAGTCTCATGTTGAAATTTGATCCCCAGTGTTGCAGATGGGGCCTAATGGGAGGTGTTCAGATTATGGGGGCAGATCCCTCATGTCTGGCTTGATGTCATTCTCAAGAAAGTGAGTGAGTTCTCACTCTTAGTTCCCATGAAAACTGGTTGTTGAAAAAAGCCTGGCACCTCTTCTTCTCTCTTTTGCCTCCTCTCTCATCGGCTCCCCTTCACCTTCCACCATGAGATGAAGTACCCTGAAGGCTTTACCAGAAACAGCTGTTGGCGCCATGCTTCTTGTACAACCTGCAGAACCTTGAGCCAAATAAACCTCTTTTCTTTATAAATTACCCAGTCTCAGGTATTCCTTTATAGTAACACAAACAGGCTAAGACAGAAGGCAAGTTAAAACAAAAAAGATTGCATTAAGTTAAAATGTGACTTTCTCATGATAGATGTGATGGTTACCTTTCTAGGGGATGGTGACTGCAGGGAGCATGAAGGTGGCTTTTGGAATGCTGGTCATATTCTGTTGTTTTGATCTGGGAGTTAGTAATACAGGTGTGCTCATTCTGTGAAAATTTATCAATTATCTGTATGTATGTTCTTCTTCAATAAAAAAGTTAAAAATTTTTCAGCTCCTCAGACAGGTCCATCTTGACCACTTTATCTAAAATAGCTCCTGTTCTTGCCTTATTTTCCTTATTTTTTTCTTCATAATTCTTGTCACCCCATGGTATTATATTATAAATTTATGCCTTTATTAAATCCATAAGGATTGGACCACTGTCAGTCTTTTTCATCACCATGTCCCCAGAGCCTGAAGTGGGGCCAAGCACATGGCCCTCAATGACTATTTGTTGAATTTTCTATGAATACATGTAGTGACAAGGAATGAAGTATTGACTTTTGCTCAGTAACATCACAAAGGACACCTGATTTTAGTTGCATCATTAGGAGACTATTCTTATCTAATGGATGAAAAATAGAAGGAGATAGATTGTGAGCTCACGGTAGTCATCATTGGACTGCAAAAGTACTTAAATAAATGTCCTTAAATTTTCCCTCCAAATGGGATGGGCCACAAAAATACTACCCAGGGCATTTGCAAAATCTAATTATCTTCTAGAGAAGTTTTTACTGAGTAAGAAATTTGTCTCAAGAAGGCTTCAAATGTTGATTTACTTTAAAGTTAGGCTTTCTGTTCTTTCTCATGATCTACCAATTACACAGGAGATAGCCAAGACGAAAACTGGAAAAGGAATAGGCAAAGACAAATAGTATCCTAGGAGGGCAATTTTCTCAGACTCTTCCGTTTTCTTGTTCTGTAAGGTTTCTTTTAAGCTATATTTTACAAACTGTACAAATTACCCATTTAAAGTGTTCCATTCAATGGTTTTTAATATATTCATAAAGTTATGCAACCATCACCACAATCCATTTTAGAGCATCTTCATCACCCCAAAAAGAAACCTAGTACCTATTAGCAGTCCCTATCCATCTCTGCCAATTCTCCAGGCCTGGCTACCAGACTCATTGACTTTCTGATTCTATAGGTTTGCCCATTCCACACATTTCTTATAATAGAATCATACAAAATGTTGTCTTTTGTGACTAGATTCTTTCATTTGGTATGATGTTTTCAGGGTTCATTTACATTATTGTGTTTCAGTATTTCCTTCCTTTTTATTGTAAAATAATACTCCAGTACGTGGATATACTACATTATTGTATCCATTCATCAGTTGATGGACATTTGTATTTTTTCTACTTCTCAGCTATTATGCATAATACTACAATGAACTTTCAAGCACAAGTTTGCGAGGTCATATGTTTTAATTTCTTCTGGATATACATCTACAAGGGGAATCTCTAGATCAGATGGTAACTCTGTATTTAACTCTTTGAGGAACTGTTTTCTAAACTGATCTCAAAAGTAGCCACAACATAGTACATTTCCAGCAGCAATGAATGAAAGTTTTTGTTTTTCCACATAGTCTTTTAACTTTCAAATACATTTTTTGTAATACCTGATTTGCATATAAATATCTGTCATAAAATCAAATGGGTACACTTATATCTTAGAATCTGTGATATTTACTTATGTCCCTTATTAGTCCCTTACTAATATTGCTGCTGCTGCAACTACTGCTGCTATTGATGATGATACATAGCATTTATTAAGGACTTATGATATTACAGTCACTGTTCAAGTATGTTACATGTGTTAACACACATTTAATCTTCCCAGCAATCCTCTGAAATAGATAGTATAGATGAGAAATAATGATAACTTGTACTGGTGGAACAGTAGTGAGATATTAAGAAGCGAACATATTACATCATTTATTTGTCTATTTACTCAGTCCACAATATTTATTGAGCATGCACTCTCTGCTAGGCATACCGTGTAGTTTACCAAGTTGACTGTTATGAGCAAAAGAGATTTGGTCTCTGTCCTTAATGGATTTGTAATCTATTGATTTGAAAGATATTTAAGAAATGAAATCAAGATGCATTTTTGATTAACTTGATATAGAAAGTGATGCACAAAAAGGTTTCCAGTTTGGGCAACAGGAAGACAGTTGTGCTATTTTCTTAAGGAGCATGGAGGTTCGAGGAGGTGAAAAGGTGGGTATAAGACAGAAAAAAATATGATTTCTATTTTGAACATGTTGATCTTTAGGGATCTGTGAGACATAAACAGTTGGAAATACGGGTTTGGAATTTAGAACAGAGATCTGCTCAATGTATAAATTTTGGAGTCCCATAGATCACTGAAATCGTGGGCACAATTGCCTAGGGGAAGGGTAAAAAAATGATGTGATAAGACCTTCTAGGACTAGACCTTGAGGAACTTTGACATTTAAAGACGAGTTAAAGAAAGACAAGGCACTCAAGAAACAAGAGCTTGTAATGCTCCTGAAGTCAGAAGAAAAGTGTATTTCCTGGAAAAGAGCCATCAACAGTTGTGAATGCCACTCAGAGGCCCAGAAGGGTGAAGATGCTTTGGATTGAGAGGCCTGGCGGTTATTAGTGACTTTCTAGACAGCTATGTGGTAGGGTAGTGTGGGAGAGTACACCAGGCCAGTAGAACATGATGGAATGGAGGCAGAAAAATGTTATAACTCTTTTTAAAAGCTTGGTAGAGAAGAATCTGGAATAGGGCAGTAACTAGCAGGGAAAGAAACATGGTTCATTTTGCCTTTGACAGAAAATGCTAAAAGAGTACTTATGGCTATTGGTAAGAATTAAGTGAAGTATGAAAGTAATGATTTATGTTCCAAGTTCAATTATACTTTATTAATTTTGCCTGCACCTTTTGTGTATAGACTGAGCAAATGTTGAAAGTTTTACTAAGCACAGGGTAGCAGAAGAACATGAACTACGTCCTGGACCTGTCATGTATAGATTAAGTTATTTAATAGCTTTAAGCTTCAGTTTCCTCATCCTACTTTTCAGGATTATTGCAATGATGAGAAATAGCATATGAAAAGTCATTATTATCACACCTGGCACATAGACAGCTCCCAATAAATGGCAGCACTTATTATTTCACTCCACACAGCTGTGTGATTTGTGTTCGTCAAATCCTTTCTCAGGTTTTCGTTGCTGGCAGGGATGTTGTTTCCATTAATCTAAGCTTCAAATAGCTAACTAGGTTTCCTGTTCCTAAGCCTAATTCTCAAATGATGCTTCATTCTTCCATCATCAACATGTATTCATTTTTTCAACATGGGTTTACCATTTCGATTACATTACTCAGCCATATTTTTAATCATCTACTCTTGTCATCATTGTCATTATCATTCCATAAAAGGGAGTTCCCCAGCATCAACCTGCCATTCACAGCCCTGGGCTTACACTGCTTTACTTGATCTGTTTCTACATCTCACTCCATTCTGCCCTTCTACAAGCCACGTTTTCCACTGTTCTCTTATGCCTATCCTCTCATCACCCTTCGGACTTGATCTATGATATTTTCTCCCTAGAGTTGACCTTGATTCTTTTTAGAATGATTCTTATAGTCTTTGGCAATCTTGGGATATGCTATCCTCAGTTTAATCCAACCCTTAGGATTTCTTTTAGAATGGTTCTAATGGTCTTTGGCAATCTTGGAATATGCCATGCCTAATGGAAGCCAACTCTTATGACTCTCCTACCCAGGAAAAATGCCCACCTGATTACTGCCGCCTCCTCTGGACAAAGCTTGGACAAGCATGAAAATAAGAGAAAAATTGCAATGCCAATTGATACGATGAGTAATTTACCTTGATAGAGAACTTCCTAGAATGCACTAATTGTTTCACAACTTCAACTGTCTTCTTGACACCTCCAATGATGGTTGCAGCATCACCTTGAATTCAGGAGGTTTGAGTATTACTTGCCATTATCAGCTCCATTTCTTAAGTGCTCACTTCCTGGCAGTATGCTATTTGTTCTTCCAGTCCAGACTAATATTAGAATTAGTCAAAACTCTAATATCGGTTTGATACCTATAACCCTTGCCCCATACCACCAACTCTACCATCATCCATTTAGTCATCATTACTCAAACTCTTTAATGATTTTGAATTTATCGATTTTTCCCATTTCCCTGACATTTTAACCTATATCCTAGTCTTCCTAGTTCCTCACTTATAGCACTTAGTGATTAATCTTCTCGGAACTGCACTTTGATCATATCACCACCCAGATAAAAATCCCTGTGACTCCATATATTTGAAAAATAATGTCCAGATGTCCCCATCCTACCCTTTCATCTTTTTAATGTCTTCCTGCTTCTTTTTAAAAGATCTTATTCCAAGCAGCGTGTTCTACTTGTTTTTTTCTTGGTGTCGCCCAGGAGTTGTTCTTGCTTTCTCTCCTTTGCTCATATAGTTTCACTCAAAAGCGATCATCTTCCTCAAGGCTCTCTTCAGTTGAACGTCTTTCAGAGAATCAGCGCCTTAGTGTTAATGATTCCCATTCTATGAGCTAAGAGCACTCAGCTAGCTTAATCATGTCCTGGATGTTAGTCATGTAATGCCTTGTGTTTGCCTGTCTTTCATTTCTTAGAATTTTACATCTGACAGCTTCTTAAAGATGACATTATCTTTGGCTGTTTTGCTAGAGGTAAAGTGTTCATTATACGGGGACTTTTGCTCTCTTGTGTGTGATTCAGCCTCCACCAAGAATGTCACATCAAAGAAGGACAGTGACCAAATGAAATACGTACAGAGGGAGAGTGCTAGGGGAAAAAAAGGGTGGGGGAGAGGTCTGAATATGGGAATATTCAGGGTTGGTAGGTTGGACAGTTGTCTCCGCATAGTTATAGAAAAATATTTAGAGTTAGTCCATGTGACCCAGAGAATAAAGGGATCATTAACATTGGTTATATGAAAATATTTTAGCAATCAGTATAGCAGAAACAAGAATCAATTAGAAAGGATATTGGCTGTAGGTCCAATGTAGAGCCCTAGAGGGCCTCCTTGCTGTACTAGACGTGAAGCCTTTGGTTTCTGGATCATGACAAAGTTAGACATTCCTCAGGAAGGTGCTGGGGTTTTAGGGTAGCAGGGGTTGCTGGGGGGAGGTAGTTTGGGCAGTGGTTATCTAACACTAGTACAGAGGTGCTTTATAACTGACAAACATTCACTAGCACCTGCTAGCTGAAGATCAGAGCTGGCCAGTTAACAGGTTGACATTCTGAAACTTGGCATAGGAGGAACCTACCCCTAGAATTGGACAGTCTGAGTAGTGGCTTTCCGAGACTTGGACAGCTTTCAGAAATACTACCAACAGGAGGAAGATATAGGGAGATATATTCTCAGTAAAATATCATCTAAGTTTTAACCATTGGAGTTAATAGAGCATAATGTTGGCCTAGAAGACCTTTATGGCTCCTTCAAACCTTGAAATTACAGTTTTATAACTTTATCATAACCTACTTTCTTCATTTTATAGATGAGGAACCTAAAAGGAAGGAAACGTGCCTGAGATCTTCTTTGTTGTCACTGTTTTACTTCCATATCATGGATTTGCTTTTCTATGTATATTTGTCTTGCTCTCTCAGCTGCAGTTTACTTCTTCTACTCCCTATAATGATTAGAAGCATAGTATGTATACACAGGATGTTAATAAGCATGTGATATATGAATGGATAGATTGTTCATCCCTGTCCACATCTCAAACTCAGGATCCCACAGAGAAAACTTCATTCATCCCCTACTCCCTTCTTCTGCTTCAGACTATTGGAACTCACCACTGCTTCTTCCGCCCCTGACCAAATGCTAATGGAGGTGCTAATGAGGCCCTCTGGCCATCAGAAAGAAAGAGAAAGAAAATCAAATAGTCTAATTAATCCACAAATTATAGTCACTGAAAAAAAGTGGTCATATTTCCTATAGAAAGCCAGACAGGGACTAATGGGCACTAAAGCATTGGTCTTGGCTCTTGTGGGTGTGTAGTTTGGAGGTTACCTGTTGTTTTTTCAGGGATTATGAGGCACCACTTGGCTTCCATTTGGGTGGAGCTCACCAGAACTCTGTTCCAAGTCTGAGCTGTCTGTTTGCTTATTAAATGGAAAAGGAGGGCAGAGAGTAACCTCTTTGTATAAGGTGAGCCTAATATTAATAGCAAACATTTATTGAGTACTTATTATGTGCCAGGAACTTTACTAAGCATTTTCCTTGGAGGAGTTCATTGAATCCTCTACCATTATTTCCCCTACTTTATACACAGGGAAACTGAGGCATGGACAGGTTAGGTAACGTGCTCAAGGTCACACAATAAGTGGCTAAATATGTGGTCAGAGACATTTTAGCTAGTGCTAAATCTACCAGCTGCATTCTGTAGCCCATGCTCTTGACTGTTTCTGCCTATACCATGTTAACCAGAGTGGCTGCATCTTCCATCAGCGAACTCTGAGAATGCAGAACAGCTCCTGCCTTGAGCATCTCAGAGAGATGGGGCTGAAACATCACAGTATGGGAGTTTAATGGATAGGCTTGAAGATGATGGGGAGGGCAGCGGTAGGAATATGCCAGAACCATCTGGTGGGTCAGAGCAGAAAGTGAGGGAGAGTGCTCTGTGACCTGTGTGACCTGTGTTCGGCAGGTTTAGAGTTCAGCCTCTTTCAGGACTCCCAAAAACACACAGAAGATTTTCACTATAGCAGGGAGCCGCATGGGCCTTTATCCAGTGAGAATGAAGACAACTGCACTTTAAATTAGTATTGTAAGTGAAAAGCACATTTAAGTGTGAAATCAGTAGGTGTGCTAGGTTGAAAATCTAAGAAATGAGTCAAGAAGTTAGGAGTAATTAGGTGTAAAGAGAGACCTTGCTGCTCATGGATTAACAAACTCAAGTTTGTTTTTTTCTAAAGGCCTTGTGTACATTATGTGTGTGAGCCTGTGTGCATGACTGATTGTGTGTGTGTGTGTGTGTGTGTGTGTGTGACAGAGAGAGACACAGAGAGAGAGAGAGAGAGAGAGAGAGACTGTGCAAGTCACTGCAAGTCTACATGAATTATGAGAGGCATTCCCCAGTAGGCTTAGTCCCACTCTAGGGATTCAGTAAGAACCCCCAGAAGGCATCTCTTCTGAATTTGGGCTGGCAATTAGTCACACCTGCTGACCAGTAGACGAGGGGTCCATGGTGCGCAGAAAACCAAACAAGTATACCAACTTTTAATCTAGGCCTGTATTTAACAAACTCTAAGGTCCATGTAAATCACCTGGGGTGTCGAGTTAAAATTCAGGTTCTGATTCAGTAGGTCTGGGACGGGGGCTGAGACTACATTTCTAACAAATTTACAAACATTTTGCTGGTCTGTGAACCACACTCTAAATTCTACATAATTTTCTCTTTTTATCCTAATATAATGTGTGTGAATTTCCACATTTGACAGATAAAAGTGCTGAGGCATAGAGTACTGAATGATTTGCTCAGTCACGGAGCTGGTGGGTTCAGTCCATGTGTGATGGCCACAGAATCCATGCTGCTTCTGTTATACGCCACTGTAGCATATAAGCACATTCAAGCTGCAGCTTCTTTGAGACTCAGTGTGGTGGCATACAAACGTGGTCCTTGGTACTGAGACACAGGACAGGCCCCAGTGTCCCTGCCGGTTTACTCAGCCCACTGTTTTCTTGGGTCCCTGGATTTAGTGTATGCTGGGACAGGAGTCTGGCTTTATCCACTCTAACCCTCTTGTTCAGGACCCCAGTCAAATCCTAACCTAGGGTTTGGCCCACTTTCTATTGTCCCAATCAGACGCTCGGAACAACTCTCATTACTTTTCTTGGACTAGCCACTAGACACAACTATAGGCCCTCACTCTGCCCCTTGGATGGAACTAATGAATTAGAATACCACTTGGAATATTCTAGAGTAACAGGCCTGCCTTTGGGATTATTCATTTGCCATTACCAATCACACCCTCAAGGGGCCAGCCCTTTTCTCCCCATATTTTTAACCCATGCTGTCCTTGGTTCTCTTTCCTGGTCTCCGTGTGACCTCCTGACATGCCTAATGGCAAGGTGACACTATTTCTGGGATGGTCTCTAGCTTCCTGGGGCTAACATTTTGGTTGGGGTAATGAATGCAAATAACCAGTCACTTGTCTCTCTGCTTTGCTCTTCTCCCCACTCTTCCCATCTTTAAATGCATAAAACCTGAGGAATCTACTGCAAACACCATTTTCCCATAGAACCTTTCCTAATCACCTCAACTTACATTGACCTCTCTTTTCTCTATACCCCTCTGCCCAACAACATCTTCCTTTCATGTGTCTCATAGGAATTGACACTTTTGACCTTTCACTATGGGCAGCCTGAGCTGTGACTTCCCTTGTATCTTTGGTTCCTCAAAGGGAGCTCCAAATCTGGTTGGTCCTCCTATCTCCAGCAATATGCTTTGCACATTGTATGTGCTTAGTAAATGGCTGTTAAATGTATGAAATTATTCCAAGTGAGACTAATACTTGGTATAATGAAGGAACAAAAACCAAAGAGGTGGAAGAACAGTTGAATAAAAAGGAACCTGGGAAAAAAGGAGAAGACTCCCTGAAGGTCTCATAGAAGAAATGAGATTGATCTCTCTTGAAGGGTGAGTAGGACTTCCATAGTGGGATTACTAATAATTATAATGATAACTAAAAGGTATTGTGTGCTTACCATGTTCCAGATACTGGCTAGACCATGTGCTCATTTTATCCTCATCATAGCCCTGTAAAGTAAGTTGTTTCTATGATAGTTTCCATTTTACAAATGAGGAAACACAAGGAAAGGCACAGAGAGGCCAGTTCACTTTCTCCAGGCATGTGGATCGTTCGGTAATAAAGTTATGATTTGAATCCATCACTGGAACTCCACAGCACACACTTTGAATACTAATGTTCTAAGTAGAGATGGAAATGCTCCAGGCACAGGTAAAGCCATGAGCAAAGGCAAGACAAGAGAGGGAAGCAGCAATGCACCCCACACAGCAGGGGCAGACAGGCCGGCAGGGGCCACCATGGTGCCAGACAAGGCTGGGAAGGTGGTCTGGGGACAGTCCGGGGTCATGTTTTCCCTTCATGAGAATGAAGACTATGAGCCACAGAAAAGAAATACCGAGTCAAATTTGCACGGGGAAGCATTATTTATGTGCTGTCTCTGGCCCCGCCCGGGGCTGCTGTTGTGTGGGGAACGAGGATCCCAGCCAGTGCCCCTGGACTGTTCTGTGGGCCAAGGAGCTCACTGCAAAGTCACACTTTGGAGAATAAAGCTGCTGGTGATGCCCAGAGTGGCCCAAATAAAAGTCAAATACCACATTCAGTCCTCCAGGGGTGTTTTTGCTATTAAATTAAGTCTGGAAAATAAATAATTGTCTTTGGATTTGATTTGAGAGATTTTTGGTCATTGAACACTCAGGAAAAAAAAAGGGGGGGCTATTTCTTGAAAGATTCCTTGACTGGCTCCCCCTGCCAGACGACAGCGGATCACAATGAAGGCATGCTGTCTGCAAAGAGATGCTTTTCTCCCCCTTCTTGACACAATTATCCCAGAAAAATAGAGGGGGGAGGGGAGGCTTCGTCATATGTTCCAATTTTTATTGCTACATTCCTTGGATGGCTCCATATGTTTACCTTTTGCTGACTTTAGACTTGGTGTTCTCTGTGGCTGCTGGCGTCGGCCACAGAATTCTTTCATGTCTATTACTTTATTAAGGAATGTAAAAGCCACATACAGACCGACCAGGGGACACAACAGTAGGAGACACAAATAACCCTGAATGCGCTGGCAAAGAGGAGGCTTCACACCTAATTCTCCCAGATGATTTGTAAGGCTCTCCAGGACCAAAAGGGGGCACTCTTAGCACTTGCTCCCAAGCCCAATCAATAATACCATTTTGATAAGTAAAATAGTGCAGAAACAGCACCAGGCTTTAAGATTGGTCCTGATGAAAGCAGAATGGGGTGAAAGAAACCACCCTCATTACTAGATATTTAAATTTTTTTTCTGACTTTTCATCAACTAGAAATAGAAGCTCTAAATCATGGGGAGACAGTTAAAATTAAATGGGATAAATGCACAAAAAATTGCTTTGCACAATGCCTTGGCATATCTATCATAAATGCTCAAAAAGAGTAGCTATTACATACTCAACTTTTACTACCTCTTAAAAGGGGCACTGAAGCTAGGTCCAGATTGGCTCATAGCACAAGAGTGTAATCATGAAATGGGTCTTTATATTGAATACCATTAGAAGTGAGGGCTAACAGGTAATCACTCAATTCCTACAGTGCACCGAGCACTTTGCATAAATTATCTTGTTATCATGATTTTGTAGATAAGGAAATTGAGGCTCAGGATGACTAAATATATTGTCCTCATATGTAGGAGAGGCGGGATTTGAACCTAGGTCTGTCTGATTGATTCCAAGCCTGAGCTTTTCCTTTTTTAAAATTTTATTTTACTTTTTGAGAGACTCTTGCTCTGTTGCCCTGACTGGACTGCAGTGGCACGGTCTCCGCTCACTGCAACCTCCACCTCCCAGGTTCAAGCTATTCTCCTGCCTCAGCCTACTGAGTAGCTGGGATTACAGGCATGTACCACCACACCCAGCTAATTTTTGCGTTTTTAGTAGAGACGGGGTTTTGCCATGTTGGTCAGGCTGGTCTTGAACTCCTGACCTCAGGTGATCCACTCACCTCGGCCTCCCAAAATGCTGGGATTGCAGGTGTGAGCCACCGCACCCGGCCAGCCTGAGCTTTTTCTATCAGACAAAAAACACAGTTTAGGATCTTCTGCTCATAATGCATTAGTTTCTCACTTAGTCTCAGACCCCCACAATCACTTTACCAAAGCCTGAAGCCAGTGCCAAAAAGCTCTAATCCCTTGTAGATACAATTCCATTTCTATTCAAAGATCCTAACTAAAATTCTTAACTTTTTCAGCAAAGCTTGTTTGTGGAGAAAGGAAGAACTGGGGGCTAGGTAGTGAAGGTAATTCCTATGCCATCAGCCTCCAAAGATGTTTGTTGGTATCTGGAAGATCCTTGCTTGTTTTCCTTTCAATGAGTCTCTCCAGGCTTCTGCACCTGCTATGTAATAGCAAAACTATTGTTATGAAACACACCAAAACCAAGTCCTCAAACTTCACAGAAGAATTCACTTTATTTCAGCACCAGTCCTCTCCCCTTTTCCTTCCCAGGATCTTCACTCAACTTGAAGATTTCTGCTTTCATAGGAGTTTGTAGTCTGCACTGTAACCACCCAATACATCGACAGGTTAAAAAAAGAGAGCTCTTGCTCAGAAAGAGCTAGAAAGACTGTAGAGCCTAAGGGGTTTGTTTTTACCTCCCTCCTGGAAGCCAATAGCCCTTTTTTTTTTTTTCCTGGGAGGTGCTCAGTGATTAAGAGTAAAAATGCTTTGACTTGATATGCAATGGAAAGACGGGATTCTTTGCTAAGATTACAAAATGTGTTTGCTTTGTGATTTTCCTTGCAATCCTGAAGTGGGTGAAAGACTTGCAACTGAAGGATGTTTTGATTATCAGGAGTGTTGCCCCTTAGCCAAACGAAGAAAGCCTTCAATCTCACTTGGGATTGAATGTTCTTTCGTTGAGTATAGGAGTATAGGGTGTTCTGTTCTGTAACAATGTCCTGGTTTTTAGCCCTGCAAGGCCTTCAGGATCTTCAGAAACAACATCTCTTTCCATCTCTGCGTCACTGGTGAGACTTTTTATAAAACTAGATGCTCTTTCTAATGAGAGCTGGCTATGTGTACCTAATGTTTGCACTGGGGCAGTATTTCCCAAGGCAGTAGTAAAGGCTCTGAGAAGTCCTACAGTAAAGAAACCTATGTCACTTTACTTAATCCAGGGATTCTCATATATATCTGACCACAGAACCCTTTTAGCTAACATCTATTAATATCCCATGGAAACAGTTCGGGTATAAACATATAAACTCTTGGAACTGCTTAGAAGGGATAACCTCAACTTATTGATGGATTTGGATAGACTATTTAAGGCAGAACTATTGGTCACATATTTGGGATAAACACTGAAGCTGCCTGCGTGGTCTGTCTGCATTATTTTTAGATCTGTGTAAGTATGTGTGCATGTGTTTATATATACTACATATAAATATACATTTTAGCTGTGAGGTTAGAAGATGAGGAGAAAAAAGGAGAAGATACTGCTTTTTATAAAGAAGCAATCAGTGTCTTGCAGGACAAGGGAAAAATCTATTAATTTTAAGGCATCATTGGTACCTTCTATTACTGGCAGGCTCTGGTCACAAAATTAGCATCATGTGGCTTCCTATAATGATAAAAACACCTAGACTCCTGTTCTGCATGAATGCCCTGACAATTGGAGATGACGCTTCTTCTCATCAACCTCCCAGGATTCTTTTTATTCAGCCCAGTCCACTCTTCAGCCCCAATGCAGCACCCAAAACACTTCTTTCAAAGTCAATGATACCTATATGATATACTCACTGGTACTCTTTTGGAGGATGCATTAAGTAATTCAGAAAATGGTGTAGTCTTATTCAATGTTGTGATCTAGTTTTTATTTCCAGAGCATGTTTGAAACCATCTAAAGAAAGTTCTTAGCAAACCACTCCATAAAAAAAAAAAAGTACAATGATATATATTTATTTAATTGTGGAAAAGTCATGGGAATTCTTTTTAAATATTTTAAATGAAACATAAGGTTACTTTCTGAAATAGAACTTTACCCATGTATTTTTTTAATTGTCACATATAGGGTGATTTTAAAGTAAATAAGAACACAAGGTTCATATTATTTTAAATGTATATTGTATTTGTCTTCTCAACGCTGTGGTTTTTAGGTCTGTGAATAGCATCATAGTATGGAGCCAGCCTATTAAGCAGCCTGTTTGGGTAAGGAAAGCCTTAGACCAGCACAATGTTGTATTGCTCACTGTGTCCTTCCAATATGGTTAGAATTCCACAACCTAAATGATCATTTGTTGAACAAATTCATGCTTTTATTAGTCAAAATACAGAGAAAACAGAGCCTCCCTGTTTCAAGATATTTGCTAATGCATGGTTAATTATCACATATAGCTTACTATAATTCATTTTACAGGGGAGACCTCCTGCAGGTAACATACTAGCAGTTTATGAACCAAAATAACCTCGCTATAGATTAGAGCCGTCCCAGGGCCGCTCAGACAGTTGGTGCTTCTAGACCTTCTCACTTCACATTGCTAATTCGAACAAGGCTTTATTTTTATATTTGTCAGCAGCAAGACTGTAGGATGGTTGTTAAACCTCTCCCAGGCCTAATTAGAGCAGCAATGCTCGCATTCATAATGAAGCTCGTGTCTTGCTCAGGAGGCAGTGATCTGGGCTGTTACAGTAGCTTCCTGGCAGGCCCTCGCTGGCAGTTTTAAGGTAGCTAGTGGCTGCGATATTAAGTGACTGTTGAAATTCATTGACTCCACCACGGCTAATGTGTCTAGATGACAACAAGTTTACACGGTTCTTTTATAGTTACAGCAAATAGGTCCATTTAAATATTTATTAGGTGATTATGGTGATGTGAAATGGAAAAAAAAATGCAAAGTGCAATATCTCAAGTATGGCTGTTTTTAACTGTTTATGTGGGGTCCGGATCATGGTATCACTCAAAATCGCTGCATCTTTCCCTTATAAATATTTATACTAGATCAGCAGTGATGAATGCTAATTTATTTGCATTTTGTTTCTTTATTGACTTCTCCCTGGGCAGAGGTTAGCTGTGAAAAGTCATGCAGGTTTACTGGATTGAAGGATATTTCGATCTGCCAACCAAGGGGCATTTTGATTAGATGGGGGGAGGACAGTTCACTTTGCTGAAACTGAAGAGCCCTTTTTGCTCTTGGAGATGCAGCCTGAGAGTGTATTCAGGCAGCTGGTGTTTTGCCCTCTGTCAGAGTTGATGTGCACACTGGCAAGCAGTTTTGCCTCCAAAAGACTGCTTTTCTGTATAGCAACTTGTCAAACCTCCTTGGACTGAATTGGGTGAGGCTGGCTGATCTGGGTGTTTGTCAGGCTTCTAACTTGAGTTTTTTTTTTTCTTGTTCTGTGAGTCACTTAAAAGATTACATTTTCACAAAAGCAAAAAGGCATATGTCTTAAATTGAATGGGGCATCTGAGACAAAGAGAGGAGCAGTTGAAAGAAACCCAGCTTTGTGCCGTAAAGACTAAACCAGTATGATACCAAAGAGCTCAAAAAATCTGTAGGGGAAACTGTCAGAAAATTCCAGGCAGATAAAGGGCAAATGGAAGTTGTCACTTTGCAATTGAATATTTTGACTCTCTAGGTAGCTAGAACATAAGATAGTGATTCCCAATACACCATCCATAATGCTGTTTATTATTTTCTTTCTTATGTCTTGAAACAAACTGTATCTGTATAGCCTCAATATGTGTAAATGGAGAATATTCAGGAGGTTTTTAGAAGCAGCTTTTGAAATAACCCATTACTACATATAGGATGCCCTGGAGATCTGAGGACTGTCTAAATGAAAGTTTGCGTGAAGCACTTAAGGCCACTAAATCAGAAATCTCTGAAGCCACCATAATTGTTTCAGTTGGCAAAAATAAAAAATAAAAAATCTCTGACTCTAATTTGTATCTCTTTTTACAAAATGCACTCATTTAGAGTTTGGTCTGTTCTAGTGGAGCCCAGTCTTGAACCTGTTCCAAGGACATTAATCACCCAAGAATCCAGAACTATCTCATGATGTGATCAATAGTATGTCCTTCTGGACACGGATGTAGCAAGAATTCACCGCAGTGTGGTTCTACAAAGTCAGGCTATTTAAAGAGATTTAAAATTATGTGGGAATCTCACTATTAAGAAAATACTATGGTCAGGGGTGGTGGCTCATTCCTGTAACCCCAGCATTTTGGAAGGCCGAGACAGGATTTCTTGAGCCCAGGAGTTTGAGACCAGCCTGGACAACATAGCAAAACCCTGTCTCTAAGAACAATTTCTTTTAAAGATGAGAACATTATAGTGAATCTTTGATCATATGAAGACTCCTCTGAGGAATAGAATTATTCTGAAATCTACAAATGTGTACTCTAACTTAAGAATCGAATCATATGGACCCTCAAATTAAAACTTGTAATCATGAATTCCTTTCAATGTAAGAATTCATGGCTTCATTTACTGTTCACAGTTGTAGCTATTTGCAAGTGACTCATGATAGGTAGTTCGTGATTTCTTTTTAATTTGAATCTTCTGAGCTACAAAGATGATGTGCAGAGGCTGATCACTTAGTGCAAACAAAAACCCACATCTTAGTCCAGCCTCGTTGCTCTCAATTAATATAAAAGTATCTTTTAATCCTCTCAGCTCATTGAGGATGCATTTACTCTCCCCATTTGATAAATGAAGAAACATGACATTAAAGCAACTTTGGTGCTTTTTGGAGATCTCAGGTCTGTTTGAGACGTGTGACCTGGCATGGGGCAGTGCTCCTCTGCATAGCCATATGTGGCCACCTGCTCTCAGGGCACCTCTTGCAAATGTGAAGGCCCCACTGTAATAAGTTATCTAGTATATTTCATAAGAGATTCAATCTACCAATATTTTCTTTATTCACAATTCTTCAATTTTATAAAGCAAAGACTGTCTCTAATGGGTTTTCCTAAAATCGGAATATATCAATAAATCGCAAACAGAGTAGGTCATTGGGAAAAGTCATGCCTTAGTCGGTCCAGGCTGCCATAACAAAATATACTCAAATGGGTTGCTTATAAGTAACATAAATTTATTTTCCACAGTTCTGGAGACTAAGAAGTCCAAGATTAAGATGCCTGTAGATTCAGCATCTGATGAGGGCGCTCTTCTGGGTTGCAGACTGCCGACTTCTGGCCATGTCCTCACATGGTGGAAGGGTAGCCCTCTAGCTAGTTCTCTGGGGTCTTTTTCATAAGGGCACTAATCCTATGCATGAGTGGGAAGCTCTCCCGACCTAATCATCTCCCAAAGACTCCACCTCCTAATACCATCACCTTGGTAATTAGGTTTTAAGACATGAATTTTGGGGGGAAACAAACATTCAGACCATAGCAAGTCATGAGGATTCTAGTTCAGAATTGTTTACTTGAAAATCACTATGTTGGTGCAAGTGCCAAACACAAAACAGGGAAGTACATTCTGTTTACACGTGAGAGATTATTAAAAAATAACCATTCAGGCTTACCTTTCTAGATACCAACCCAGGAAAGTCAACTCTCTGTTACATTTGCTGGGGGAAGTCAGTAAACATGATATCGACTCATTTCTGTCACTGTCATTAGGTGTATATATCCTTGAGTTGGCTGGTTAATTTATTTCTGGTGAAAAAACAAGAAATAGCCTTTCCTCAAGTGAACAGGTTCATCAATTTTTACATGGTGCAAGATAATTGCTGAGGGTCCTAGCTTGCATGTGCACTATGACCCCCAAAGTAAACTAACCCCACATTTAAATTAAAATCAACTTCAGCATGGATGACTTCAAACAAAAGCAATAAAACCCTCAGTTTGCTTTCGTCTCCTACTGTGTTTTCCTTTGTTCTGATGTGCTGAAAAATGACAGCCTTAAAAATAGAATAGCAGAGCCTATTTGTTCTCAGCTCTGATACCATTTGGGATGTGTATACCTGTGTGTGTGTGTGTGTGTGTGTGTGTGTGTGTGTGTGTGTGTGTACACATATCTATATCTCCTCTTGTGTGCTCATAGATTTTTGGACTTTCTGGGCTACATTCCATCACTCTACATTTCCATGTCATATGCCTCAGTCTGTACCCACGAATGTCATTTTCTCTTTGATTCTCAAGCTTTGTCAGTGTAGACAATCATTGAATCTGTAGTTCTGGCTGAACTGTACTATTAGAGATAAGAAAAATAAATCCAAAGTGTTTTTTTTTTCCACTCTCACACACCACTCAACATAATACTTCTGACACCAGATGTGCAGGGATATTTTATCATACAACAAGCAGTTCTCCAGCACACACCAGCTGGATGTCTTACAATTCAATTCAATTCTGACATTACATACCTGCAGATAGCATCAGATCCCATAGGTTAAGGCCTCAGTTCTATAAGACTTACCCCAACTTTTGATGCCAATCGCAAGTAGTAGGATGTTACCTATACTATACAAGTATACTGTATAGGTATATGGGCTGTAAATTGTGGTTCTGACGACTTCCTTCTTGGGTTTAAGAATGGCTCACAGAACTCAGGGAAACTTATATTTACCAGTTTATTAATAAAGGATATAATAAAGAATATAGATGAACAGGCAGGTGGGAGAGATATGTAGGGTGAAGTTGAGAAGGGTCCCAAAGTGCAGGAGCTTCTGACCCTATGGAATTGGGGTGTGCTGTGCTACTGGCACATGGATGCATTTGCCAAACCAGAAACTCTCCAAGTCCACAGTTTAGGGATATTTATGGAGGCATCATCATGTAGGCATGATTTATTATTCACTCCATTTCCAGCCACTCTCCCCTCTCCGGAGAATGGGGGCTGGGGCTGAAAGCTCCAAGCTTGTAATCATGGCTTGATCTTTCTGGTGACCGGCCCCTATCCAGGAGCCCACCAAGAGTAACCTCAAAAGAACAAAAGATGCTTCTGTCACCCAGGAAATTCCAAGAGATTTAGGAGCTCTGTGTCAAGAACTGGGCTCAAAGACCAAATATTAGAACTAAAGATTCTCCTAGCATCCCTATTGTTCAGGAAATTGCAAGGGTTTTAGCAGCTCTATGCCAGAAACTGGGGGCAATACGTGTATTTCTTATTATTTCACAGTATAATAAAGAATTGTAGACAGAAAATCAACTAATTAAGGATGGCATAGCTATCCAAAGCTATAAGCTGAAAAGATAGGTTCTACTTCAAGCTATTTTGTACCCTAGTATAAAATACCCTAGTGCAAAGAAATGTCAATTCTTTCTACCTCCATCTCAATCAACTATTATGCAAGTCATGTTTGTATAGATGTTGGTTTTATTATTTTTTTCTTCTGATGTGTTGTCCTGATGGACTCTTTGGGTAAAGTTGTGATTTCAGAGTTGAGTAGGGGCACTCTTTTTCCTGAAGGCTGAATCTTCCTGGTATCATTCATGCGGTGAAGAGGTTGAGCCTCAGGCCAGAAAGTAGAACTTAGAAAGCCAGATATTATTATCATCCCCAGTTCACAGATAGTGGAATTCTCAGACAGGATGAGTGGCCTGCTCAATCTCATATAGCCCCTCTGCTATAAAAAATAAAATAAATCAAAGAATCTAGGATTATTCATTCTAGCTTATCCTTTTTATAAAGGCTATAGGTTGGCAAGCTACCTTAAAGCTGCAATGATAATTACTTTAAATGTAGTATTTGTGCAGCACTATTCACTTTGTAAAATATATTTGTGTGTGTGTGAGTTAACCTCACAACTACCCAGTGAAAAACAATAGGGACTATTTTCTGCCCCAAGTCAATAGATCTGGATATGAGATTCGGAATTCAAATAAATAGCCCTAAACCACACAATGGAGGAATTTGGATTAGAACCCAGGTCTCTAGATTCCTTACCTGGTGTTCTTTTAACAACATCATGGTGCTGATTATGGGCTTTCTAATGTCTCAGTAGCAGCTGCTGAGAAGCCACATGAAGATTCTCAAATATACAGAGCACTTTTAAGAGAAAATGAATGAGAAGGTCATTAACTTGTTCCAGTCAGTGGGGCTTGAAAACAATTGTTCCCTGCAGCTCCAAGATGCTTTCTTGTTCTTCAGGCTCGGAAGTGATGTACAGATTAGAGCTTTCTGACCTTTGGAATCTGTTTTGTGTTTCTCTTCCTCTGAAGTTATTGATTAAGGGTTCTATTTACTCTATGTTTAAGCTTCAGTGGCCTTTAAAAATGAAAGAAAAAGTTTGAGGATCACCTTGTTATATTCTAGTTTATTCAAGAATGAACATAATAGAAAGTAAAAAACTAATCCAGGAAGTAAGCAACCAAGTAGAAAAAGATGCCAAAATTATGAATAGAAATAGATGTCAAAAATTATGTGAATGAGAAGAAAGGAGGAAATTCCACAGAGATTGTAGTGGAGCATGCTATGAGATATTTTGATAAAAAGGTATCATTTCATGCTCTAAGAACAATAAAAGAGATTTTTAGGGGCCATCACATAAAAGAACCCCATTATTATTCCTGGAGGAAATGATCTGTCAGGAAGAGTTTGACCTGTGCCATCCAGAGGCACCTATGCATGGACAGTCAGTCAAAAGACCACAGTAGACAGGGTATGTGGCAATATAACAGATAAGACCCCTGAATCTCACCATTCACTGCCCCCCATGGAAATGAATGGTGGATTGGGGGCCCAGAGATCCCAGTGTTCTGTATGGAAAATTGTAGAGGGGCACTCAGGACACAGGTGATGTTTTCAGCTATTCCAGCTGAAGGTCATGTCTTTGGAAAAGAAAGGAGACTAAGGGAATGAACAGCTAGAGACAGTGTTGAAGAGAAGATGTTAATTTCCTGGACTGTGGCCTGACACCAGAACAAATGTCCTGGCTAGTATCTGTAGAATCTGGCTACACGTCACAAAGACTGGGAAGAATGTATTTGGCAGACAATTCTGCCCTGATCAACAGAGTGGAAACAGGGTTTTTGTCAGAGAGAGGAAAAAAAGACCAAATATATTGCAAAACAGAATTATATGAAAGATGCTATATCTGACATAGCAAGATGCAGCACAGTGTGGGCAGAAGTTCCTAGTAGTTCTTAGGCAATAGTAAATGTCATTTATATACCAAACCTACAGAATAGAGGGGACAAACAGTTGAACTTGACATGCCAAGATTCAAAGATATATGCAACCTTCTAGATATTTCTCTATTTGCATGGTGAAGCCTATGACTAGAACATATGATAAATGAACCATTATAAAAAAGCCAAAAGAAGAATATTAATCATATCCAGAGAAACACATTTAAATGGCAAATACTTCTGACCAGAATTCTTGCCCTGGCTAAGTCACAAAAGATGGGGATTCTGTTGCTCTGAAAGATTAGGGTTACTCTTCATACATACAAACAGACACCCTTACCTGGGATCCATCATACTGCCCACAAAGGAAATAAGACCATTTATTCAAGAAACATCTACTACAGATTGGGTGGTGGAAATGCACAGATGAGGCAGACACAGCCTTTGCCCTCCAGGAGGTTACAATCTGTTAGGGAAGAGAGATGTGAAAAATGAATATTTAAAATCCAGCAGGTCAGATGTATTTGGAAGTATAATGGGGGAAAAAGTGAAAATCATAGGGGATTGAAAGGGAATGAGTTTCCCAGCAGAAAATGTGACCCTTCTTTGAATACTGGCTTTGGAGGTTTGTGGATGAATGAAAATAATGTATTCCCTTAGGGGCCTGGCTCTATAAGACACAAATCTTAGAAAACATCAGGAGTTGGATGCTTGAGCAGGGTCAATCTCAGCAATGCTAAAGAAGTTTCTCATGAGGCAAATCCCTTGCCCAAGTTTCCCTTATTTACTGCCAGCCCTGATAAGCCCTCGTAGAAACTTCCAATCTACCCATTTCAAGCCTTTCTTGCTTGACAGTGGCTTGTGGCTAGTCCTGCTTACTTGTAAATCTTTTCTTAATCCCATCTGAAGAAACCAGGTGGGATATTGCCTATCAAGGGTAGGAACAGCAGAAGAATTTAGACCTGTAAATAATGAGTCATATACTAGTATAAAAACCTACCGATCGGAGAGGGGAAATAAAGTAAAAATCATATCAATTGCAATAAAGGGAAAGAGAATCAAAAGTTCTGTTTTGGTGGAATTATATCATAGGATACCTAGCCAGATAGTGTTTAAGGATGATATTTTTCTTATATAAATTATTTAAAATTATTTCCTAATACAGACTATATTTTAAAAATACAGAGATAATAGGATGGGAGACTTTAACTCTACATACATTTACCAGAAGTCTGATTCCATTGAAACTAGAATATCTCACAAACATTAGCCTCATTGACAATTTTATCATTTAGCAAAGAGAGGGAAAAAATAGATGAGTTGCCCTTTGACTTAGAACTGGCCTTCAAAACAGTCTTGAATTAACAGGAACTTTGAGAGAACCCTCTCCAAGAGGTAAAAGATACAGTACGGATTGCTGGACATGTTACCCAAGGCTTCAAGAAATTCAGAGAATAGCTAGAAGCAAGCCCACATCTAGAAGACATCTAAAGTGAATGAGGACTTCTAAATTTGAGGAATACTGAGAGTTAACACTATGATTACTCAGTTGAAAATAATCCCACTGAAGATAAAAGGAAATGGGCAACTCATGAACCCTATTGGATATATAGCGGGGCTTTGTGCATTTAGATCTCAAAAAAAGTCCATCCAGAAAATGGATTTGAATCTGAAGGTGCAGTATTAGTGCCAGTTATTTGCTGACCACTGGAGACACTAAAAACAGAATGAAGTAAATCTTGGGTAAGATCTTCATGTCACTGAAGCCTTTCATAGTACTCATACAGCAGAGTGGGTGCTTGAACAGCTATCAAACTGAACTGCTTTCCCAAATAACAGATAGTAGGAAGAAAACTCAACATTTTTTTTTCTTTTCTTTTTTTTTTTTTTTGAGACAGAGTCTTGCTCTGTCACCCAGGCTGGATTGCAGTGGCATGATCTCGGCTCACTGTAACCTCTGCCTCCTGCATTCAAGCGATTCTCCTGTCTCACCCTCCCCAATAGCTGGGATTACAGGTGTGCACCACCACATCCAGCTAATTTTTTACATTTTTGTTAGAGACGGGGTTTCATCATGTTGGCCAGGCTGGTCTCGAACTCCTGACCTCAAGTGATCTGCCCACCTTGGCCTCCCAAAGTGCTAGGATTATAAGTGTGAGCCACTGCACCCAGCCACAACACTCAACTTCTATTTGGTTTTTCAATTTTCTAGCAATAATTATCTTTATACTCAATGAAACAAACAATATAAAAAAGAATTCAAGTCAAGATTGAGGGAGAACAATTAAGCACTCATGAGTTCAACCGTTTAGGCCTTGGAAAGTTTTAAGCTCTAAAATAAATATACACATGTCCTCTTAACAACCTTATTATTAATCTATCAGATGATACAATGAATGGGAGAGTTCTCAAAAGGCTAGTGATCAGAAGCTATCCAAATTTACTAAAATCTAATTCCTTAAACCTAAATTTTCGTTAACATTTGTATGTTTTTATTTTATTTTTAATGCCATTATTAAAATCCTTGACAAAATTCTAGAAAAGATGATTAAATTGTAGGCTAAAAAACCAAACAAACAATAAAGTGATCACCAAGAACCCACCATTGTTCACTAAGAACAAATCATGGCAGGTTAACTTCATTTGCCTTTGAGCTAAAATTTACTATACTGATAAATTAAGGGACTACTCCCAAACATAGCACTTATTAATTTCAACCAGGCATTCAACAAAGTATCTCAAGTGGATTCACACCTGGTTGAATATTGCATTCAAAGACTGACAGGCTTGAGGAAATGTTGTGCCATTAGAATCAGGGGTTCTGCCCTCAGCTTGTGACCTGCTCAGTTGGTTGCCAAATTTGTTTTTACCGGCAGAGGTAAAAACAAATTTGGATTTGAGCCCATGTGATTTTCCCCCCATTATGCTCTGTTGCCGACAGACAGAGGAAAGTGATAGAAGGTTGAAAACTTTAAAACCATTCTATATCAGGAAATGTTAACGGAACAGTCAAACTCAGCCTGAAGAAGTGAGAAAAGGACCACCCCACTTATAGAGGCTGCTCAGAAGTCACTGTCTTTTTTCTGGCCCTTAAATGCTGTATAGGACATTTCTTCCTATTCTCCGTAGCCTCATTGCAGCATTACACATTACTGACCACATTACCAACTTTTTTGTATCATCGTCCCTTGGTTTCCACAGTGTTACACTATCTCGGTTTTATACGTTTCTTCATATCCTTTTCTCTGTTTGATTATTAGTTAATCCATTTCCTCTGGCAACTGGATTGAAACAAAGTTCAGTCCTTAACCTCTGCTCTTCTATCCCTTGGAGCAGCTGTATTACTTCTGCACTAATTGTTCCTAAATCTATAAACTCAAATTTGACCACTTTCCTAAGTTCAAGTCCCACTTAAGCGATTGCTTGATGGACGTGTATATTTAGAAGTCTGCAATCATCTCGAACTCAAAACATCTAAAACATTACTGATCTTTCTAGAACTCCTGCTTCATCTTGGCTTCCTTAATTCCATCAATGGCACTGCTGTTTCCTAGGTCAAAACTTGAGAGAAGGCACTGACTTTCCATAACCTTTTTTTTCATATCTAGTTAGTCACCAATTTGTGTCAATTCCTCACTTATAGATTCTTTTGAATTTGTCCATTAATACCCATTTCCTAAGCCAAGTGTGGGTTAAATGACTGCATAGTCTTTCAGCTTGTTTTTCAGCTCCCCTTTCCAATATCCCCTGCATGGCACCATAAGATCAACCATCCGAAAGGGAGGAGTATGACTCTTTCATTATGTCTTTCCCTTTCTCACTAGTGGCCTGCCATCCTGCAGCTGAAAGACTTTCTTATTTTCTTGTCTTTCAAATTCTAACCTGCCTTCAAAGTCCAACCAAACTTCTTTTCCCTTCCATGATGTTTTGAATCCCGACTCTGCCACCTAGTAGCTGGATGACCTTGGGCAACCTACTTAAGCTCTCTGTTTCTGTTTGTTCATCTAAAAAGAAGTGAATATTCTAATAATGCCTGCATCATAGGATTGTGAGGAGAATTAAATGAGTTAGCATCTGGTTAGAGCACTCAGAACTGGTAATGGCTATATAACACATTAAATAAATACAAATGTGTATGTTCCCTAAGTATGCCAAATTGGAATATATCTCTTACCCTATGTTCACTACTAATATATCATAGATATAACCTTTATCTCCTCCATTTATTAAATTATGTTGTCGCTTACACTCCCAAGTAGGACATCTGTTAGCCACACATGGTCTGAAAGCTCATTGAAAGTAAAGGTCACATCATGTGTTTCTTTATATCTCCACAGTCCCTACTATCAGCCTTACCTACTGGAGCTATGCACGTAATGATTTAAGCATTGATTTGCTCCTGGCTTTCTGGATGTGCACCCAGATTCTCTAATTCTCAATCTCACCATCTCTGCTTTATTTCTAAACCTCCCCTCACTGATCTTCTCCAGGGGCTTGGTGTGTGTGCTACAATCCACCTCTCTTGTTAGCCATCTCTGAGCGCTACATTTATCAGGGACAGTGGGTGTTGGCAGGCAGACAAGAAACACAAATCTGTAGACAGCGCCACCACAAGCCAATCTTGCCAGTACAATTCCGCAGTTTGCTGACAGACGTGTGGTGATTTTCCAAGCCTCTAATATGGAATACCATAGGGCCTTTAAGGAGAAGTAGTTGAAGATTGGGGCAGCTGGCGATTTCCCCTCCATTTTCTATCTTTGAAAGGGCATGTGCCTGACATTTGACTCTAAAATGATCTGGGATGCCATAGCTGTCACATAAAGAATGGTCTAGCAATAGAGTGAAGTTTTGGATTGGAGTGGTGTGAATGCTTCAGCAAATCTTCTGAAGACCATCCAAAGCCACACATAAATAATGAGTTTGGAAGGGCAACAAGAATGCATGGGATGTGGCCTTCTGAATCACCCATATAGTGTTCCTGGAGTGGTGGGATATTTAGGATAAAGGATCATTCGCAAAAACTCATCAGGGTGTGTGTGGGGGGTGGGGGAGCAGGAATTATTTGAGCACAGCGTTCCAGTGCAGTTTGAATTTCCACACAAATCCTCACCCTGATGCTGTGACCTCAGCTGAAGCAGAACAATCAGTGTGGGGGTGGATAATTTCCACAAATTCATGAACTGTTTTACACTAAAGCAAGCTCAGACATCCTTAATCAAAAAGCACTTCTAACCACACATCAGTGAGTGTGTAAGATAGCCCCCTCTTTTTCATAACGATGGTGTACTTTTTTTTTTTTTTTTTTTTTTTTTGAGATGGAGTCTGGCTCTGTCGCCCAGGCTGGAGTGCAATGGTGCAATCTTGGCCCACTGCAAACTCTGCCTCCCAGGTTCCAGTGATTCTCCTGCCTCAGCCTCCCCAGTAGCTGGGACTACAGGCCCTTACCACCATGCTCAGCTAACTTTTGTATTTTTAGTAGAGACAGGGTTTCATCATGTTGGACAGGATGGTTTCGATCTCTTGACCTCATGATCTGCCTGTCTTGGCCTCCCAAAGTGCTGGGATTACAGGCATGAGCCACCGCACCTGGCCAGCTAGGGCTTACTTTATGGTCTAGGGAGTTTCATGGGAGTCAAAAAAGAAGTCACACAAATGCTGCTCTGATAATTTTGTCAACTGGGTGGAAACGACAAGTTGCAAATCTCCTTATTGTTTTGTCCCTCCACACTTATGTCAAGAGTAGCTATTGGCCAAGTTCACTCCATGAAGAGTAAATCATTCCTCTGGCCCAACAAAAGGTTCTTTTGCAACACATAACATTTGTAAGCTAGTGATGGGCTCAATGGACACTGGCCAAGAACTTTAATCATCTGCACCACATGCCTAAAGGGCTAACTCACCTCAAACAGGCTTACAGAATGAAATTCAGACCCTGGAAAATTCTGGCTCTAAAGACAGGAAGCTCCACCTCTAGAAGGCTCTCCACGCTTCAGACTTTTGTTTCTTCATCCATCCTATCCTGTATTTCCTCATGCTGAAGCCTTCATTTCTTGAGAACCAGGGTGGTCCCAAAGCAGCAGCACCTGTGTTTTACAGGTGAATTTGAGCTATTTGGCTTTGATACACCTTTTCCAGTTTGTGTTTTGCTGTAGGAGTTTTGTTATTGTAGACTCTCTGTAATTTGCCTTCTGTTTACCTCTCCAATGCGAACTAACTTCTCCTCCACCCTACTCACACTCCACACAAGCCATTCACACAAATACTCTATGATTCCCCACTCCCACCATTTTTTCTATTTGGTCAGTTTTCCCAGAGGCGCGATCTGATCACTCACCCAGGAATGCATTTGGAGGCTGAGACAGATGACCCTCACCAATGAATATGAATGAATGTTTAGTTAGTATTCACAGGAAGCTGAGATTCTCAGGAAGAGAAGACATTGCGAAGAATTCCAATGATGAGAAGGAGAACAATTAGGGGTGGGGTTGGGGGGTAGTTTGGGGCTTTTTTATGTTTAGATGAGAGGCCAAGTTTGGGGGCTTCACGCATGGTAGGCTAGAGGCTGCACTGTTTGAAATTCCAGCCAGCTCAGAGAGGTCTTTCTTGTCAGGTATCAAAGGCAGTGGTGGAGAGGATGGTTGAGCACAGAAGGGATTCCAGGATCCTGCCAACACTCAAGTGCCAAAGTTGGAGTCATCCCCTTTATGACACTTGCAAACCTCTTCACTTTCACACAAGCAGCCCCTCCTTGGGACACACGCCAGCTTGTCCCCCCAAAACTCCCCTTATGAGCCACCTCCTCTAGAGCCCTTTCCTGACTCTCACTCAGCTGCAATGGACCATTCTCTTCTCTGCTACAATCATGTTCTGTGCTTGCCTCTATTTTTATAGTACCTATCATATTTGATCTTTGCAGTAGATTGAATTGTGTTCTCTCAAAAGATATATCCAAACCCTAAGCCCCATTACTTTATGAATGTGACCTGATTTGGAAATAAGATATTTGCAGATATAATTAAGTCAAGGGTCTTTGGATGAGGTCATCCTGGGTTTAGCATGGGCTATAAATCCAGTGATGCGTCCTTATAAGATAAAGGAGAGGGATATGTGACACAGAGACACAAGGAGAAGGCCAAGTGAAGCCGAACACAGAGATTGGAATTACGCAGCTACAAGCCAACGAATCCCAAGGACTGCCAGCAGCCACCAGAAGCCAGGAGAGAGGCATGGAATGGATTCTTCTGCAAAGTCTCCAGAAAGAACCAACCTTGCTGACGCCTGGATTTCAGACTTCTGTCCCCCAGAACTGTGAGAGGTTAAGTGGAGGCTTTTTCAAGCCACCAAGTGTGTGATAATCTGCTATAGTAACCCTAGCAAACTGATCACTTTATAATCATCAGTCTGGATTTTTATCCTTATCACAAGAGCTGTGTGCTCCCAGAGGGCAGAGGTTGTCATTTGTTCATCTTTGGATCCCTCCAGCCTAGCACAAGTGCCTGACACAAACAGAGGCGCATCTGAAAAAAAAAAAAAAAAAAAAAAAAAAAAACAGCCCAAACCAAATGAATGCAGAGGCAAAAGGACCACAGAAATTCTCTCTACAGCAGGAGGACTTCTATTGAATCTATCAGCTATGGTGAAATCATGAAGGGCTCCATGTGAAAAATCAAGAGTACACCACAGGTTGCACTTTAGGTCAGGCTGTTTCTTTACTTTTTGCCTGCAGGTGGACTTCTAGAACTATTGGGTGATGGGAAAAGTCCATGCACCAGTCTACACAGGCACTAAAGTACTTTGGCATGCATCCAACCTTTCTCTCTGAGTCCATGTTAATCAGGTTTACCCAGGAGATAGACAAGTAGCTTGGGTACTCTGATTTAAACCGCATGCCCTCGCGGGAGTCCCTAGAATGAGAGTTCCAATGCTGCAGAGAATCTGTTGTTTGGTTTGGGTGCTTTCTTCTCTCACTGAGCAAAAAGATGGGTTTTTTTCCTCAGGAGGAGGTGAGTGAGTGAGGATAAAATTATTTACTTAGGGACCACCTAGGCCAGGTCTGAAAATTCAGCCCAGGTGGGAAACTTCAGTCCAGTGAGGGTTCTTTGTTTTTGTTAAAGAAAAAGAAATTGCAGATGGACAGCCGAGGAGCATTGGAGCAGATGTCTGAGGCACAAATCCCTGAAGCAGACCCAGGGACCACTGCCCTTTCCTGCTTTCCATCGCCTCATTTTACAGGTGACAAACAGCCTGGCCACTTGTTTAAAGCTCAGGATTTTCTTTTTCCTCCTTCTCTTCTCTTACCCTTTTTTTTTTCTAAAAACCACAAGAGTGTTAGGTGATTTTTCCCTCCCTGCCTAGGGAACATTTATTACAGATGCTTAATCTTTCCCCTCTCCTTGGGGCAGCTCAGGCCCTCATACCAGGAAGGAGCTGAATCGTTGCCTTGGCAGAAACACTGCCCACACAAAAGGGGTAGGTGTTTTTAATTTTATCTTGTTCTATAAGGCAGGCATGGGTGAGAAACAAGCAGTGAGTGTGCACTGAGCAGGCAATGGGAATTAGAAACCATGGAATGGGTACAAAAGAAATTAAAGGATCTTTCCCTGACTTCAGTGAGCTGTCAGACCAACAGACAGACATAAAGGGAGTCAGAAAAATAGAATGTTTTTTGCTAGCAGATGTGTAAAACCTGTAGTATTAGTCCATTCTCATGCTGCCATAAAGAACTGCCCAAGATTGGGTAGTTTATAAAGGAAAGAGGGTTAATTGACTCACAGTTCTACATTGCTGGGGAGGCCTCAGGAACCTTACAATCATGGCAGAAGGCAAAGGAAAAGCAGGCACCTTCTTCACAGAGCAGCAGGATTGAGTGTCAAGTGAAGGGAGAAGCCCCTGATAAAACCATCAGATCTCATGAGAACTAACTCACTGTCACAATAATAGCATCAGGAAAACCACCCCCATGATTCAATTACCTCCACCTCGTCCCACCCTTGACACGTGGGGATTACTGGAATTACAATTCAAGGTGAAATTTGGGTGGACACATAGCCAAACCATATTATTCTGCCCCTGGACCCTCCCAAATCTCCTGTCCTCACATTTCAAAACCAATCATGCGTTCCCAACAGTCCTCCAAAGTCTTAACTCACATCAGCATTAACTCAAAAGTCCACAGGCCAAAGTCTCAGCTGAGACAAGGCAAGTTTTCAAAACTAATTATGCCTTCCAAACAATTGCCTGAGGTCTTAACTCATTCCAGCATTAACTCAAAAGTTCACAGTCCAAAGTCTCATCTGAGACAAGACAAGTTCCTTCCACCTATGAGCCTGTAAAATCAAAAGCAAGTTAGTTACTTCCTAGATACAATGGGGGTATAGGCATTGTGTAAATACACCCATTCTAAATGTGAGAAATTGGCCAAAACTAAGGGGCTACAGGCCCCATGCAAGTCCAAAATCCAGTGGGGCAGTCATTAAACCTTAAAGTTCCAGAATGATCCCCTTTGACTCCATGTGTCACATCCAGATTATGCTGATGCAAGAAGTGAGCTCTCATGACCTTGGACAGCTCTACCCTGTGGCTTTGCAGGGTACAGGCCCCCTCTCAGCTGCTTTCATGGCTGGCATTGAGTGTCTGCAGTTTTTCCAGGTGCATGGTGCAGCCTGTTAGTGGATCTACCATTCTGGGGTCTGGAGAACAGTGAGCCTCTTCTCACAGCTCCACTAGGTCATGCCCCAGTGGGGACTGTATGTGGGGGCTCCAACCCTACATTTTTCTTCCATACTGCCCTGGTGGAGGTTCTCCATGAAGGCTCTGCCCCTGCAGCAAACTTCTGCCTGGACATCCAGGCATTTCCACCCATCCCAAACCTCAATTTTTAAGGTTCCCAAACCTCAGTTTTTGACTTTTATGCACCCACAAACCCAACACCATGTGTTAGCCACTGAGACTTAGGGTTTGCACCCCCTGAAGCAATGGCCTGAGCTGTGCATTGGCCCCTTTTAGCTGTGGCTGGAGCTGAAGCAGCTGGGATGCAGGGCACTGTGTGCTGAGGCTGTATAAAGCAGGGAGGCCCTGGGCCCTGGGCCAGGAAACCATTTTTACCCCCTGGCCTCCAAGGCTGTGATAGGAGGGACTGAAGGTCTCTGACATGCCCTGGAGACATTTTCCTCGTTGTCTTGGTGATTAACTTTCAGCTCCTTGTTAGTTATGCAAATTTCTACAACCAGCTTGAATTTCTCCCCCAGAAAATGGGGTTTTCTTTTTTGTGGCATCATCAGGCTGCAAATTTTCCAAACTTTTATGTCTGCTTCCTCTTGAGTGCTTTGCCACTTAGAAATTTCTTCTGCCAGATACCCTAAAACATCTCTCTCAAGTTCAAAGTTCCACAGATCTCTAGGGCAAGGGCAAAATGGCACCAGTCTCTTTGCTAAAGTATAACAAGAGTTGCCTTTGCCTCATTTCCCAACAAGTTCCTCATCTCCATCTGAGACCACTTCAGCCTGGACATGTCATTGTCCATACCACTATCAGCATTTTGGTCAAGCCGTTCAACAAGTTTCTAGGAAGTTCCAAACCTTCCCACATCTTCCTGTCTTCTTCTGAGCCTTCCAAACTGTTCCAGCCTCTGCCTGTTACCCAGTTCCAAAGTCCCTTCCACATTTTTGGGTATCCTTATAGCAGCACCTCACTCTACTGGTACCAATTTATTGTAGTAGTCCATTCTCATGCTGCTATAAAGAACTGCCTGAGACTGGGTAATTTATAAAGGAAAGAGGTTTAATTGGCTCACAGTTTCACATTACTAGGGAGGCCTCAGGAAACTTACAATCATGGTGGAAGACAAAGGAGAAGCAGGCACCTTCTTCACAGGGCAGCAGGATGGAGTGAGTACTGATCAAAAGGGGAAGCCCCTGATAAAACCATCAGATCTCATGAGAACTAATTCCCTATCATGAGAACCGCCCCCATGATTCACTTATCTCCACCTGGTCCCACCCTTGACGTGTGGGGATTATTGGAACTACAATTCAAGATGAGATTTTGGTGGGGACACAGCCAAAATTTATCACTGTACTTTTCATTTTTCAAGAAATCTTCATATCCATGATGTTATTTCATCTTCAGAAGATTCCTGGGATATAAAGCAGGTGTATGACTTTCAGTTTCCAGATATGGAAACAGAGAGGTTATGGGAATGGACTACTTGTGTCAAGTTAAGATAAAAATCTCAACCTGTTAGCTACAACTTCTACTTGCCACTTTAATAAGGGTGGCTACCCTCTGCTGGATCCTTCTTCTCTGCCAGATCCTGTTCTAAGCATTATTTCATTGAATCTTCATAAGTGCTCTCTAAAGGAAGAACTGGTGTTACTCCTGTCTTACAGATAAAGAAACTGAGACTTATCCAGATAACACAGCTAGTTATTGTTGAAACCAGAATTCAAAACCAAGTCTGTCTAACTCAAAAACTCTTTTTTCTTGTAGCTCTAAGATTTTAAAATTTCATTTGATGAGAGGGTGCAGAGTAAAGTAGCAGTTAGCATTAGAGGACTTGATCAAGGAAATTTCTTAGCAGATGTAAACATTGGCATCCACTTAAATGGAAACAAAATGGAAGGTAACATTTATTGCATAGTTAAAATAGGTGAATCCCTTTAGAAGTGACACTAATCTAGCATTCTTTACACGAATGGGATGATTCTCCTAATTTTACAGGAAAGAGGCTAAGGCTTGGAGAGATTGAATACCCTGCTTGCAGTCCCACAGCTAGGACATAGAGACAGGATTCACATTTGGGTTTGTTTGACCTCAGACAATTCACATGTTTCCGCTCTGCCATGCTTAATTGTGCTATGAAGGTGGAAGGTGACTGCAGGTCAGATTGCACAAGGTTGAGCATGTTCTAGTCGTTTACAAGGGGACCTGCAGGGACTTTGATCAGAACCACCTATCTGTGTTGGAGGAGAACATAGGTATGACACAGCTAAAATGTTTAGGAGGAAAAAAAAAAATGGCAAAACTTGGTAGCAGTAGACTTTTATCTTCTCTTTTGATAAATTCTTAAAAGTTTTCTTTTGCCCAATAGCAGAACAAATAACTGCACATTTCCATTAATTATTTACTTTCCTTCAGATTCTTTTGACATTTCTATCATGTGCTGACAGATGCAAACACCCTCTTATTTTGTCTCTCTAAGGCTACATTTGTGGAGAGTAATGTTAATGACTGCTACTATTTTTTTGAGTACTTACAATGAGGTAGCCACACATTTGCTTACGTCATTCTCCCAACAACCATGAAAGGTACGTATTATTTATCCCAATATTCAGATGAGGTAACTGCAGGCAAGAGAGGTTATATAATTCATTCAGGTCACACGGGGAGCAAATGGCAGAGTCAAGACATAAACTTGGGTCTGTGTGATTCCAAAATATATTCTCTTTCTGTTGCCTGAAGGTAACTGGATAGGCTGTACATGGAGGCAGTGGCGGGGTGGGTGAGAGGGGGTAGTCTTTTCCGGTCATGTTTGTGTATTTTAATTTGAGATAATAAATAATAGGGAAGGAGATGACATGATGAAAGTGGTGTTTGGGGCAAGTGGGGAGAGACTGGAGGCAAGAAACCCCTTTTTCACAGGCCATGAATAGTAATAGGAATTTGAAATCTTGGGCACCTGGATAAAGGATGGTGGCTGTAGAAATAGAAAATGATGTCTTGGGATGAGTAAGCTCTGTAGAAAAATAACTGGTGAGACTTGAATCATAACTAAAGGAAAAGGAAGAGCTGAAATGGCACCAACGGCAAGTTCTCAGGAGGTACAGTCACAGTATCATCACTGTGAGAAAGGATATGAAAAGGGTTTTGAAGGCCAGCATTGTTTCCTCCTCAGGCTTAAACAGAGAGGGCTAGAGGCAGGGCAGCCACTGTGAATGACTGGGCCACATGCACTTGTGCCAGTGCCTTTACAGGTGGTCACAGGTAAAGAAAGAGCTTCCTTGGAAAGGAGAATTTCACCATTCTCAGTCCCTCCCCAGATGAGAAGCCTTGAGGTTATGCTGGCTAAGAGCTGGGAGAAGTATGCTTGAGGCCAGTGAGAAAAAGAAAAACCTGTGCTGAGCCACACATGTGTCTACACACCTGGCATGGCAATCCTGTTCTCCATGACGACATCCCTCCCTACCCCTCCACAAGCCCAGCCTCCCTGCAGGAGGATTCGGGAAGACTGCCTCTGGAGCTGTCCAGCTTCCAGGGTTGGAAGGAAGCCTTTATCAATCCCATCACCACTTCAAACAAAGCCATGCTTTCTGAGGAGGTGTAGATCTTATTATATTATTTTGTTTTCCATTCTTTTCTATCAGTTCACTGGATCACCCTCTCTTTTGCTGAGTAGCATGTTGACATTTTTTATGACTCTCTGTTACCCTAAGAATATTTCTACGTAAGTTTTTTGGCCTGAATTATTGACAACAGCTACAAATCCCTGCCTGCAGACACCTATGCACACACTGGAAAGTTCCATATAGGGCAAAGGTCACAAAGTGGCAGCCCAGAAACTAGATGTGGTCCACCAATATGTAATTTTCTTTGACCTACACAATGTTTGTTAACACTTGGAATCAACATGATTAAGTTGGGAAATTTCACACATTTTCACATTTCTAGCTTCTCTTAAAAATATGAAAAGACGTGGCAGTCCTGGGTCAGAACCCCACATGTCAGTAAGCAGCTGGAGCTGGGTTACCGATACCCCCTTTAGACGTAGCATTCGGTCCCTATTTTGCCACAGTCTCCACCACTCTTTATTACCTGACACAAAGCCCACTGCCCTCATTTGTCTCACTTAGCTGGCCTCTGTAGGCATTTAACTTTGAGATCCCAATGTGTGGTAATGGTATTGGTTTAAGCAGAAGCTAGTTGGTGCCCACAAGTTATAAATGCACTTGGGTAGTAGATACAACTGAATTCTAATTCCTTTCCCTTTCCTTTAGGCATTCTTCTGCTCATCACATTCTCTTCCCAAAATGCTCAGCACCTTATGATGAATGCCGAGCACCAAAATATCGTCCCTTCCTGCCACTGTAGTGTAACATAACCCCAGGTTAGCCTCCTTCCACCAAGACTCTCATTCCATGATGTCTCGCTTATCACTCCCTAGCCCAAGCAGAGTGACCTTGAGAGCTGACTCAGGGAGATATCAGTGACATTGCTGTCACTTGAGTCAATATTGGCAAAGGAAAGTGCAAGAGAAAGAATGTGATGAAGTAATTAGTTGATTATTTGGGAAAGGATTTGGGACACCGGGGAAGTGAATAGAGTGACCTGACCAGGTGGAATGATCAGCCTGGAGAGCTCACTCTGGGGACAGAGTGAGAGGCAGGATGGAGGGACAAGGACCTGACATGGGGAGCCCACTAGGGAAGTTGTGGCTGAGTGTTTCCAGGCTAAGAGTGTAGTCCCATCTCTGCTCACTCAGTGTGCAGCCACCTCTCTGGTCCTCAGTCTTCATCTGTGACCTCCTTATGACCTTATAGCATTGGTCCTCTATTACTCACTTTGGCACCTAACACCCTCTACCTGCTGTTTTCATCATGAAGGTGCAGTGAGGACAGGACCTGCTCCCTTTGGTTGGAATCTTCCCCTGGTTAGTGCTGTCAGCCATGCAAAGTTTGTATTGTGTCATCATCCCCTGAAGAAAATAAGAAGGGAATCTGGGTCCAGATATTCCCAAATGATATGAATGTCTAAAATGCTGGGTTTGTGGCTATGTGCCAGTTGTAATTTGTGCATTTTTTGGTAGTAGGTTTTGTTGGATTTAGATTAGTCTTTTTATAAAATAAGCAGCATGGTAGAGTGGAGAAAGTGCTGGGTTGGGGCTATTTCCAGCCTGTCTACTACTAGGAAACACGCCCTTAAATGGGGCCTCTTTAGAGTAGATGGGCTGACAAAGCCAAGGGTATTGAAAAGAAGAAATAAGCACGTACCATGCAAGCCTAACTGGGCCTTTTTGCAACTCTGAGTTTCTGGGGTTTCATAGCCACAATCTGACCAACAGCACCACTGAGAGAGCTGGTTTTTATCCATTAAATAAAAGCATTACTTCCGTTACTCTCAGCTACACTTACTGCAGTAAGCCTAAGTAACATTAAAGACCAAGTCACCTTCATCTTACATAGATTTTAAACTTTTTGAAGCGGGCAGATACTATACCTTCACCTTGACTTGAATCTTCCCTTGAGCTTAATGCAGCTGACACTCAACAAAACACTCACAAATTGACTCATTGCTGTTCAATTCTTGAGTATATGTATCATGCACTTCCTATGTAACAAGCGTTTTACTAAGTATTAAAGAGTTTTTTTTAAAGAAAAGGAATGAAGCATGGTGCCTTCCATCAAGGAGATTCCATTCTGGTAGAGGGCCATTCCTGTGATTATGTACACATGCAGCAACAACTAAATCCATTTGATAAGCATTCTGAGGAAAAACTGTAAAAAGTACTATGGAAGCTGAGGTTGGGGATAGTAATGGAAAGTTCCTGGGGTAACTGATGCCAGAGCTAAGCCTTGGAAGATGAGTAATATAAGAAGCTCACCATCTTGCAGGGAAATATATATATATATATATGTGTGTGTGTGTGTGTGTGTGTGTGTGTGTGTGTGTGTGTTTAATTTTTCTGAGTGCCTCACTGTAACTCAGTACGAATATCCTCACTCCATGTTAAGCCCAGATCACCTGCAGAGATACCTATTATTACTTCTTTTCATTTACTTGTCTTTTTTTTTCCTATTGTATAGTAGCAGCAACATTTAGATAGAGAGTTCCCTTGAATTCTCTATTTTTAAAAAAGCAATTAGACATTCATGATCAAGGGTAATGGGGCTCTGGGCTCAAGTCCTCTATTTTGTTCCCATTCATCTGTGGGTCAATAGGTAAGCCACATCTGCTGAGCCTCAACTGCTTCAAAGTACTCATCCTTGCTGGACAGGCAAGTTGCTGGAAACAAGTTTTCCTTCAGCAACCATTCAGGTGGCAAATGTTTTATTGAACATCTACACTGTGCCAGGCACTAGGTGAGGAATCAGGGTCCAATCAAACTCTCCAAACCACTGCTCAACATACTCCTCCTTTGACAAATGGGTTTTCAAAATAAGCATGCACATAATGTGCCTCCTTTGGCACACTTCCCAAGAGATTTCACTCTGAAAAGAAAGGCCAGCCTCAGCCCTTAAAGTGCAGGCCAAATAAAAACTTGCTTGACTATCAAGATTATATTATCATCTCCCCTCCAGTTCCCACCAGACTTCTAGGAAACAGCCAGACAGCTCCTCCAACCAATCCAGTAGCCAAAATAATCCATTCCAAAGCTTCAACTGAGCATCTTAATGAAATAATTGTTTACCTGATTAGTATTCAGCATCCGCAGAAGGAGGCTAAAACCCACCCCTTTCAACCTTTCCTCTCTCAGTCTCACTCTCTCTTTCCTTCCCACCCTGTCTCCTTTCAGATATACTTTCGAATCCCACCCCTTTCAGGGGCACAAAGACCAACTCAAATCTGATCGCAGCATTATCAATCAACTTATTCCCTCCCCACCGGGCACCTCCTAAGATATTTTTCACCATTTCTTTCATTCTTTGAAAACGATTTCTTTGTCACCAAGCCTGTGTGGCACTTCCCCTGCCTCTCCTCTTGACCCTGCACTGTAATCTGGACACTCCTGGAGCCAAGCCGTGGGAGAGGCAGCCATGCTCAGTCTCCCTGGATAAAGCCAGGGTTCCCTTGGCAACGGGACCGTGTGGACATTCGCAAAGGGGTTTCCCTCCACCCCCCAGGTCCTCTTTCAACTCAAGAGCTCAGTCCTGTGTCTCTCATGGAGGCGTCTCTAACCAGGGTAGGAAAACAATAGTTCTAAATATCGGTAATTGGTGTTTGGAGGCCATTGTTTTGCATTCAACAGGCAGGAAAATGTGAGTTGAGTGGGCGAGTGAATTCGGGCGTTAGCTGGTGAGCATCCATGGTCAGGCAGAGGGAAAGCTGGTTTCATTTCTGTAAACAGGCAAATGTTGATCTGAAGTAGTTTGGGTCTGTAATGTGTGTCTTTGTCTTTTGGGAGGTGGGAGAATGGGGAGATTAAAGGAGAGAGGCTTCTAGAGACAAGTTTTTACTTTATGGTCTGTTTTCTCTTTTATCCTTATCATTTTATTTATATAAAGCAAGGAAACCAGGGATTACTTGTCTCCATGTTAATGCCAACTCTTGCTCATGATTTCTGACTGTTCACACGCTCTCACTGTCTCCCACATGGATTCTCTCCTTCTCTCTCTCTCACTTTTTATGGACTTTATTGTCATGATGATGGAGAAGTAAAATTTTTTCTAAAGTTGGAAGTGGATTTTTTTTTTGTAAGAGGTCATCTCTGAAGAGCTGAGCCAGGGCTAGGCAGGACAGAACTGATTGACACATACTAACCCTGTGGGTTGTGTCGGTGGTATCGGAATCCCTGTTACTGACCCAGATTGGTCCAGAAGACCTCAAATGTGCCTTTGGTTGATGGAGGAAATGCCTGTTATTGACTTGGTTAATACTAATCACAGGTTTCTACAATAATTCAGAAGGTTATTATTGAAGTCCTGGCTGAGGTCCTGGTAGGGGATACTAATAGGAGGAACTTATTCAGCTACTTCACTTCCCCTCAGGAGTTCAGAGTAGGTGAGGACCTTACCAAAAAGCTTTTCAGGAATGAACCTGAAGCTTAAGACCTTTGAAAAAACCAGAGATAAGTGCAAGTAAGGCATGAAAGGAGGAGGCCAGAGCACCGTTCAGTTTTCCTTTCCTTTTCTCTCTTTTCCTTCCTTTCTTTCTTTTTCCTTCCTTCCTTATAAAATCACATCCAGAGTGAGGCCTAAGCATAACTGCTTATGGAACCTCTGAGAAGGTATCTTGAAGTACTTGCTGAGTTTAAACTGGCTACTGCATTAACCTATTAACCAATATGCCAACACCAAAAAAAAAAAAAAAAACTTATTCCTTTTACTATGTATTCAAACTTTCAGTAAACCCTTTGGGGACAGGAACTATACAGTTTTCAATATTTTGCCCCTGATTCTAACCAGTTAGGGGCCAGGTACATTTGGGGGGCTCCATTCATGGTTGTAGAATTGAATTGAATGAACAGTGTGGGGTATGATTACCATTTGTTCCATGAAGTGTAGAGCTAGGACTAGTCTTGTGGTCAGAAGACTTAGGCTCTAGGCTCAGGTCTGACACTAATTAGTGGCAGAACTTCGACCATACTATTTCAGTTCTCTAACACTCAGTTTCTTCATCCATGAAGTGACAGAGTTTAAACGAGAACAGTGTTTTCCCAACAAAAGTAGTTATCTAAAGCCTTCATGCCCCCCTCAACCCTGGGGGATAGGAGGGTTTGGGAGAGGGAGGCCCGTCTGGTCAAGAACAGCTGCTGCAAAAAGGAACATGGCAGACAGAGGAGGAAGTAGAGCAAAAAGTGGCTCAGAGACTGGAAGCTGGAAAATGCTGGACCTTAGAGGACTCCTCAGGTCCCTTGTAACTCTGACATTTATTCAGAGTCATGAGACTTATCTCTCCCAGTTTTGTGTCACCTCTCCTGTATTAGGTACTTTTGAAGATGACACAAAGCAGTACTGTCATTTGTTCTGATATAGGCAAGCAAGCTACCTTTCTTCCATGAGACAAGGCTTCTCACTGCTGAGAGGTCTGAATCTCTGCCCTTGGAATGTGCCAAGCAGCTGGTCCTAAGCCAGCCACGCTCTGTCTCTTCATTCCAATATAGTCTTTCATTTATTCGACAATCAACAGGTAATTATTGAAAGCCAATAACTTTCCTTTTTTCTGGATAGCGTGGTCAGGAAGGTTCTCTTTGAGGAGGTGACAGTTAAGCTGAGGCACCAATTAAGTGAAGGAATAAGCTGTGCTTACAGTGGGAGAATAGCACTGGCTTGAGTCTGAGGACCCCCGTAAGTATGAGGCTCTTGATTTGGGGAGTCAGCTTGGCATGTCTTAAGGCAAAGCAAGGTGCCTGGGGCAGAAACAGAGTGAAGCAGAGAGGAGAGGTCAGAAGGTTGGAGTGAGATGACACAGATCACAGGGGCCTTGTAGGTCATGATAGGGACCAATGGGAAGCCATTGGATAAATTTTTACATAGAAATAATTATATCTGATCACTCCAGCAAATGCGCAGAGGATAGTGTTCTATAGATGATATCTGCAAAGTGGTTGGTTAGAGTGAAGGGCTTGGAAACTAAGCAGCCTACGTGGGAAGTCACATGGTGTCTGGGAAACTTGGATGTGGTTGGATAGGCCTGGATTTGAATCCTGATCTTGAGGCTGACCTATTGTGTAATTTGGGCAAGTTATTTAACTTCCCTCTTCTCCATTTCCTCATCTCTCTCTCACTCTTTTTTTTTTTTTTTTTCCTTGAGATAGAGTCTCACTCTGTCACCCAGGCTGGAGTGCAGTGGTGCAATCTTGGCTCACTACAACCTCCACCTCCAGAGTTCAAGCAATTCTCATGCCTCAACCTCTCGAGTAGTTGGGACTACAGGCATGCACCAACACTCCAGGCTAATTTTTTTGTTGTTGTATTTTTAGTAGAGACAGGGTTTCACTATGTTGGCCAGACTTGTCTCAAACTCCTGGCCTCAAGTGGTCCACCCACCTTGGCCTCCCAAAGTGCTGGGATTGCAGGTGTGAGCCACCACGCCCAGCCTGTTTCCTCACCTCTTAAAGAGGGACCACATTATCTACCTCAATGAGTTGTGAAGATGAAAGCAGAGAGATTACATATGTTATCTCAAAGCAGCTGCTTAAAATGATAGTGTTATTGTCCAAACTAATCCCATGACCTTTGCACTATGGGCCACAGATGAGCAAGACAACTGGAAACGTAAGATGCATGGTGGGTTTCATATATTATCCTCTTTATACCTTGCTCCCTTTGGGAACGTGGGAGGTGGAAAAGGAAGGAGTAAGGTGACTTGTGCCAAGTCTTGCAGCTGGTTAAGGTCAGGGCTGTGTCTAGGGGCCAGGTTCTTTGTTCCTGCCTCATGTTCTTTCTTTTACGCTTAGAGTTAGCAAACTACAGCCCCACAGGGCAATCCTAGCTTGCCCTCTGTTTTTATAAATAATGTTTTATTTGAACACAGCCATGCTCACTCATTTATAGACTATCTGTGGCTGCTTTCACACCAGGGCAGCAGAGTTGATTAGTTACAACAAAGACAGTGTAGCCCCAAAAAGCCAAAATATTTACTTGCCAGAACTTTACAGAAAAAGTTTGCCAGCCCCCCATCTACACCATTCTTCTCCCTTAATTGGCATGGCTTTATTGTATTTAGCTTAGATATTACCAAATAGGAAAGGCTGGCCTCTCTAGGTCTCCAAAACAGTGGGATTCAGAGGTTCTTTTGAGGAGAGCACTGTACTGGTAGAATATTGCAGTGAGAGATCTCAGGCCACTGGGAGCCAGCAGAAACACACTGGTCACCTGGCAGGGGACAGCAAAGGGAGAGGATGGGGACTCTGGGCATGGTACCTGGGTAGAGAAGAAGGGAATCCCAAATACTTGCTCTTAACTATTTCAGACCTCAGAGACAGCTATCTAAAACAGGTGAGGAGGAATGTAGAGGGCTCAGGAAATGAGCAATGCAGCAGCTTTATCTGACCACCACAACTTGAATGTGCACTGCTGAGTGGGTCTCTCTGGGACACACCTATCAGGGATTAGCTGGACCTCAGGGCTGCTCATCACTTTATACCCTCGGATGACCATCATTAGCACACTGGGAAACAATGCTTGCTTATTCCCAGAGACCACAGTTCAGATGCAAATGGATCTTCCTGGTGACTCCTCCTTCCTCTCTCGAGACTTTAGGAGTATGTGTGGACTATGGCGTCTTACCAGGGACTATTTCCCTGCCTGGCACTCAAGAAGCTCACAGCTTGGCTTCAGGTGTTTGGATTTCCAAGTTCCCATTGAGGCATTTAAATAGGCTCTCCTACATGGACTCCACTTCCTTTAAACCTACTGATGCATTCAGTCTTGACAAGTGATTACTTACCTACCTCAAGGTTTTAATCTAGGGCTTGAGGGTACATTTGTAGGTGTAAATCTATAGGTCAGAAAGCAGTGGAGGCTTCACTTGATTGGATACGTGGAATCCGAATTTTAGCTTTACCGGTACCTGTTCCTCTCCACTCCCGTTTTCAGGCTTATTGCCTTAAGCAGTGGAAACTGGGTTACACAGTTCTTCAACTCCAGGTAATATAAATATAGTGCCATGTATTTCTTGGCACTCATAACTTTCCAGCCAGCCTACATGGAGAACACCCCAGCTTTCAGGAATGCTAAATAATCCGCCAGATGCATCTGCCATGGTGTTTCAGGCTCATTAGGCTCCTCCCACTGATCCAATGAACAGATGTGCTAATTTTTCACTTGCTGGGAATGCTTCAGCCATTTGAACACCATGGACTCGGGGTTGGATCAGTCACCCAGTGCCCTAACACTCAAGCTAATTCACAGGCTGAGCAACTCCCCTCACATACACCCCAGTGGTTATCTTGCCTAATTCCTAGAAGTTGGTCAGTAACTGAGTTCAAGTGGCATGACAATCCAGTTCCAACATGGGCTCATCCTCCCAACCCAAGACCTTTTTAAAAAGAAAGGGAAGAAGAAAAGCAATCTTAGCCTCCACAATGATTCCCTTCCATTTGCCTTCTTCCATCCTGGTGCTTAGATGAGGTTACGGCCCTAGCAGAAATGAAATGAAATGAAACTGTAAGAAAAAGTCAGCAAATCTAAAACACTGCTGCCTGTTATCAGTGCTAGCAGCCTTCATTAAGCCACTGGGGGCTTGGACAAAGCAAGTGGAGCTAGAACAGCCTCTGCTTTCTTGGAATGTACCATCAAAATAAGAAACTGCTGAAATGAATTGAGCAAGCAGATTCAAGGGGGTAAAGACAGACAACAACACAGCATGTGGGGAGGGAGGGGATGTTATAGAGGAGCCTATGCTGAAAATAAATGATTTTTTTATAAGTGTGGTTAACTTTACTGAGGCTAAAATTGCTAAACACCGCATGTATTTTCCCCCCTAAAATAAAAGCTTTGGGGAATTTTGATCTGCCTCACATGAAAAGCTACAGAAAAGGAAGGTATGTGTGAAAGCTTTTAAAATTATTACCATATTTCAAGTAGGATAATTATCAGGAATACTTGATGCCATCAGAAGTAAACTAATATAGAATTGCTTTATTTACAGCAATTTAGTCATTTGTGTTGCCCCATTAACAAGATTCCCTAGCATTCTTATTGATAGAAAATATTTACCACCATCTAGGAATGGTCTAGGCCAAAAAAAAAAAAAAAAAAAAAAGCAGAAGAAGAAGAAAGAAGAAGAGGAAGAGGAGGAGGAGGAAGAAGAAGTAGAAGAAGAGGAAGAAATGGGCCAGTTTTGTTGAATTCTGTCTAGTGTGAAAACTTCAGCTGTCTCCTGAATGAAAGTCATCATTCTGCATTTAATCAATATCCAGAAAATGATATTCCATGTGAAGTGCGACATTTTGTTTTGTGTTTACTTGGGATTGGAACCAGCTGATTGACTGAACAGGCTACAGTGCTGCCCTTATGAATCAGCACTTGAGTCTGTAATGACCTAATTTCATAATTTAGAATTGAACATCTATCACAGGCTCTGCCCTGTCTCTAATTTGCCTTTTATTTCAGCATATCACAGTTAGCCTGAGCAGATAGTACTTCTGTGAGTTCTGAACATTTCTTCAGCAACTCTGAAATAAATATGAGATTTATAGCATTATCTTTGTCCAACCAGCATATATTTCCCCAGATATAATTTTGTTCCCATTTTATAAGATGTTGACAAGTAATAACTGCTAAGTGTTTTTATGCAATGTGATTAAAGCTAGTAGTACCTGACAGTGTCCATTGGAGACACACTCTAACCTCTACCCTCCCCCTTTCCAAGACACACGTATTAATAACTCTTTAGCACCAGTAGTTACTGTTTTTCTTGAACATCGTCAGTCTTGCAGTCTGATTAAATGCTTTTGCATTTGAGGTTCGGGTTGTATTTTTGTTTGTTGGACAGAAAGATAGAGGGGCAGAGAGAAATGGGGCACTGTCAGCTTTCCTGCATGTTGTTAGAGCAGGGATAGTAATGGAAATAGCATTTTAAAATTATAGGATATAACCAAGGGGGCCAGGGCGGGGCAGGGGATAGGAGTAATTAGAGGATTTGACCAGGGGTGGGGGCAGGGCAGGAGGGCAGGGCAGAGAGATGGGAGGGGTGGGCCATCTGGTGTTAATCTCCTGCTGTGTGTTTGCAGGGCAAAATAGTCAGGGTACTTTGTCAAGGTACAGTCTGCTTTTGCAGACACAGATGGAGCAAAAGGGAGATTAATACATGTGGTTCTAACCACCTTTCATATCTTTACAGCTAAACATTATTTATAGAAATCAATTAGTCCTCTGTCTCTGCAATTTTATTATGAGGCTCTGTCCAAGTTTCTGGCAAGCTCTTTAAGAGGATGATTGATGGTAAACTTTCAGAATGAATAAAAAATGAACCCTCCCCTAGGAATTGGTGTAGTGGAGAGAAAGGTAAATGATAAAAATTACAAACTCTGCAAGTTTCTAGGAAAGTAATGTAGGATCAGTGTGGTCCTTGTTACACAGTTTTTCCTTATGGCTAACTTTCTTTTCTCTTTCTCTTCCTTTCTTTCTTTTTTCTTTTTTCTTTCTTTTTCTTTATTTTCCACTACATTCAGCGGTCTGTTTGCTATGGAAACTTTAGGAGAGCTTGATGCCTACAACTGAACTTGTGGGAAAGTAAAGGTTTATTCATTTGCCAAGCTAGTAAATGCCACTTTGATTACTGATGCTCATAAGAGATAAAGAGTTCCAGGAAAAAAATGGAACAGAGCTCTCATGTTTTGTCTTATGGAAACTTTTATAAGAGATGGGAGCTGCCGATTGCTTCCATTAAATTAGTCTAGGAGCCAAGTAATGGTAAGTATGAAATCCCATTGTAATGAATCCCGTGGAAGATGCCTATTGATTTATTCTGAAATTCCAGTCTTGGTAGAGACTGCTGCCAAAGCTCACACCCTCCAGGCTCAGAAATAAAACAGTAATGATACCTTAGAGGTGAAGAAGGAATGATCAAATAAATCAAAGTTCTAAACCCAGGAGAAGACAAGAGACAGTGGCACATAGTGCACAGGTTCTAATGCTGTTGAACCTTGGGGTGTGAAGTTGTTCTGTTTTGATAACTATTTTGAAAAAACCAGAGGGCTCTTTTGGCCTCTAATACTTGAGATGGTGGTGATGCCAAAGGTCAAATAGAATTAGAGGAGATTTGTATGCCACTTTAAGAACTATAAAGGTTGCTGGAGAGTTTCCTAGTCTCATTCAACCTCGGTTTCCTCCTCTGTAAAATAAAGATTGTAATAGTATCGACCTCAGAGTTTTGCTGTAAGGATTAAATGAGATTATGCATTAAATTGCTTAGCATAGTATAAATACAGCAAATTCTATCGTGGTAGTATCATTAGGGTTAACAGGATTCAGAATAACTTTTCTCATTGTCTTAAGGTTTGGCATTTACTATAGAACTTGTTCTTGTTTACTAATTGAGAAATGTACCTGAAGGGGTCCTAGTAACTGCGTTCAGGGAAGATAGTCATTATTTCCATTTCGTATCCCACTCTGTATTACTTTGATATGAAACTCGTACACAGTAGGTACTCAATAAATACTTCCTGATTTAAAAATTCTAGGTTTAAATGAAATTTGCTTGAGCTGCTGATACAAACTTATACAGGCTGTATATAATGCAATTTGTTGATATATGAAATAACTAATTTCCAAATTTCTGTAATTCCCCACATTACTCAGAACATCTTTTTGTTTGATGAAATCAGCTAACATAATGTGTGACACGTATATGCTTAATAAACATTTATTGAATGATGAATTATTGCATAAACCCTATAGAGGATTAAAAGAGACCTAGACAAGGAAAAGATTTTACATTAAAAAAAATTAACTTTTCTCTTAGATTTCAGTAAAAAAAAAAAATTCATGAATTGAATTAGAAATATAATTGCTTGCAAGCTATAGAAAATGTGTCTTCCTAACTTAAAAGAAAATAATTTGTAGAAGATTTGGGACAGTTCTCAGGGTCTATGGGAATGCTGGACAACCATGCTTGCCAAAATGCAGGATGCAGGCAGCAACACAGATGTGAGAGCAGAAACTTTACCAGCTTCACTGATCAGCACCATGAGTAAGTTTCTGTTGTTATTTTCATCCTAGTTCCACTTCAAAGTCAAAATCCCAGAAAAGAGTCTGATTGGCCTAGCTTGGGTCACATGTCCACCCCACCCCCAAGTGTAGTCAGGGCAGGGGGTCTTATTTAGAGTCTCACCAAGAATACATAAAACTAAGGAGAGGTAGTTCTCCCCTACCTAAAAGAAGTCAGGATTCTGTAACCAAATTTAAAATGTCCACATTATAAACTTAATAATATCTATACATAATAAGTATGCATCTATGTTTATTTGCTTAGGGCCGCCTCACAAACTACCATAGACTGAGTGGCTTCAGCAACCGAAATTTATTGTCTCTCAGTTCTGGAGGCTGGAAGCCCAAGATCAAGGTGTCAAGAGGGTTGGTTTCTTCTGAGGACTATGAGGGAAGGGTCTGTTTTAAGCTCTTCTTCTGGCTTATAGATGGCCATCCTGTCGTTGGGTCTTCGTGTGGTCCTTCTTCCATACATATCTGTCCACATTTCCTCTTGTTATAAGGACACAGTCATATTGGAGTAGGGTCCACTTTAATGACTTTGTTTTTTAACTTAAGTACTTCTTTAAAGACCCTATCTCCAAATAGAATTATATTCTGAAGTACTGGGGTGTGGAAATTCAACATATGGATTTGGGTGAGGGAACAAAATTTAGGCTGTAACTGCATGTTGTAAACACAAATGAGTGGAAATATCAATTAGCAAACACCTATTTTATCTATAACACTTTTAGTAAAAATGGAGTAATCAGCCAGGCGCAGTGACTCACGCCTGTAATCCCAGCACTCTGAGAGACTGAGGCGGGTGGATCACCTGAGGTCAGGAGTTTGAGACCAGCCTAGCCAATATGGTGAAACCCTGTCTCTACTAAAGTACACAAATTAGCCAGGCATGCTGGCAGGCGCCTGTAATCCCAGCTACTTACGAAGCTGAGGCAGGAGAAGAGCTTGAACCCTGGAGGCAGAGGTTGCAGTGAGCCGAGATCGCGCCACTGCACTCCAGCCTGGGTGACGAGAGTGAGACTCCATCTCAAAAAAAAAAAGAAAAAAAGAAAAAAAAAAGAGTAATCACTTAGTAAAGTCTACAGAGTTATTTAACATTCCAAACTTGCTGGTTGAGCTCACCAGAACAGAGATAAACAGGTTTTTCTCCCCCAGCCCGTTCTTTCTCTTTTAAACCCATACTTGAACCTTAAGAAATGAAAGTTGGTAAAACCCTTTCTAACCGAGGTGCCAGTTTTGCCTATAACATTGTTCACAGAGATTTTTCTAAGAGCAGAGCCAAGCAGAAATGACTCATTATTACCTCCACTACGCATACAGATTTTCATTTGGACACTAGCCACTGTTTAAACTTGACACTGTCCAGCCTCGAGCAATACATGAAGCAAGTAATAGTCATGTAGCGGTGCAGAAAGCCCTGGCTGGCTCCTGGGCTATCTAGCTTGCTTCCTAAAACTTCCAGCTCCCCTGGTTTATAATTCTGTGATTCACATTTTCTCAGCACACATACCTGTGGGCTTCTTCCATGACCCATGCCGACTTTCATACTTCCATACCTATGTTTCCTTGGAAAGATGTGCCCTTGGCAACAGATTTCTACTGACCAAGGAACTGAGAGGTAGCTTACTCCTGAAAGTTTAGAGGTAGTTTATGCTGTTGACATCTTTGTAGGGGGAAGAGTAGCACAGCAGAGGCCTGCCCATCAATGGGAACTCATCCATTTAGCTCTACCTAATAGTGTTTGACTTCTTTTTCCTTCCCTTCCAATGCCTGTGAATATTAATCCATCAGACTTAGAAGACAATCTGAACAAACACACAAGCTACATGACTGAAGGTGCCAACTCCCATCTATGAGGGAGAAAGCATCTAGACACGCAGAACAGTTTTGGTTTATTACTCTTTCCTCAGTGTAGGCGTAATGTGATGTGTTTTGTGTGGTGTGTGTATTTTGGTGTTTGTACACATCATCATGGAATTTGGGTAAATCTGCATCAGCAATAGCAGGTGTGACTTTGGTGTAAAAAGTAATCCCCCATGTGAGTCAAACAGTAAAAATGTGGACCCCCAAGGCCTCTCATGATCTGTCTTCCATCCATATCTCCAGTCTTGTATTTTATTCCCCTCAACTCTGGCCACATACTCCACTCACCTTGCTTTTCCACCCTTCTGTGCCTTTGGATCTGCTGCTCCCTTGGCCCAGAAAGACCTCCGTTGCATTCCACCCTCCTCTACACCTAGATGACTTCTACTCATGTGTTACATTTCAGCCTAGATGCCAGATCCTCTGGGAATACTCTGCCCATCTCCCTACTCCTTGGTCTCAGTCAGATGCCCTTCCTCAACACGCCATAGTTCGCTGCCCATCTCTACTGGATCTGTTCTCATGTTGTACCCTAATTCATTGTGAGTTTGTCTGTTTCTATCGAGACTCTGTGCTGCTTGAGGGTGGGGACTGTCTATCTCACCTCTTATTCTCCAGCCCGTAGCACAGTAGCTGGCACATGATTAATGTTTACTGGCTAGATCAATGATTTAATGAAGAAATGAATTAATTAAGTGAAAAAAAGATTTAGAGACACAGCTTTCTTAATATCAACAATCTGGAAGTTCTGGAAGCCTCTTTATTTGAAAATAGCAAAGTCTTTTTAACACAGTCAAATGCCCCCAAGATTCCAAGTTGAAAATTGTCTGTGACCTGTAGATTATTCTTGGGGCCTCTTATCATAAAGTTCAGCCAGTTTCTCAGGATAATGCATCAATTTGTTTCTCAATAGAAATCTGTTCTGTCAGTTGAAAATACTTGATGGTGATAACTATTGGACAAGCCACACTGGAAAATAAAATCCAGTTCAGACTGCCAAAATTATAACCTACGAAGAAGAAATGGTAGTATACACAAAATGCTCATTGTTATGGTGTAGTGAAAAGTACACTGGATTTAGAGCCAAAAGGCATCAAACCTGGTCCCCATCATTTGCTAGTTAGGTGGCACTGGACAACTTAGTTAATGTTTCAGAGCCCACCTAATTTGCTTTTCATCCTGTAAAATAGGTTCACTCCAGTTGCCTTATGAACTTTAAGCTCTGTGTCAGTATCATGGAATGAAAATTGATATTGCTTGAGTAACTGCTACGTGCCTTTCATTCTGTTAAATGTTTTAAAGTTGAGTAAATCCAAATGCAGATTCCTTTAGGGTCACGTAGGACCTGTTTCTTGCTATACCATCCTCTATCTAGCTCATGGCTTACCAATTACTTTTTTTTTAAGAAAATATTTCATAATCACCCATCGAGTCCGTGTTCCATGCTATTATACTTGCTATTACATAGACTGCTATTCTATATTACACAAGACCACTATTAACTAGGCCACTCACTATTCTAAGCAGGATTTTATTTAAATGAGATAGGGTATGCTTTATGTCTCATTTCCTTGTCAAGTGAAGTAGATCTGCCAAAAGGATTCAAATAAATGTTGTCTAGGTAACATGTTCTACATACCCAAATTTCTCAGAGTTCTAGTGGAATTTATAAAATGTCTACACCAATAGTCAGCACCACACACCCTCTTGTTGCCTCTGAATCGGCCACGTGGGATGCTTGGCGTCATATAGACCAAACGTTCAGATGTTGGACTCATTTTTTTTTTAGTTTTCATATGGGTGTTTGGGACTCAGAGAAACAATCAACTTTAGCCTGGAATACAGGATCCAAGGATTGTTGAAACATGGGATTAGTCTGGGTTTTCTGGAGGAAAATGTTCTTTTCAACATCACTTTCCAGAACAGGGATCTGATTCTGTTTATGAACAACAGTGCCAGTGTTGTTACTAACAACAAGAATTGTTCCTCGTCTGTTGAAATCACACTCATCCATCCTTTTTACCTCTAGTGCCCCAATTCAGGTCCTAGTCCATGAGTCCTAATTCTCCTTGGGAATTTACCTAACCCTTCCCTGCCTCTGTTTTCCACATTTCAGTCTGCCTACCATACTCTCACCATCATTTCAATGCAATCTCCCTGCTGAAAAACTTGCAGAGCTTCCCTCTCACCTACCAATAGTTCAAATGCACTAGATCTTCCAAAATCTGGTGCCTAGTGTGAAGAAAAAATGCATAAAAAAAGTAATCAGGTGGTCTTTGTTCTAGTTCCAGTTATGCTACAATGTAACCATGTGACCTTGGAAGAGCTACCTTCCCTCTCTAGGTTGTAGTTACCTTTGAAGAGTTGCTTTTCCTCCCTAGATCTCAGTTTTCGTGAATGTGAAATGAATGAAGTGATTGGACAAGATCAGAGATGCCAGATGAATGACATTCAGTCACCACTACTTTCCTATAGTGTCCTTGGAATTCATCATTAATTGATCTTTGGCTTTTTCCCACTGAGCGCTAATAAGCTTCAAAATCATCCATGCCGTCACTTCCAACAGACCAGTTAACTTTTGAAATCAAAGCCCTTTACCTCCCTCAATGGGATGATCTCTGAGGTTGCTTCCTGCTCTAACATTCCACAATTCTACAGTCTCTTTCCATCTTAACCACCTACTATTTCTAACGTGAAGCCCATACTGCAGCCAACCGCATTTTGAACAGTTCCTCTAAATGCATTTTGAACATTTTAGGCCACTGGAATGGCCTAAAATGCTTTCAGTCACAGTTTTCAGTCAAAATCTGACCCACCCTACAAAGCTGAGGTGAGTTCCACTCTCCCTTGAAGCTGGACATGACCATGCCCTTCACTCCTGAATCCCCATAGTATTTTTTTGTTTAGTTATAACATTTATTGATGACAAACCCTATACCCCCTCTCTGAGCTTTTTGATTGCTGTATTGAATATTTGTGTAGCTTTCTTTGCCTTCCATTAGATTATAAACTCCTGAAATTTAAAATCAGACAACCTATGTTCAAAGTCCAGTTCTTCCCATTAGTTGTCATGAGATAAATCATTGAATCTCTTTAATTATTGGATCAGCCATCACTATATACCCAGCCCCTAGTGCTGTGCCTGGCCTAGCTTAGAAAATCAATAATGACTTGTTTAACAGAAGGAAGAAAGGAAGAAATGGAGATAAAGAGAGAAATTTACTAAGATCTACCTCATGAGCTTAGTGTGGAAGTTAAATAAATATACATATACACATAAATATTATATGTTAAACATGCTATATAAACATATATCATGTATACATATATGTTACATATATATACATTCATATGTGTGTGCATAGATGTGTGTGTATATATGTATGTGTGTGTATATATATATACATATATATATATACACACACATACATATATACACACACACACACATATATATATATATATATATATATGTAATTGAAAACCTTGGCTCAAATGTTGAAAATGTCTAAGTTACTATCAATACTAATAATACAATAATAAGGGATAAAATACTTATTAAATCCAATTGTATGCCAAGGACTTCACATAATTATGAAAGCTGGCATGGTGTGGTAAAGCAGTGCAAACTTTGGAGCCCAATTAAATCTGGGTTTGTAGCCCCACTTTTCTGCCTTAGATGACTTTGGGTGAGTTACCTGACTCCTGAATACCTTCATTGTGTATATTCAAATGTACTACACTATAGTTTAGTAACACCTCCAAAATCTCAGTGGTTTAGCATGACAAAAGTTTCCCACTCGTACTACATATCCATTGCAGGCAAGCAGGAAGCTCTGCACCATGTAGTCACTCAGGGACCTAGGCTGATGGAGGCTTCACCACCTTACAACTATGTCATCTGGATCACGTGGAAACTTCCAGTGCTACAGCAGGGGAAGAGGGAGAGAGAGTGTAAAGGCTCTCACTTAAGCAATTAATGGCCAACACAGAAGTGACCTATGTCACTTTTAGTCATAGACCCAACCTCAGTGGGCCTGGAAAATGCAGGCTTCCACATACTCAGAAAGAGAGGGGAACCAGATGTCAGTGACCACTAGAAATGTCTGATGAATAGGCAGGCGTGGTGGCTCACACCTGTAATGCCAGCACTTTGGGAGGCAAAGGCGGGCAGATCACTTGAGGCCAGGAATTTGAGACCGGCCTGACCAGCATGGCAAAACCCCATCTCTACTAAAAATACAAAAATTAGCCAGGCATGGTGGTGCATGCCTGTAGTCCCAGCTACTCTGGAGGCTGAGGCACAATAATTGCTTGAACCCGTGAAGCAGAGGTTGCAGTGAGAGGAGATCCTGCCAGCCTGGAAGACAGAGTGAGACTCTGTCACAAAAAAAAAAAAAAAAAGGCTGATGAGGATAATAATGACTAGTGTGACTACTGTGTAGGACTCTTAGGAGAATGAAATGTAATAACCTCATCAGGCAGATAGGACAGGACTTCAGCAACTGTTGGTGTTTTTCCTCTTTTTTTCCTAATGAATTGGGACAAGTTGTATATGTATTTATTATTCCTTTTTCATTTCAAACTCAAGTGTTTGCACATATTACTCAGTAAATATTCACTAAATAATTTAAATAAGAAATTTGCAATTGTTTTTCATAGGCTATTTTAAATTCACAGGAAATGTATTTTTGTGGTTATAATCAATTGCAAGACCAACTTACCATTTTGGATAATTGTCATATCTAGAATATCGATAGACATCGTAAGCTCTTAGCTTTGTTTTTTCTTGTTTAGTTTTGGTTTAGTTCGTTTGTTTTCACAAACGCTTTTAGAATTCACACAACTTATTGATAAGCCTATATTTCATTATTATTATGAGGCATCTTTTTAGCATGATGATGCTGGTTTCATATAGGTGCTAATGAATCCCAACATCACCCTAATTGGAACAGTTACTTTAGAGGGGTAGAGGCTATTTGGAAAGGGAGGTTGAGGAGTGAATGGATAAGTGGAGACAGTAGGCTTAGACCATTGCTTCTAGAATTTTGACTAGAGATCACTGCCTTTGCTGAGATGTGGTTTCAAAGGAGTCTTGTTTTGTTTTCATTTTAATATGGAGGGAACCGAGCCTGCTTGAATACTGTGAGGAATGATCCAGAAGGCAGGGGGAGTTTGGAGATGTAACAGAAAGCGGGGAAAACAATGGTCTTTAGAGAGCATCAAAGAGGCATATCCAGAAATCATCTGAAGGCCTGGCCCTGGACCAGAGAAGGGGCATGTTCTCCTTTGAAGCTAAAGGAGAGGCGCAGAGGAAGTGTGCAGAGGCAGGGAGATGTGTAGCCCTGGCAGGAAAAATTTAATTTCCATTAGAGAACTTCTAATTCCGTTTAAAATTATTATCATTATTATTTTTTTTTTCAGAGACATCTCACTCAGTTGCCCAGGCTAGGGTGCAGTGGCACAATCATAGCTCACTATAACCCTGAACTCCTGGGCTGAAGCAATCCTCCTACCTCAGCTTCCCAAGTAGCTGGAACTACAGGAACACCGCCACATCCAGCTAATTTTTTAATGTTTTATTGAGACAAAGTCTCACTATGTTGTCCAGGCTGGTTTCCAACTTTTGGCCTCAAGTGATCCTTTCACTTCAGCCTCCCAAAATGCTGGATTATAGGCATGAGCAACGAAGCCCAGCCTTCTAATATTTTTATGAAGTAGTACATCCACCAAGTGAGAAGGAAAGGGATGGAGGGTAGCAGGATGAGTGGGAGATTTAAGAAAGGCAGAAAAGTAAGATGGGCATTGATCAGAGTGGCAGAACAGGCTTCCTAGAGATCCCAGGAGACAGCGCCAAGCCATCCTGAGGGCTTAGTGTAGAGATGTTAATAACACATCATGGCAAGCTGCCCTGCTACTCCTGTTCTGCCCTGTTGGCAGCCTCAGTGACAAACCCTAAAGGTGCTCCTGCTGGGGAGGCAGCAGGCAAGAGCAAGTCCCCTAAGGCTGCTCTTTGTAATCCTAATCAAGTGGGTACATTGACTTTGGTCAATCTGATGATCTATCCAGAAGCTTAGACTGCAGAGATTGGGTTAACAGACAGAGGCCCTGATCAGGTCGATCTGGTAAATCCACATGGATCGGTGGCAGCTCTGCTGAAGAAAAAAGACCTTGCAAGCCCCCATCCCAGGTCCTGAAAGTGTCCCTTGTTCTAAGACTGAGGGATTCATTCACCTTCTTTGCTCCATCTTGAAAAACAAATATGGAAGAATATTCAAAAAATGACCTTGGCGTCAAAGAAAATGATTAGTGAAGGCACCCATTCACTCAGTAAGTCAACATTTATTGAGCTCCTACTGTATTCCTCCTCCAGGAGGAAGAAGGAAGGCTCCCTGCCCCTTCAGGGATACCTGCCCAGAGAGTAAGATAGACACCTAAGCCAATAATTACCAATGCAAATACGGGAGTACGTATAAGAGCTATAAGAACTCAGAGAGGGAGCGACAGAGTCTGCAGGAGGCAGACAGGTTGCTGGAGCTAAGTGGTTCATCAGGAAGTATCGGGATGTGTTTAATGCCAATCTTCATTAAATGTATTAAAATAACCTAACAGGTCGGGTGCAGTGGCTCATGCCTGTAATCCCAGCACCTTGGGAGGCCAAGGTGGGTGGATCATCTGAGGTCAGGGGTTCAAGACCAGCCTGGCCAACATGGTGAAACCCCATGTCTACTAAAAATACAAAAATTAGCCATGCATGGTGGCGCGTGCCCATAGTCTCAGCCACTTGGGAGGCTGAGGCAGGAGAATCTCTTGAACCTGGGAGGCCGAGGTTGCAGTGAGCCAAAATCACACCACTGCACTCCACCCTGGGCTACAGGGTGAGACTCTGTCAAGAAAAAATTTTTTATATATATATATATATATATATATATATATATACACACACACACACACACACACACACATATACACACATATATATATGTATAGTCCCCATATTTATATATCTAGTTACCTGCCCTTACTACCACCGCCATACACACATACATCCCTATTTTCTCAAGTTGATGTAAGTCTCTGGAATAAGAACAACTTTTAAACTTATCTTGGGGGAGCTGGAAGGAAATGGAGAGCAGGCATGGTAAAGCTTTCTCAGGACCAGGTGTGGCAGGGGCTGATCCTCAAGAAAGTTATTTGCAGGAGTTAGAAACTCAATGAGAGTCTCTGAAGGAAGCAGGGACCGGCACTGGCGGGGAAATGCATAACATGGGAAATGGCCTCAGGGCTTCACTAGGAACCCTCCATTTGAAGGTGGAAGTACCAGGAAGCATTGTCTTATTTCCATCTCCCCTGGCCTTTTGTACTCACTCTCCCTTTTGAAGGAAGTGAGGGACTAGTGCTGGGGAGACCGGAGCCAGTGGTTTTGATTCATGGCAGGGAAGGAACAATGTACAGACGGGAATCCTGTCTCCAGGATTAATTAGCCTGGTGGATGGGCCAGGAGCCTGTGTTTCTCCCACTGACCTAAGCAGCACCTTCTATACCCCAGGAGGCTCTCTGCAAACCAACGGTCTACAGCAATGGTTAAAACAGCAGTGTGATGAGCAGCCAAGGGCATTCCAAGAAGTTGTGTTGTTTATCCCCAAACTACCTCTCCATTTGTGTGAATGAGTGGCATGATTCATTTTCCATAAACAGCGTGGGTGAACAGAAGGGGAAAAAAATCCAAAGGCTGGGGACTGGCATTTCACTTTGTAGAAACTGCCAAGGAAAAGTTTTCTTCATTTTGGTATCCCTCTGAGAAGAGGCCAATTCTCTGAAACAAGAGGCTGTCCACAGCTGGGTCACATACACTGAGTCTGAGTCTTCACACAGACCCATTAAAACTGTCCAGGCACAGATGAGAAGATAGAAAACAGCAGGGAAACAAGTGATTGCAATGCAAACTCTACCCAGACATACCCTGAGGTCTTAAGGAAGAAACTCCTAGCTAGCAGGGCTAGCAAAAGAATCAAGGAAGGTCTCTGTCCTGGCTTTTCTATTTATCACCCTAACATTTAACCTCCTTGATCAAGATCTTCTAGAACTTAATCCCCAGCATCCTTTGGTATTTGCTGTTATCAGGAACAATAATAATAATAGCAAAAAAACAAAAACAACTCTGTGTTTAATTGCAGGCTTACCATGTTCTTGTTATATACATGAATGACTAATATAGTTTATTTTATACTCTCTGCTTTTCTGAAAGGTAAGTATTATTATCCTCACTTTATGAATGAGAAAAATTAATCTCAACGTGATAAATAACTCTTAGCCTCTGATGAGACAAAGTAGAACTTGATTTCAAATGCATGCCTGTCTAATTTGAAAGAATGCATCCTTTGGAAAGGCTGTGATGCACTATTCCTTTTATTTGCCTTTTAACTTTAGGGAAAATGGTATGTCTACTCCTCTTTCCCTCAACAACTCCTGTAGCTTTCTTATTCTGCATCCTTGATTGCAAGCAGCATCTTCTTCTCACTCTTTCACTTATCTGATTTTTAATTATCATATCAAGTGAAACACCAAGACATCAGGCTGGGAGGAACTGTATCCAGCAGATTCAGGACCAGGAAGCAGCAAGCAGGTGACAAGCTCAGTATGATACAAAAGGCAGGGCCATGAAAGCTGCCATGCTCAGTGCTAGGAGGTGGCAGTGAGAGCTCTTATTGGTCCCAAGAGCAGGACATGGGAGGTGCCAACTCAGAGTCTAGAGGCTGAGCCCAGGATTAAGAGCCAGGGGAGCTGCCAAGTAATTGGAGACAGGAGCATGGGATGTATTTGCTGAAACAAGCTGTTTGGCCTGGAGAGCCGATGTGGGGCATCCAGGGAGTGCTGGAGTGGGAGCACTTTCTCAGCTGGCTCTTGTCCCACGCTGTCTTAAAGGCACTACCTGACAACTGATACTACCGGTCAGGCAAGGCCCATTTCAGGAAGTCCTCTGGAACCAGCCAGCAGACAGGGACACACTGATCCCTCCCTGGAGCACTTGTATCATCTGTTGTCGGCACTGCACACTTAGCTCTTAGCAAACGTCATGCTGTGTGGTTAGTTTTCAGTCCCCACCACTGTGATACAAGGTCCTAGAGGGCAGGCTGAGAGCAAGAATGCCAATTACACTTGTGAGTTGGCTTTCTCCATCCATTCCCTGGGCCTCTATCTGACCCTAAGTAAAATTTGTGAAAGTGGATTTTATCAACTAGCTCCAATAATTGTAGTTTTAGAATGATGTCCTCAAATGTCAGCTTGCCTGTGGATCTCTCTGTGTGCCTGTCCACTGCTAGCTCCTGGCTCCCCTCTCTGGTCACTCCTCATCACTCTTGGGCTCTGCCACTTTGCCACCTGGCGGTTGTCCACACACTCCTGCCTTCACCCTTTGCCTTCTGTTCCCCCTGCATAGAATGTATTTCCCCAGACATGGGTATGGCTTCTTTCACCACCATATTCAAGTATGTGCTTAAGTATCACCTTGTCAGTGAGGCTTTCCCTAACCTTCCTACCACCCTGGTTTATACTGCATAGACACCTGTGCTTCCTACGCCTTTGTATTTCCCCATAGAACTCAGCATGCGTCACCTTGCCATATACTTCACTCTCTCTCCCACAAGAATAGAAATTATAGGAGAAGAAGGATTTTTGGCTCTTTTTTTTTTATGGTCCCACCCCAGCCTTCCAAGTAGCTGAGACTAAAAATGCACACTACCATGCCCAGCTATTTTTTATTTTCTTTTTTTGTAGCAACAGGTTCTCCCTATGTTGCCCAGGCTGGTTGTGAACTTCTGGCCTCAAGCGTTCCTCCCACCTTAGCCTACCAAAACGCTGGGATTCCAGGTGTAAGTCACCACACCCAGCCAGATTTTTGTCCTTTTAACTTACTACTGTACTGTCTCTCCAACTCCTAGAACAGTGCCTGGCACAGAGAAGATACTCTATAAATATTTGGTGAATGAATGAGTAAGTATCAGCTGGGAAATGTCAAAATTCAGATATCTGAGACCCACTGATCCCAAATATTAATTACTTGGCTGACATTCTCCACAATCTGCCCTGAGTATTCCTTCCTCATCAGGGTAGACTCCTGCCTCCTTTCTCTGATACAGCTGAGTCCTGGGGCCAGGCAGGTCCATGCCATCTGCCAGGTTCCCCTGTACTTGCTGTGCTATCAGGTGCCATTGCTGCCTTCCAAGAATCCGTGGGTCAGCTTGACATTGTGGGTGGTGCAGTTGGGAGGGGAGGGACTGCATTCATTCTCTGGAGGCTGCATTCATTTCCTGGGCTGGCCACAGAGCCAGATGCCTGCAGGGTTCTCTCTTTGCCAGCAGCTCTTCAAAGACTTGTGAGCCCACTCAGCCCTCCAGAGACACTCTTCACTGCAAAGCCTCAGGCAGCCTAGCCAGGGGACCCTGGAGCTGATGCCACCTGGAATCCCTACCAAGTGTGCAAAGCAGCCACATTCTGGGACAGCTGGATTGGAGGAGGGAGCAGAGGCTGAGGTTGGCTTCCAAATCTTCCAAGCAGTGATCTTTTTAGTGAATTGCTTGAGGGTTCTCTGGCTAGACCTGGTGCAATTACTTGTGCTCCCCCTCCATGGAGTCTCTCTGTGCCTTTGGGACAGCCTCTCCCCCTTCTCACCATCATCTTTGGTGATTCATGGTTGTTTTCTGCCTATGGATCAGCTGTTCATTCCTGCTAAGGGTCCTATAATTAGACAGAGCACAAGAGCTACAGCTCCCTGTTTGTGTTTTGCCCAGAGAAGTCTCCAGGGACACTCAGACCCCTACCTACTCACTCTCAAATCTATTCACTGACTCCCACGTCAGAGAATAAAGATGAACAAAGATTGATCTCCCTAGCGGAGTCCCTCCTCCCACCTTTATGATTCCCTTCATCTTTCCCCTCCCCCAGACTGAATGTCAGTGTTTGAAAGCCAAGCTTAACCCTGGGGATTTGAGAGGGAGTGGCAGGGAATGGGTTTTACTCAGGTCAAAATGAGTCTAAAAGATACATAAGCTTAAGTGGACCTTCTTTCTTTATTTTTTTATTAAGTGGGAGGGAGTTAATTATCTCTCTCTGTGCCATAATTTCTATTCCTGTTTGCTGATCACCCCCACCCACCTTTTGAAATGAAGAGTAATACAGGAAAAAAACCTATATCCACGTTTGTATTAAGCAAATATTTTCTAACTTTTACACCCAGACTACCATCTACCATTATTCTTTGATGTCTGCAGGATTTTACTTATACATAGTAAGATATCAAAATAAGTGCTCTATTGATTGAGGACCTACTTCATATTGTCATTTTTCAGTCTGGAAAAGGTTACTTATAATATGACAGGGTAGGAATTTTGAGTGCCAGACAGTTAGTTCTTGTTGGTTTGTTTGTTTTTGTTTTGTTTTGTTTTTACAAGGAGAGAGGTAAAACTAACAAACAAAAAAATAACAACTAACAAAACACCTAGATATAACTGGTTGGGAGTGAAGACACTAACACTCATGGACATCAACACCTTGAAATCCCCTGTGTTGTCACAAAGATGATGCCACTGTACCTGGTGCTGTGAGGTGGTGAGTTGAGTTGTTTGGGGAATTTCCTATACACATTGCAAAGCCCTTGTGAGACATCTTCAGAAATGAGCAACTCAGCTCATGAAGTCAGAGCCAGTGAGGCCAGTTGACAAGCGATGGTGAAGTCCAGATCCCCACCTGCCTTCACTGGATAAAATGCCTTGTCACCATCCATTTCCACCATTCCCCACTCCCTCCTTGGACTACTCAGATATGCTTACTCCTGCAGTCCCAGCTGTAGAACTTTCCAGCCCTATGCATTCAGTTATCAATCAATGGAGATCTCAGCTGCACTTGGGCTGGAGCAGGACAAACCAGCCTTTCTTTATGCCAACAGGGAATGCTTGAAATAACTTGACACACAACTCTGATTGATGCAGCCACAGTTTACACTCCACACTTCAGACGGTTTGAAATGGCTAGAATTAATAGCCTATTATAAGATAGTAGGGGGGTGGGGGAGTTGGGGGTGGGAGGTCTGGGAAAGGGAGGCAGGAGAGAGAGAGAGACAAAAAAATACCTTTTTTATGATCTCCTAATTTAAATCTATTTATTTGATTTTTGCAGAGTGTGACATGAAGGGGGGTACTGGGAGGGGAGGATTGTTCTTATCACCCTGCTGTGAGTCCACTGGGGGGCTCCAGCCAGCTTGGCACCAACTTAATGCATTTTTCTAGTAAATGATGCGAATCCATGTGGCTGGGCAAGGAGGGGTTAAAGAGGCTAGGGAGTCAGGGACTGAGGGAGGGAAGAATGGCAATCGCTTGGTTCACTTGCTTTCATGCCAGGTTCTGCTAGCCAGCTGGAGAGAGGGGAAATGGAGTTTAAAACCCCTGGTAAGGAATTTTTCCTTGGTCTGAACATTGTTTAAATTCCTGAAGTGGGTGATCCCTGTAATAAATACCTTGGACTTTGTAAGACAGATATATTTACTCAAGTTTAAAGTTTGGATTTGATGGATATGCACTTGGGAATGCACGGGATCGGAGTGTTTGTTATAGGTTGGAACCCATTCAATGCGCACAAGGAGTTAAGAGAACTCCATTTATAGCAAAGCAGACTGTCTTCACCATTCTTTGTGGTCACTATGTCAAAGTCTGTACTTGATCCCTTATTTCGAATATCGTTGGCCCTCAAAAGACATTAAATGAGAAAGAGAATTTGGCCCAAGGTACTCAAAGCACTTTTTTAAGACTTATGTGCAAATGGAGCCTTGAACTAGGTCACCTGTCTTGTATGTAGGAAAACACTTCTTTGAGGAGAGAGTAGATAATATGAAGCAAAGGACAAAGATGAAGGTAGAGCCAGAAAGAGCTGAACACTCCAGCTTATGTTCTATTTTTCCTGTAATGTCACTGCCTCAGGACTGATTACATATTGTAAGAGAAAAAAATTCATCCTATCATTGGGAGTATGGAGTCTCACAGGACACAATGCCTTTTGTCCAGATTGAAACACTTGCTATTCCCCTAAAGAATGTTACTCAATCCTATAACTTAAAACAAGCAAGCCAGGTAATTCCAAGAAGGCCAGGTTGGAGTTTCCAGGAACTCATGCCAACTTTGCCCTCCTTGACTGTAGAATCGTAGGGATTTCCCCAGAGCCCCCAGGTGAAAGGCCCCCCTGCCCTTTTCTCCTTGGTGAATGACATGATTCCAGCCTGACCGGCAGAGTGAACAGTTGACTAGCCACCACGGATTCTGTTCAACCATTTGGTTTGGTTTTCCCAAGGGGGTTCCCATCTAACCACAGGCCTATGCCAGAGCTACATGATCTTGCCAAGCTTCACGGGGTCCATGTTTAAGGGGGTGCAGCCTCAGGCCACTGTGTGCATGCCCTTCTGCCACTGCCCAACAACACAGATGGAATTTTGGTTTCCCAGCATGGGAATGAATGCCCATTTTCCATGATGCATATGTGTGATGTGAAAAATCATCTCACCTTGGGCTTAAATAGGCCTCTCAGAAGCAAGAGCCAAGTACAAGCTGGAGACTCCTGTTCCATCTTCCCTGTTGAAATAGGTTACAAGGGAATATTTTTCATAATCCACTTACAATGAATTTTCCTGCTTTGGCTGATGCTCAAGCCCACACATCAGTGACTCCCACGTTCCAGATGACTTAGTTGCAGGAATCAGAATGTGCCTCACAAAATAAAAGATCAATATAACATTTGTTTGAGAAACCACATTCCTCTTATAGGCTGAAGTACGTGATGTCTGCAACAGCAGAAATAAAGATGTGAAAATATTATTTTCTATGATATTGGTATTTTAACTGCCTAAGCTCCTAATTTTACTATAACTGCCAACATAGGTTTTTGTTTTTGTTTTTGTTTTGTTTTGTTTTGTTTTGTTTGTTTTTGTGAGATCCTGGGATTTATTTTAATACATTATTAATATTTAAGTTATTTTTTATGCAATATTCTCCAATTAAGTTCATTATTTAGTTAGGATTTCACTGTCACTTGAGGAATGTCACAATGGAATTGGTTATAAATGCAGAATAACTGCTAAAGAAATTTACCAATTTTTCTTGTGTATTAATGTAACCAGCCCTTAAAATTGATTGCCAGTCTTTTGGGGGTAGCAGGATGTCATTCGCCCTCCCTTGGAAGTCCATACCAACTTTGTCTTCACCAAGTTGAAAAGTCCTAAAAGGTTGTAGGATTCTTCAGAGGGAGAGGTGCAGACTTAGGTGAACTGGGCCTGGATTAAACTCTGATGAGACCCCAGAATGATCTGATCCATCAGTCTGCTTCATGTATCGTATGACTTGAGGGCACCAAGAGAATCATAAGAACTGCTTCAAAAATTTAAAATAGTTATTTGGGGGACATTCATTTAAATATGCCCCGCTATAAATCATATCATTAGATACGTAAAGTTCCCAATATAATTTGGCAACATAAGCTAATTTTGCTGATGTAAACACATTTTAGCCTGTGGATTCCTGAATACATAGAGTGCTAACCTAGATTCAGACTCGAGGCTGCATGTGGAGAATCTCAAAGGTAGGAGCTGTGAATTCAGCAGTTGTTTATTAGAATTAAAGTCACTTAAAATCTATACTTAAGAAGGTACTTAAAAATTCTCTAGGCTTTTCCCAAATCAGACTCTCTCGGTGTGGGCCTGAGGATCTATATATTTTTAAAATTCAACCTTGAAGAATGAGTAGGATTTTTAACCTCAGGGTGGGCGGGAATGACATTCCAGGGGGCATGATGGTTTAGTTGAAAGGCATGGGTCAAGGAAAGATAATGCGTTTCATTTACCTGGTTTTTGCAGCAGAACTTCTCAGACGTTTAATATGCTGATGGACATCATAAAGCATTTGAAGGGTGCAACGTGTAGCATTTGCCAAACCTATTTGAACATGTTTCTTGATCATAGGATAAATGTCCCTTAAAACAGATTTTGAGAAATTCTATTATTAATATTAAGTTATTTTCTACGCAATATTCTCCAATTAAGTTCATTATTTAGGTGAGATTTCACTGTCACTTAAGGAAAGTAACAATGGAATCGATTATAAATGCAGAATAACTGCTAAAGAAATTTCCAGTTACTAATTTTTCTTGTGTATTAATGTAGCCAGCCCTTAAAATTGGTTATCAGTTTTTTGAGGGTGGTGAGATGTCATTCACCCTCCTCTGCAAATCCATACCAACTTTATTTTAACCAGGCTCTAAAGCATATTTGAACATGTTTCATGATCATAGGTCAAATATCCCTTAAAACATACTTCAGGAAATTCTAGGCTTAGGAAAGGAGAAGACAAAGTAGAGAGACTCCCTGTTAACACTTTCTAAGCTTTTAGTCACACAAGGGCATGGAAAACAAACTCTCCTGTGTTTTCTTAGCCAGGAGAAATAGGCCAGGCTCCTGCCAGTCATCATTGCTCTTTTGGTGCTGACCTGGCCTTGTTTGGTACATCCCTGCCCTGTTTGAAATGCAGTACTCCTGCTCCAGACAACTTGAAGAACGGAACGCATTTTTTCAAAGTGCTAGAGGGGGGATAAAAAAACAGGCAAAAATTGAGACAAGAGCCATTTGTAGGGCAGCAGAATGAGCTTTGGCTTTTCTGCCCCTAGCTCGGGCTGGGAAAACACAGAGACCTGAAGGAGCTGAATGTTAGGAAGAAAGGCCATCTGAGGCATGAATTTTAATCCCTGCTTGGCTTCTTGCAAACTGTGTGACCTCAAGCAAGTCACTTTACCAGTCCAAATCTTGGTTGCTTCATCTGTAAAACTGAGTTGTCTACCTACATAGGAGTTCTCTAAGGAACCAATGAAATCATATTTGTAAGACGCCCAGAACAGAGCCTGGTGTTTAGTGGACACATACTAAGCCTAATAAAGCATTCCTTCCTTCCTTCCCAAAATCTGGAAGCAATTTTCTTTAAGCTGACTTTGATTCAAGAAGCATTCATCGCACATTCTATTATATGAAAACCAGTAGATTGAGCTCATCTCATAGCTTGATGTCTAACCAGGGAAGGTGTTCGATAAATACTTTTGTATGACTGAATACTCGTATGTGAATAAATAAGTCAACAAAGAGAACCATAGATTCACAGAGGAAGAAGTGATTTCTGGGGGATGCATGTAGCCTTCTATTCCTCTTCTCATACATGGAGTATTGGTGGGCACTCTTCTGGCCTCTCTTTCTACCCTTTACTCAACCTGCTCCAAGAGAGAAGTGTAGTTACTCTGATAGTTCACTAGACCACATTTTTCTAGGAGGCAAGGTCATATTCTGTCTCTGAGCTACAAGTAGAATACAGCCAAATTTAGCAGACCTGCCATTCTTTGTTCTATCTGTTGCTAGGCGTGTCAGCGTGTCTGTGGTCCTCATCCATGTTTATGGCTGTGTAAGGGTACTCAAGGTCTCTTCTGTAAGCCCATTCTTACCTCCTCACATTACCCAAATGTGCAAACCCTAAGATTCAGGCTAGAAGCCTTCATCTGAGCCTCAGGCATCCACATAACATTCAACTAAGCAGTTAAAACGAACTTTATTATAGAGATGACACTACTGAAAATCACCAGAGTAAAGTATTTGGCATCTAATTTATAAAATGAAATCATAGGTTCCCCCAGTATGTAGTGTTTTCATTGGTAAAACAATTATACTGTTTTCAATCCTTATTAACTCTCCTACAGGCAACATATATTGGTATTCCCCATGACAACATAATTAGTATTCTAAGCATATTTTTCACCAGCTGCTTATGTCTTCAAGTTAAAAGTCAACAGCTAAATATATAAAATGGAAAAAGCATAAACAGTAAAATTGATTTTAGTACTCAGAATGACTTGATTATCTATATTTATAGTGGTAATTAGAGAAAGACTTAATGCCTTATATAATCAGTTCTTTATTGAAAGTTTCATGACACAGGACTTGATGCTAATTTACCTTGTAGCATCGAGGAAGGAGTGCTGTTCTCTAAGCCACACCAATGGCTTTAGCTTCTAGGTTCATTAACTACAAAACATGTTGCCTTACATTATGTGTAGCACATTAAGGGCTCTTTATTGAGCAACTTTCAAAGGCAGTTTCTATTCCAAGTTGCTAACATAATATATGCCTTTCCCCAGAGTCCAGTTGGCTGTTTGAGTCTAGGGAATGAGTGATGCTCTTTGTTATTAGAAAAGTAATGTTAATTCTGTATAATGTCAATATATCTATAGCATAACACAGCGAAGAAGTTTCATTTTTCTTGCATGAATGCCTTTTTATCTGGAAAGTTTTAGAGCTATTCCTACATATTTTTAAAATTCTTTTTGTATTCTGATCTCCAGGACTGGAGGATTTCCCCCAAAGCTTTTTTAAAAAAAGTACACATTTTCATAATAGCAATAACTACTAGTTATCAAGCACGTACTGTGTGCCAAATCCTTTACAAAGCACTTTATATAAATAGTGTGTCATTTCTTCTTTGCAACAACCTGACAAGGAAGGCACTGTTATGTGTCTGTTTTACAGATGATGAAACTGAGGCTTAGAAAGATGAAGTGACTAACCTAAGATGACACGACAATAAGTGGGAGCACTACTAGTTAAGCTCAGGTAGGCTGGCTTTCGAGGATGAATTTCCAATCATCCATTACAGCTGTAGACCAGTCAAGTGCAACTTCCAGTGATCAGATCACTGCTTATTGCCTATTGTTTTCTTTCTCTTCTTAGCATGTACAACCATTACGTATGCATGTATGAATGCATATACACACATATGTCATATATGTACGTATATATGTTTTTATATGCTTATGTATAGAGGCATACTCATTTAATTGTGCCTTGTTTTATTGTGCTTTGCAGATATTGCATTTTTTACAAATTGAAGGTTTGTGACAACCCTGCAGTGAGCCTATGGGCATCATTTTTCCAATAGAATGTGCTAACTTCGTATCTCTGTGTCACATGTTGTTAATTCTCACAATATTTCAACCTTTTTTGCTATTATTTTATCTGTTGTGGTGATTTATGATCAGTGATCTTTGATGTTACCATTGTCATTGTTTTGGGGCATCACAAAGTGCTCCCATATGTGATAGCAAACTTAATCAACAAATGCATGTACTCTGACTGCTCTGCCAATGGGCCCTTCTGCCATCTGTCTCCTGTTCCTTGGATGTCCCTATTTCCTGAGACACAATACTGAGAATAGGCCAATTAATAACCCTACATTGGTCTGTTAGTGTTCAAGTTAAAGGAAGGGCCACTCATCTCTTACTTTAAATCAAAAGCTAGAAGTGATTCAGCTTAGTGAGGAAGGCAGGTCGAAAGCCAAGAGAGGCCAAAAGCTAAGTCTCTTGTGCCAAGCAGTAAGCCAAGTTGTAAATTCAAAGGGAAAATTCTTGAAGGAAATTAAAAGTACTACTCCAGTGAAAACACAAATGATAAGAAAGCAAAACAGCCTTATTGCTGATATGGAGAAGGTTTTAGTGGTTTGGATAGAAAATCAAACCAGACACAACATTTCCCAAAGACAAAACCTAGTCCAGAGCAAGACCCTAACTCTTTGAATTTTCTGAAATCTGGGAGAGGTGACAAAGCTGCAGAAGAATCATTTGAAACTAGAAGAGGTTGGTTCATGAGGTTTAAGTAAAGAAGCCATCTTCATAACATAAATGCAAAGTGAGGCAGCAAGTGCTGATGGAGAAGCTGCAGCAAGTAATTCTGAAGATCTAACTAAGATAATTGGTGAAATGGCTACACCAAACAACAGATTTTCAATGTAGGAAAACTAGCCTTCTATTGAAAGAAGATGCCATTCATGACATTTTTAGCTAGAGAATAGAAGTCAATGCCTGGCTTCAAAGGACAGGCCAACTCTCTCGTTAGAGGCCAATGCAGCTGGTGGTCAATGTCAAAGCCAGTGGACATTTATCATTCTGAAAATCCTAAGGCCCATAAGAATTAGACTAAATCTACTTTGCCTGTACTCTATAAATGGAATGAGAAAGCATGGATGACAGCACATCTGTTTACAGCATACGGTTTACTGAATATTTTAAGCCCACTATTGAAACATGCTGCTCAGAAGAAAAGATTTCTTTTAAAATATTACTGCTTATTGACAATGCAGCTCATCATCCAAGAGCTCTAATAGAGATCTGCAAAGGAGATTAATGTTGTTGTCATGCCTGCTAACACAGCATCCATTCTGCAACCCATGGATCGAGGAGTTATTTTGGCTTTCAACTCTTATTATTTAAGGAGTACATTTCATAAGGTTATAGTTACCATCAATAGCGATTCCTATGATGGATCCTGGCAGAGTACATTGACAAAATTCTGGAAAGGATTCATCATTCTAGATGCCATTAAGAACATCTATCATAAATGGAAGAAAGTCAAAATACCAACATTAGCCAGTGATATAGTTTGGATGTTTGTCCCCTCCAAATCTCATGTAGAAATGTGATCCCCAGTGTTGGAGGTGGAGCTTAGTGGGAGGTGATTGGATCATGCGGGCAGATCCCCCATGAATGGCTTAGCATCCCTTGGTAATGAGTGAGTTCTCTCAAAGTTAGTTCACATGAGATCTGGTTGGTTAACAGTCTGGGACCTCCCCTTTCTCACTCTTGCTCCCTCTCTTGCCATGTAATATGCCTGCTTTTGCTTCACCTTTTGCCATGAGTAAAAATTCCCTGAGACCTCACCAGAAGCCAAGCAGATGCTGGTGCCATGCTTCCTATACAGCCTGAAGAACTGTGAGTGAATTAAACCTCTTTTCTCTATACATTACCCAGTCTCAGGTATATCTTTGTAACAATGCAAAAACAGACTAACACCACCAGCATTTGGAAGAAGTTGATCTCAGCCTTTGTGGATGACTTTGAGAAGCTCAACACTTCAGCGGATGAAGAAACTGCATATGTGGTACCAATATTAAGCAAACTAAAATTAGAAGTAAAGCCTTCAGATGTGACTGAATTACTGTCATCTCATGATACATCTTGAATGGATATTGAGTTGCTTCATATGAATAAGCAAAGAAAGTGGTTTCTTGCCATGGGATCCACTCTTTGGTGAATATGCTGTGAACGTTGTTGAAGTGACAATAAAGGATTTAGAAAATTACAAAAACTTACTTGAGAAAGCAGTGGCAGAGTTTGAGAGGATTGACTCTTATTTTGAAAGAAGTTCTGCTGTGGGTAAAATGCTATCTTTCTACAGCATTTTGTAGAAAGAAATATTTTGTGAAAGGAAAAGTCAATCAATGTGGGTGAACTTCATTGTTGTCTTATTTTAAGAAATTACCATACCCACTCCAGCCTTCAGCAACCACCACCCTGATCAGTCAGCAGCCAGCAACATAGAGGCAAGACCCTTCACCAGCAAAAAGGTTAAGACTTGCTGAAGACTCAGAGATGATTGTATGCAATTTTAAACAATATTTTAAATTAAGATATGTACATTATTTTTTAGACATAATGCTGTTGCACAATTAATAGACCACAGTATATTGTGAATATAACTTTTATATGCACTGGGAAACAAAAAAATTAATGCGACTTGTTTTACTGTGAGATTTGCTTCATTGGAACTCAACCTGCCCTATCCCAAGGTAGGCCTGTTTCCTACATGCAGATGATATTAACTTTGATTTTGATATTCAAAACCACTTAATTATATTTGTTGCTGTAATTCCTCAAGGCATATACACATATGCACTCCTTTGTGCTTCAGTGTCATTTGAGAAAAGTTTCAAACTTTTTAAATATAAATCATCATTCTCGTGATCTCATTTGATCCTCAGATCTGCCCTGAGAGGTCGGTACATCCTGTGCTATTGTCTCATCTGAGAAATGAAGCGACACGTCCAAGGTCAGTTCACCACTTGTGGTAAAACTCAAACCAGAACTCCCCCTCAGCTGTTACGCCAGAGTGTTAAAGTACTGTGCTGTCTTCCACAGATCCTCAGGCACAGAATAACACTCTGGGCTGCACATGAGCTAACAGAAGGAAATAAAATGTCAACTCTTTCAAGTAAGCGATGGAACAGGAATCTCAGGCACAGTGCTCATGTAATACCATTTCATGGGTGAATTTGTCTTTTTTGTGGAGAATCCGCCATCTTTGCTTTTTATCAATCTCTGTCCACGTAGTTAACTAGTTCACCTTGTACCACCTTGAAACCCTGACCTAAACTCCAATCCCAAATGTCATCCCAGGGTGTTATATGGTACATATATACTGATGTGACTTCCCCCACTAGATTGTGAGTTCACTCCTGTGATCCAGTTTTCAGCATAGAGCCTGACAGTAGAAGGTCTCAAATATTTATCCATTCATGTATTTGTTCTGCATAAATTTTTGCTGAATTTACTGGCAATTGGAAAAGAAATGGAGAAATAGAAAAGGAAAAAAGTTTGAGACATAAATCCCAGTTTTAATTATTTTGCCATAGGACAGGGTCTCCATAACCTTTATAACCCCCCTTCCCATAATACCAAACTTTGTGTGGAAAAACATCCCTAAGAGCTTCTCTGTCGAAGAATGGGTCAGAGCAGGGCTGGTTGTTCCAAAAATGGCCTACAAATATGTTCTTTGGGGACTTAATGTGCCCTCCAGGACAGTGGGACCTATAAAACTTGTAGGAGGGAATTCTAGGGAGGAGACTAACATGGCAAAGCAAACTGCTCCCTCCCACCACAGAGTTAAAAACAATGTCCAGCCTTTAAGTTGTGGGAAAGAGAATGGTGAAATCATTCTCTGTCTGGCACAAGTTGCAGACTATTAAGTCGTTTGGGAAATGTGGACTTGTACCAATCTACGAGATTGGCCATGGCCATTTTAATATGTTTTTGAAAATCAGCAAGTGCTTAAAAACTTGTAGTAAAAGCCCTAATAAACTAAATTCGACCAGGACTCTGCCAGAATTGTATTTACCTCCTGAAGTGGAGGGTTAGGAAACCGCATTAAAAATTAAAGTGAAAAAAAAAATAAGAAAAAGCAATAGACCCATTAGTTTGGGCAGTTGTTTGGTCAAAAGAATTAACTGTCCACTCTCAAAGGCAGCTCATGTTTCAAGTGAGAGGTGAGTTTGTTTGATGGCACGCAGTTACAAATAATGCCATCTCCCCGCTTTCTACTTTTGTTTTGTTTTACAAGTCTTATTTGTTTTTACAAGGGTAAGTTTGGAGGGGGGTGGGTAGTTACTGTAGCCAGAAGAATAAATGCTTTGTGCATTGTGCATGCCCATGTAGTATACTGAACAAGTACTAATAAGAATAAAATTATTGGAGCAAATAAAATCACATATGCTTTTTAGTCACCTGGGAGAGGGGCCGTGCCAGCCTTCTTGAGCATATAAAAATAATAATTCCTCACATCTGAATAGCATTATAGAACTTATAAAGCCCTTTCACTTATATTATCATGTTTGATCCTCAATAACGTGAGTTAAGAATGATCTGTGTTGTGATACCATTTTACAGTTCAAGAGAGGTTAAGCGGCTTGTCCAAGCAGCTACTAAGAATTGATCAGTCAGTGATTCCAACAACATCCTGGTGCCAGAGCATTCCACGTTGTCCACTGTGACGCAAAAGAGCAAAAATGTATGAATCGTAGCAAAAATCTCTAAGGTCATTTTGTGTAGAAGAAAACTATTTGGCACAGGAAATGACTTATCCCCTGGCTCCCTAGCTATCAGAGAAATGGTCTACACCAGGAAAAGAGCACAGTGCTAAGGATCACATACAGCCTGATTCAGGCACAGACTAGCTGCGTGTTGCTTAGGACACACTTGCAAAATGAGGAACTAGTGTATGGCATCCTGTTACCTAAAGGTGTTGTTAAAAATCGCACGGGGCTGTAGATGGACAAAAACAAGAAACGGGGAAAGGATTCCCTATTTAATAAATGGTGCTGGGAAAACTGGCTAGCCATATGTAGAAAGCTGAAACTGGATCTCTTCCTTACACCTTATACAAAAATTAATTCAAGATGGATTAAAGACCTAAATGTTAGACCTAAAACCATAAAAACCCTAGAAGAAAACCTAGGCAGTACCATTCAGGACATAGGCATGGGCAAGGACTTCATGTCTAAAACACCAAAAGCAATGGCAACAAAAGCCAAAATTGACAAATGGGATCTAATTAAACTAAGGAGCGTCTGCACAACAAAAGAAACTACCATCAGAGTGAACAGGCAACCTACACAATGGGAGAAAAATTTTGCAATCTACCTATCTGACAAAGGGCTAATATCCAGAATCTAAAAAGAACTTAAACAAATTTGCAAGAAAAAATCAAACAACCCCATCAAAAAGTGGGCAAAGGATATGAACAGACACTTCTCAAAAGAAGACATTTATGGAGCCAACAGACACATGAAAAAATGCTCATCATCACTGGCCATCAGAGAAATGCAAATCAAAACCACTATGAGATACCATCTCATACCAGTTAGAATGGCGATCATTAAAAAGTCAGGAAACAACAGGTGCTGGATAGGATGTGGAGAAATAGGAATACTTTTACACTGTTGGTGGGACTGTAAACTAGTTCAACCATTGTAGAAGACAGTGTGGTGATTCCTCAAGGATCTAGAACTAGAAATGCCATTTGACCCAGTCATCTCATTACTGGGTATATACCCAAATGACTATAAATCATGCTGCTATAAAGACACATGCACATGTTTATTGTGGCACTGTGCACAACAGCAAAGACTTGGAACCAACCCAAATGTCCATCAATGATAGACTGGATTAAGAAAATGTGGCACATATACACTATGGAATACTATGCAGCCATAAAAAAGGATGAGTTCATGTCCTTTATAGGGACATGGATGAAGCTGGAAACCATCATTCTGAGCAAACTATCGCAAGGACAGAAAACCAAACACTGCATGTTCTCACCCATAGGTGGGAATTGAACAATGAGAACACTTGGACACAGGTTGGGGAACATGACACACCGGGGCCTGTCGTGGGGTAGGGGGTGGGGGAGGGCTAGCATTAGGAGATATACTGAATGTAAATCACAAGTTAACGGGTGCAGCACACAAACATGGCACTTGTATACATATGTAACAAACCTGCACGTTGTGCACATGTACCCTAGAACTTAAAGTATAAGAATCAAAAATAAATAAATAAATAAATAAATACATTGCATGAGGCTAATGTAAGTTACTGTGCCTTTTGATATTGCCTGAGAACTCACTGGCTTTGAGGTAGCTTTTTCTATCTATATTAATGAGGAGCTGGTGGGTTAATTTCCCAGTGTTTCTGTAACAAGTTATCCAAAACTTAATGGCTTTAAACAACGTAAATTTATTCTCACAGTTCTGGAACCAGAAGTCTAAAATCAAAATGTCATTGATTTTGAAAAAGGCAAGGAAGAGGAATCTCTCTTAAAATCTTCTTCCTTCTAGGGGGTTTAAAAGATGTTCCTCTTCCTTGCCTTTTTCAGCTTCTAGAGGCTGCTTATGAAATAATAAGAGATAATAATTATTTTAAGTATTAAATAAGTATATGTTTCTTAAATATGTGTATGCATATGCATTTCTTATTATATATAAGAAATAAAATAAGATGTATATGTGTGTGTGTGTGTGTATGTGTGTGTGTGTGTGTGTATATATATATATATATATATATATATATATATATGAAATATCCATATTGGTCTCTGCTCCCAGTTATTTACACAGAGCTCTTGAAACACGTATGCTTTTCTGAGTGACAGGGGTATTAGAATCATCTTTTGTGCTAATATTTGGTCTCTGACCTGGTCTTTGACACAGAACTCCTAAATCCCTCAGAATATCCTGGGTGATAGGAGTGTCTTTTGCCCTAATGAGGCAACTCTTGATGAGCTCCTAGATGGCTTCAGGATGGGGGCTAGTCACCAGAAAGACCAAACCTTGATTAGAAGCTCAAAATTTTCAGTCCCATTTCCCCATCCTCTAAGGAGAGCATAGGGACTGGAGACAGAGTTAATCAATCCTGCCTATGTGGTGAAGCCTCTGTAAATATCCCTGAACTACAGCTTCTGGGTTGGTGAACACATAGGGGTACTGGGAGGGTGGTGCATCTCGAGGCAACATAAAAACCCCACACCTCTTCCCTATACCTGGCCCTTTGCATCTCTTCCATCTGGCTGTTCCTGAGTTGTATTCTTTATAATCAACTAGTAAACCTAAGTAAGTAAATGTTGCCCTGACTTTTTTTTTTTTTTTTTTGAGACGGAGTCTCGCTCTGTCGCCCAGGCTGGAGTGCAGTGGCGGGATCTCGGCTCACTGCAAGCTCCGCCTCCCGGGTTCACGCCATTCTCCTGCCTCAGCCTCCCAAGTAGCTGGGACTACAGGCGCCCGCCACTACGCCTGGCTAATTTTTTGTATTTTTAGTAGAGACGGGGTTTCACCGTTTTAGCCAGGATGGTCTCGATCTCCTGACCTCGTGATCCGCCCGCCTCGGCCTCCCAAAGTGCTGGGATTACAGGCGTGAGCCACCGCGCCCGGCCTGCCCTGACTTTTTGTGAGCCATTATAGCAAAGTATCAAATGTGAGGAAGGGGATGCAGGGACCCTCACTTTATAGCCAGTTGGTCAGAAGTGCAGGTGATAACCTGGGACTTTTGGGATCTGAAGTTGGATACAGTCTCATGGGACTGAACCCTTTAACTGTGGGATCTAATGCCAGCTTATGATTGATAAACAGCTCCAAAAACACTATCTGCAAAGTCCCTTTTATCATATAATGTTGCACATTCACAGGTTTCAGATATTAGGACTTGGACATCTTTGAGGGGGCTATGATTCAGCCTACCCCAGCTGGAATAAACAAAACTTCAGTCTGAACTTGTAATTCTGCTCTATCATTCATAAATACAATTCTAAGGCTTGTGGTTTCAATGGAACAAAATAGAGAGCACGGAAGTCAACCCACATAAATATAGTCAACTGATCTTTGACCAAGAAGCAAAGGCATTATCATGACAAAAAGACAGCCCTTTCAACAAATGATGCTGGGACAACTGGACATCCATGTGCAAAAAAAAAAAAAAGTATTCTCTGATGGTAGTTTGTATTTCTGTGGGATCGGTGGTGATATCCCCTTTATCATTTTTTATTGTGTCTATTTGATTCTTCTCTCTTTTTTTCTTTATTAGTCTTGCTAGCGGTCTATCAATTTTGTTGATCCTTTCAAAAAACCAGCTCCTGGATTCATTGATTTTTTGAAGGGTTTTTTTGTGTCTCTATTTCCTTCAGTTCTGCTCTGATTTTAGTTATTTCTTGCCTTCTGCTAGCTTTTGAATGTGTTTGCTCTTGCTTTTCTAGTTCTTCTAATTGTGATGTTAGGGTGTCAATTTTGGATCTTTCCTGCTTTCTCTTGTGGGCATTTAGTGCTATAAATTTCCCTCTACACACTGCTTTGAATGCGTCCCAGAGATTCTGGTATGTTGTGTCTTTGTTCTCGTTGGTTTCAAAGAACATCTTTATTTCTGCCTTCATTTCGTTATGTACCCAGTAGTCATTCAGGAGCAGGTTGTTCAGTTTCCATGTAGTCGAGCGGCTTTGAGTGAGATTCTTAATCCTGAGTTCTAGTTTGATTGCACTGTGGTCTGAGAGATAGTTTGTTATAATTTCTGTTCTTTTACATTTGCTGAGGAGAGCTTTACTTCCAAGTATGTGGTCAATTTTGGAATAGGTGTGGTGTGGTGCTGAAAAAAATGTATATTCTGTTGATTTGGGGTGGAGAGTTCTGTAGATGTCTATTAGGTCCGCTTGGTGCAGAGCTGAGTTCAATTCCTGGGTATCTTTGTTGACTTTCTGTCTCGTTGATCTGTCTAATGTTGACAGTGGGGTGTTAAAGTCTCCCATTATTAATGTTTGGGAGTCTAAGTCTCTTTGTAGGTCACTCAGGACTTGCTTTATGAATCTGGGTGCTCCTGTATTGGGTGCATATATATTTAGGATAGTTAGCTCCTCTTGTTGAATTGATCCCTTTACCATTATGTAATGGCCTTCTTTGTCTCTTTTGATCTTTGTTGGTTTAAAGTCTGTTTTATCAGAGACTAGGATTGCAACCCCTGCCTTTTTTTGTTTTCCATTTGCTTGGTAGATCTTCCTCCATCCTTTTATTTTGAGCCTATGTGTGTCTCTGCACGTGAGATGGGTTTCCTGAATACAGCACACTGATGGGTCTTGACTCTTTATCCAACTTGCCAGTCTGTGTCTTTTAATTGGAGCATTTAGTCCATTTACATTTAAAGTTAATATTGTTATGTGTGAATTTGATCCTGTCATTATGATGTTAGCTGGTGATTTTGCTCGTTAGTTGATGCAGTTTCTTCCTAGTCTCGATGGTCTTTACATTTTGGCATGATTTTGCAGTGGCTGGTACCGGTTGTTCCTTTCCATGTTTAGCGCTTCCTTCAGGAGCTATTTTAGGGCAGGCCTGATGGTGACAAAATCGGTCAGCATTTGCTTGTCTGTAAAGTATTTTATTTCTCCTTCACTTATGAAGCTTAGTTTGGCTGGATATGAAATTCTGGGTTGAAAATTCTTTTCTTTAAGAATGTTGAATATTGGCCCCCACTCTCTTCTGGCTTGTAGGGTTTCTGCCGAGAGATCCGCTGTTAGTCTGATGGGCTTCCCTTTGAGGGTAACCCGACCTTTCTCTCTGGCTGCCCTTAACATTTTTTCCTTCATTTCAACTTTGGTGAATCTGACAATTATGTGTCTTGGAGTTGCTCTTCTCGAGGAGCATCTTTGTGGCGTTCTCTGTATTTCCTGAATCTGAATGTTGGCCTGCCTTGCTAGATTGGGGAAGTTCTCCTGGATAATATCCTGCAGAGTGTTTTCCAACTTGGTTCCATTCTCCGCATCACTTTCAGGTACACCAATCAGACGTAGATTTGGTCTTTTCACATAGTCCCATATTTCTTGGAGGCTTTGCTCATTTCTTTTTATTCTTTTTTCTCTATACTTCCCTTCTCGCTTCATTTCATTCATTTCATCTTCCATTGCTGATACCCTTTCTTCCAGTTGATCGCATCGGCTCCTGAGGCTTCTGCATTCTTCACGTAGTTCTCGAGCCTTGGTTTTCAGCTCAATGCAACAGAACAGAGCCCTCAGAAATAACGCTGCTTACCTACAACTATCTGATCTTTGACAAACCTGAGAAAAACAAGCAATGGGGAAAGGATTCCCTATTTAATAAATGGTGCTGGGAAAACTGGCTAGCCATATGTAGAAAGCTGAAACTGGATCCCTTCCTTACACCTTATACAAAAATTAATTCAAGATGGATTAAAGATTTAAATGTTAGACCTAAAACCATAAAAACCCTAGAAGAAAACCTAGGCATTACCATTCAGGACATAGGCGTGGGCAAGGACTTCATGTCCAAAACACCAAAAGCAATGGCAACAAAAGCCAAAATTGACAAATGGGATCTAATTAAACTAAAGAGCTTCTGCACAGCAAAAGAAACTACCATCAGAGTGAACAGGCAACCTACAACATGGGAGAAAATTTTCGCAACCTACTCATCTGACAAAGGGCTAATATCCAGAATCTACAATGAACTCAAACAAATTTACAAGAAAAAAACAAACAACCCCATCAAAAAGTGGGCGAAGGACATGAACAGACACTTCTCAAAAGAAGACATTTATGCAGCCAAAAAACACATGAAAAAATGCTCATCATCACTGGCCATCAGAGAAATGCAAATCAAAACCACTATGAGATATCATCTCACACCAGTTAGAATGGCAGTCATTAAAAAGTCAGGAAACAACAGGTGCTGGAGAGGATGTGGAGAAATAGGAACACTTTTACACTGTTGGTGGGACTGTAAACTAGTTCAACCATTGTGGAAGTCAGTGTGGCGATTCCTCAGGGATCTAGAACTAGAAATACCATTTGACCCAGCCATCCCATTACTGGGTATATACCCAAATGACTATAAATCATGCTGCTATAAAGACACATGCACACATATGTTTATTGTGGCATTATTCACAATAGCAAAGACTTGGAACCAACCCAAATGTCCAAAAATGATAGACTGGATTAAGAAAATGTGGCACATATACACCATGGAATGCTATGCAGCCATAAAAAATGATGAGTTCATGTCCTTTGTAGGGACATGGATGAAATTGGAAACCATCATTCTCAGTAAACTATCGCAAGAACAAAAAACCAAACACCGCATATTCTCACTCATAGGTGGGAATTGAACAATGAGATCACATGGACACAGGAAGGGGAATATCACACTCTGGGGACTGTGGTGGGGAGGGGGGAGGGGGGAGGGATAGCACTGGGAGATATACCTAATGCTAGATGACGAGTTAGTGGGTGCAGCGCACCAGCATGGCACATGTATACATATGTAACTAACCTGCACAATGTGCACATGTACCCTAAAACTTAAAGTATAATTAAAAAAAAAAATACAGCTAGTATAATGTAAAAGTGCATAATTTATTTGTAGCGTTTTTAAAAAAAAACAAAAAAAATACAGCTAGTATAATGTAAAAGTGCATAATTTATTTGTAGCGTTTTAAAAAAAAATACAGCTAGTATAATGTAAAAGTGCATAATTTATTTGTAGCGTTTTAAAAAAAAAAAAAAGAATCTAGACACAGACCTTACACATTTCACAAAAATTAACTCAAGATGGATCACAGACCCAAATAAAAAGCATAACACTCCCAGAAGATGCATAGGCAAAAATGTGGATGGTCTTTGATTTCACAATGACTTTTTAAATGCAATACCAAAGGCACAATTCATGAAAGAAAATATTGATAAGCCAGACTTCATTAAAATTAAAAATTTCTGCTCTGCAAAAGATACTGTCAAAAGAATGAAAAGACAAGCCACAGACTTGGAGAAAATATTTGCAAAAGACATATCTGATAAAGGATTGTCATCTGAAATAAAGAAATCTTAAAACCCAATGAGAAGAAAACATACAAGTTTATTTAAAAAATGAGGCAAAGATCTTAACAGATACCTCACCAAAGAAGATATACAGATGGCAAGTGAGCACATGCAGAGGTACTCCATGTCTTTTGTCACTAGGGAACGAAAATTAAAGCAATGATATACCACTGTACACCTATTTAGAATGGCCAAAATCCAGAATGCTGAGAACATCAAATGCTTGTGGGGATGTGGAGCAATAGGAACTCTATTCATTGCTGACAGCAATGCAAGCCATCGTGGAAGACAGTTTGGTGATTTCTTACAAGACCGAACATACTTTTGCTGTACTACCCAGCAATCACACTTCTTGGTATTTATCCTAAGGAGTTGGAAACTTATATCCACACAAAAACCTGCACATTGATTTTTATAGCAGCTTTATTTATAATTGCCAAAGGTTGAAAGAAACCAAGACATCCTTTAGTTTGTGAGTGGAAAAACTGTGGTACATCAGGCAATGGGGTATTATTTAATACTAAAAGAAATGAGCTCACAAGTCATGAAAAGACATGGGGAAACCTAAATATTTATTACTAAGTAAGAAAAAGGCAACATATTGTATGATTCCAACTATATGACTTTCTGGAAAAGGCCGAACTATGAAGACAGTAAAAAGATCAGTGGTTGCCAGTGGTTAGCAGGGTGGGAAGGATGATTAAGCAGAGCACAGAGGATTTTTAGGTAGTAATACTCTGTATGATACTATAGTGTTGGATACACATTAATACATGTGTCTTAAACCCACAGAATATACAACACTGAGAGTTAACCCTAATGTAAACTGTAAACTTTGGGTGATAATGATGTGTCAATGTTCATCAATTGTAACAAATGCACCACTCTGGTGAGGGGGGCTAGGCAGGTGTGTGGGCAGAGGATATTTGGGAAATCCCTGTACCATCTATCAATTTTGCTGTGAATCTAAAACTACTCTAAAAGATAAAAATCTATTTAAAACAAAAAACAACAATATAGATGAGCCATCCTTTCCCTCCTTCCTATCATTCATCTCTGTTCTCTATGACTCATGTAGACAACTGAAGATGTTTCATGAACGAAAGAGGGGAGAAGAAACAGAAGACACCTTAGGAGCAGGCACATGAGTTGCATCTCTTAGCTCCCTTTTTTGCATTACAATGAATATTTGATCAACCTATTTGAACAGTTCACCCTAAGAGCATTAATATTCCTTTGGCCTTCAAACTCCTCCATCTAGATTGGCATCTTCCTTGGCCCTTTCGGAAGTTGAATGGCTTTTTTGGTGCTCCCATGCACTTTGCACACAATACAAATAGAACATTTACCATTTTGAATGTTAAAAACTAACTTGTAATCCAGAAATCATGTTTTCTCCCTCTCTAGACTCTATGCTTCTCGAAGACTGTGTTTAATTCATCTCTGCCTATTCAAGGGTCTACCTAGCTCCTGCAGGCAAGTCCTTGGTAAATGTATATGGGACGAGTGCGTTATAGAGGATTTTATTTTACACAATCACAGGTCCAGAGGCAAATTCAGTTCTTACTGGTTCCCCTTTCTTGGCCTCCATCTCTAATTGCCTTATTTCCTCCATGTCATTGTCTCTAACCCTGGTGTCAAACAGCCAATCTTTACTTAAACAACTAGCTCTGTAGGAAAACCCAGGACCCAGAAGGAAGTAGATGCTTATATACTCAAAGCAAAAAGAATAACTCTGAGCCCATTTCCTTCTCCTCATCAAGTAAACTCTCAAGGGTCTATGACAGCAGCCAGACTGAGGGCAAATGACTTAAAGTATCACTCAGCGTATTATTCTCTTTGCTCTGCGAGTTCCTACAGCTTTTCAGCTTCCATTCCATAACAGGGCATGTATCTTTATTGATGATGTTCCCATGTACTTAAATAAGAAGAAAAAATAAAATAAGGAGAAAAAATAAAAAAGCTCAGGCATAGTATATATATATGCCACATTACAGCATAATTAGTTCCTCCCTCAAATATTTTAACACTACTTATTAACATAAAAAGGGATACTTAAGAGAAAAGATGATATCAAGTAAAGCATTCAAAATGTGAAGTTATGGGCCTTCTCACCTTGGAAGGCTGAGGCAGGAGGATCGCTTGAGACCAGGAGTTTGAGACCAGCCTGGACAACATGGCAAAACCACATCTCTGCAAAACAATACAAAAATTAACCAAGTATGGTGGCTCGTGCCTGTAGTCCCAGCTACTTGGGAGGATTGACTTGAGCCCAAGAGGTTGAGGCTGCAGTTATCCATGATTGCACCACTGTGCTCCAGCTTAGGCAACAGAACCCTGTCTCAAAAAAGGCAAAACAACCACCACCACCACAACAAAAGTGAAGTCATGACACCATTTAGGGGACATGTAGATATAAAGAATTATTGTTTCCTCCAGGTACTCAGTCAAGTAATTCTACTAGGGAATCAAGTATGAGAATTGAAGGTTTAATCAGAGTTGCAGCCAGGAGGACTGGATCAAGTGCCTTTCAATCCTGAGAAAGGGCCAGGCGTGGTGGCTCACATCTGTAATCCTAGCACTTTGGGACACCAAGGCAGGAAGATCGCATGAAGCCAGGAATTCTAGACCAGTCTGGGAAACATAATGAGACCCCTGTCACTACAAAATTTTTAAAAAAAAATTTAGCAGAGCATGGCACCACATACCCTGTAGTCCTGGCTACTCAGGAGGCTGAGGTGGGAGGACTGCCTGAGGCCAGGAGTTTGAGGTTGCAGTGAACTATTAATGCATGACTCCACTCCAGCCTGGGTGACAGAGCAAGACCCTGTCACAAAGAAAAAAACAAAAAATCCTGAGAAGGAAGATTCCCTGATGCTCTTTTTCATTTTGAGCTGCCATAGCTGTTCTGGTGCCTGATAGAATATTAAGGACTTGGGAAGAAGTTATGGCCCATCAGAAAGGTCATGCACATTGTGTCATGCAAATGACCCTTTCTAACCTGGCAATTTGAAATCCTAATGTGAGCAGGTCTAAGTGTGTCTTGATTTGAATTGTGTCGGTATTTACTTCACTGACACAACTTTACTATTGGATATTTCCTAGTACTTCATAAAAAACACTTTTGTGCTTGTTCAAATGAAAGAAGATTTGTCTCCCAGGAAAACCATTTAAACATGTAGAGGCTGCAATCTCATTTTCGAATATTAGGTTTCATTTTATGACATATCATGCTGTTTAGTACAGCGTATCTATATTAAAAAGCATGAACAAGTCAGCCTTGTTCTGTTCCATTCCTGTCCCTCTCTAATGTACATTTATAAAAACACAGACCTATCTGATTCTGCACACACTGTACAATATTTTATCGATTACAGTGGAACTTAGTTATATCATGTTTCCAGAGACTGAGAAAAGAAAACATAGAAAGTAGGAAACACTGAATTTGATTATGCTAGGCGTGGAGTTTAAAAGACCTGAATTGTGGGGAGGTCTTGTATGTGGGAATAATAAAAATAGGTTTTACTAAAAACTACCCTTTTACAAACCATCGGATGGAGGTGTCCCTAGTGTATTCCTTTGTGTCTAGACACATAGTACACACAGCAAATTCCTAGGGAGGCTGCTGTTAGTTTCCATTTTCTTCTGCATTTTCCTCACTGCTAAACTTTAGTTAGGCTCCTGGCGTCTCTGGATGATTATTCCAATGGTCTTCTAACTAACCTGCTGACTGCAGGAACTCTCTCCTCAGTTAGCAAATGCTCTGAAAAGGACAAATCCCCTTAAAAACACTTTGTCTTCTGACTACCTGGATTTATATCCTTCAAAGACTTTTAAACCAAGTGGAAAATAATTTACATCCAAAGATCAGCTAAACCAGCAGTCCCCAACCTTTCTTGCACCAGGGACCAGTTTCGTGGAAGACAATTTTTCCATGCACAGGGGTGTGGGAAGGCAGAGGATGCCTGTGATATGTGCCTGTAGTTCCAGCTACTCAGGAGGCTGAGGTGGGAAGAGTGGTCGAGCCCAAGAGGTCGAGGCTACAGTGAACCATGATCGTGCCACTGCACTCCAGCCTGGGCAACAGAAGGAGACTGTCTCAGAAAAGACAAAACAACCCTAATGTGAACTGTGCATGTGAGGGATCTAAGTTGCACATTCCTTATGAGAGTCTAATGCCTGATGATCTGAGGTGAAGCAGTTTCAGGATGATTACAGTGGAACTTAGTTGTACTGTGTTTCCAGAGACTGAGAAGACAAAACATAGAAGTTAGGAAACACTGAATTTGATTGTGCTAGGCACAGAGGTTAAAATACCTGAATTGTGGGGAGGTCTCGTATATGGGAATAATAAAAATAGGTTTTACTAAAACTACCCTTTTACAAACCATTGGACAGTTTCAGGATGAAACTGTTCCACCTCATGACCTCGATCTCTCACATGCACTGTTCACAGTAGGGTTGGCGCTCCTGTGAGAATCTAATGCCGCTGCTGATGTGACAGGAGGAAGAGCTCAGGCAGTAATATGAGTGATGGGGAGTGACTATAAATAGATGAAGCTTTGCTTGCTCACCCACTGCTCACCTCCTGCCGTGTGGCCCCATTCCTAATAGACCACCCACCAACAGGTACCAGTCTGCAGCCTGGGGGTTGGGGACCCCTGAGCTAAACATTTGTCCTTATTTTCTTCTTTTTGGTTTTATTTCCACATTTCACTCTTTAGTGTATCTGAAAATTAGTGTTTTCTATGAGGTAAAAATTACCATTTTTTCTCCCAATATTCAACTATTTATAACGCCTTTTCTTAGGTGATCCTTTCCTTCCCCGCTGATCTGTATTTTCTCCCATGTTGTGTAAGGAGATGTTTCAGACACCTGGGTCTGTTTCTGGGCTCTCAGCTCCATTCTGTTGTCTTCCTGCCTATTCCTTCCCAAACACAACTCTGATGTAAGGAATGTAGCTTTGGGAATGTTTTAATGTCAGGTAGGGATCGCTACCACCTTCTCTAATCCTTCTTCTTAATAATTATTTAGCTCTTCTTGGTAACTTGTTCTTGCAGATAAATGTTAGAATCATTTAGGAGTTCTGGATATATTCCACTGAGATCTTGGTTGAAATTTCATTAATACTAAAAAATAAATTTTGAGAAAATTTATGTCTTTACAATATTTGCTCTGCTCATATGAGAATATGGCATGGCCCCCATCTTTTCATCTGCTTTTACGTCTCTGCTAAATTTTTTCCTATAAGTCCTGCACATTTTGTGGTTTTGTAGTTTACCTATAGTTGCTTTATGTTTTTTGTTGATAATCCAAATACAATTTTTCCCATTACGTTTTCTAGCTCGTTATTGCTGTTACAAAAAAAAAAAAAAAAAGACACAGACTTTTAAATGTTTATTTCATACTTTATGACCTTACTGAACTCTCTTCTATTCCAACATTTTTTTCAGTCAATTCTTATGGGATTTTTAAGAAGATATTTTCTGAAAATAATGATTTTCTTTTCTCTTTTCCAATACGCAAAGGTCATGCTCTTCATTTCTGCTCTGGTTTTCATTACATTGGCCTGAACTTCCAGAACAATATGAAATCACAAAATCAATTTTGATCTCCCAACTTTGATGTTTCTCTCTCCCCAGCCCAGCCCCTAAATATCCTCCTTTTCCTGGCATTTGATTTGACTCCACTTAGTGCATTCCAGCATCTCTCTGTGTCTTGGAAAAGAGCTCCCTTTTCTAACACTCACCCCATGAACTTCATCCTCTAGTCTGTCGAGGTGTACCAGGCAGGGTCGCCAGATAAAATTGAGGACACCCAGTGAAATCTGAATTTTCGATAAACAACAAATACGCTTTTAGTATAAATGTGTCCCATGCAATCTTTGGAACACATTTATACTAAAAACCTATTTGTTGTTTATCTGAAATTTAGATTTCACTGGGAATCCTGTGTTTTTCTTTGGTAAATCTGGCAACCCTAGTGCCAGTTCCAGTTCCTAAGCCAAGTTCACATCTGGGATCACACATCTCTATGCACATTTGTCTATTATCATTTTGTTAATATTCTGCTATAATGATATGTTCATTTGCTACTTCATATCCTACGAAGCTACTGGCAGCTGATGTATCCTAGGCATTTGGTTGTTAAATGAATTTTCAAAATGCATGAATGATGGCAAGCAGATCATCAACTCTTGAGTATTACTGGAACACATAAACTGTAAAATGTTTTGAGGCTTAAGTAGAGGAACAAACAGGTGTGAATGAGTTTACTAACTGCCAAAGAATCCAAGAAAAAGAGAAAAGTACAGCCAGTTTTTAAAATTTTCAAAAGTGGAATTTTATTTAAATTCAGAAGATAAGTGAGTATATCACTTCATCGTTTTATTATTAGAAAGAACCATGAGCACTGAAATGGAATCAAGAGACCCAGAATCTAATTCTGACTCTGCCATGAATTGGCTATTTGGCCATGCACAAGTCACTTCAACTTCCTGGTTTTAGTTGCTTCATCCATAAAACAAGACCATTGGAATAGGAGTGGTTATCAAGCATTGTTTTAGCGGTGAGGTCCTTAGAAATGAAATATTACACAGAACCTCAACATCTAATGCAGATAAAAGAGAGCAATTCTATTTGAAGAAGATGCAGCACGTCCAAGGTCCCCCAGCTCAACTCCCTCTTGCCCTTCGGAGTGGCCCCTTAAGGAACTCTGTAGAACATTGGACACCCTTGGGCTGTACAGTCTTCAAGACCAGCGTCCCAATCTGCTTTGACATATGTACATGTTACTGTAGTATAATAATCAGGTACAGATTACCTGAGAAGATATAGGCATATAGATATATAGAGAGTAACATCTCAAGTAACCAGTGCTTGATATCTACTCTTGATTCCTCTTTGATGAAGCAGAGGCAATCTATTAGTCTGAAGTCATCCCAATCCTCTATAGCTACAGTCTCATTTAATGAAAATAGTTAGTCATAGCGATGATCAAGGTCATCAGAAGATTCTGAAGCATTGCATAAAAGGATTAATTTCTGTGGTATGCTAGATTTCTCCTTGCATCTCTCCAGAATAGCCCCAGTGGGTAGGACTACTGCAATCATCTTCTAATGGTGGAGCCCTCACAGTCCAATCTCTTTGCCTCCTCAAGAGTGACCCTTTCTAAATGACCACCCCATCATGTCACACACATTGCAGCCTTCCCACCATTACTGTTGCCTTTCATTGCTCTTAATATAAAATGAACAGCCTTCAGTGAAACTCACCCAGTCCTGGATACCTCTCAAGCACTCTCTCTCTAGCCAGGATGCTCCTCCTCAAACCCACCATAGTTCCTCCCACCATCAAGCCTTTACATCGCTGTTCTTCTACCTAGAAAACTATTCCCTCCTCTCTTTTCCAAGTTAACACCAACTCATCCAGCAGACCTTTGTTTGAGCGCTCCTTTCTCAGCTGTAAGTAGACTGCCTTATTGTACACTGTCATAGTGGCCCATATCCTCACAATCACTTGTTATCATTGTATATCCATGCTTGTTCATATGATTGTTTGATTAATGTCTATCTTCTTTACAAAACTATAAACTGTAAACCCCATAAGAATCCAGCAGCACAGTGTCTGACATATAATGTATCCTTAATAAATACTTATTGATTAAATTACTTATGAGATAGAAAAATGTGTTCATACCTTTTACAAAGATTTGCCACAAGAGTTAAGAACTAAGGAGTGCTTTAGCTGATCGAATGTTATTTGTGAAAAAAAAAAAAATTAGCTATTCAGTATATCTAATTCTCTATATATCTGTAATCGTTGTGACTTAATGTTTTATTCATACCAGCCACAAGTGGGGAAAGACTACTCTAGCGTTTTTAACACAGAAAATTTAATAAAGTATTTTCACAGGGGTAAAACCACTGAAAAACTAAATAGGAGACCATAAGGCAACTCGCAAATTAGCAATAGCAGAAAACTACCACTACCCCTGCACTGGAAGAAGAAATAAACTAGGTCCATCCAGTGGGCACTGAGACCATGGTGGGAGGATATGTCCATGGGAGCCAGAGCACAGAGGAAAAACTGCTTCTGCCAGAGATGCTTCTGGAGGCAAAGTGCAAAGGGCAGAAATGTCCTATCTTCCCCATTCATCCAGTCCTTTAATCTTTTCCAACCCTTTTCCAGAGGCCAGAAGGCAAAGTAGCCTGGGAAGCGATTACACTTGATATACAACAGAGCAGCGGGAGAGTTGGAAATGGATGTGAGCTCAAAGAAACAGTTAACCCTCATGGTACCCAGAGTAAATTATATAATCAGCAATAGTATCACATCCAAGAGTTACTGAATTAGTACCTAAGTGATTAGTAAGAGTCAAAGACTTTCTCCTCCTCAGCCTAGCCTAGAGCAGGGCTTTCCTAACTCATCTCCATGCCTCCAGTCTGGGTGGCTTTTGTATGGTTACCAGCATAATCTTCCTAAAATACTTGTATGCACAGAGAGGACACTAGTGGGGGCCTTCTTAGGTTCTCCACAGTTTGTGGAATATTGAGGAAACTTCTTATCCTAGCATTGCTAGCCTTCCAGTCTGCCCCTACTCTCCTCTCCAATTAACCTATGTATGATGAACCAAAGAAGCCCATACATCACCCATGCTCTTCCTGTTCCATTTCCCCCCTCCACACCCTTTTCACCATTCACCTATTCATCTTTTGGGGACCAATAAATATTCTGCCTCCTCCAAGAAGATATCCTTGATTTCATCAGCTCAGATGAAGTGATTCATAATGGAAGAACATGGATTTGTATAGGGATTTGTAGATTGTCCTTTATAATAGGGGGTAGATACCATGAAGTGTCCATATATTAGAATATTCTGGAACTGTTCAAAAAGGTTTTGAAAAAAATATAATGATGCGAAAGAATGCTCATTATCATCCAACTGTAAAAAGTAAAAAATCAAAACTGTATTTATACTTTTTTAAAATACATACACATGCATACACACATAAAATACTAATGAGAAATGTTAGCTAAAATAACCCTTATTATTTTGGGGTCAGGGAATTTTGAGTTACTATCACTGTTGTCTTTTTAGATTTCTGTGGTATCTAAACTTTCTGTAACTGCTCTGCTTTTATTATGAAGGAAAATAAATAAAAGATACGATGAACATGGACTTTGGATACACACAGGCCATTTCAGACTTTGATGAATACTCTCTCTCTTAATTCATACCATGATATAGGTAATCTACTGTAAGTTTCCAGGGACATTTTTTATTTTTATGAATATATCATCATTCTGAAGGTCTCCCTAAATATCTAAGATCTCCACGGGACATACATACATCTTAGGCCTTTTCATCCCCAGTGCCTCAAATTGTAGTGCACACATCCCACACTTTTAATAAGGGACATAATGAAGACATCTCCTTTCCCCGTCCATCTCCTGTGCCCATTCACATCCATCGTCAGGTGATGCTCCCCTCATGGTGCTTTTCCGACTGCCCTAGCCAAGTCTAGGCCCTCAATATTCATTCCTGATCTCTAGGACTTTGATCTCCGTGGCCAGTCTCCAAACTGCCCATCATACTGTGTTCAGCTTCATTTTCCTAAAACATGACCTCAGGGACTGAGGGAATGCCCACCATCTTGAGCCGGACTGGTTGCCATGCCAGAGGGCAAACAGTTTCCAGAGTCTTGCCTCAGCAAATGAATGAGCTGTCAAGGAAGTAACTTCCTGCTCTTCGTGTTTGCTCTTTACTCATTGGCTAGAACTAGTCATGTGATTTCATTCATGTACAAACGAGTCAGGAAGTCAGCTCTCCGTGTACCTAGAAGCTGGAGAGACAGAAATGTTGGCAAAGAATGTAAGTAACTATTATGAGGCTCAATAAAAGTTGGATATTGGTTTAAAATACAAGTTAGGCATAATCTAGCCCGGGGCATCTATTTTTATTAAAAAAAGATATAACTAGCAAAGGAAGCTCGTAGTGGGATATAAATTGGGAGGAAGAGGGGCAAGAAATGGGCAAACTTTCAGACTATGCCTGCTTTTTCCCTGAAATGATATCTTAATGGTCCCCCTTAGGAAATCAGGCACTGTTTGTTTGTTTGTTTGTTTATATTAAATTAATTAATTAATTAATTTTTTAGAGACAGAGTCTCACTCTGTTGCTCAGGCTGAAGTGCAATGGCACGATCTCGGCTCACCGCAACCTCTGTCTCCTGGGTTCAAGTGATCCTCCTGCCTCAGCCTCCTGAGTAGCTGGGATTACAGGTGCCCGCCACCACACCTGGCTAGTTTTTGTATTTTTAGTATACCTGGGGTTTCACCATGTTGGCCAGGTTCGTCTCGAACTTCTGATCTCAGGTGATCTGCCCGCCTCGGCCTCCCAAGTGCTGGGATTACAGGCATGAGCCACCACGCCCAGCCTATTTTTATTTTTGAGACAGAGTTTTGCTCTGTCGCCCAGGCTGGAGTGAAGTGGCATGATCTCAATTCACTGCAACTTCTGCCTCCTAGGTTCAAGTAATTCTCCTGTCTCAGCCTCCAGAGTAGCCGGGATTACAGGCGCCCACTACCACGCCCAGCTAATTTTTGTGTTTTTAGTAGAGCTGGGGTTTCGCCATGTTGGCCAGGTTGGTCTCGAACTACTGACCTCAAGTGATCTGCCCACCTCGGCCTCCCGAAGTGCTGGGATTACAGGCACAAGTCACTGTGCCTGGCTCAGGCACTGTTTATGATCATACATTACGGATTGGAAACCACTGTCATAATATAGACATTTCAAAATCAATGTCAAACCCTTTTTGTGAGCTTTGCCCCTGTACCTCCTCCCCATCCGTAATCCCAGCACCACTGGTTTTAAAAACTTTGTACTGGCTGGGCGCGGTGGCTCACGCCCGTAATCCCAGCACTTTGTGAGGCCGAGGTGGGCGGATCACGAGGTCAGGAGATCGAGACCATCCTGGCTAACACGGTGAAACCCCGTCTCTACTAAAAACACAAAATAATTAGCCAGGCGTGGTGGCGGGTGCCTGTAGTCCCAGCTACTCGGGAGGCTGAGGCAGGGGAATGGTGTGAACCCGGGAGGCGGAGCTAGCAGTGAGCCAAGACTGCACCACTGCAACTCCAGCATGGGCGACAGAGCGGGACTCCGTCTCAAAAACAAAACAAAACAAAACAAAACAAAAACTTTGTATTATACCCTTCTTGGCTCCATTCTCCTAAATCAAGATTTCCTTGGCTGCAGAAGGAGGCTTGCAAATCACTGTGATTTCAGGACTGAATGAAGAGTTTATTTCTCCGTGGTACAAAGGGGTGACTACCCAGTCTTGTTCCCCAAAGCACTCTTCAGATCAAAGACATTAGCTGAGCTACTGAAGTATTAATTAGCGGGTACAATTGTCAAAAATTAGTTTTTGTGTGAACCAATTAAAACAAAATAATTGGGAGTTGTCAGCACTTCTAAATATTTATAAAAGTTGATGCAAATATTTATTTACATATCATCTGTTTGCAATTTTTATTGCTCCTGCTCTCTGCAAAGTTACTCATAAGCCGTTAGATCCTTTCTCTTGATACTTAAATTAAAACCTAAACTTATTCTACTCAACTGACAGAAAGCTAAAATATTTTTGTTTGAATTCATTTGACAATGTGTATTTTTGGCAGTGTGTTTATATTCCTCATTTATAACGAAAAGTGATACTATAGCCATCCCTTCAAGGAGAAATTTCTGATTTTTTTTTCATAGCCAATTCATTCTATTTTTCCATGTGGTATTCATTAAGTCATTCTCAACTTTGTTGATTTTCATTATATCTATAGAGTGTTAAAATTTCTTTCACACTTCTGCAATTGGTTAGCAATATTAGGCCGCTTTGCTTGACATCTTTTATTGTGCATCAAATCTACACTAGTCCTGAAATATCAAGAAATGTCAGAATCTCTTGGTTAATAATCCCTCCCCTACAGGAGAAGTAATCACCCTTTCCTCTTCATACATCCTCTATCAGATCACAAGTCTCTTCATCACCTCAAAGCATGCTTCCATCCACATTTTCCCTGCCATTTTGAAATTTATTTTTCTGCTTTTCCTGTCTTTGAGAAATAAAGATCCTCATGACTTTATAATGTTAACATTTGCATTAAAATACTTAAAGCTGATGAAGTTTATTATTCCTATTATATATTAAATTTAAATTCATGATAAAAAATTTTGGAGAAAATGCCCACCACTTACCAATAGCCCTAGTATATATTTCAGTGTATTTCCATTTATAGTTTTGTCTGTATATAGTATTTTATTTGCTATGTTTTCGTGTAATTGTCATATTATTATCTATTCAATTTTCTTCTGCTTTATTTTCCATTATATCATGAGCTTTTCCTCCAAGTAATTACAACTGTTCATAAAGTTCTCCCCTCCCCATGGCCCATGATTACATGATAGTCCCTTAGTAGATGGATGTATACAGTTTAGTTGAGCAGTCTCTTACTAGATTTGAGAAGCACAGGATGGAGTTTGTTGCCTGAATCTAACTATTCAACCCCCTCTTTCTGCTGGTAGGAAATATGCATGAAGAACGGCAAAGAAGACAATGGGATGGAAAGTACCGGGCCCACACTGTGGTTATCAGCTATGGATCACAGTGTTATCTGGGTGAGAAGGGTTGGCAGAAACACCTGGAAAAAAGAGAAAATGTTTTTGGTTTCAGTTTCGTAAGAATGCTGGTCTAGCATTCGTGACCTGGGAGCATAAATAATTGAACATAGAAATTTTGTGCCAAGCGATATGAAGAAATTAATACTATCCCCGTGCTTCCCATATCCTTTGGCAAGAGATGGGGATGGGCCCATGCATCCTGTTTCCTTTCTCCCAGACTGGCCTTTGAGACACTCCTCTCTACTTGCAAAGTTAAGAAATTTCAAAGGTGGCCTGTGTCTCTGGGTCTTCTTGTGACTCAGTTCTATGCTATACATTTTAATGTTTTTAATTTCCATTCCAGGTTTGAGCCCTACATGTTGCCCCCTCCTCAATGCTCAATCAAGGGTAGGTTTTTACAATAGCCCAGCATCCTCTACCTCTCAGAGCAGAGTGCCCCAAGAGGGAGAGGCCCCTGTCTAAGCAAGGTGCATGGTTGTGCCTTCCCCAGAGTTTCAATCTTGTTCTACTTTTTATATTTCTCCATCTGCAGCAGAATCACAGGAGGCAGTATCTATTGTCTTTGCTTCCTACACTGGAATTCTGTAGACTAGTGCTTCTCAAAATGTGTCCCCTGAACAGCAGCATCAGCATCACCTGGGAGTTCATTAGAAAAGCAGATTCTCAAACTGCTTGCAGACCTATTGTATCAGATACTCTGAAGCTGGGGCCCAGCAATCTGGATTTTGACAAGCTCTTCAGGTGATCCTAATGCACACTGTGTTTGAGAACCACTGCTGTAGTCATGTCTTTGAGTGATGCACCTCCTCTGCTGGTGTAGTTATCTCAACAGATCTTCCAACTGAAGCTCTTACGGATGCAGCTGCAGCTGGCTTGCTTAGGTAGGCATTCCATCCTCTACCATGTGCTTTTCCTTTCCTTGGTCCTTAAATCTCCAGGCCTTGATTGAATTATGCTACTTCATTGATAGCCAGAACATTCATCTCTGCCACCTTCATTCCTATTGCAGTGGCAAATGCCTCTGCTGTTTCATTTGTCTTCTCATTCTCCACTCTTTTCAGACAAACTCAGCTGTTTGTAAAGGTGTAATATTCTTCCTAATTTGGCTCCCTCCCTTTTCCATATATGGTGCTAATACCCTCGCTGGATCATAGCACCTCTCTCCTTTTTCTTTCTCTTTCTCTTTGCTTTTCATCCCCATTCATTTGTTTTCATCATGACACTATTCCAGATTTTGTCCTTTTAGATCCTCCTTAATAATAGATGTGAAGCCAGTAACTTCAGAAGCTGCCAAAATATCCATAGTTTAAGCAAATCTTGTCCACGTCTAACTCTCCAAGCAGGATACTTGTACCCATCAGCGCAAAATCTGACTCCATCTGGACCCAAATATTGTAGCCCAGACTGGCTTTCCTTAGTCAAGATTTCTATTTTTTCTTATTTGAGACAGAGTCTCACTTGCTCTGCACCCAGACTGGAGTGCTGTGGAGCGATTTTGGCTTGCTGCAACCTCCACCTCCCGGGCTCAAGCAATTCTCCTGCCTCAGCCTCCAGAATAGCTGAGTCTACAGGCACATGCCGCCAAGCCTGGCTGATTTTTTATATTTTTAGTAGAGATGGGGTTTCACCATGTTACCTGACCAACACCAGGCTGGTCTTAAACTCCTGACCTCAGGTGATCCACCTGCCTTGGCCTCCCAAAGTGCTGGGATTACAGGCATCAGCCACCATACCCGGCCGTTAGACAAGGTTTCTCAATCTCAGCACTACTGACGTTTTGGACTAGATAATTCTTTGTTGTATGTGCATTATAGGATTTTTAGCAGGCAGTAACTTCACCCCCTCCCTGCCCCTCAAAATCCTGATTATCAAAAAATGTCTCCAGACATTGGCAGCTGTCCCCCGGGGATAAGGTGCAAAATCTCCTAGGGGTAAAGCCAGTGCCTTAGTCTGTCTATCTCATTCTCCCTGAACCTTCCATTAGAAGATTACCTGCATGCAGTTCCTCATGATATCCGCTGATCCTGCCTTACTGCTATAATAGCTGTGTCATCTTGGCACTAGTGAAATAATCCCTGAAAAATTTCACTCTGATCTTCCTGGTCATCCTTTATAGTCCAATACAAATTTTACATCCCTATTCAGTGTGGCTGTCCTATTCCTCAATGCAGCAGCTTTAAGAGTACATCTCCTAGTAGTCCCCCACATCTGGACAATCTTTCGGGACAGAGGTCTCCTTTCTTTTCTTTCTTTGCTTGTTGGATGTTTAGGCACCAGTCATGATGCCTCTTTTATTTTATTATTATTATTATTTTTTTTTAAGACAGAGTCTCGCTCTGTCACCAGGCTAGAGTAGCACGATCTCAGCTAACTGCAACCTCCGCCTCCTGGATTCAACCCATTCTCCTGCCTAGGCCTCCCGAGTTAGCTGGGACTACAGGCACATGACTTTAAGAGCATTTAAAACTTTTCAGGTTTATATCCTCCAACCTAGTCTCTAAAATAACAACATTTTTCCTAAAGAAGTAACTCCTTTTCTTCCATTCATCAAAGCATCTTCCATCATTTTTCTTTCATTTCCACCGGCTCGTGTTCTAAATACAAGATCAAAGCCTGTGGTTTAAACAATTCCATTCTTCCTTACCTCTCTGAGCAAATTTACCCTAGTGCTCTTATCCTATTGACACTATTTCAAAAGATAGAGAAAGAGGAAATCCTTTATAAATTGTTCTATGAAGCCAATATCACCCAAATACCAAAACCAGGAAAGGATTTAACAAAAAAAGAAAACTACAGATCAATATCCCTGATGATAGGATATCAATAGGATAACAGCACTAGGGTAAACTTACTTAGAAGGTTAAGGAAGAATGGAATTACCCTAGTGTCAAAGAGACAGATTGTCAAGAAAACAGCCTTTTAAATATACTTCTTGGCTGAATGCCTGAAGATAACAAACCAGGAGCCCCAATTCTCTTTAACCATTATCTGAAACAGAGTCTCCTAAATCAGAGGTCATAACCAGATATGCATTTAATAAATAATATCTTATATAAGAAATAAGCTGTATTGTTTTTAGGAGAGTGACTTTTTTTATTATTTCAATAGGCTTTTGGGGAACAGGTGGTGTTTGGTTATATGAATAAGTTCTTTAGTGGTGATTTCTGAGATTTTGGTGCACCATCAGCCAAGCAGTGTACACTGTACCCAATGTGTAGTCTTTTATCCCTCACCCCTCTCCCACCTTTTCCCCTGAGTGCCCAAAGTCCATTGTATCATTCTTATGCCTCGTGTCCTCATAGCTTAGCTCCCCACTTATGAGTGAGAATATACAATGTTTGGTTTTCCATTCCTGAGTTACTTCACTTAGAATAATGGTCTCCAGTTCCATCCAGGTTGCTGCAAATGCCGTTAATTCATTCCTTTTCATGACTGAGTAGTATTCCATGATATGTATATTATAGATAGATAGATAGATACATAGATAGATAGATAGATAGATAGATAGATAGATAGATAGATAGATAATGTATGCATCACATTTTCTTTATCCACTTGTTGACTGATGGACATTTGGACTTGTTCTATATTTTTGCAATTGCGAATGGTGCTGCTATAAACATGCATGTACAAGTATCTTTTTTGCATAATGACTTCCTCTGGGTAGATACCTAGGAGTGGGATTGCTGGATCGGGATGGTTTATTGACTTTTAGTTCTTTAAGGAATCTCTACACTTTTCCATGGTGATTGCACTAATTTACATTCCCACCAACAGTGTAAATGTGTTCCCTTTTCACCACATCCATGCCAACATCTATTATTTTTTGATTTGTTGATTATGGCCATTCTTGAAGAAGTGGGGTGGTATCACATTGTGGTTTTGATTTACATTTCCCTGATAATTCATGATGTTAAGCATTTTTTTCATATGTTTGTTGGCCATTTGTATATCTTCTTTTGACAAATGTCGATTTATGTCCTTAGCCCACTTTTGGATAGGATTGTTTTTTTCTTGCTGATTTGTTTGAATTATTTGTTGTATTAGTCCATTCTCATGCTGCTATGAAGAAATATCTGAGATTAGGTAATTTATAAAGAAAAGAGGTTAATTGACTCAGAGTTCTGCATGTCTGGAGAGGCCTCAGGAAATCTACAATCATGGCGGAAGGCACCTCTTCACAGGGTAGCAGGAGAGAGAATGAGAGCCAGCAAGGGAAATGCCAGACACTTATAAACCCATCAGATCTCATAAGAATTCACCATCACAAGAACAGCATGGGGGAAACCGCCCCCTTGATTCAATTACCTCCCATCGGGTCCCTCCTATGATACATGGTGATAATGGGGATTACAATTCAAGATGAGATTTGGGTGGGGACACAGAGCCAAACCATATCACTTATAGATTCTGGATATTAGTACTTTGTCAGATGTATAGATTGCAAAGATTTTATCCCACTCTGTGGGTTTTCTGTTTACTCTGCTGATTATTTCTTTTGCTGTGCAGAAGCTTTTTAGCTTAATTAGGTCCCATCTATTTATCTTTGTTTTTGTTGCATTTGATTTTGGGTTCTTGATTATGAAGTCTTTGCCTAAGCCAATGTCTAGAAGGGTTTTTCCAAAGTTGTCTTCTAGAATTTTTACGATTTCAGGTCTTAGATTTTAGTCTTTAATCCATCTTGAGTTGATTTTTGTATAGGGTGAGAGATGAGGATCCAGTTTCATTCTTCTACATGTGGCTTGCCAATTATCCCAGCACCATTTGTTGAATAGGGTATCCTTTCCCTACTTTATATTTTTGTTTGTTTTGTCAAAGATCTGGTGAACGTAAGTATTTAGCTTTATTTCTGGCTTCTCAATTCTGTTCCATTGGTCTATATGCCTATTTTTTTTGTACCAATACCATGCTGTTTTGGTGACTATGGCTTTATACTATAGTTTGAAGTCAGGTAATGTAATATCTCCAGACTTGTTCTTTTTGTTTAGTCTTGCTTTGGCTATGCAGGCTTTTTTTGGTTCCATATGAATTTTAGGATTGATTTGTCTAGTTCTGTGAAGAACGATGGTGGCATTTTGATGGGAATTGCATTAAATTTGTAGATTGCTTTTGGCAGTATGGTTATTTTCACAATATTGATTCTACCAATCCATGAGCATGTGATGTGTTTCCATTTGTGTCATCCATGATTTCTTGCTGCAGTGTTTTGTAGTTTTCCCTGTAGAGGTATTTCACCTCCTTGGTTAAGTAAATTCTAAGTATTTTAATTTTTTTGCAGCTATTATAAAAGGGGTTGAGTTCTTGATTTGATTCTCGGCTTGGTCGCTCTTGGTGTATAGCAGAACTACTGATATGTGTACATTAATTTTGTATCCTGAAACTTTTCTGAATTCACTTACCAGTTCTAGGAGCTTTCTGGATGAGTCTTTAGGGTTTTCTAGGTATATGATCATATCATCAGCAAACAGTGACAGTTTGACTCCCTCAGTACTATGTTGAATAGAAGCAGCGAGAGTGGGCATCCTTGTCTTGTTCCAGTTCTCGGGGGAATGCTTTCAATTTTTCCCCATTTAGTATAATATTGGCTGTGGGTTTGTCATAGAAGGCTTTTATTACCTTAAGGTATGTCCCTTCTATGATGATTTTGCTGAGGGTTTTAATTATAAAGAGATGCTGGATTTTGTCAAATGCTTTTTCTGTGTCTATTGAGATCACCATGTACTTTTTGTTTTTAATTCTGTTTGTGTGGTGTATCACATTTATTGACTTGCAGATGTGAAACCATCCCTGCATCCCTGGTATGAAACCTACCTGATCATGGTGGATTATCATTTTGATGTGCTGTGGGGTTCTGTTAGCTAGGATTTTGTTGAGGATTTTTGCATTTATGTTCAACAGGGATATTGGTCTGTAGTTTTCTCTTTTTGCTATGTTATTTTCTGGTTTTGATATTAGGGTGATACCGGTTTCATACAGTAATTTAGGGAGGATTATCTCTTTCTCTCTTTTGGAATAGTGCCAATAGGATAAGAAATAAGCTGTATGAAGAAATCCAGTTTGAGACCAGGAGCCTGTGGGCAGGCTACATGAATGAGAAGGTTAGTTTTTCCGCAGTCCTCCTTGAGCCTATGCAACTCCATACAAAAGAAAAAGGAACCCAAGCTGGATCAGCTGAGCTAGTAGTTCCAGTGCCTAGCACTACACCCAAAGGCGCAAACCACTCGCTCTAGTTCTTTACCTTGCATGGAATTTAGCTGGTGTTTTTTTTGCTACTTGGTCCAAATAACACAACGTTGGTCTCAGCAGCACATTTACTACAAGTCATTGCTACCAAAGCAAGCCAGAAACTAAGACTGGCATTGCCCATTCATGCTAAAGCTGTTCACAATAGCTGTACCAAGAGCAGCAGCCTCACATCTGAAGTTCTTTGTATTTATTCCAGGCAGTGCACTAACTTATTAGGATTGAGATGCTAATCCTTCACCCCCTCTTCTTCACTAAATGGTATCAAAGTATCAACTTTATTGATAGCCAGGGAGTATCCAGTAACTTTAACATACAGAGCAGCTGGGACGCTTGACTAAAGAAGCCAGACCAGGGTTTCTAACTACCCTTCTCTGAATTGAAGAGGCTGGAGCTGGCACCAGAGCAATGTGACTCAACCATCCCGTCACAGGCTGAAAAGCTGGCCCCAAGACAGCAGGCCCCTGACTTGCAGCATTAACACAGGAACCCCGGTCTCTGTGCACACGAGCGGTGGCTGTAACCAACAAGCCTACCCCCTATAGAAACATGGCCCACGCTGGATGCCTGGTTTTTCACAGTCTAGTAAGACAATCTCCTCCTAGACAGAGGAGAAAGTAAAAGGGTGAAGAGAGAAGTCAGTCATTCTCACTTCACATCCCTCATTCATATGTGGGAGTGTGGAAGCCTCCACCTCAAGGAAAACAGAGGGAGGCAGGAGGAAGGAGAAACATTTCTCCCTCTTATCTATTTAAGCTATCTACACCTTTCCCCTGATTTAAGAAAGCTTTGCTATGTACCAGGTGCCATCCTAAGTGCTGCCCATAGAGTAACACATTTCAACTTTCTAACAATCTTGGGGGAAGACTAATATGATCTCTGGTTTACAAAGGAAATTGAGGATGAAGTAATTTGGGATTTCAGTCCACATAACTCTTACCCCAAAAGCTGTTCTTAAAGCAATAAGCACATGGCTATTTAATATATGCTGAAATCCCTTTGAGTTCACTTCAGTTCACTTAAACATTTCATATGTTAGGGATCGTACTGTGCCCAGGGAGGCAAAGGATGGGAGGACAGTCCTGAAGACTTGTTCTTAACATATATCCACACATCCCAAATGGACATTCTTGTGCCCCAGGAAGCAAGAGAGTAGTATGGCAGAAAGTTTAAAACTAGGGTGTCTCTTACTCCAGATGTAGGTATAAAAGATGGATTGAGTGACCTCAGTGGCAATTAATTTAAAACATTTTAGTATTAACACAAACTAGAATGTATTTGGGAGCAGAAGCACAATTAGCCTGTATTTATTAAGAGAATACATCAGACTTCACAAAAATGTGGGGAGGTCTCTTTGTCATATCCTGAAACCTCTAGGGATGTGCCTTTAACTCACCTCTGTTGTAGAGCTCTTTTAGTAGAAAACGTTTAGAGGAACCAAATGTGCGTTAATAAGAATACATCCAAGATACACAGTGATGATCTCTGTCTGAGATGGTGAAGCTTGAGGGTGGAGGACATCAAGAAAAGCTTCGCAGAGGGGCTGCTGCCTTTCTAAGCCAAAATTTGTCAAAGAGTAGGAAAAGCAAGTTTTGAAAATAGATAAGCCAGGAGTGTGGCCTGAGATAGTTACATCTCTGAGATTACATCTTTCTTGTATTAAAAAATGGGATGATGCTCCCTATTGCACAGGTGATTTGGAGATTCAAATTAGATAATGCATATGCCTCATACATACATGGTTAGCGAAAAAGAATGCTAGTGTCTCCCCCGTCATTCTTTCTTCAACTGCAGGTCCCACTAACTCCTCATTCTCTCTAACCTGGTTTCCACTCCTTCAACTCTGCAAAATATCTTTCTCTAAGATTTCCCCTGACCTTTCCATCACTAATCCCAAAGGCTACTAGTCAGCCCTCATTCTCTCAGACCTCTGGAATATTTAACCCACTTGTCCTCTTCAGCCCATTTGAGTCTATTTCTCCTAATGGTTTCCATTATCTGCTGTTGTTGTCCTCTGTGGAAAAAAATGGGCTAACATGCAAACAAATAATATACAGCTATTAAAAATAAGGATGTATAGCAATGTGTACTGATATGTATAACCCAATTGCCCCAAGGCCTCTAGCTTTTGGGGCAGTAACCCTTTCCTTTCATAACCAAGTTAAATAAATAAGTCCCCATCCACATAACTGGAGGAAATCCACTCACTTTTCCAATATCTCTGAAGATTTCCTGCATGATGCTTATGTTCACTTATGGTTATCTATCATCCTCGTCTCCAAACTCCTGCCTCTGGTATAGAGTCATCTTTTGTGGCCAAGTAATTTGGGCTCTGTACAAGGAAGCTGTGTACTTTAGCCCTGACTGGGGATGATCCTGGAGCAGCAGAGCACCGTGCTTAAGTGTGAGAGCACCACACTGCATGAGTCCAGATCCAGAATCTATCGCTTACCAGCTGTGACTTTGGGCATTGTATTTAACTTCTCTGTCTGACCTTCACCACACCCAGTTTCCTCATCTGTAAATTGGGATGAGAATAGCACCTACCCTACAGGGTTATTGTGTGAGAAAGCCCATTACCAATAAGGTGAGCAGACACACTGAGAAGGCTGAGACAGAGGTGAGTTTTCTCAACTTAGAATAGGGGTCCAGAAAACACAATGAAAGGGACAAGAACAGGAAGATGGAGGGGCATGGGCCCGAGAAGAAAGAATCTGATTGAGACAGGAAAGAAGGAGCTCAGGGTAGCCCAAGCATAGGTTTTTCACTTGGCAGAGGAGGTGCGATTCATGTAGATGAAGGAATCAGAAAACTGCAAAACTAGTTGGGCACAGATAGGGCCAGCTCCATGGGCTTGCACTCAGTGAAGCCACACAGGACCCTGTGCTCAGTTTAATGCTCTGCTGTCACTGTCTTGAAATTCTTAATAATTTTATAACATGGGGCACCATTTTTTCATTTTTTCACAGAGCCCCACAAATGAAGTACCTGGTCCCGGGCACAGGTATCGGTGCCAGAGGCAGCGTGGGTGGGAGGCTGCTGGGCAGACAGAATTGTGTTGCCGGAGAAGCCTAGAGGTTCATTCACCTCACTGCACTCTATTGAATAGCCATGACATGTTGAATATGCTAGACACCATGGAGGATAAAAAGATGAGTAAACAGTTGCCTGAGTTTATGCTCCGATTCATAAGGAATTCAAGCCATTTACTCTCCTGTTAGAAGGGTTTTAGAGCAGCATCAATTGAGGTCACCTTTTGTGAGAAAGAACTTCAGTGGGGCTTTTTTCCCCCAAATTTTATGTATGAAGCCTTCATAATATTTTGTAAGTGGCCTCAAAGAAAATGTTCTATTAAAATTGATAGCTAAATATGTAAACACTGCTCATTGATCAGCTTTCATATTATCCACAGCAGTTTTGAAAGCGGATCCTTTATTCCTTGCCAAAAACTACTGCTTTGATATTGGAATAACTAATCCTTGGAAATTTATTATTTAATTATAACATTTGGACAGTAGCCTACGAGACATGAAAGATTTCTGTGAGTCTGTATTGTCAGCTGACAACTTGGAGTTAGAGATTTGAAATGTCTGAAAGTTGAAAATATTCAGAGTCGGATCATAATGATGTCATGTAGAAAAGATTTGAATATAAATGGAACTTCAAGGCATCATTGGAGAGTCTTCAGTCAAACAGCTCTTACTCTGCCTTTTTATTCTAACAGGGTTATTACATTGAAGTGGCTAGTGCAGAAATCAAAGACCTTTCTAAATGTTGATGTCAGTTAATCGGAGAAGGGTGATTTCCATAGATGATGTGCTCTGCTAGAAAAAGCATAAAAATGGGAGCCAAAAGACCTAATTTCTATTTTTTAAACAAGGCACACTCCTCTGTGCCTCAGTTTACCTATCTGTAAAGCAAAGCCTCAGGTGGAGGACCCCACATTGTTAATGATGCCGCTCTTTAGGTGAAACTCTGCCCAGATCAGCCTAAAGGGCCTTTCTGGCCTCCTACACCTCAAATTCAGCAACCCATGGGATAATTAAGCTTACTGGGAATTCTAGTCAGAGAAATAATGCTCAAACAAGGAAAGCTTCTATTGTAGGATGTGAAATAAAAGGAAGAAAAAGAAAAATATAAAAAGAAAGAGAAGATGACAATGGTGCAGTCAAAGCTTATAAGCTTAAACCCCACACTTAAAATCTCTGCAAAATCCTGGGAGATAACATTCTCTCACCCACATCAGGACTTTAGGACAAGGGAGGAATCTTACTCTACAGAACAGTGAATAATTGAGGATTGAATACGAAGCATCCCTGTCATTAAAGGACCTCCCTCCATCCTTCCAGCCAGCAAAAATTTCACACTGCCCTCTCTTCTCCAGAGATCTCACCTCTCTACTGTTCAACAAACTCCCCCTAGCTGACTTTAGGAATTTCATCCCTCTCACTGTCTTCTGTAGCAGCATTTGGCTCCTAGACCACCAATTCAAGATCTAGACCAACTGTGCATTTGCTAAGTCAAAGACCATTTCCTCATGGTTTCACTTTTAGTGACTCCAAAGTGTTAGCAGAGTTCTTCAAAATTCCACCGCATTGTGTTGAACAGAATGCATAGAGCAGTGGTTCTTAATTGAGGAGGAAGGGCCCAGCAATTGTGCCCCTCCAGCAACATTTGACAATGTTTTGTGACATTTTTGTTGTCACAAATGGCGAAGAGGATAATACTGGCATGTGGCAGATAGAGGCCATGGACACTGCCAAATATCCTACAATGCACAGAACAGCCTCCACAACACAGAATCAATCAGGCCCCAAATGTCCATAGTACTAAGGTTGAGAAACCAATATAGAAATTTATTTTCCCACTGTTATGAGTAAGTTCATCTCCCCTTCAAAGGCAAAGGAAGCTAGTCAGTTTAGCTTTTGAATAATAATTTTTTTCAGCATACTATGTTTAAAAATAATTTGTACTTGTCTTTCCCCAGTTAAGGGGTTTTGGGTATAGAACTTTTAAATGATGTCTGTGTTCCCTGAAGAATAATTAGTGACTTCTAGATTTCTAGCACTATTATCTCTAATAGATTTACTTGCTAGGATCTCAACAGTTACATGTCCCAGTGGCTCCACAAATTCAACGTGTCTAAAACTACTTTGGCCACAGCTATAGCTTAGAACTTCATCCTTTCTCACCTGCATTCTACCTCCTAGTGAGTCATTAGATTCCAACAAAATCTTCTCTCATATTGCTCATTTCTGTGGCTAACCATATCAACCACCCCATTCTCCAGGCATCACCTAATCCCCTATCCACATCCAATAGATCACCTGGTCCCGCAACCTGTTTCTCCTTAGCCCCTTCTCTCTCTCTCTCTCTCTCTTCCCCACCCTCCCTCCCTCCCCTCTTCCCTCCCCTATGTTACTCCTCTGATTCAGTTCCTCAACACAAATATCTGGGTTAATTAAATAACTCCTTCTGACTATTCCTTTTTCCAAGCTGACCTTTATAAATCCATGCTGTACAAATCCATTCATACTTCTTCCCTATTTTAGGAAATTTTAAATACATTTCTTGGCTTTCAGAATAATGTTCAACCCTTTACCTGGCTGAGATGATCTAACTCTTGCTTGTCTCTGTCCCATCTCTTTTCACTCTTCCATGTGGAATTCTTTGGTCTAACTTTTTTGAGCTACTTTGTACTTCAGCACATGCCCTGTCTCGGGGACTTCACACATGTTGTTTTCAGCAAAGAATACTCTTTTCCACCTTTTCTTCTTGCCCAACACCTAATCATCTTGAAATCTCAGCTCTGCCATGAACATCACTGCTCTGGGAGAGTGTCTCTGGATCACCAGAGCCATCCTTCACCATGTGTTTCCCTCAAATTCCCTTGGAATAAAGGGTACTTTCATCACATAAATTTGTGACAGTCCCTCTCCCTGGAATTCATACCCAATATTAGAATATTACAAGTTCTGAAAAAAGACTGCCATAAAAAGATTTCTTGATCTTTGATCCAATGTTTCCCAAACTTACTTGAACATTTAACTTATTTTTTCTGCAAACCTATTATCATCTTTTTTTGGAAAATTTTGCCTTCATCTGATTTAGGAAGAACTTCCTTTGCTCCTATAGGTACCCCAGGCATAGGTCTATTACAGTACTTTTCACACATCCCTGTAATTGCAGAGTCATTTTCTAATAGGTCTCATATACAATAGACTGACTACAAATGCCTCAATAATAAAATAATCACCGTGTTTTTATCAGCATTATACATCCAATACCTAGAACACATTTTAGATATCTGATAAATATTTGATAAATAAATACATTATTGGACAAAGGACAATATAGTTCATTACTATTAATAATTCACCTATGTTAAAGAGTAGGTGCATTTTTTGATTATTTGTTTTTGTTTGTTTATTTTTTTTTTTGATACAGAGTCTCACTCCGTCACCCAGGCTGGAGTTCAGTGGTGTGATTTCAGCTCACTGCAACCTCCGCCTCCTGGGAGCAAGTGATTCTCCTGCCTCAACCTCCCAAGTAGCTGGGACTACAGGTGTGCACCACCATGCCTGGCTAATTTTTGCATTTTTAGTAGAGATGGGATTTTACCATGTTGGCCAGGCTGGTCTCAAACTCCTGACCTTAGTTGATGAACCCACCTTGGCCTCCCAAAGTACTGGAGTTACAGGCATGAGCCACTGTGGCCAATCAATATAATTGTTTTGATAAAATATTTTAATATTCAAGATAGAATGTAATTTATGATATTGACATGCTTTCTGAGAATGCCATGTTTAAGTGAATTTCTTAGTGTCTCTATCCTGAAGATAAGGGTTTATGCTTGGTCTGGCTTCTTAATCTGGGATTGGCATGGAAATCTTTTTATTGTTTTGGGAGTCAGTTTTGAATTTGTTGCTGTTGTTTTGTGTTTTGTTTTTTAAGAAGACCACAACTCAACTGTGAGTTATTTGGGGTCATTTTCTGCTCCAATGGCGGCTACTGAAACCAGTACAAACTGTCAGAGCAGTTTCATTAAAGGTATTAGGAGGCCCTTGGCTTTTTAATATTAAGCTCAAATCCAAAATGACCTTAAAATGCAGTAACATTGAAGTCAGAAAATCTGTATTCTAGTTCAAATCACTTGCAGCATGATTTGGAGAGGATCATTAAATCTCACTGATTCTTGTTTCCTCCAGTAACTTAGTATGCTGGTAAACTTATTCTCTGTCTTCCGAAGGTGATGTGAGAATTACATGAGATGATCTATGGAAAAACTGTGTAAGCTTGAAAGCATTCAACAAGGCACTCCCAAATGAAATGCAAGCCCCTCAAAGGGGGAGGTCATCACTTATTGATCACTCTCATGCTTAATACAATACCTGGAAAAAGAGATATTCATAAATATTGAATTAATTAATGCAGATAATAAAATGATAAAACAGTAGCCCTGAAGCTATGTTAATGCAATGGGAACAAAAACAAAACACATTTAAATATTGTACTAGTCCAGTCTCCCATTATTATAAAGAAATAGCTTCTGGATGCGGTGGCTCACGCCTGTAATTTTAGCACTTTGGGAGGCCAACTTGGCAGGTGGATGGCTTGAATATAGGAATTCAAGACCAGCCTGGGTAACATGGCAAAGCCCCATCTTTATTAAAAAAAATACAAAAATTAGCTGGGTGTGGTGGGGCATGTCTGTAGTCCCAGCTACTTGGGAGGCCAAGGTGGGAGAATCACCTAGACCAGGGAGGTTGAGGCTGCAGTGAGCTATGATTTCACCACTGCAATACAGCCTGGGTGACAGAGACTCTATCTAAAAAGAAAGAAAGAAAGAGGAAGGGAGGAAAAGAAAGGAAAGGAAAGGGAAAGGGAAAGGGAAACGGAAAAGGAAAAGGGAAAGGGAAGAGGGAGGAAGGAAGGAAAGGAGGGAGGGAGGAAGTCAGGAAGGAAGGGAGGAAGGGAGGGAGGGAGGAAGGAAGGAAGGAAGGAAGGGAGGAAGGGAGGGAGGGAGGAAGGAAGGAAGGAAGGAAGGGAGGGAGGGAGGGAGGGAGGAAGGAAGGAAGGAAGGGAGTGGGGGAGGGAGGAACGAACGAACGAAAGAAAGACAGACCTGAGACTGGGTAATTTATAAAGAAAAGAGGTTTAATTGGCTCATGGTTCTGCAGGCTGCACAGGATCATGATGTTGGCATCTGCTCAGCTTCTGGAGAGACCTAAGGAAACTTAGAATCATGGCAGAAGGTGAAGGGGGAAGCAGGCAGGTCACATGGCCAGAGCAAGAGCAAGAGAGAGAGAGCATAAAGATGCCACACACTTTTAAATGACCAGAACTCATGAGAACTCACTACCGTGAGGACAGTACCAAGAGATGGTACTAAACCATTCATGGGAAATCCACTTCCATGATCCAGTCACCTCCCACCAGGCTGCATCTGCAACACTGGAGATTACATTTAAACATGAGATTTGAGTGGGGCACACATCCAAACTATATCAAATATATAAATATATGCCATATTTATACATCTGCTTGTATATATGCCTATTGATGAAGGGCCTGAAGTAGATGAAAGGTGACCAAATTATGAAAATTTATAAGGAAAATTAAATGTCAATAAACATTAGAATCAAACAGAGCCTTATACGATGTACAAGAAATTAATACTTTTTTTAAGAAGTTCAGTGATAGCCAGATATAAGTGTATACCAAGAACAATTTTAAATGGTTAAAAATACATTCAAATATTCTTATAGCAATCAAGATATACAGAAGTCCAAATATAATTTGAAGTGGTTGGAAACATGGATGAACTTTACCTGAAGAAACTCTCTCCCAGCATTCTGCAGATGTGACAAAGCGATTTCGAACACAGTTATCTGTAGATGGGAAAAGCTGAAGCTCGGCCTACATTTGTTTGCAGTACAGGAGTCCCCAACACCCTGGCTTGCAGGTTTTGGAAGTGGTGGTCAGATTCAGCCATTGGTGGGCATCTTCTGGACACCATCATTTACAGGGCTGGGGAAGGTGAGGGCACTGAAGCCTGGGAAAATGCCTGCCTCCCAGGAAACAGGGAACACAGGCTCTTTTTCTCTTCAGTCCAAGGGGCCCACCCCATAGAGCCTACTGCCCTGTGTGGAAACTTGTAAGAAATGCAGAATTCCAGTCCCCACCCCAGACCTTCCAAATCAGAATCTGCTTTTTATCAGGGTCTCAGGTGATCTGTGGACACATTCAAGTATAAGGAGCACTGGCCTCAGTGGCTGTTCTCAGCAGGACTGCTTGTTTTAGATGTATGGCTGAGGAGGAGCCCAAAAGACTCTTTTTGTGTAACACGAAGAGACTTGCCACGCTCTGCACTTGCCTGGAGGATCCTGAGAACTTGGAGGCTTCCCCTACACCCTCAGTTGAGGGGTTCTAGCCTACCAGGCTGTTCACCAGGAAAATATTCCTCCTTTGCCTCTCACAACTTGCAGACCCACTACTAGTTAGGAGACCCCAAAAGCCTGCCTACATGTGTGCTGAGGACTTATTTCACTGTAATGGGTCAGAAAGATCTGGATGTTTGCAGACAAGTAACAGTGAGGAGAAAAAATGCACAAGGCATTGAAGATGACTCAGCAGTTTGAAGGAGGAAAGAACAACACAATCAGAACAGGTGGCTGTCTGTGAGATAGTCTTAAAGAAAGAAAGACAAAGGACACTAAAAGAGTATAATGCAAATTCCTAGGGAGACTAGGGAAATTATTACAAAGGAATGATCGGAGAAAAAGAGAGTTCTTGAAACTCAAAAATATTGCTGAAAACTGAATAAGGTATCTTGAAGTTCAGGTGGAAGATTAGCACACAGAGAAGAAAAACTTGAAGAAATGGAAGTTATGCATGCTAAGTGAAAAATACACATAGAGGACACATCTTATTGTTGATAGAGGGTGAATAGTTTCAACCTTCTTGAAGAGTGATTTGCACAACCCATCTAATAGTAAGCTGCATCTACCCTAGTATAAAGTACTTGCAATTCTAAGAACTACTTTAGAGTATAAGACCACACGTCTAAAAGTAAATGTTCAAAATGCTTGGTCATTACAAGCCCACTGTAATTGCAAAAAATTACTAACAACCTAAATGTCTATGAATATGGGATTTGTTAGGACATGTCCATAAATGGAATCCTACTTAGCCACTAACAAGAATAAGGAGATCTCTATATACTGACTTGGAATCTGTGTCCACAAAAATACCATTAAGAGGATAAAAGCATATTATAGAAAATTATCTAGCATGAGCTTGTTTTTGTTATAAAAATTTTCATGACATACATATCTATGGATAAAAGTTTATATGCTTATGCTTTCATAAGCATAAAAATATTTAGAAGGATAACCTCACATGCTGTTGATAGAATTACTTCTGGAAAACGGGGGTGTTGGGCAAAGCGTTCACTTCTTTGTGTGCTTCAAAATAAATCTGTGCAGTTCTGAGTTCTTTTACTTTATTTAAGTGGGTTTTTAAATATTTTCTAAATGTTTGATAATGAAAATTGCTTATTTCGATTACAAATATTTTTAACTGTTAAAAAGGTATAAAGAAATCAAAACACAAGGAGTCATTTATAAATAAACACGCTAAGTCAGTGGAATGGTTCACCAAGGCCTCAGCAAAGGCACAGAGTCAAGGCTAGGAAAAAACAAAAAACAGCAAAATTCCAATACCGTAGGAGAAGCCATTGGCAGTGTTTATAAAATCAGTAAAATACGAGTGAGGCCAAGGGATTAAAAAGCAACTGTGAGAAAAATTATTAGAAGTCATGAAAAACAATCTGATATCACTTTTTAAAGTTGAGCTCATTGTGGGTCAAATCAGAACCCACAGAGACAAAAGAGGTCATGTCCCCCGATTATAACCATTTAAGGAACTAGTACAGAATATTTTAATCCAATGGATGGTACCGTTCTTTGTACAATAAGTTTTCAATTTGGACTTAATGAAGACAACATAACTGTCACATAGTAAGCACTAGGATTGGGCACGTTCTCTTCCAAATGCTTTATATGTATATCCTCCAATAAGCACAACAATCTTAGGAGAAGTACAGTGCTACTCTTATTTCTATTTTACAGTTGAAGGCCTTGAGACTTAGACAGATTAAGTAACTGGTCAGAGGTCACACTGGAGGTTGGTGGAAGAATCGAGACTTGAACTCCTGGCCCTCTGACCTTGCTTCTGCCCCCAGAGTGGGGGTCATGGGCAGAGCCCCTACAACTCTTGACATCACATCCCTATGCCTTCATCACATAGTCTTGGCTTTTAAAGAACACTTGATCAAAGCAAAGAGGAGATACACTATTCATAAATTATTTTTATTGTCTGATCACTGGCATATTCTATCTTAAATAAAACCTTCATTCTTAAATTAATTTCACAGGTAATTTACGTGGTTACCTATACTCCTGAGAATCAGTGGGATAGAGAATAGGTAGTCCTACCATAGCATTAAGTAAGTAAAATTAACATAAAATAGAATTAATTCAAAATTCAGAATAAGAGTACAGTAGCCACCTCATCTCAACATTCATAATCTTGAACATATAGGAGCTAGATTATTGTGTATCATAAAGAGGAATAGGTATATAGAAGATTTTACTCCATAGGTTACATTATACAATTATACTCGCATTGATGCAACTTTTTACAAACCATAAACATTTTAAATAACTGACAACTCAAGCCAGATAGCCTAATCAGCATAGAACACTCAGAAATTTCTAAGTGATCTTATTTTCTAATGAGTGTCAATTGTAGGTTACAGATGACAACCAGATGGGATCAACCACAGGAACCAGGGTGAGAAGTTGAGATCAATGAATGGTATGAAGAATCCCCTGGTTGAGCACTTGGTTTAAAGATAAGATGTTCTCAGAAGAGATCACAGACAGAGATGTATCCTCAGTGTTCAGCACAGTTCATATGAAAGTGGATTCCAGCAAAGAGACCAAAGAATGTGTCCAAGGGCTTCGGTCAAAGTCTGTTCTGTATGAACCTTGCTACTGAATCAGGCACATGTCCTACTGTGATCCGAGGAGGGTAACCTGCTGGCCATGCAGATCTTCTGAGGTGGGCATAGCACAGGGCAGAGCCGGGATGTACCTCACATCTCCCCTGAGGTGGGAGCAGAGAGACTAGGCTTCCCTAGCTAAAGTCTTCTAGGATCCACATAAGAAGATCCCCATTTATGATCTCTTAAAGACCCTTGTGTGGTGAGAGAATGGTCTCTGCCAAAGTATATGCAAATAATACAAATGGTGGTCCCTCAAGTGAGCCAGTTCCTCCTGCCCAGGGTCTTGCACTCAGTGATGTTCCCTTGCTTGGTCTGCTCCACATTCCCCATCTGCCTTCTTATGTCCTGCTCTAGCGTAAGAATAATATCTCCCTAGGGTTATTATGAGGAATTAACTGCTCAGTACATTAGGAGGTTCTTGATGCATTAAGCACTCCATATTATTAACTATTATTATTAAATATGAATTTTTTACCAGATGCTATTTCAATGCTTCCCCAAATTAGACTTCCTGGACCTTTCTATCTGGATTGATTACCCAATTCCATCTTGCCTCCTCACTGGCCACTGTTGTAACTTTGTGTTATATTGTGATGTGATCCCTCTAAACTGTCCAATTGTCCCTCCAACCAGACAGAGGTTAATCACGAGGGGAGGGGATGTGTTATTAGGGCCCAACACAGTGCCTTGCACATAGTAGGCACTCAATAAGCATTCAGTGAAGGAGTTAATAATTTGAAGGCCTCTCTTTCTCCTTTAAGAATTCAGGTTTTTCTTTGTCTGTTGTGGAAATAAGCTTTAAAAAAGCAGAGGTGAGTTTTTATGTAACTCTCTGGTCTGAAAAAGCACACTGCCACAGTATGCTTAACAGCTTGATTTATTTTGTACCTCAAGAAAAATGATCAGTAACATTGAATTGAATAGATACATAATGCAGTCTCAAGGACATCCCTGAATAGTTTTCAAAGTAATCAATGATATTGCTGTGAAAATGTTGCCCAAATGAAGAGTTCTTGTCCAATGAATCTGTGAAGTAATAGACAGATAATTTTCTTTGTGAATACTTTTGTGGCCAAAGAACGCATTATGTGAGGCAGCAGTAAAAACTTTTCTCAGTAGGTGAGAATGTTCCAAATTTGTTTCCTAGCAACAGGTTCTTCAAAGGAGCTGAAGGGTACACAATTTCAGAAGAATTTTCAGTGGACTTTTTTTTTGTTTGGAAGGGCAAGGGGTGGGAGGAAATGTGTGTCAGGTTGTGATCAGAACAGTGTTCCAGTTAGTGCCACATGTGAGATCTTGTTGGGTCAAACTATAGAATAATAACTAACAACTAATAATAATAACTTCTTCCAGTTAGTGACACATGTGAGATCTTGTCGGGTCAAACTATAGAATCCATCTAAGAAATTCAGTCCAATAAAAATGTATCAACCTCTTACCTGTATAAAGAGGAATTATCTGTATTATTTATGGGCCCAGAAATTTAATAATTTAACAATTTGTCAATCCATGAGCCCCACTCCTAACCACCTTCACAGATAGTAAATGAGGAATTAGGTGGCTTGCTAAAACACGTAGAGATTTTTTAATAAGGATGTTGATTGGAGATATTGAGTAGTTGGAGGAATGAAAATTGGAGAAAAGCAATCTGGATGAGGAATTTGGGACAAGGATATAGCTTTGACTGTCACAAATGGAGACATCTTACCCAAGCAAAACCTCCATAGCTACCTTCCCAGCTCCCATTTCATGGATTTATCATATGTTCTTAATTTGGTTTTACAACTTGGCCTTCTGATAGTAATAATAACAGCAGTAACAACACCAGGTGGAATTGGAGAGAGTGCTGGAGAGAGGAAATACAATAAGTCTGGTTGGCTAGTTCAATGGCTTAAGACTTTCATCATTTTCTTGCTTCTGGTTCACGCTGACATTAGGAGGACTTTATCTAACTATTTTATATATATTATTTTATTTAACCTTTATGGCAATTCTTTGAAATAGCCACTAGTAATATTTCTATCAATCTCAGAGCATTGAACCAATTTGCCCAAATCACACTATTATTAAGAAATGGTAGAGCTTGGAAAAACATCGGTCACTGAAGTAACTAATCTGACCTATCCAGATCAGTGTGGGTGGTGTGGAAAGATCTTTCTGTAGGTCTGAGGACACCATGATTTGAGTGCTTAGTCTTAGAGATGATCTGGAATCACTTGAATCTCAGAATGCAAATAGTTCATATCAATCATAGGGACTTTCCTGCCATTTCCTATTAAACCTACTACACTAAAAAGTACCCCTTTCAATATAACCACAATAGGTCCAATAAATTATGGATTTGGAAGCAAGCTGAATTGTCTGGTGGGCTGCCACACTGAACAAATTGCCTGCACAATTGGCCTTCCAAGCATAGGCACAGTCTAATTGTCCCTCCCCTTTTACCAACATCTTGAATAAATAGAAACTTGGCATTGGTTTCAATCCCCCTCCTCGCATCTCCCACAAAAGCTTTCTATTTCTTGGAAAAGAAAACTGTCCATTTATCCTAATAAGTATGAGTTGAGAAAACCATAATCTTTAGGAGAAGTTTCATTTAAAGGAACAATGTGTCAGAACTTGGCCAACAAGAACAAGGTACAATGTCAGTGTGAACCAGAAGCAAGAGAATGATGAGCGTCTAAGCCACTGAATGAGCCAGCCAGACTTACCATGTTTTCTGTCTCCAAGATTGGACCTGGGAGACAAAGTGAGCATCAAGTAGTCTTGAAATTCTAGGATACTAAGGAGCAGGGAGCTGAGCATGTGATGAGATACAGCAGCTAGCATGAATGTTTTTTCTTTCTGGGCTACAGCCTCCTGTATCCCCAAGAAAAGTCTCCCAATAAATATATATTCATCTGTAGGCTAGGCTTCTCTCTCTTTTTTTTTTCAATCAGTGGCTTCAAACGTGACTCCTTTTTCATTTTGAATTGATTACTGTACAATTTTTTAACATTCTTTTTTTCTTTCTTTGTTTCAGAGGCTACTCTTTAAAGACAGGCATTTTACTTGCAGCAAAATGTAAGTACATTTCCTCCTTGAAATGGTATCTACTTCTCAGCTGTAATTCCTAAAGCCTCCTAATCTTTAAGGCTCCCATCTCACATTGCTGCATTTTTAAAGTCTAGCTCAGCACACACAGCCAATCTAACATTTCATACTATTGATTTGTATAACATCATGGAACATTTCAGAAACCAATTTGGAAGCAGATTGAACTTAATTGTGGTTGTGACAATATTACGTCTAAAGGTAGATAAAAGTGAGGAGTAAAAAAATAGGCAATATTCATTTATATATTATGACCATGTGACACTAAACATTTAAATATTCAGTTCTCTCAAATGACTAATTTATTATTCTTTTCCCAGTTGCTCCTCACCGTGTGGTCACAGACTGTTTCTTGTTTAACGGCATGGTGGTAACCTTAATAATTCCTTCCTGTGTGTACTGCGTTATGGCCACTCTGTAAACCCGTATTCTCTCCAGAACTAATCTCCTGTGTATTATGTTTCTTTATTCTTAGTACTTCCAGTGTCTATACCCAAATTACAAATCCCCTCTATTCTGAAAGACCAAAGAAAATTTTAGCAGATCTGAACTGGGAGTTCTGAGTTTTGTCTTTGGAATTAGGGTGATTTTTTTTTTCTTTTTTAATGAAATGAAGGTAAGAATAATTTTAACAAAGGAAAAAAAGAAAGTTTCATATGTCTCTGGTGTAATTTAATAATATCCAATTTACAAAAGCAGGAGGTAGATTTAGCTTTAGTATAAAGACCCTAGCTGTTCAAAAGTAGCTCAAAATGTAGTAAGTTGCTTGTCACTAAGCAAGTAATCAACAACTATAAGGTAGATGGTTGAGTCATGTACCCTCATGGAGGATACATCAACTTCTAATTCATGTAGAATTTCCAGCAGAGAATACATCTCAGTAGTCACTGAAGCATTTAATTAGACATTCTAGTACCTATCAGAATCCAAAGAGTACAGTTGAATTATATATATTATACATGTTCTAATAAATTCTCTTTTGAATCATTCAGTTCCTGAGAAGATTATGTGTTCAGCTGAACTGCAGGAGAAACTTAGTTTTTACTGATTTCCCTAGGGGTTGGTTTTTTGTTTGCTCTCTAGAATAAATTGATCCCACTGCTGTACATCAAATACTCAAGCGTTAGCACAAAAGACATTCACCCTCAAAACATTCAGATTTAATGTCAACGTATTACGCATTCACTGATATTTTTTAAAATGTCAGTCTCTGTATTATCTTGCTTTAGTCTTTATTGCATTATCAAGACACCTGCATGCTATGAATGTTTTAAGCAGCTTTTACCAAGAAAGTCACGTTAGATTTTATGAGTAGTCTCCTTTTCGTGTGCTGTCATGAGTATATTGTTTGTACAAATGTTAACTTTTGACTGTATTATTTCTTTTGAACACAGAAAGCTGTTCAGGGGAAATTGCCTATGTTTACTTTCTTGCATATTCATATTTGGTAGCTCTTTACCATACTGTTACTGCCTATTTAGGTTTACTAGTATTTTAAATCAGTTAATGTTAAATACCGAAAGATACTTGGTATATATTAATCGTGAAAATTTGATGAAGGGCAATTTAAGGCCGCATTTTAAGTCACTATATGTAAATTTAAACACCCACGTGTTACCGCAGGATCTCTTTATCAAAATTTCAGTTGAAAGCACCCGTTACCTTTCAGATTGCAAAAAAAAAAAAAAAAAAAAAAAAAAAGGGGGGTTGGGGGGTGGCTATTTTACTTTAGAGGTCTCAGTTTGTGACTGTTTGTTTTCTTTTCACATTTTTTTTTTCTCAGACACATACAGGGTGCTTAGTGACCTATTTCATTAGTAAACATTTTGAGAAGGAAGCTTGCACTGGGATTATAAACAATCCAGACAAAATGGGTCTACCCAGCTCCCCAAGCAATCTCTGAGCAACCGGGGAAAGGTTGGTCTGACCCATGGAGTCACGGAAACATATTAAAATCACCAGGCAATCTTGACCTGGGTTCTTTTTGGCAGCTACATTGAACCAGCCCCTCTGGAGTTGACTTTTTGTCCTAATGATGATTGTATTATTCAACCAATACAAATGGAAAACGACCTAATCAACGTTCCATTCAGACAAGACTTAGATCTATAGTGAATGACAGGAGACTTTCCAAGTAAAGGTCCTGGAAATGTATATGCAACACATAAAATCCCAACCCACGGATGGAGGACAGCTTTAGCCAAGTCAGGAAAATATGCCTCCATAGAGGAATAAGGCTGGGCGATGGAAGGAACTCAGGAGCAAAAATCAAAAGGCTAATGGCTAAGTCCCAGTTCACTCCTTCAGTAGTATAATTTGGAGTATGTTACTTAACCCTTCGGTTTCAAAGTATCTTTTTGGGGAAGGAGAGAGGAAGGAAGACATTTTCTCCTGACCCCTTCAAAGGGTTGTTGTGATAATCACATGATATAATGTTTTGGAAAAATTTTACCATCTGAAAATGCTTTGTATTACCAATAATCTTATTAAATTATTGGAGACCCTCCCTGTTTTAGTGGGAGTCCTTGGGATTCTGGTGGCAAGCTTTGGGCCTTCAAATTAATGCTACACAATAGAAGAAAATAGAACACTACTGGGCCAGGTCACTGCTCTGGAAAGACTTGCACCCACATTCTTTCTTTTCTTTTCAACCGCTCATATTCTTTAGGACCACTGCCTCTGGTGGAAGAGAATTATCTTCTGGGTGGTATGGGTGAGAAAGTTGCCAAAGAAACCTGAATTATCTAGAGGCCTGTAAAATGCGCAATTGCTTTTTAAGAGGCTTGGTGATATCGTGTGTTCCTTTCGATTTTTGGCAGGAACCATTTTCTGCAATTTGTGGTTTTGCAATTTCTCTTTTCACAGACAACACCCTGGCTCTCATTCAATGCCCCATTGGTGGGGGTGAGGTGGGGAAAAAGAAAGATTCCCTGGGGCCCTGACTGCTCCAGAAAAAGAAGGAAATGTTAATGAAATAAGTCAGAAAAGAACGCTAGAGACTAGTGGAAGCTGGTTGGTTTTGGGGGAAGAAACAACTTTTAATAAATTGCATGGTGTGGCTAGGATTTTAGCTGAGGCTTTCATTGTCTGGGCAAAGACCTGTTCTCTTAATTCTTCTTGCCTCTCCACTGAGCTTTGTTTGGGTTACAATGTCAATCTTTTTTCTTCATTTTTTTTCCTGTATTCAACAAGCCTAGAGCAGTCTCTTTCACTGGTTCCTTGGCCTCTTCTAGAGGGATTTTCTTTAAGTATTCCATCTCTAAGTATCCATTTGCCAATTACATTAACTTGGTTTGTGTAATTTAGCTCAAGATCTATGCATCAGAACTTTTTGCCCTCATTCTGGGTGCCTTTTCTTCCCCTTCCCTATGGCTTTAATGCCCTTTGCAGAGGAGGTCTATGGCCAGCAAAGCAGTACAGGGATGTAGCATTTATGTAGGCAAGAGTGATTTGTTCTGTTTCTATTCATCGCCTCTGGAAAGGGTTTGCAGACTTTTGTTTGCTTTTTTATGGCTGCTAGGCACTGTGCTGAAGGATTTAAAGTTGCATCCAGTGTTAACCTTGTATTCTTTCTCTGTTCACTTTTTTATATCAAAACAGTCCTCTGTTTCCAAAGGAGTGGATTCCCAGGGCCTATGCCCATCGTTCTTGGGCTTTCCATGCACAAAGGCCACGTATTTCTTCTCTTGTCATGACCTAAATGTCACTGCTTCTTGTACTTCTAAAAGGACAATAAAGGTAATTGCTACTCATATGTTAATTACAATCCCCCAAATTTCACGTATTTCGGGAAAATATGATTTTACTGTGTGTGTGTTGTAAACATTTAGGGAATTACTTCTGTTATGGAATCATAAATCATGGAACTTTAATTTTGGAAGATGCTTTCAATATGATGCAGTTCAACAGCCCACCCCTAGCTGTCCTCACAACATCTTCTCTCGAAGCCCTTCCTCTATCTCATATGGTAGCCTAATCCGTTTTTTAATAGCTCAGTATTCAAACTTTCTTTCGCTAACCTGAGATAACCTCCCTCTGACTTTGGGTCATTTGTGCTAGTTTATCCCTTCTGGAGCAGCTCAGAAGAAGCTGACTCCTTCCCCACATGACAACCCTCCAAATATTTTGGAATCTGATCCCGTATACTCTCTGAGTCTTCCTTGTCCAGGCTAAACATCCTCAATTTCTTCAGCCATTCTTCACACGACTTGGTTTAGTTATCCTTTTCCATTTATCCAAGTTGCATTTTTCAATGCTCCTTTTAAAATGTTACAGCCTGAACTGAAAAGAATACTGCTGAGATGGCTGACCAGTACAGAGCTTCTAGAAAAAAACAAAAACAAAAAGAAATTCTCGTTCTGGTGTGTTAGTTTTATTACAATAACTAAGAGCACATCAAAAATTTTAATAGCACTTTAGTCCTGAGGCTAATCTAAAACCCCTAGATACAAAAGCTGCTACTAAAACAGATTTTTCAGTCATGTATCTTTGCACTTGGTTTTGAATATGATGCAAAATATATTTATCCATGCAACACGTAGTAATTTCAGAATATAAGTAAAACTATTAGGAGTTTTTTGAATTTAAATTATTTTAAATCCTTTGTCAGTTTGATCTGCCTCTTGGCTTCATTCAAGAGATTGGTAGAGACAGTGAATATCTGGATTTTAAGCTCCTCAAAGGTGGAACCATGTTTTATTCATCTTTGTCTCTCCTGAAATGTCTGTGATATTCTCTTAAACAACCAGATGCTCAGTAAATGCTTACATTAACTCAATCAACAGAATCAAATACAAAGTAGCTTTCCAACACCCAGACTGGGACCTATCTTTAGGCTGATATCTGTGCCCTGTAGAAACTAAGATAAATACTTAAAATACATTATACTGCTAATGCTTGGCAATTTTGTAGCATTGTAGAGTTAATTAATAATGCCACCTCAAGGGCTAGATAGTCTGAATTCTAATCTTGCTAGACTTTACTGGTTATGTGCTTTAGAGCAAATTAGATTACCTTGTCTGTTCCTGACAAATAAAATATAGTAATAAATTATTTGTATCTGCGTCATAAGGTGTTTGTGAGGCATGTAAATGCAAGCTCAAATTACATGTAAAGAATATAGAAAAAATTCTGGTAATATAAAAATAATAATAGTAGTAATAGTTGTATTGTTGTTGCTTTTGTTATTATTTTCAATATATGCTAATAGAGCCACCCAATCCTAAGAGAAACAAAAAACAACTTTGATAGAACTTGTTCATATTAAACCCATATTGACTTCAACTAATAATTTTATTATCAAAATGCTAGTGTGATCTGAATATAACCGACTGCTTCATGGGCCATTTAAGCTCAGACATGCATTCGAAAATGGAAAATCAAAACATCTAAAAAGATGACAACAATGTACATTTTTGCTGAAGTCCTTCAAAGGGGAATTATGTTACATTCCACAGCAAAATATTCTAAAGATCTTCTTAACCCAAATTTCTCATTTTGAGTAACAACTCAAACATTTTACCTTTCTGTCTGTGCTTTATAAAAACAAAATGTGCTGTTTTGTTCTTGTTTTTTTCTCACTTACCTCTTCTCTCCTAATCATGTCCAGTTCTCCAGAACTACTAAATTACTAGCCTAATCTTTTCTGTCTACAACTCCTCCATTCCCTATATAATTTTATGTGGCCCTTCCAGGTGGCATGTGAAAAGATGTGTATGTTTGCCTGTGTGTACGTGTGTGTACATTATATATTATATACCTAATATATAAAATATATTATGACTTTCACTGATAAAATAGATGTGTAACAAAATTTATGATTGATGAATGAATATAGTTTCCATGTAAATGTGGTTGATATTTATATATATGTTAATGAGTAAGACAAAAATGAAACAGAAAAGGTATACCTCACAGGTCCACTCTTCATCAATAAATGTGAACAACTTCTTTGCTTAACTGGATAAGAGTTTTGAATACAGTTGAATATTTCCTCAAATTTCCATGTTACTCACAATATGACAGCTATAGACAGAACATTCCTTTTTGTTTAATCTGCATCATTAACATTCTCATCACTTTCTTAAACGTAGACAATCAACAAAACAATAAATCAAGACCTGGTTGGTAGCATTTGCCAATTTCTGTGGTGTAAATGCTGCTGCCATGGCCATTTTCAAGTTACCAACATGATGTCACTAAATGTGTAATTAGGAAGATGTGCAGTAACACACCTTTATATGGTATTCACACCATACGGATACAAAGCATTCAAATAAACTAAAAAGCATAGGTAATTTAAAATGCAGCAAAATAATTAAGAAGTGATGAGTTTTTAGCATTTATTTCCTTTGGGGTTTTTTTTTTTAGCTTTTATTTTAGGTTAACAGGTACATGTGCAGGTTTGTTATATAGGTAAAATTATGTTACAGGAATTTGTTGTACAGATTATTTTATCACCCAGGTACTAAGACTAGTACCCAATAGTTATTTTTTCTGATCCTTTTCTTCCTCCCACCCTCCACCCTCAAGTAGGTCCCGGTGTCTGTTGTTCCCCTCTTTGTGTCCATAAGTTCTCATCATTTAGCTGCTACTAATAAGTGAGAACATGCAGTATTTGGTTTTCTGTTCCTGCATTAGTCTGCTAAGGATAATAATCTTCAGCTCCATCCATGTTCCCACAAAAGACATCATCTCATTCTTTTTTATGGCTGCATAGTATTCCATGGTATATATGTACCACATTTTCTTTATCCAATCTGTCATTCATGGGCATTTAGGTTGATTCCATATAATTACTATTGTGACAGGTGTTGCAATGAACATTCACATACATGTGTCTTTATGGTAGACTGATTTACATTCCTCTGGGTATGTACCCAGTATTGGGATTGCTGCGTTGAATGGTAGTCCTGTTTTTAGCTCCTTGAGGAATCACCACACTGCTTTCCATAATGGTTGAATTAATTTACAGTCCCACCAAGAGTGTCTAAGTGTTCCCTCTTCTCTGCAACCTTGCCAGGATCTGTTATTTTTTTACTTTTTATTAACAGCCATTCTGACTGGTATGAGATGGTATCTCACAGTGGTTTTCATTTGCATTTCTCTAATGTTCGGTGATATTTGACTTTTTTTCATATGCCTGTCAGCCACATGTATGTCTTCTTTTGCAGTGTCTGTTCATGTCCATTGCCCACTTTTTAATGTTTGTTGTTGTTGTTGTTTCTTATAAACTTGTTTAAGTTCCTTACAGATGCTGGATATTAGACCTTTGCGAGATGCATAGGTGGCAAATATTTTCTCCCATGCTGTAGATTGTCTGTTTATTCTGTTCATAGTTTCTTTTGCTGTGCAGAAGCTTTTACATTTGATTAGATCCCATTTGTCAACTTTTGCTTGCGTTGCAATTACTTTTGGCATCTTCATCAGGCCATTTTTGTCCATTCCTATGTCCACAATGGTATTGCCTAGGTTGTCTTCCAGAGTTTTTATAGTTTTGGGTTTTACATTTAATTCTTTAATCTATCTTTAGTTGATTTTTGTACATGGTGTAAGGAAAGGGTCCCGTTTCAATCTTCTGCATATGGCTAGCCTGTTACCCCAGCACCATTTCTTGAAAAGGGAGTCCTTTCCTCACTGACGGTTTTTGTCAGCTTTGTCAAAGATCAGATGGTTGTAGGTGTGCAGCCTTATTTCTAGGCTCCTTATTCTGTTCCATTGGCCTATGTGTCTATTTTTGTGCCAGTACCATGCTATTTTGGTTACCGCAGCCCTGTATTATAGTTTGAAGTTGGCTAAGGTGATGACTCCAGCTTTGTTCTTTCTGCTTAGGATTGCTGTAGCTATTCAGACTCTTTTTTGGTTCCATATGAATTTTGAAATCATTTTTTCTAATTCTGTGAAAAATGTCTTTGGTAGTTGGATAAAAATAGCACTGAATCTGCAAATCACTTTAGGCAGTATGGCCATTTTAATCATATTGATTCTTCCTATCCATGATCCATGAGCATGGAATGTTTTTCCATTTATTTGTGTCATCTCTGATTTCTTTTTCTTTTCTTTTCTTTTCTTTCTTTCTTTCTTTTTTTTGAGATGGAGTCTCACTCTGTCACCCAGGCTGGAGTGCAGTGGCATGATCTTGGCTCACTGCAACCTCTGCCTCCCAGGTTCAAGCGATTCTTCTGCCCCAGCCTCCTGAGTAGCTGGGACTACAGGCATGTGCGACCACCCCCGGCTACTTTTTTGTATTTTTAGTAGAGACGTGGTTTCACCATGTTAGCCAGGATGGTCTCGAACTCCTGACCTCATGATCTGCCTGCCTCGGCCTCCTAAAGTACTGGGATTACAGGAGTGAGCCACCGCGCCTGGCCCTGATTTCTTTGAACAATGCTTTGTAGTTCTCATTGTAGATATCTTTCACCTCCCTAGTTAGCTGTATTCCTAGATATTTTATTCTTTTCGTGGCAATTGTGAATGGGATTGCATTCCTGATTTGAATCTTGGCTTGTCTGTTGTTGGTGTATAGGAATACTAGTGGTTTTTGAACATAATTTTGTATCCTGAAACTTTGCCGAAGTTGTTTATTAGCTGAAGGAGTTTTTAGGCCAAGACTATGGGGTTTTCTAGATACGGAATCAGGTGGTCTGCAAACAAGGGTAGTTTGACTTCCTCTCCTCCTATTTGGATGCCCTTTATTTCTTTCTGTTGCCTGATTGCTCTGGCCAGGACTTCCAATACTATTAGGTTGGTGCAAAAGTAACTGTGGCTTTTACATTTACTATAATGGCAAAAACTGCAATTACTTTTGCACCAACCTAATACATTGACTATGAGGAGTGAGAGAGGGCATCCTTGACTTGTGCCAGTTTTCAAGGGAAATGCTTCCAGCTTTTGCCCTTTAAGTATGATGTTCTCTGTGGGTTTGTCATGGATGGCTCTTACTATTTTGAGCTATGTTCCTTCACTGAGAGTTTTCAACATGAACTGATGTTGAATTTTATTGAAAGCCATTTCTGCATCTATTGAGATAATCATGTTGTTTTTGTCTTTAGTTCTGTTTATGTGATGAATACCATTTATTAATTTACATATGTCGAGCCAACCTTGCATACCAGGGATGAAGCCTACTTGATTGTTGTGGGTTAGCTTTTTAATATGCTGCTGGATTTGGTTTGCAAGTATTCTATTAAGGACGTTTGCATCAATGTTCATAAAGGATATTGGCCTGAAGTTTTTGTTGTTGTTGTGTCTCTACCAAGTTTTAGTATCAGGATGATGCTGGCCTCATAGAATGAGGTGGGGAAGAATTAGTTCCCTCTTCAATTTTTGGAACAGTTTCAGTAGGAATTGTACCAGCTCTAAACACCCACATCTTTTACATCTCTTTGTACATCTGGTAGAATTCTGCTGTGAATTCATCTAGTCCTGCCCTTTCTTTAATCGGTAGGCTATTTATTACTGATTCAATTTTGGAGCTCATTATTGGTCTGTTCAGGGAATCAATTTCTTCCTGGTTCAGTCTTGGGAGGGTGTATATGTCAGGAATTTATCCATCTCTTCTAGGTTTTCTAGTTTCTGTGCATACAGGTATTCATGGTAGTTTCCGATAGTTATTTTTATTTCTCTGGGGTCAGTGGTAACATCCTCTTTGTCATTTCTAATTGTGTTTATTTGGATCTTCTCTCTTTTCTTCTTCATTAGTCTAGCTAGTAGCTTATATATCATTAATTTTTATAACAAACCAACTCCTGGATCTTTTGGAATGGTTTTTTTTTGTGTCTCAATTTCTTTCAGTTCAGCTCTGATTTTGGTTATTTCTTGTCTTCTGCTAGCTTTGGTGTTGGCTTTCTCTTGCTTCTCTAATTCGTTCTGTTGTGATGTTAGGTTGTTAATTTGAAATCTTTCTAACTTTTTGATGTGGGAGTTTAGTGCTATAAATTTCCCACTGAAGGCTGATTGAACTGTGTCCCAGAGATTCTGGTATGTTTTATCATTGTTCTCATTAGTTTCAAAGAACTTCTTGGTATCTGCCTTAATTTCATTACTTACCCAAAAGTCATACAGGAGCATGTTGTTTAATTTCCATGTAATTGCATGACTTTGAGCAATTTTTGTAGTCTTGACTTCTATTTTTACTGTGCTGTGGTCCAAGAGTATGTTTGATATGATTTCAGTTCTTTTGCATATGCTCATTGTTTTATGTCTAATTGTGTGGTCGATTTTAAAGTATGTGCCATGTGGTAATGAGGAGAATGTATATTCTGTTGTTGGGGACAGAGTTCTGTTGAGGTCTATCAGATCCATTTGGTCCAATGTTGAGTTCAGGTCCTGAACATTTTTGTCAATTTTCTGCCTCAATGATCTGTCCTCAAAAATACTGTCAGTGGAGTGTTGGAGTTTCCCACTATTATTGTGTGCGAATCTAAGTCTCTTTGTAGACTAAGTCTCTAAGAACTTGCTTTACGAATCAAGGTGCTCCTGTGTTGAGTATATATATATTTAGGATAGTTAGACCTTCTTATTGAATTGAACCCTTTACTATTATGTAATGCCCTTCTTTGTCCTTTGTGATCTTTGTTGGTTTAAAGTCTGTTTTGTCTGAAATTAGGGTAGCAACCCCTGCTTTTTTACTAATTTCCATATGCTTGGCAGATTTCCTCCATCCCTTTATTTTGAGCCTATGGGTGTCATTATATGTGAGATGGGTCTCATGAAGACAGCATACCATGAGTCCCTTGTATTTAATGCAAGTTGTTTAACTGTAAGTTTGAATAATTTAATTTGTAACAATTATTGTGTTTAACGAATAGCTTACAAATTCTTGAAAATCTGACAATTGCTCCCCGGCAAACTGGTACAAATCTAGCATAACACTGGTCCTTCCTCTTTAGAGAGCAGTGAGGGTAGGAAGTGGGAAGAAGAGATTGGGATACGATTGTGAATATTAAGTTGATTTTTTTTCTCAAGTTACAATTTTTAAAAAATCTGTTTTAGACTTTTGCCAAGATCAGAGACAATCTCCTAAGTCTTCAGCAGGCAGTTTCTACCATCCTTGCCATGAAAATGTTTTCATCTTTAGTATTGATTATGATTCAAAGATTTCATCATTCTATCTTTTCTAAATAATTTTTTAGACTACAAGAATCACAAGTTAAAGAGAATGGGGAGGAGAGGATTGTAAGATATAGATATTTAATGAAATCCACAAATAGAAAAAAATGTTTAGTTGCATCATATTAATCTGAACTGCAGAGCTCCATAAGAAATGGAGAGAGGTTGGTTAATGGCTACAAAAATACAGTTAGATAGAAGGGAAAAGATCTAGTGTTCAATAGTGAAGTAGAGAAAGGTAGTTCACAATAATATGGTGCAATAGTTCAACATAGCCATAAGCTAACAATTGAAGTGTTCCCAACACAAAGGACAAATGTTTGAGATGATGGATATCCCAGTTACCCTGATGTGATCATTACAACATTGTATGCATGTATCAAAATATCACTTTCACTCCATAAATGTGTGCAACTTTTTAAATGTATCCACTTTTTAAAAGCTAAAATACATATTTTTTAAAAGGAATCAGAGCTGCTCTCTTCTCTCTGGGGCCTCATGGTATCACCTACCTCTGTTGACCAGGCCAATCTATTTACTCTCCAGATTGCATATGTCCCAAAATGGCAGCTACAGGCATCAAGGATTAGACATTTTCGCTCCTCTTTCCACTTGGGAAACCCACAAGGATTTCTAAACTCCGAAGAAAAAAAATTCACATGGTTCAAGTCTTTTTTCTTTGGCAGGCTACTGGTCAGCATACAAATGGGGTTCCTCAGATTGAAACACTTCTGGTTCCATTAGATGTGACTCTAGCAGAGTTGTGGGAAGGGATAGGGTCAGAGGAACATCCAGGACTATGGGCAAGGACAGCTTACACATTCGGGAGCTGTGAATAGAAAAACATAATGATTGACATTTTTAGCATAGTATTCATAGGCTTTTTCATTAAAAAGAAGAAGCATTATGAAATATTTCAAACATAGAGGAAAATAATATAATGAGTAACTATGTTTTGTCATGCACATTTAACTAATTTGAGTACATCAATTTTTGGTTCAGATTTTTATAGATTTTAAAGAAATAAATTACTTTAAATATAATTAAGTCTTCATATGCCCCCTTTCCTGGTCTGATTCTGCTCTATCATTCTCCCACAAAAAAATCACAATCCTGTATGCTTATCCTTGTTTTTCTCTATCAGTGAGCAATATCCGTCATTGCTTCATAATTTTTAAGTTTTCATAAATGATACCAAGCCATATGTGCCATTCTGTATTTTTTGTCAGTCAACATTATGTTTTTGAGATTTATCCAACTGAACATGTGGGTATGATTTGCTATTTTATCTCTAGGTAGTATTCCATTGCATGAATATATTGCTATTTTCATTCATTCATTCATTCTATTGGTGAAAAATTAGGTTGTTGCCAATTTTTGCTATAAAAAAATACTGCAATGATTATCCTTGTAGCCTCATGTACCTGGGCAGAATTTTCTCCAGGATACCAAGATGTAAACTTATTGGATTATAAGGTATATATCTCATTAATATTACCAGATAATGCCAAATTACCCTCCTAGGGTTGACCAGTTTACATTCCTATGAGCAGGTCATGTAAGTTTCGGTTTCTCCAAATCTTTGCCAACATGGGTTATTTTCAGACCTCAAAATTTTTCTTCAATATGATGGGAGTAAAATGGTGTGTCATTTTTCCAGTTTTCAATTCCCAAATTTCTAGTGAAATTGAGCATCTTTTAATATGTTTCTTGGTCATATTTTTGTGAATTGCTTATTCACATATTTTACTATTTTTTAATGAGTTACTATTTTATTTTTATGGTTTTGTATAAGTGAATTATCTCTTCCATTTAGTAATCTATTGTATGTTATATGCAAATACATTTTCCAACTCTGTTTTTGGCCTGTTTTTTTTAACTTTTTGTAGAATAATTTTAATTATAGAGACATTGACATTCTAACATAATCTATATTTTTAAGATTTTCATTTAAGACTTTTTAATTTCCTACTTTGATGATGTAAAGATATGCTTCTGTACACTGTTATGTAAGTTTTAAAGTTTTGATTTCACATTTGTGTTTTTTATCTATATGAAAGTTACATTTTCTGGAGGCTGAGGCAGGAGGATCACTTGAGCCTAAGAGTTCAAGTCTGCAGTGAGCTATGATTGTGCCACTGCACTCCAGCTTGACCAACAGAGTGAGACCCTGTTCTAAAACAAACAAACAAACAAATAAAACAACAAAAAAAAGAAAGTTACATTTTGTATGCTGTGAAGTAGGGGGTCTAACTTTATATTTTTCTTGCAGAAAATCAACTCATCCAGCATGATGTAACAAATAAATAGTCCATGATTTCCCCATGGAATTGCTATGCTATCTCTATCATGAACTTGCTTTCCATATGTCTGGATCTTTTTCTGAGGGATCTACTCTGTTCAAATAGTCTATTGATCATTGTCTGACCCAAAGGCACATTCTCTTAAAATACTGTAGCATTAAATTACAGCAATCTCCCCTTATCCATGAGGAGTAAGTTGCAAGACCCCTAGTGGATGGTTGAAACTGCAAAAAGTACCAAAACCCATACTATATATACTATGTCTTTTCCTATGCGAGTGTACCTATGATAAAGTTTAATTTAAAACTTAGGTACAGTAAGAGATTAATAACAATAGTAAAATAGAACAATTAAAACAATATGCCACTATCACTAGTCTTCTGCTTTGGGGCCATTATTAAGTAAAATAAGGATTACTTATAAACATAAGCACTGCAATACCATGGATACTCAGACAATGAATTTCATAACCAAGATGGCTATTAAGTGATTAAGGGGCAGGTAGCATATTCAGTGTGGATATGCTGGACAGAGAGAGGATTCATGCCAGGCTGGGACAAAGTGGGATGGTGTGAGACTTCATCACCGTACTCAGAATGGTGTACCATTTAAAATGAACAGTTATTTATTTCTGGAATTTTTCACTTAATACTCTTGGTATACTGTTTGACCGCTGTTAACTTAAACCACAGAAAATGAAACTGTGAGTAAGGTAGGGCTGCTGTAATTTTTCATAGCTGATAGGACAAGATTCTGTACCTAGATCTTTTTCTTCACTATTACCTATATCTTCTCTGTCTTTTAATTTCTTGTGTGACTTTTAAGATTGGTCTGTCAATTTCCACAAAAATCTCTATAAGAATTTTGATGAAATTATATAGAATTTATATTCAGGAGAATTGGCATCTTTGTTATACTGTACTATTCCGTCCATGGGTATAACATATTGTATAATATACTTAATCTTTTATAAACTTTAAAAATGTTTTATAGTATTCTCTACAAAACTCTGAAACATCTTTTGATATATTTATTAGTATAGGTTTTTATGTGAATGATCTTTATTCTATACTTTTAAAAATAGTTATTTTGCTATCTAGGAATACAATTGATTTTCATGTTTGATTTTTAATGCAGCAACACTACTAATCTCTCTAATTTTTAATGTATCTGTAGATTATTCAAAGATTGTCTACAATCATATACTCTACAAATAAGAATAATTTTGTATCATGCTTTCTAAAATTCTTTGAGCCTCTGATTTTGTTGGTTTTATTGCATTGCCTTGGGTCTTTAATTCATGTTGAATACCAGGATAATGACAGCCATTCTTGACTTGTCTCGGACTTTAGTAAGAATTTATTTAAAATTTCACAGTTAGGAATAATGTGTGCTGTATGTTTTTTGTTAAATGACTTCTATTAGGTTAAGAAAAAGTCTTCTCATTCCTTGTTTACTAGGATTTTTTTAAAAAAACATGATTGTGTATTTAATTTTATCAAATCTTTTTCTGCCTCTATGGAGATGATGCTATGATTTTGTTCTGTGTTCCTTTCATGTGAAATATTCATAGATTTTCTGACGTTAAACTATTATTGCATTCTTGGCATAAACTCTACTTGGTAATGCTTTTTTAAAATGTATTGCTATACAATTTGCAAATGTTCCATTCAATTTTTCTCATTTATGTTCACTTGTAAGAATAGTCTATAATTTTCTTTTGTTGTTGTGGTTGTCATTATGTTCTTTTTTACACTTATTTAGCATTGAATTTCTTTGTGCTTTGGGAATTTTATGAATATCTTACTTTCTTTGAGACTTTCCTCTCTTTCTCTTCCTCCCTCCATCTCACTCTCCTTAGCCCTCCTTATCTAAAGATTTTGCTGTTGCCTCTACTGAGGGCCTCACCCAAGACTGCCAGTCCAACAATACCTTTAATAGGGGATTATGCTCCTGCTCCATGGTGATATTGGGAATATCCAAGAGCCAAGCCTCCAAGCTAGTGATAGTTTGGCTCAGTTGCTGCCTGTAAGGTGAAGCCAGTGTTTCCAGCCTTCCTGGGCCACAACTCAATAGTCCCAAGGACAGCGAACTTTTTCTGCCTCCTTTGAGAAACTGAGAAGACCTACATTAACTCCTGGTTTCAAGTAGTAAGCCCATCTTCAGATACCTACTTAATATGAAGCATTTTTACTTTGTAGTAAACTACAGTTGCTAAACTCCTAGCCCTCCCTAATTCTAGTCCTTCCTAGCCCTGATTCCAGATGGAAGCCCAGGTGGCTAAGGGCTTCACCTTCACCCCCATCCCATCCCCTGTTTATCTCCTTAGTTTTCGGTTTAACTTATGATCTGTAGAATGATGTATACACGCACACATACACACATACAGGCATGCATTTTAAATCTGGAATTAGGTTTAATCTCCAAATGAACTAAGGAGTGTTTCAAGAATGTTAGGTTTTTAATTAAAATTAGAAATCTATGTAATTATCATGTTCTGTAGTTCTGGGCCTTTGAAGACATTTTTAGTTAAATGAAACTTCATTGTATTGGGGTGGAGAAGCCAGTTAGCCCTAGTTTAGCCACAGACCCTCAGGAACTATCAGGGGTGGGGAGTGGAGGGGGTCACTATGAAAGCAGGAAGGTGGAGATAGGGTGCTGTTTGGAGAGAAGTTCTGAGTGGCATACATAGAATGTGGCATGTGGCAGAAAAGGAGTGGTGACTATAAAATACTGTGTAAGTGATGAGCTTTCTTTCTCTACTCATATCTTGTAAACTTCAATACATTAATTTCAAAAATATGTATCAACATGTACTATTTGTCAGACACTGTGCTAGGTGAAGTCAATAAAAAAAGACAAGACAATGCCTATTCCCTTAAGGAGCTTATATTCCAGTGGAAAAGGTAAAGTGAAGATAGGGCAGAATAGCTGTAAGGGAATATTTCCTCAGTAAGATTTGACATAGCATTCCCTGTGTGCTGGTACCCAAAGTCACATGCCTAGAAGACAGGACTAGGTTCCATGACTCAAAGTGATCACATCATGAACTTCTCAATCTTCAACTCTCAGGGTCCAGCAGCCAAAGGAGAGAATGAAATTACTCAGCTTAGAAGGGTTTTCTCAATACCAAGATATGAGAAATCTGAATGAGTGAGTGATGTTACCATTCATCTTTATGTTTTTTGGATTTTTGTGCTTGAAACTATATGCTGAGTCATTTCATGAATCCAGGCAGGCTGCATATAGCCAGCAGGTAAGGAATGAGCATTGCTGGTTCCAGACAACCTCAGCAGAGCAGTTAGAGCTGTACTTACTAAGAGTACCAGCAGGGTATAGAGCGTAAAGAGACCAAGCTTCCTAGAATTCCCATTGTGGCTCTCTGAAGCTTGTCCCAATTTGCTCCTCAGTAAAATAGAGAATTTAAGCCACCGCTTTGTGTTTGGAAGGGTTTAATTTAGACAAGTATCACTCAGATGGCCATTTTTTTTGTTCCATTCAAATTTCAACACATTTCCTTAGTCTTTGTAATTAAGGTTTTTCTAATTTCAACATATGTTTCCCAAAAGAGGCTTTCAATAATATTGAATATATGAACCATACATTGCTTACTTGTCTGTAGCCCCTTGAAATTTGCTCCACATTTTTTGGATGTAACTCCAAAAAACCCTATTTTTATTTCAAATTCTTTATATTCAGTAGTCTATTTCTGTAATAGACAAATTTAACTGTGTGTCATTCTGGAAAATAAAAACAGCTAAATCATGTGAGAAATGTTATATGCCTTTCCACACAATGATCCTTTACCAGGCACAGGAATCAGTGGAGGATCTGAACCTGTGGTTCCTCATGTAATTGATTCCCTGCCCTTTATAACTCTCATAAAGAGCTTGTCAGGTAGACAGTGAATCTAGTATTTAGAGGGTTTTTTCCTTTGTTTGTTTGTTCTAACATCATGGCACCTCAACAGAAGACAACTACTTTATCTGGTTCTCACCAGTGATCCTTCCTGCCACACTTCTGCTGGACTTCTTGAAAGATGGTTCTGTAGTGTACTTTATGGGTGATTTAATGAAATTTCACTGCTAGTTTTGACAATTGATTATTTTTACCTTACATGCTAACTTTAAACCCTAAATCCCATATGAACTGTGACTTGATAGCAATTCTAAAATTTCATCAGTAATATTTTAAAGCTGATAGCAAACACTTATAGTAATACTGTTTTATCTGGATAAAAATTCATTTATAACGTTTTAAAGTAGAAACATTCTAGTCCTCTTTAATTATGTCATTAAAATGAAGAAGAAACAGAAGTGGAAGCTAGGAGACACTATCAAGGGAAAAGCACTTTTCTGAGGAAACCAGAGAGTCCTACTTTGACATTTCAACACAGACCTTCAGGAGCCCTGCTGGTAATTGGTTTTTGTAGCTTTGTTATAGCACTAAGTCATGTTTTATGGACTCTTTTAATAGGAGAGCTTTGTTACAATGTATTAAAAAAGAAGACAAAGACAGGTAGCATCAATCTACCAAAAGGTCAAAGAGAAAAAAGCAGATGGACCTCTTCCCCTGAATCAAGTTAAAATGGTCCTGCCTATCAGAAGATAGCATCTCTTTATAGACACATATATATAATTTTTCCAGAAACAGGCACCTGCAATCAAAGTTCCTCCTTTCTATAGTTCCACACCACCACTGCCTCTAATCAGATGAGTCAGTAGGAGTTACAATGTGATTCCAAACTGCAACCGAAATATAACTTGGGATACTCAGAGGTCTTCTTCCTAATTTGCTTGTTTGGAGCAAGTCTGACTCATTCACAGTATCATGGGCAATCACTTCTTGGCCTTTTGGCTATGATCAAGTGTAGTATCATGGGCAGCGGCTTAGTGAGGGTTGAACCGAGAACTTTTATCTGTTCATCTCCTAAGAAAATAATCTGCTCTATTCCCTTCTGTGAATAAAAAAGAAAGAAAATAATATGTTCAAAGATATCAAGTCCCTAACAGATACATTATAATATTAGCCATTGACCCGCTTTTGTAACTAAAGTTAATGGCTACAGCTCAGGCTATGCGTGTTGGACCTATTTGGTTTCTAGCCTTTTCTTAGTATTTTCTTTACAAACTCCTTGTGCAATTTTTTTTCCCTGGTGGAGCACATGCCTTGAAGGACTTAGCCTACTAAGTAAATAGTTAATTAACAATAAATGTTATAATTTTTATTAATCAAAACTGGAAATTGCCAATCAGAACTTTGATTTGGCTGATGTCATATGTGAGTTGTTACAATTCCATAAAAAAACAAAGAAACTTCACATTTTCAATTAGATTTAAAAAAAAAACGCAGGCCATTTCCTTTGATATATGTAATACATAACTAATAATTATGATGTAATCTGGTACGTGAATGTTAAAGGGTAGACATACATGTTGTAGGGGAGTTTCTATTCAGAGAAACTGAAAAAGCATTATAAAATTCCCAGTTACATCTTCCCTTTTATGTACAAGCTTCAAGCATCAATTACTTATCCCAGAGTTCTGTTTAATTTTTCTTTACCAGAAAACACAGTTAACTAGCTTATGTCAAAAGAACATCAAGCTGAAGTTAAAGATCTGTTGCTTTCAACATGTAGAATGGTTTCCTTCTTAAATCTGTGCTTATTACTAGAATCCTATCTATCATTTTTTCATTTTCCATTCATTTTTATAAAATAACAACAAAAATACAATAAGCTACTCAGATAATTGACAAATAAACGCTGCTTTGCAGAAAACATTGGCATTGCCGTGAAATCTGATTGGCAAGCAGCACCACATAAAGAAAACTTGAAATGGTTCTTTGATAAGCTAAGGCACAAGTCTGAATTTGACACAGGAAAGGAAATTTAGGGATTTAAATGTATAGTATACAAAAATACAGGTCATTTGAAAGTTAAACTTTTAAAACTTGAGCACCACATGTATTGGAAGTAAGACACAGACTTTTCACAGATATTTCAGGCCTTGGGCTAACAACCCTAGGTAAAAACAAACAAACAAATCAACAAACAAAACGAAGATAAATACTTCAGAGTGATGCAAGTAGCTACATAGTAGAAATTTATTGTTTTGAGCATTTATTAGGTGCCAGGCATTAAAATGAGTATTTTATACCAGTGATTTTTCCTAATTACCTGATTTAATCCTATCAATAACACCACAAAATAAGGATTACATTTTATAGAAGAAATTGAAGGTCAAAGAGGAATCATTTTGCCCAAGATCACATGTAACTAGAAAATGGAAGAACTAGAATCAAAATCAAGTCTGAGACCAAAACCCATGCTTTCTTCCACACTGACTTGCCTCCTTCTTAAGATTGTCTATTAAAACTAAATAAAATTGTTACATTTCCCCAGACTTCTAACTTCACCTTGGTATGTTTTCTTCAAAGCCCCATTCTAGAAAATTTCTTAGACAATGGTTAGCAGGGTCCTGTTTGTTGCCTATATCAAATGTATAAAAAGCAATATTGTTTTAACTACTGTTAATTCTGGAGAAGACTTGGACAGAGCAGTGTCTTCCAATCAGACTTGTCTAAACAACATTTGAATGCAACACATTGTCATTTCAGAAGAAAATGATGCAATTTACTTAGTCGTCAGCAACCATGAGGTCTTCAGGAAGACAGATTAAAAGAAGTAACATTGCTGGAGCCTGGCCTTTTGGTCCATTACATCATTGACTCTTCACCATAATCTTTTAGGTAGATATCATGATTACCATCCCACAGATGGTCTTAGAGAAGTTAACAAGATCAAGTTAACACACTGGGTACTTGAACCCAGCCTCTGCCCTTAGAGGCTCACCTCATGATACAGAGTATGAGAAGCCTTGGTGCATGCACCTGCAGAGAGAAGAAGAGGTAATAGACCTCTTCTCTGGCAGATGTGTGTCCCTCTACTACCAAATATTGCTGTTGTCTCATGTTCCCCCAAAGTTTGTTCTGCTTCTCATTCATTAGTATACACAATCTCATAGTTTCCATTTATTGTACAACAGTCTGTGCCAGTTACTTGACTATGTTCCTAATGTATATTATGTCTGGATAAATATTTGTTGAATGAATATAAGACTTTATACATCATTTAATGATCAGAACAATATTATGAGGCTTACATTACTATTTTCACATAGGTGGAAGGCAGAGGTGAATCGAGGCCATGCAGTGTGAGTAGAGGATCTGGAATTTAAGCATCTACCAGACCCCAAAGCCTATCCTCTGCCCAGGAATGACTCTACGCAGAGATTACTCTTAATGGAGATTTTGCTTCTAGGCTCTGAGAATTAGATTTTATTACATTTGGTTTGGAAATCTATTTAACACTTGTCATGGTTTCCCCAGAAGCAGATCCTAGGGGAAGGATGAAAGTACATGTGGTTTATTAGGAGGTGATCCCAGGAAACATGAGTAAGAGAGTAGGGAAGTGAGTGACAAAAGGGAAGACAGCCAAAAAGGTCCATTATCCAACAAATTCACATTGTGAGCAACCAAACTTAATCCGGCTGGAGTGACTAGGACCAATTGCACAGGGGAGGTGGTGAGGAGAACACTGTCATGTGGAAACAGCTTAGAATAGCGCTGAAAAATTCCAGGTCACCTACAGTTTGGTTAGAACAGCTCGGGGTATCATTCAGCAAGTAATTTACCTATAGTGAAGATCATCCTAACCTTTGAAATTTTCCTAAGAGAATGTTGTTGAAAGACATAAAAGAAACTCTGAAGTATGCCTGCAATCCCAGCACTTTGGGAGGCCGAGGTGGGCAGATCACCTGAGGTCAGGAGTTCGAGACCAGCCTGGCAACATGGTGAAACTTCATCTCTACTAAAAGCACAAAAAATAGCCGGGCATGGTGGCAGGTGCCTGTAATCCCAGATACTTGGGAGGCTGAAGCAGGAGAATCGCTTGAACTTGGGAGGCAGAGATTGCAGTAAGCCAAGATCGCCCCACTGTGCTCCAGCCTGGATGACAGAGCAAGACTCTGTCTCAAAAAAATAAAAAAAAAAAAGTCAAATTAATTTCTCATCTGCAAATTCAAAGGAAATCTAATAAAAATCCCAACAGGATTATTCATAGGACTTGATAAACTCATTTGAAACTCCATATGGAAGAACAAAAGTCCCAGAATAGCCAAGACAATTTAAAAAATAAAATAAAGGTTAGGCAAACTTTCTATGAATAGACAGCTAGACTTACCAAGTTGCAGCCATTAAGGTAGTATGTATTGTCCCAGGGATGCTGGACTAGGATAGAGATCTCAGACATGGACCCATAGAGGGCCCTGGTAAACAAAAGTGGAGGTCATGAGACATCAGTGGGGAATGGTAGATTGTTCAGTGCTGTGGATCTGTTGGTTTTTTGTAAGGAGGTAAATTAGGAGAGGATTTTACTTTTTCCCATATAGAAAGCCAACTGCCCCACCTCACTGATGGAGATGTAGTCACTGGGGCAGTTTCCAGGGCTTCTGGATTTTCTGCTGCACCATTGTTAGCATTATTTCCAAGGAAAAAACAAACTTCTGTGGAATGGTGTTACTGTACACATTTATACAGTGGTTGAAACAAAGGTAAAGACGTTGGAGCCCCACTTGCTTAGCTTCCCCTTGATACACCCACCCCCAGCATATCCATAGGAACAGAGGCCCATTTTCTCATTAAAAAATGGAGCAGAAAAGACAACAATAACCCAAGGATACTCCCTTCTGTATTTCCTTTGGAAACTTGGAGTCCAAAAAACCCAGTTTTACTCTTCATTTAGAATCCAGTGTTGAGATACACCTATTTAAAACATTCCATGGACCCTCCTCTCGTATATTTTGTCCACTTCAAAATGCATGGCAAGTAAGGCTTCATCTTACATGAGCACTACAATCCACTGCAACAGTGGTTCAAATGATCCTAAAGCCACAGCGCAGCTATTGAAAAAGAAGGGCAGAGTCATGTCTGCCATAGGCACACTAGGGGAAGGTGATGGCATACTTGCCAAGAATTTATCCTTCTTTAACTGACATGTTCCTATCCAAAAATAAAAACATGATTATTACATCATTAACCCAGGGAGCTTGATATTAATATTGAAAATAGTAAATCACTATCAATTTCTGCACACAGAGTATTTTTTCTTAAAGCATCTATGCCACACAAACTAGATCTATACATCATATCACAGCTCTTCTTAAGTGATGGGAAAAGGGTACCCTCAAGAGTTAATTGCCTTGAGCAAGCCAACAGTTGATTAGGAAATATGGTGTTCAGCCCAAGGTTTCCCTTCTCAGTACAATAGACCATTATGTATGACCATTTTTTAAAATGGTATAACTATCATTGATTATCATCTGAAGCTTTATTACTTTTTAACAATTTGGACAATTTTTCCCATGCAGGAAAGTTGGAGGACAAGCTAAACCCATCACATCATTTTATTTATTGAGTGTATTTATACTTCAACTCTTTCCAGAAACAAGTTGAAACTGCTTACCACAGAGCCAGATATAATCTCGTTAACAGCAAAATAAAGATTGGTAATTTTTTTTTTCCCAAAGAAAGCTAAATTGTATTTAGTCAGTATTTCTTTAACTGGTTTCCTTTAACATGAGAGCTATGCATAGCTTTGCAATGGCATAAAATAATGTTTCAGCTGTCACATAGAAAAAGTGCTTCTGAAGGCTGACCACAGTGGCTCATGCCTATAAACCCAGCACTTTGGGAGGCCAAGGTGGGCAGATCATTTGAGTCCAGGAGTTCGAGACCAGCCTGACCAACATGGTGAAACCTCTGTCTCCACTAAAAATACAAAACATTAGCCAGGCATGGTGGCACATGCCTGTCATCCCAGCTACTAGAGAGGCTGAGGGATGAGAATCACTTGAACTCAGGAGTCAGAGGTTGCAGTGAGCTGAGATCACACCACTGCACTCCAGCCTGGGCAATAGAGTGAGACTCTGACAACACAATATCTGACCCAAAGAGTAAAGTAATAAATGAAATCTTATTAAAGTGCATGCAATTGGTTTTCTTAAAAATGAAGCCTCTGTTTGGGGCAGGTTTTTTTCTAAATAAGCCAACATTTGACTTAATTGCACATAGATCAGGAGAGACTTTTGTGAAGCAGCTAGCAGAGTATGTGAATCTCTCCCTACTCAAAAGGTTTGTCCCCATTGTCCAAGGTTCCAGATTAGGCATCCACCTCAGAACTGCACAGTGTTTATTTTTACTTACTTGTTTTGATGGTAACAACCAAGCATTTGACCTCATCTCATTTGTTTTGATTCCCACTCCAGGTGAAATTTGAAAGCTAACATGGAAATGCATGTTCTATCAGGAGAGTTAAAAGAAGAGAAAAAAAGTTACCAATACTCCTAGCCTCTGTAAAAAGAGATCTCTGAGACCCTACAAAAGAATCCTAAATTTGAAAAGCTATTCAAGAATGTATTCATCCACTCATTCATCCTTCTATCTATTTAGTAAATGCTTACTGCATGCCTACTCTCCTTAGGATATGGAGAAGGATGAATTGCAGAGATATCTGTTAGAATATAAACTCCCTAGAAGGTGCCAAGCTGGCTCAAGGCAATTAACTGTCAGATATTTATTTGTGAATTACAGACTCTGGCTTAACCACGGAATAATGGAGGATCATAAGCTAGCTTCCATTTGCTATTCAGAGCCTTTGTGAGTTGATTATATCTGCTCAGAGAATGCAAATTCCTTTATAAATCTAAGGTTGTGACTACTGAAAGTAACTTTCATCATGTATTTCCACTTCTTCATTCTATAGCTGAAGAAACAGAAGACCTGGAGGTAATAAAGTGATTTGTTCAAGTTACACAGCTAACCAATGATGGAACCAAGACTAGAATTCTTGGTAATATGCTCTTTTCACTACAGAGAAAATGAGGGCATAAAATCTGCAACATAATTATTTAAATGTATTTCTAGTCCAGTTGCATTTATTTGTTTGCTTGTTTGGTTTCCTCCTACTTCTTACAAGTTTCTTCTTTTAAATTTTAAATACTTACAGTGTAATATGATAAAAATAATAATTGATGGACCAGGTATGGTGGCTCACACATGTAATCCTACCACTCTTGGGAGTCCCATGAGGGAGGATCACTTGAGGTCAAGAGTTTGAGACTAGACTGGGCAACGTAGTGAGACACCATCTCCACAAGTAATTTTTTAAAATTAGCTGGGCAGGGTGGTGCATGCCTGTAGTCCTGGCTACTAAGGAGAGTGAGGTGGGGGGATTGCAGTATAATAAGATAATTGAAATACTTACAGTATAATAAGATAAAAATACTTACAGTATAATAAGATAAAAATAATAATTGATGGACCAGGTATGGTGGCTCACACGTGTAATCCCACCACTCTTGGAGCCCCACGAGGGAGGATCACTTGAGGCCAAGAGTTTGAGACTAGACTGGGCAACATAGTGAGACCCCATCTCTACAAGTAATTTTTAAAAATTAGCTGGGTAGGGTGGTGCATGCCTGTAGTCCTGGCTACTCACGAGGGTGAGGTGGGGGGATTGCTTTAGCCCAGAAGTTTGAGGCTGTTAGTGAGCTATGTTTGTGTCACTGCATCCAACCTGGGTGACAGAGCGAGACCTTGTCTTCAAATAATAATAATAATTGATGTAATCTAGAGTGAGAAAGAAGAGTGAGGAAAATCAAGTGAAGCAATAGGTAGCTTTAGTAAACTAAATGCACTGAAAAAGTTCTACACAGTTGCTAAAAATGGGCTACCAATTAATGCTGTACTTCCTAGCAGCAGAGAAAGGAAGAAAACATAAATTTTGGTTGGCATCAAATCAAAAGAGTCTAGACTCTCAGAAGAAATACAACTGCTCTCACCCTAAAGCCTCTATGAAATTTCTCCATTAGGGCCTCAGAAAAGACATTGCTTCTATTAATTCAGCAGTGAATTCTGACAGGTTGTTTCCTGAGCCATTCTGAAGGCCAGTGGGTGTACAATGCCCAGGACAATGAAAACATCTGGACAAGAAGCCAGGCCGGGCGCAATGGTTCACACCCATAATCCCAGCACTTTGGGAGGCCAAGGCAAACAGATCATTTGAGGTCAGGAGTTTGAGACCAACCTGGCCAATATGGTGAAACCCCATCTCTACTAAACATACAAAAATTAGCAGGGCATGGTGGCATGCACCTATATCCCGGCTATTTAGGAGGCCAAGGCACGAGAGAATCACTTGAACCTGGGAGGCAGAGATTGCAGTGAGCCGAGATCACCCCGCTGCACTCCAGTCTGGACGACAGAGTAAGATCTTGTCTCAAAAAAATAAAAATAAAAAGGCCAGAACATTATGAGTCCAGGTGTACAGCTCACTGAGGTCCCAGCTTTATTCAGGGCTATCCGGGATAACACTTACACCACCTAGAGCAATAATAAAGGATTTGCTTTGATTGGACTATTGGAGTGTGCCCAGACATTGTATTTTGGGTATTTACATATGTATCTTCATATCTTCTGTGTAAGCCCTATTTATTATCTCTTTAAACTGAGTTTTTAACAACGACTGTGAGATGGAACATTCAAGGTTATAAAGGTCATATATTCTGTCAAGAATTTGGGGAACAAATATTCAGTATTGCTGAAATTTTTCTAATGCTGACCCCAATAGCCTTTTATGAAAATTAATGTTTTACCAGAACAGAACATGCGTCAGAAAATGCTTAGAGGAGCAAAGGCAAATAAAACAATCCTTCAGCACACTGGATTTCTGAACCACTGCCCCATTCTCACCATTATCCCAGGTAATTGGTAATTTATACTATTCTGGAGCACTGCAATGCCAAGAGAGTGAGAAGTGTGAATGTTTTTACCAATTTTAAAGTTATAACAATGAGATAGTGCTACATGGCCAACGGGAGCCTAAGTGTAAATGAACCACTGTGGTTTTATGCATTGAAAGTTACAACAAAGCTGCCCTGTTGACATTGTCTGAGTGTACCTTTCATTATCTAAGGGTGGTTAGTTGTACTTACCAGATTTTGTGAATGACTGTGCTTCCTTTCCATAGCCAGGATGTCCCAGTATGTCCTTTCCCTTGGTTCTAGCTCCATATCTGCTTTCCTCTGGCATTTCCAGCAGTCTAATTTCCCTAGCATTCATGCTGATTCTCTGAAAGAAACAAGGGTCCTCTTTCTGATTCCTTTATAGCAGAGATTCTCAACCCCTAGTGCACATCAGAATCACCAGGGAAGCTTTGAAAAAGCCCTCCATCCAGGTTGCATTGACCTCAGCCACTCTTGGATGGAACTTTCACAAGACAGAGGTACAGCAGAGACCAGGAGAGGACACCATGAACATGGGCCCCAGATCCCTGGAAAGAAGGGATAGTGAGGAGGGAGGCTGATGAAGGAGTGAAGGACCTGTGCTCTAGAAGGGAGGAATGTAATTCTGTAGCCATGGCTGCAAATATATGGCAACCCCCAGACACAAAGAACCCTGCTCTTTCACCCCTTTCTGCACATCCTGCCTCCAGCCATCAGACCAGTCTGGCCTCTGAAATCCATTAACACTAGACTTAAATGACTGCTGTCAGAGAAGGTCCAAAAGAGAAAGAGTGAGCAATGAGACAACAAACCCTTATAGAAAGGACTGAGGGTGGGGACAAAGGTAGCCATGGAAGGAATTCCTCCATTCTAAACCAGCCTTGACCATGGCCTTGCAACTCTTGGACGATTCCCTTTTATGCCAGCCCTGTGTTGATGGTGTTTTGGAGAAGATGGTACTGTTGGTTGTATCTCCACAGTCCTTGAACCAGGGGCCCTCAAATATACTGGAGGGAAGATTGGTGGCTTGGGATGCAGAGGGGATAGAGTCAGAAGTAAGTCTCAGCTTTTCTCAGATTCCTCCCTATTTTGAGGCATAGCGCAGGTCCCAACACCTAGGAGTAGGATTTATCCCTCTCTGCCAGCACAATCCCCTAACCACAGAGGTTTGCCCCCACAAAAGACAATCATTACTCTCTTTAGACTCAGGCAGTGTGGGAGGGATATTCCTTGTGAGAAACAGACTGGAAAAATGAAAATGAAAATACTGCATTTCCATCTTTTCCTTGGCCCCATAAAGAAGTCACAGTTAATGGCATACATTTAGAAGTGGTTATTTTTTAATGGAAATTTTATCTACATGTTACCCTATGAAAATGTGGCCTGTTTACAAAGCAAGAAGGTCAGTGTGGCAGTGTAACCCAATCATGCTTTGTAAATGAGTCAACTTTTCACTGGGCTATTATATATCGCACAGCATTTACACACGCTTGTTAAATGTTAGACATTCAAGACCATCAAGTTTAAAACGTTTGGGTACCGTGATTATATTTTATCATTACTTGTTAAGCATCCATAATCTAATATTAGGAATTTATGTAGGAACTGGAAAATTACCATGGAGAAAACTCATTAGAGATAGAAATTTGGGGCTGGGTGCAGTGGCTCATGCCTGTAATCTCAGCACTTTGGGAGGCCAAGGCAAGAGGATTGCTTGAGACCGGGAGTTCCAGACCAGCCTGGGCAACCTGGCAAAACTCTATATCTATTTTAATTTTAATAAATAAATAAAATATAGAGATAGTAATTTTGCCTGAAGAAAGAATGTATCATGAGCTGAACCCTGCCCCAAGAGTGGCCATTTCCACTCTGAATTCCTTCATTTTCTAGCAATGTACATCACCAGTGCTAGAGTTAGTCTGAGAACAGCTGTGAAGGAGTTAGGAAAGATTAATGAAAACATTTTCAAAAACTCAAGTCAAGCCATTTTATTGGGAAATGGGAAAGTATTTATTTTAATCCCTTGTTTGTGAGCTTGGAAGGAAATAATTATTTGCAAATTGTGGAATAAGAACAATGTAATATTTCTTTCAGTCTCTCAAAACTCAGGCATTTTCCTCATGGCAGACAAAAGCCTATTCTTGTCTAGTTCTCTGTCCTCATAAAAGGAGGCTCCAGTGTGCGGGCTTTGCTTTTTCATGGTGGAGAATTATTTGGGGTTGTGAAACCTGGAGTAAAGAACAGAAGAAGAAGAGTCTCACATTTTGAAGGTGTAAGAATTGTAGGAAGTGAGGGGGCAGAAAATGAGACTGCTAGCTGACAGTTTTCTTTTTCTGAATGATAGCTTTAGGTCACATGCAATGATTAATTAAAATAAACATTTAAAATGTTAGAAAATAGTATGTACCCCATATTAAGGACCAATTATGAAACAAGCCCTTTATCTATTATACACAAGAATATTTATAACAAATCTACAGAGTGGCTAATATCCTCCATTTTACAGATAGAAAATTAAGTTCACATATATAATTACCAGCCTAAGGCCATACATCTAGAAAGTGACTCATCTGGAATTCAAACCCAAGCCTAGCTCTCTTACCAAATACTACTATCCCCTGATATTATCAAGAGTCACTAAAGGAAGTCAGGTGAGAATGGATCTTTATAATTATTTGTCTACCCATTCATTGATTCATTCATATTAGTCCCAGATTGCCTAACAGCAACATCACAGGCTTTGTCAAGTCTTAGACCTATCACTCGCTATCCTGGTGACCTTAGTGAAGTCACTTAACTCACTTAACTGTGGGTTATTGATTTAAAATAGCAATATTGTGATGGGACCAACTTCAAAGTGTTACAGTAGATTAGTGAAATGATCATTTGAAGTCCTTGGTTTGGTGCCTGGTATAGTAAGAACTCAATAGTTTTTATGTCAATGGTGGTGGTGATGACAATGATGATAATGCAGTGGTACTTGGAGTAGAGATGTCATTTCTCTACTAAGAAAAACCGACACTAGAGGGCTAAGTTAATGATCAGAGATCCTAGAATCCTGGAGCCCATAAGCATCTATAGGAGTCACTGTTCCTTGCCTTTGGCTGCAGATGGAACTGCAAACAATAGAGCCACATTAATGTGATGTGCTATGCATCTGGTTATTCACTGGCCCTTCAACATTAACAGTCTCTGTCTTGCTCATACATCTGGAAAAAGAGGGCAAATCTCACAGGCTCAGGCCCTGCAGACACCCAGATGATATGGTGGTGGGAGCATTTTCCAACATTCTCCACACCAAACTTAGCTTCTCTCCCAGGACGGTGCCCTCTCAGAACCCTTGCCAGTTTACTCACAGTCACCGACCCTCCAGGCTACGGGGAAATGAGGACACGGGGCCTGTTCAAGGGACTCCCTCTCAGCAGCCTTCATCCAGGTGTTTAGCACAGTGGAAACAGACAGCCATAGTTTCCTTTGGACAATTCGAGAAATTATTATTAAAGGGTGTGACACCCTCGATCTAGAAAACAGGTTGCCATAGGTTTTCTCAAGCAGTATTTGGAGCTCCAGGAGAGGATTTTGGAACCAAAGGGGAAACATGTTGGTTTCTTACCTGGCGAAGTCCTCTTCCCTCTCTCTAACCCCTCCACCTTCTAAGAGCACGTTGTCAGCTGCTCGCTCTGTCCCTATTCAGATGCTGCCCTGGAAGCCTCACTGTCATTACTCCACTTAGAATATGAGAAAGATCTCGACACTAACACCAGCTTCTTCAGCAGATTGATGACGTGGCTGCTAACAGGCTCTTCTCTTGGAGGTTTTCAATTTCAGCCAGAGTAAGAAGAGCTGGATAAGGACTTACAAATTCAGTTCCTTCTTCTTTCCATGTTCACTTGCACATGATGATTTTATTAAAGTGATATAGCATTTTTATTTGCCATGAAATCTTCATTCCACAATTTAAATGGGCTTCTGATGGCTTTACCTGTTAGGTGAACTTTTAGGAACTTTCATGACCCATGGTCTAAACTAGAAATGTTCGCCCTCTACTCTAGCTTAAAAATTGTATTTTAAAGACAGCACTAGGCTCTTCATGTGAAAATAAAGACAATATTGTAAAATGGTTGCTATGATGCTATTTTTTTCCTCTAAATTATGTCAATTTTGCTTTCACATTCCCATAAGGTGTGAGGGTTTGATGCTGGGTTCCACGTTGGGAAGATGGTGACAACACGCACTTTCTGCCACAGACCTGTGTGCACCTGGAGCCTGTTTACCACTGGGCAGAATTTGGAATAAGGGGCTGGTAGAGACGCAATACTTCAGGATACATACAAATTAACTGGCCCACAGCATCTAGTACTGGCATCTTTATTAATAAGATGGTAGAGGTCAGGCGCGGTGGCTCATGCCTGTAATCCCAGCACTTTGGGAGGCCGAGGCGGGCGGATCACGAGGTCAGGAGATCGAGACCATCCTGGCTAACACGGTGAAACCCCGTCTCTATAAAAATACCAAAAAAATTAGCCGGGCATGGTGGCGGGCGCCTGTAGTCCCAGCTACTCGGGAGGCTGAGGCAGGAGAATGGCGTGAACCCGGGAGGCGGAGCTTGCAGTGAGCCAAGATCGGGCCACTGCACTCTGGCCTGGGTGACAGAGTGAGACTCCGTCTCGAAAAATAAATAAGTAAATAAATAAATAAATAAATAAATGGAATTAAATGGTACAGGTGTTCCTTTGCGCTCATGAAATTTCCAAAGTATTAGAGATATAAAGTGTCCATGTGACTTGAGTGCTTATTATATCTAGACACTGTGACGTGGAGTATCTTATGTAATCTTCACAACAGCTCTGTCGTATAGGTACTATTATCTCCATTTTTGAGGGAACAAAGATGCAGAAAGGTGAAGTAACAGGCCTAAAATCATCAGCTATTGAATGGTGAAGCCAGTACTCAAACACACTTCACAGACCTCCTTTTTAGTCACCATGCTAGGCTGCCTCTGTGGGAGATCATGTGAGATCCTGACTCTTCTATTTACAAACTCTGTAATATTGCTCAAAATTGCCATTTCCACATCTGAAAAAGGAGAGTAGCAGTGGCTGCTACGTTAGGACTGCTTTAAGGATTGGAAGAGATTAATGTATATGATATGCCAAATATCTGTATATAGGCATTTGGTTTTTGGTAAGTACTACTAGGGCAAAGTGGTGAAACTCCCTGACTTCAGGAGCCCAATTTTCTATGGATTGTCCCTGTTTTGTCACTTACTCTTAGACTTCTGTTTCCTCCTCCATAAAATGAAAAGGTTGGGGTAGGGAGGTGTTCCCAGTAGAATGACCATAAGCTACTATGAGATTCAGGAATGGGAAATAAAATGATAAAAAAGAGAGTGAAGTTCACTGGCATCTCGCATCACAGAGGATGGAGAAAAAGGAGACTAAAAATTTTCTAGTTTGCCAGTGAGCTTGATAATACTACTAGTTCAATGACTCCGTAGTTAATGAAAACTGTATCTAATGTGTTTCCTGTTAATGCTTGTGGCAAATATATAAACAGTTTCAAGTAAATTCTCTTCTGTTTTCAGCATACAGTTTCTTTTTCAGTCCCATTCTACCAGGTATATATAGGATCCAAAAGAGTTGGTATCACTCCCCCACCCCACCTCCAAACACACACACACACACACACACACACACACACACACACTCTTTTCAAATTACTAAAAGGAAGTAACATACTTGCACATGCAATTTAGCTGATTACATGCAATTATAAGCATACATCTGCCATCCAAGCAGAGAGCTGCACTGGGTTCCATGCAAGGATAGGCAAAAATAGATTTATCTAAACCATGGTGGCCTAAGAATTATCGTACCAAATTTAAACTTTTGGAGGATATTCAGCTTTCCCAATGTGACTTCCTGTTTTGCAGAAAAGAGCTGGAAGAAATAATAATAAAAGAAAGCTCATATTCATTTCTGTTCACCAAGTGGCTTGTTCAAAACAACATTTTAATGATTTAAGTGTAAATGAATCAGAGGCATATGGATTAGATTTCCCTTAAAATGCACAAGATTTTTAAATGAGGGAGAGTGGAATAAAGAATTTCCCCAAATTTAGTGCTCCTTGGAATTGCCTTTTCTAATGTTATTAAAAATCGGTGGTGGTGGTGGTGGGGCGGGGTAGGGGTGCTGATTCACTTTGCACCGCCTTTGGCAAATAGGGGCGGGTGGGGACAAGGTTTCTAACATCTCCTTTAAAAGGAGGCCATACTTCTCCTTGGGCATCAACTAATTCATCCCAACCAGCATTTTTGATGAGTTAAGTGCAAATGAATCAGTAACATACGGATTGCATTTGAAATACACATGGGGTTTAAAAATGAAGGAAAAAAGTACTCGGTAAAGTATGTCTGGGGTTTTGCCAAACCCATAATGTTCAAAAAAAATAGTTTGAAACAATTGATGAATCCCTCCCAGGCCCTGCCAGCCTCACCAGGCACAGTAGAAGCATGGCTGTTTGGGTGATCACTCCAGTTACCTCTCCTTTAAACAACACTAGGGAACAGCCAGGTCCAAACGATGTCACCTGCTTAGTGCCTGGGTGGCTTCCTAATTTTAATATGCACATTTTCTACATGAAAGAGGATTAATTCCCAAATGACAGAGAGAGTTAACTTACTCCTCTTTTGAGAGCATGCAAATACAGTAGACTGTTCAGCCATTTGTTCTCCTAGATAAACATACAAGGTAATTGAACAGAGATCGGAATCTGTCCCTAAATGGGTTCTGCATCTTGCATTTGCTTTTTGGCTTCCTCATTTGGCACCTAAATTAAAAAGCAGTGACCTGGTGCTTAGCAGCCTGTGCAGAGTCCCACCCCTAAGCCAGTGGCACCCCACTTGTCACCTGTACGGACCTTGTTATCTTCCTTTCCTCCCAGATACTATATTTTGAACAATATTGTCTACACACCAGATGCTGTTATTGAGAAATAATTTTCTCATTTTCTTATTAATCAAAAACTGCCATTGTTAGAAGACCAACATGAAACACATTGAGTTGCTAGCATTTGAGTTAACAGAAAGAAAATATGTGTTAGTTCCCCTTTGCAGTTGAACCTGGGTAGCTCTATAACTCCAGTGAGTGTTTCTGACATTGTATTAGGGTTCTCTAGAGGGACAGGACTAATAGGATAAATGTATATATGAAAGGGAGTTTATTAAGGAGTATTGTCTCACACAATCACAAGGTGAAGTCCCACAATAGGCCATCTGCAAGCTGAGGAGCAAGGAAGCCAGTCCAAGTCCCAAAACCTCAAAAGTAGGGAAGCCAACAGTGCAGCCTCCAGTCTGTGGTCAACTGTCTAAGAGTCCCAAAGCTGAAGAACTTGGAGTCCCATGTTCAAGGGCAGGAAGCATCCAGCATGGGAGAAAGATAAAGGCTGGAAGACTCAGCCAGTCTAGTCCTTCCACGTTCTTCTGCCTGCTTTTATTGTAGCCATGCTGGCAGCTGATTAGATGGTGCCCACCCGGACTGAGAGTGGGTCTGCATCTCCCCGTCCACTGACTCAAATGTTAATCTCCTTTGGCAACACCCTCACAGACATACCCAGGAACAATACTTTGCATCCTTCAATCCAATCAAGTTGACACTCAATATTAACCATCACAGACATGTTGGGAATATCTCATAGAGAAGACCATTTCTCCCTGCCCAGGTCCCCAAGGGCCATGATTCTAGATGGAGAATCATTAGCCTAAGGGATCTGAAAGGCATTTCAAGATCAACGTGGAGAGATTTCCAGACCAGCTCCAGTGGAATTCTCTAGGTCCGAGCCCTCCAAGAATTCTGATATAATTTTAACAAATCTTTCCCAAATACTAGGCAGGTTGAAAGACTTGGTAGCTCTGAGAATCATCTCAGAGAGAAGCTAGAGAGGATTGAAGGCTCTACGACCCTCTCCCCAACACAGAGTTTCTGATGCCTCAGGGCAGTCACCAGCCTCTTCCTTCCATCTGGGGCATCCTGCTCCTCATTTGGAGTCTGAAGCCAGTTGGCCTGTTCCATTTAAGACTTCTGCAGTAACTTCAATGGTTTCAATCCGTCGCAGCCACCCAAACACCTATTTTATTTTCAAGAAAATTAAGTATATGTCGTCAAGGCTCGTTAAAGGGATTAAGAGAAATTTGATTTTATTGTTTCCCTGCTCTGTTTTTAAGGGTGAGATGGGGGAGGAGTGTTGGAGGGATTATTTGGAGATTTATATGGAAATTCAAAAGTTACCCATTTCAAGTCAAGACTTTCAGCAACCGTATTCCTGCATGTTTTTTTATCAGAGTAGGTGGGAAGGCAGTTTCTTTTGTAGCATTTGAAAATAAGTTTGCTCTATAAATTCCTACGAAGCAGACATAGCTCTGGCAAATGCCTCGGGAGAACGATCATCTTGAGACAGCCATAGAAACAGTTTGACATTAATGAAAATGTGCAAATGAGATAATAAATGAGGATGGAAGAACCATTTCAAAACAACCTGTGACCTTTTTTATTTTTTTCCTGCCATACCCCCTCACAGAGCAGTAACACAGCAAGATAGTTAGAGAGACGAGCCACAAAAGGAGTAACAACTACGGAAGAAAGAAGACTTTTCCCCCCTTTGTCTATGCCCTTTCCCATTGTCAAGCACCATTGTTAAGGTGCTTTTGTAACATTAAGCAGCTCTTGGAACTGAATTATGTCTGTGGCTTATGTACATTTGTGCTCGAATGACCAAACGTTAGCGGAAAGGTTGAGTCACAGAGGCACGAATATATGCTTAATTTTATTTCCGGAAAGCAATCAAACAAGGGCACTTAGGCCCTACAGTGGGGCCAACTCAGAAACAAGACGAACAAGTTCACAGGCCATTGCTGACATAAGATCGATTGGCCATCCTGGGCCATTTAGCAAACAGTTTACATAGGCAGCCTGGGTACTGGATGTAAACTAAATGAAAGCTATCGAGAGAATTCCCTATAAAGTGGACTTGATCTATATTAGGGAGCAGGCTAATTATAGGGATTGGCATATATGGATTCAAAGTGAAACACTATATGGGACTAGAGAGTGGTGGTCTTTTATACCAGGGTGGTCTGAAACTGGGGTTTAATGTATGTACAATATACAAACATTTTTGACAGACCATTAACACCTATAATCTTGTAAATATTTGCAATTTTCTAGATCATAAATATAGCTGCATAAGCAGTTCTTTCAGAACATCATTTATACACCATTAAAGGTTAATTTACAAGTTAGTACCTTATAGAAAGAAGATATGTGGGCTTTCTGCTAACTTTCTGTAAAGGGAGACTGGTGTCTCCAAAAGCAATTTGTAGCTCTCCTGTGGGTCTGACTGGAGTCCTATTCAAAGCACTATTTGAATTCTTTTCATCAGCTCATGTTCACAGCAAACTTAATCTTCTGTTTTAGGGGGAAAGAATAACAGAGGGGAGAGAAAGATCCGAGGTCTTCAGGCTATACTTCCAAGCATCCAACTGTTTATTTGAGCAGTCTCTTTTGATACCATTCTCATTTGTCATAGTCCCCCTGATACCTGCTGTTGTACCTTAACCTCCATCCCAAAGGACTTTCAACAGTTCTAGATTTAAAGACCCCTTCTAGGGGCCAAGTAACAATGGAAGTCTGACCTCTGAGGCTGCCATTGTGACATTACATTTTGTTAAAAATCAAAGAGAGCAAAGAAAGGAGGAGAGAAAGTGTTTTGTGTGAGACTCCCGTACCCCTCACTTTCCAGACAGGTAATACAGTACTGTAGTCCCACTGAAGATAACATAGAGACCCAAGTTCCTATAGGAGCTGTCCACCAATCAAGGTGACAGAAAGATGCCATGGAACTCTGGGAAAAGGATTGCTAAATGTTGGTCAAATCTGTGGAAAAGCCACAGAATAAAGTCAGGTGACCACAGTGGATTTGTGTTGTCTCTGAAGAGGCTGAGCTATGTAACTTACTCATATGCTGGAGCCTCTTCTCCTCTGCAGAAGGATTCCATTGATCTCTTTGCCCTTTTTCTGAAATATGAACAGCCAGGTCTGCTGGCTACATGCCTGCCTGGGCTGACATGGGCATCTTTTGTGCATCACAAGCCTACTCTGCCTGTTAGACCTCCCAAACTTACAGGATTCTCGCTATTTTTCAGCAGCTCTGGTTTTCAAGAGCTCATTAAGACATCAGAAGGAAATTTCAAGTTTGCAGTCTACATACACTCTCTTTCCCTCCTTTTCTATTGATTTGGGAACATTTCCCACACATATCTCATGTTCCCTGTGCTTTTCAGGCCCCTCAAAGTCAATGAGTTCTCAGGAATAACGAATAACAAGACAGCTCTTCCATACTCACAGCTCTTCAGCATAGTGAGCATAGAGCACTGACCTTGGGTTCTACAGGTTTGGATTCTAACCTTAGCTCTGCCACTTTCTGACCTTAGAAAAATGGCAGTCTACTTGGGCTTCAGTTTTCTCATTTGTAAATGACTACATTGGGCTGTTAACAATGACCTCAAAATTCCTTTCCATGATTCGTAGTCCATCTTATTTGGGACCCAGGAAACTTATTAGTGCTATATTTTCCCTCTACAAATACTTTGGGGTCTTTTTTCTTTTTTTTGGCATAAACAGCATTACCCTTCCCCAGCCCTCTAGCTCAGGCCATATCCTCATCTACTTTTTCACATTTTTATGTGATAACCCCATCTAAATTATACCCACTCTGAAAAGTCCCTCTTGACTCTCTCTGCTCCACACATCCCTTTCCATGCCAGTTTAATGTTATTTAAAAATAATAATAAATGTTGATATAGGCTCATGGGTTTTGTGGGAAGTAAAGAATCACAGGTATTCTGAGAACAATCTCAAGATTTGGGCAAACAGTGTTCTAGTAGTCCATTCTCATACTGCTCTAAAGATACTACCTGAGACTGGGTAATTTATAAACAAAAAGTTTAATTGACTCAGTTTCACAAGGCTGGAGAGGACTCAGGAAACTTACCATCATGGCAGAAGGCAAAGGGGAAGCAAGCACCTTCTTCACAAGGTATCAGGCGAGAAAGAGAGAAGAAGGGAACTGCCAAACACTTTTAAAACCATCAGTTCTCTTGAGAACACCATGGAGGAAACCATCCCCATGATCCAATCACTTCCCACCAGGTCCCTCCCTTGACATGTGGGGATTACAATTTGAGATGAGATTTGAATGGGGACACAGAGCCAAACCATATCATGTGCAATGTTTAATAAAGTCAAAATTTTAGGCTGTGGTTAGAGATTTCGGGAGCCTGAAAAGGACTTTCACAGCATGGAAGCCAAGTATAGGACTGTACAGCTGGCCTTCAGTATTCAAGAAGGATTGGTTCCAGGACCCCCATGGATACCAAAATCCATGGATGCTCAAATCCCTTATATAAAATGGCATAGTATTTGCATATAACATATACACATCCTCTTATTTACTTTAAATCATCTGTAGATTACTTATAATACCTAATACAATGCAAATGCTATATAAGTTGTTGTTATCCTGTATTGTTTTTATTTGTATTCTTTTTATTGTTTTACTGTCTTTTTGTTTTCAAGTATTTTCAGTCCTCAGTTGGTTGAATCCACAGATGCAGAACCTGTAGATATAAAGAGCTTACTCTATTGGCAAAGTAACCAGTCAAAGGGCATATTATCTGATAGGGGAGGCACACATGTAAAAAGGTCTCTGGAAGAGTATCTAGCTACTGGCTTTTCTCTGGGACACCAGAGTAGATAACTTTTATAAGCTGTAAATGATAAAATTTGATTTTCTTGACATTTTTCAGTAGTGCTTGAATCATAAATAACACTGTTTATCTGGGCATTGGAGATATCTTCCATTTGGAAATACAATCATTTGAACCCTGGGCTATTTATTGTCTCTTTAATTTCTTATTTGGGGCCTCAAAGGTAGGCCTCATTGCACGAGCACTGTATATTCTGTGAGAATTTTACCTACCTTTGAATCTAATTCTGTGGCCTCCCAGACACATTGTTGTTGAATCATCATGAGTCTGTATGCTGCTTCAACCTGAGCCCTTCCATCCTGCCCGTCCATCTCCCTCCCTCTACTGTCAAAATCACTCTACCTACATACCTTTCATTCAAAACCCTATTCTCATCTTTCTCCACTAGCAATTAACTAAGGTGATAACCTACTCTGTGCACATTGGTGGTTTCCACTGGGTTAACTTGTTAAATGTCCCTCCTAGGAGTCCTTAAGCCTATCTATCCCTGTGTAAGTTGAGATCTTCTAAACAGTGTGTCAGGCTACATGACCTTAGTTTGCCAGTGTAGACATTCCTACAAGGAGCTATAATTGCATAATGTCCTTGGTTTTTGTTGAATGTCAATAAATGAAACAGTCATATGAAGAATGTTTCTGCATCTTTTGTAAATTTGCTGTTAAAGACCGTGTAATTCAATATCCCTTATATGAAGAACCATGTGACCAATTTTCCTTAGGATTCATCACTAAAAAAACAAAAATTATTTTTCCGTCTCAATTAATCATTTTGTTTGTGTTTAGTAGCTAACAGCCACAAAACTCAAGAGTGTTTAGAGGAGTGTTTTTGTTTTTGTTTTTGTTTTAATTTAGGAAAGGGATTCATCTCTCCTCTTTTCTGCCTTGGCTACCAAGAAGTTCAATGCCTAGTCTTCCACTCAGTTGTCATTGATCCTTATCCTAGTTTCTGAACTCATCCAGACTCTTCTTTTCTCCACTCAATAGGTAGTTTTTCCGTCCTCAGCCTCCTCCCACCCTCGCCCTCAAGTAGGCCCCAGTGTCCCTTGCTCCCTTCCTAGCTCTCACTTATAAGTCAGAACATGTGGTATTTGGTTTTCTGTTCCTGTGTTAATTCACTTAGGAATGGCCTCCAGCTGCATGTGTGTTGCGGCAAAGGACATAATTTACTGTAAGAAGTGTCTGTTCATGTCTTTGCCCATTTTTTAAATGAGGTTGTTGGATTTTTGTTTGTTAATTTTTTAAATGTCCTTATAGATTATGGATATCAGATCTTTGTTGGGTGCATTCTCCCCTTGGTAGTTGTCTGTTTATTCTGTTGATAGTTACTTTTGCTGTGCAGAAGCTTATTCATTTAATTAAGTCCCAGTCGTCAATTTTAGTTTTTGTTCAATTGCTTTTGGAGTCTTCATCATGAACTCATTGACAGGGCCTCTGTTCAGAATAGTATTTCCTAGGTTAGTTTTAGGTTTTATATTTAAGTTTTTAATCTATCTTGAGTTGATTTTTGTGTATGGTGAAAGGAAGGAGTCCAGTTTCAATCTTCTACATATGGCTAAGCAGTTATCCCAGCACCATTTACTGAGTAAGAAGTCCTTTCCCCATTGCTTGTTATTGTCAACTTTGTGAAAGACCAGATGGTTGTATGTGTGCAGCTTTATTTCTGGGTTTTCCAACTTATTTCATTGGTCTATGTGTCTGTTTTTGTACCAGTATCATGCTGTGTTGGTTATTGTAGGCTTCTAGTATAATTCGAAGTCAGGTCTTGTGATGCCTCTGGCTTTGTTTTTTTCACTTAGGATTGCTTTGGCTATTTGGGCTCTTTTTTGGTTCCATAGGATTTTTAGAATTTTTTTTCCTAATTCTGTGAAAAATATTGGCATTTTGATAGAAATAGCGCTGAATCTGTAAATTATTTCAGGAAGTATGGCTGCTTTAACAATATTTATTCTTCCTGTCCATGAGCATGGAATGAAAACTAACAAAGATATTCAGGACCTATATTCAACATTTCACCAAATGAACCTAATAGATATGTACAGAATACTCCACCCAATAACAAAATATACATTCTTCTCATCTACACATGGCACATACTTTAAAACTCACCACACGCTTGGCCATAAAGCAATTCTCAACAAATTTTTAAAAAAACTAAAATTATATCAACCACTCTCTTGGACCGCAGCACAATAAAAATAGAAATCAATACCAAAATATCTCAAAGCCATACGATGATGTGGAAATTAAGCAATCTGCTCCTGAATGACCTTTGGGTAAATAATGAAATTAAGGCAGAAATCAAGAAATTCTTTGACGCTAATGATAACAAAGACACAACATACCAGAATCTCTGAGATACAGCTAAAGCAGTTTTAAGGGGAAATTTTATAGTGCTAAACACCCATATCAAAAAGTTAGAAAGATCTAAAATTAATAACCTAACATCATACCTAGAGGAACTAGAAAAACCAGAGCAAACCAATCCCAAGGCTGGCAGAAGAAAGGAAATAACCAAAATCAGAACTGAGTGGAATGAAACTGAGATGCAAAAACCCATACAAAAGACTAACAAAATCAAAGGTTGGTTTTTTGAAAGAATAAATAAGATTGATAAACTGCTAGTTAGACTAATAAAAGTTTTTTTTTTTCCAAATACATCTTGTTTCCACAGACAAGACTGTAAGCTGGACTGTAAGTTTCTCCAGGATGGAAATCATGCTTTCCCTTTATTTTCAACTCATCTTCTTCCTACCTGACATTCTTCCCTCTTTCTCAGTCTGCAAATTTTTATTAAATTTTTATTAAATGTGTATGTCATCCCAGGAATTATGCTAAGCCCTGGAGATTTAAGATAAATAAATAAAGACACAAAATGCTCAGAAAATGCTTCACAAATAACTGACTCCTATTCTTTGTGACATTTCCACTGCTAAGAATGCACCTTATTCTATCAGGTACAGGCATCCTGGCAGTTTTTTGGGGGTAGTTATATGACCTGGGCCAGTTGTTTCCCCATTTGACTCAGATTTCTCAAGTGTGAAATAAAGAGTTTAACACGATCTTCTCCAAGCCCTAGAATTCCAGGGTTCTAGGTCATGATAGCTGTTTAATATGAACCAGAAGCCATGCTGACTTTGAACTCTTCTCTCATTCTGACCCTTCCTCAGCATAAAAGAAGACAAATACATTTCACTGTCCCCTCTACTACACGTCTCTTCCAGATAAGGTGATTGTACCATTTTAAAGTCACTCACAACCCTTCTGGCATATTCATTGTAATCGTCCATTTTATTTATATGTGTTCTGCAATTTACACAGCCCTCCCAAACAACTCTGGAAGCAGGTAATGGAGGAGTTGTCACCCATTTTACAGATGAGAAAGCTGACTTTGAGATATTATCATTATTGACTTGCCCAAGGTCATGGAGCTCATGTAAGTTTCTGAATGGTGCCAAAACAGTGTCCTCTCTCAACTACATGAGGCTTGAGCACAGCCTAAAAGATAGAGTCAGCTCTTGCCATCAAAAGCCTGGATTTCATGAGAAAAAAAGTCTGTGAACTTCTTAAGATGCTTAAGTCAAAATAGTTTTGGTGAAGCATAATTTTAACCCGCAGCATAACAAGGCCTTTGGCAAGGAAACAAGGAATACTAGGGACATAGTGTCTGCAAGGAAAATGCAACAGAATGCCACATACATCAAGCAGCTTTCACAGTCTGGGGATGAAAGAAATTAGAGTAGGGAAAAATTGCACCGTGTTTGGGGCCCTCTGTTCTGTGAAGTTCTCATTCAGGTCTTTGCAAAACTCAGCCATGTTTTCCCTCATTCCCCTAACCCTTGTGTTTCATTTTTAAACCCCAGTGCCTGCAAAGAGACATCCAACGCACATGTTTCTGATTCATTTACACTTAACTCATCAAGCTCTGTTTAAGAAGAGCTATCTGGTGTCCAAAATCTTTTGGAATATTTTCCTTTCCTTTTAATAAGCCATTGGGAGTTGTTTTTATTTCTTGTTTGTTTTTTGTTTTGTTTTGTTTTGTTTTTACTGGCATGTTCGTGCTTGAGTTGAGCACATGTAACAAAGCAGGGCACTTAAAGAGCCTAGTGGACAGGCACACCCCAATCTGCTTAGAGACTGAGAGGGACATTTTTGGTTAGCAGAGTCTCCGAGGCTCCATAGTCACGGGGCTTCACAAAGGGAGCCTGAAGAAGCTTGAGACAGGGCAGCTTGCCCATGACCAGGCCCATGTGGACCACCACAAGGCCCAGCAAGAAACAGACAAGGCTGCAGACTTGAGGGAAAGGGTTTTCTCTGTCCTGCCCAGCCTCCAGGGCTACAGGAAGAGAGAAAAGCTACATAACTGCTGGCTCAGAAGAAGACAGTCATCCCAGGGAAAGACAGTTCTGCTCGCAAGGTAAGCTGTCCTAATCACCATCATCCTACCTCTAGATCCTGGCAACCCCCTCCTAGTTGGTGGCTCTGCGTCCACTCTTGACTTCCTTCATCCCAGACATAAATCAGAGCATGCCCTCCCCTGGCTTATGGCTTCCTGGAGCACCTTAAGTAAAACCCAAATTCCTCACTACGGCCAAAGTAGTCATCATGACCAAGCCTCATTGGCTCCTCCAACCTCAGCCCTTACGATTCTCCTCATTCACTCTACTGCAGTGAAAGAGCTTCTGTTCTCTAACTTGAACATGTCCAGCTCATTTCAGTTTCAGGGTCTTTTTGTTGTTTCCTCAGCCTGTAATGTTCTTTTTCCTGCAGTCATATGGCTGCCTCCATCTTATTCTTTCTTTCTTTCTTCAGATACTCCTCTTCCCTTATCACTCCAGCTATAGTAGTACCTCCACCCTAACTTGCTCTTTAATGTTTAATTTTCTTCTTAGCACTTAGCACCACCACCTAAAATTATTTTAATTGTGCCATTGTTTGTAAAATTATTTTTTTATTTTTATTTTTTTTGGAGACAGGGTCTTGCTGTATCACCCAGGCTGGAGTGTAGTGGCATGATCTCATCTCACTGCAACCTCTGCCTTCTGGGCTCAAGCGATCCTCCCACCTCAGCCTCCCCAGTAACTGGGACTTCAGGCGCACCACCACACCCAGCTAATATTTTGTGTGTTTTGTAAAGATGGGGTTTTGCCATGTTGCCCAGGCTGGTGTTGAACTTCTGGACTCAGTTCACCTACCTCAGCCTCCCAAAGTGCTGGAATTACAGGTGTGAGACACCATGCCTGGCCTATATGGTTATTTCTGTTGGCCGCCACCAAACTGTAAGCTCCAGGTCGGGGACCATTCTTCCTTAGATACCACTGAATCTTCAGTGTCTAGAGCAATACCTGACACAGGGAAGTAGCTCAATATTTAAATGAGTGTGTGACTGAATGACTGTCCTTGACAACTGTTTAACCCAGAGTCATACATAAGCTTAAGAAGCCAGGGAAATAAATGTCTCCTGGTCTTAGAGCAGCAGAAGCAAGCAGACCTAGAAGAACCCCATTTCTGTCTTGGATAAGGTAGTATCGATGCATTGCTCTCAAGTATTTGGCCATTGAGTCAGCTGCTGTGAGGGTGACCAGGAAGGGCAGGGGATTCTAAAACAGGTGACTATAGAGGACCAACTTCTGACCCAAACCCTTGGAATATTAGAAGGCTTGATGCTATAAGACAAGTTGGGACATGGACCTGCAAGAGACCAGAGTGGCTCAGGGAGATTGCATCCGGGGCTGGGTAAGCCAAGGCCTACATCCTGCCCCTGAAAGTCACTGGCAATTTGCCTTTCAGCAAGCCGTTTACCCTCCCTGAGGCTGTTTCCTTCTTTGCAAAATGGGCATGATAGCAGCATGTTGTATAATATCAGATGTATAAGTACCAAACACAAGATCTGATATAAAAAGGGTACCCAATAAATAGTAGCTGTTGTTACTGGAGAGACTACAGTCGCAAACATTCTAATTATAATGAGCCCAGAAAACATGGTTTTGTTACAATATTAGGACAATATTAGAACACCTGTCCTAATAATGACCTGGAAAATTAACCAATCCAAAAATTGCATTTATTTTTCTATTTTTTATTACGGTATAATACCTTTAGAAAGTACTATCTTAACCACTTCAAATGCACCGTTCAGTGGCATTAAGTACATTGATATGATTGTACAACTATCACCTCCATTCATCTCCAGAACTATTTTCATCTTGCAAAACTGACAGTCTATATACATTAAACAACAACTCCTTGTTTCCTCTCCCCTCAGTTCCTGGGAACCACAATTCTATTTTCTATCTCTATGAATTTGACTACTCTAGGAATCTCATATAAGTGGAATTATATATAATATTTGTCTTTTTTGTAACTGGCTTATTTCACTTAGGATAATATCATCAGGGTTAGCATAAGGTCCCCAAAGTTCATCCACATTATAGCATGTGTCAGGATTTCCTTCCTTTTTAAGGCTGAATAATATTCCAGTGTATGTATATACCATATTTTGTTAATCCATTAATCCATCCATGGACAATTTGGTTGCTTCTACCTTTTGATTATTGTGGATAATGTTGCTATGAAGATGGGTTGCTATGAGACCATGCTTTCAATTCTTTTGAGGGTATATCCACAAGTGGAATTGCTGGATCATATATTAATTCTATTTTTAAGTTTTTTGAGGAACTACCATAATATTTTTCACTATGTAGTGGTTTTACCATTTTACACTCCCACCAATGGTGCACCGGTTACATTTTGAAGTGGAGGTTTAAGGAGGGAAATGCAATGAGTGAGTAGAATACCAAGTAGAAGGGATCCTAATTCCACAGTTACCCTGACTGTCTGGGAAAATGTTTCTTCCATTTGTTTCCTTTACATTTTTGCCAGGGAAAACTGATAGTTGATGCCTGAATTGGGCCCCTGATTCAACAGCCCAAATATTTTTTCTAGATACAGCTGTTAGTGCATCTTAACACCCTAAGACATCAATTTGACACAAAAGACAGCAAATTCTACCTTTTCCGGGACATGTTGCACATGGCTGACACTCCGAATCTCTCTAAAAAATACTTTGGTGTTTCCTTTCTTTTTTTATATTTATACATAATACAAGACAGATAAAATATTTTACATGACTAAATTTATATGTACCTTCAGTATCCCTTTTTCATTTAACAGTATAGTGTGTTCATTTTCATTGTTATAAACAGCTCTTTGTAAATACCTTTATTTAATGGGTATACTATACCCAGTACTATAACTGGCTCATATCATAATTTTTTAGCCATTCTTTGTTTGACACTTGGATTTTTTTCCCAATTTTTTACTATTATAAATAATGTGCTGACACACAAATCTTTGTCTGAATTTTATGTAGTTTTTCTAAGGAAGAGTGTCAGAACTGAATTTCTAAGTTAAAAACAATGGAAATTTTTAAGGATTTTGATAATATTGTCAAGTAGATTCCAGGAATACAATACAATTACAGACACTCACCAGATAGGGAATCTTATTTTTATTCACATATGTAATTAGTGCATTTTTAAATGTTACTAACTGCAACACAACTCATTGAATAAAGAATATTACTGAAAGGAAATAAAAAAGATATAAAGAAAAAACTAAAAGTATAAAAATGTTTAAGTTCCTAAAACATAAGAAAAATTAAAATAGCTAATATTATTGTGTATTGGATGTGTGTCAGAAATTTTGTTGAGTATTTATGTACAAAAACATCTTTCATCTTCAGAACTATATAGTAAGGTTAGGACATTTTCAGTTGCAATATCCCAAGCAATTATTCATTTAAATGAAAAAGACTGGGATAAGTTTAGCTTCAGGTACAGTTTGATTCAGGGTCCCAAATGTTACTGTCTCTCCCTCTATTTCTTGACATTGACTTCTTCTATGTTTGCTTCATTCTCATCAATGACAGGTTCCCCAAGAGCCTGGGCCAAAATCTCATTGCATGTCATTGACTCTTAGCATGTCACATTTCTGTAACCATAGTAATAGGACATTCTTATTGGATAGATCCGAGTCACATACAAGGGCATCCAAAGCATGGGAACTGGGAATGGGGTAGAGAGCAGAACCCTAAAGAAATCTGGGACTCTTTGACAAGGGAGGAGTCAATGGATGCTGAGCAGCAAAAGTAATTCTACATCCCAGCAACTTTGGGAGGCCGAGGCAGGCGGATCACGAGGTCAGGAAATCGAGACCATCCTGGCTAACATGGTGAAACCCCGTCTCTAGTAAAAATACAAAAAATTAGCTGGGCGTGGTGGCGGGCGCCTGTAGTCCCAGCTACTCAGGAGGCTGAGGCAGGAGAATGGCGTGAACCCGGGAGGCGGAGCTTGCAGTGAGCTGAGATCGCGCCACTACACTCCAGCCTGGGCGACAGCGCGAGACTCCGCCTCAAAAAAATAATAATAATAATAATTCTACTATAGGCAGAAGCTCTTGCTAACCACATTATTAGATCAGAAACTGAGGCTCAGAGAGCTTATTTGACTTCTCCAAGATCACACAGCTAGTAAGTAGCAGAGAGCGATTGAAACACGGGCTCCCATCTGTCTCACCCTATTAGAGGCACTGAAAAGCTTGACCAGGCCCTCACACCTGCGATCCTAGGGTAACCTAACTCTAGTCCCTTTGGGGCTGGCAATTTGCCTGGGTTTTTTGCATACAGCTGTGGTCTCCACATAGTTATAATTGTTCAAGCTGAATGTATTCATTCATTCAGCCAGAGGAGGTGACTCCCACTTATTCTGACTGGTAGCTTAATGGACCCAAGGTTAAAGGCCATTAGATTTGGAGGCAGGCAGGTTGAGTTCAAATCTTATCCCTGAAAAAATGTACCTTGCGGTTATCACTTAAGCTAAGCTTCAGTTTCCTCATCTGTAAAATGGACTGAATAACGGTCCCTTCTCTTCCTAAAAAGAATTAAGTGAGCTAATGCATGGAACCTGTTTAGGGCCATGCTTGCCTCCTCGTTTTTACTGGCTAGTGATGGGACCCAACGCCCCACCACAGGCATCATCACCACCCCTTCATGTGCTATAATCACTGATCCTTACCTCTCCTCAGGAAACGGTTGCTTCCAATTCCAGATCCAATATCTAAAGTTGAGCATAATGCATGACAGTGAGACAGATAAATTAAGAAAGGCCATTCTTTCACAGAAGAGGATTTAACCCTGCTAAAAATTGGAGTATCTGCTGATTACCAAGGAGATGAACATTATGAAAGGGAGTTTATTCTTTTTTTTTTTTTTAACAGCCTCCAGACAGAGGGCCCAAGCATCTGTACTTTAAAAATTTAGATTAAAATAGAGGTTTCGGCTGAATACTTCTATGTAAGAACCACTACCATAGACGATTAGGAGAAGACTGTGCTGTTCAGAGTGATCAGAAAAGGCTTAATGAAGAATTTCAGTAGAGCCATAAAGGAAAAATAAGATTTAGTTGAAAGTTTAAGTGTGATGGTATTAAGGCTAAGCACACAATGAAGAAAAAGATTAAGGAGGTGTCAAATACAGTGTTTAAAACGTATAGCAAGGAGACTGTTTTGGGCAAAAAAAGTAGGTGAATGATTGGGCAGATGACCCCCAAATTGTTAAAGACTTTTAGGGTGAAGTCTAGTCTTGAAAACATTGGGGAGCACAGAATATTTCTAAGAAATGGACTTAGTACCTAATGCAGGAGAAACTGTTGAAATGAAAGACAGAAGGCAGGAAAGACAGAGAGTACATACTGCAGAAGTCCAGGCAAGAGATGAATAGGGCCTAGATCAGCACTGTATTTTTTTATTACTATTATTATTATACTTTAAGTTCTAGGGTACATGTGTACAACATACAGGTTTGTTACATAGGTATACATGTGTCATGTTGGCTTGCCGCACCCTGTAAATCAACTTGTCATTTACATTAGATATTTCTCCTGATGCTATCCCTCCCCTAGCCTCCCACCCCATGACAGGCCCCAGAGTGTGACATTCCCCACCCTGTGTCCATGTGTTTTCATTGTTCAATTCCCACCTATGAGTGAGAACATGCGGTGTTTGGTTTTCTGTCCTTGGGATAGTTTGCTGAGAATGATGGTTTCCAGCTTCATCCATGTCCTGCAAAGGACATGAGCTCATGGAATACTGCATAGTATTCCATGGCGTATATGTGCCACATTTTCTTAATCCAGTTTATCATTGATGGATATTTGAGTTGGTTCCAAGTCTTTGCTATTGTGAATAGTGCTGCAATAGACATACACGTCTTTATAGTAGCATGATTGATAATCCTTTGGGTATATACCCAGTAACGGGATCGCTGGGTCAAATGGTATTTCTAGTTCTAGGTCCTTGAGGAATCGCCACACTGTCTTCCACAATGGTTGAACTAATTTACACTCCCACCAACACTGGAAAAGTGCTCCTATTTCTCCACATCCTCTCCAGCATCTGTTGGTTCCTGACTTTTTAATGATCGCCATTCTAACTGGTGTGAGATGGTATCTCATTGTGGTTTTGATTTGCATTTCTCTGATGACCAGTGATGGTGAGCATTTTTTCATGTGTCTGTTGGCTGCATAAATGTCTTCTTTTGAGAAGTGTCTGTTCATATCCTTTGCCCACTTTCTGATTGGGTTGTTTGTTTTTTTCTTGTAAATTTGTTTAAGTTCTTTGTAGATTCTGGATATTAGCTGAAAGGGAGTTTATTCTTATTCCTTTTCCCACAGACAAATCATTCCCTTTATTTTTAATAACTTACCTCTCCTCCAATTTTTTCTCATCCATGATGTATTTCAATTCATCATAGGGTATAACTTAAATGCTTTGAATGAGATGATTTTTTTTGCTGAGGGAGCCCCAGCTTCACTGCATTTCCTTTGAATTGTGGCAAATTCCGTTTTGAGGTTTGTTTAAGGGAAAGGAGGCTTCTTAAACAAAAGTGTACTCTATGCACAATGGTAGTAGTGTTTATGGGTTACCCCCACTAACTCCTAAAATCTCAGCTAAAAAATAATGATATGAAATATAGAAGCCATTCATGCCAAGCTCCCACTACCATGTAAGGGAATGACTATCAAATGGTAGCTGTTTGGTATGTCCAGCTTCTGTTAATTATTCCTACAGTGTTCAATAGAATAAAATACCTATTTGAATCAACACTAATAAAATTAAAGTAACTTTGATCTCATTCTAGAGTAATGACTAAGCACTTCCTAGACAAACTGGTAATGAGAAGTATAGGAATTTACAATTCCAAATTCTACATGTTTGACTTGCAGGACATCAATCTTGTAAGCTCTTTATTTTTATTTAAAACTATTTCTTATTCATTTATTGACCTACAGAGTTATCCTGTAGTAGCATAATAATAATAATGCTAATTATAATAATAATAATCACTCTCCTGTATTGAGTACCTACAATGTGCCAGGCACTATCTTGAATGCCTCATGTACATTTTCTTATATAATCCTCACAGTACACCTGAGAAGTCAGTATTTGTGTTCCCATTACAGAGGATGTCATTAAAGATTAAAAAACTGGTGTACAAAGTCTCATGATAATAAATGTCAGGACCAGAATCAAACCCAAATATGGCTAACTCCATATTAGCCATAGTGTACGCTGCTTGAGAACTGAGTTTGCAACCCTTCAGAGTTTGAGTTTTATCTAGCTCACTCACTGCCATAAAATCATATTTTTAGCCCCAAATTGTACACTCAAAGAGAGATTTTATCAAAGCCTGAAAGCTAGCAGTATAGGTATATGTTTATGTAGGAGAATATTGAGTCACACGATCTACAGTATTTCGAATAATGAGAGAGTGGTATCACCATCAGTGGCATCATCACAGGTGACCTTTTCAATATATGACTCTACGAATAAGATCAAGACATGATACACACTCTGTGGGTCAGAATGTCCGATAAGGGTCATTTGAAAAACCCTTGCTTCCTTAGGAAGGTAAACATTTATAGAGCAAATATCAAGAGATAAACTGGCTCTATATTATCAATTGATAACTTGTTAAAAGCAATTCCCAATAAAAGCCCCTTTGAATTACCTATCCACAACAATATCAGAATGATCAAAGCAGCTTATATCTCACATTGAATGAAGCCTTAACTCATCTAAATGCCTCTTTGCCAATCTCTCTTCCTTCTTAAAGGTAACCACTGGGGAATACAATTCAGGTTCTGGCAAGAGGATCCCTGAGGGATTCCTTCTCTGCTGCCACACACCCTCCCTCAGTCACTCCCCTCCTCAGCCATCCTCTTGGATCTAAGTTCTGCAAAATTCCCAAATTAGGAATTAAGTACATGTTTATTCCATCATGATTTTCTCCTCTAATCTGGCAGATAAAAATAACAGAAAGAAATATCTCTTTGAAGTCTCATTTTATCCTCTACTATCCCAAAAGTAAACTTCAAAATGTTGCTGGTCTCCTTTCTTCATTTGACCCCAGTCCAAGCAGGACAGCTTTAAGGGTGGACCCCACATACAATTCCAGTTCAAAAAAATTCCTATTGCTTTAGGAATATGCAGACTGATTTTGAATATGCATCTTGCCCATCACCAGTATTTTTTTAAGTTCTATTTCAAAAACTAGAGAATGGATCTTTTATTGGTAACAATAATTCTGAGAGTAGATGACCAAGAGACAGCTTGAAAGACATCTTAAAAGATGCCTTATGACCAAATACAAATAATCAAAAACAAAGCCTAACAGCTTAGACATTTGAACTGAACAAGTACATTAGAATAGTCTTCTGTTGTCTTGAAATGCCTTGAAGTGATAAAAACTGTGAAACTACGATATTTATTTTGAAAGATGTACAACATGAAGCTTAAAGGTGAAAGATCTATTTAGTGTGGATTTTTTTTTTAAGCTTCAAAATGAACAGTGTCTGATTCTTAAAGTAAAAGCTGTGAGACTTTTGCTGGAAGCATTTTAATATGTCCTTTAGTTTTTCTTCTTTAGTAAGATATGTCAGTTCCACATTTGTTGACACCCCTCTCTGTGCCATGCACAGTGCTAATGAGAATATACCAGCTAAGGAAAGTGTAGCCTCTGCCTTTGAGGAGATTAAAAACTCTTATGCTGGAAAAAATGGTATTACAAATTCTAATATACCCAATATAAAGAACTAAAAATTATATAACATCAGTTTTTCTACCTATTGTCCTATAATTTCCATTTTCTAAACAGAAAGAAGTGGAATCCCACAGAGAGAAATAATAAATGTTCATGCTGAGCAATGTTCTTTTTTCTTGTGATGTCTAAAAGCAGTTTTCTCTAAATGAAATTTAAATAGAAATTACTAATATTGAAATTAGTAATATTATCAGATATTCTGTGTTTTCACCCAAGAAGCATAAGGCTTCAGGCTTCATAGAGCTTCTTCAGACAGTCTTTTGTTTTTATAGCTCGAAAATTGACAACACAAAGACAGCTATTGACTTGGCATCCAGGAGCAGAATAACACACCTGGTCCTAATGCCTGTGTTTTTTCTTCCAATCTTCCCCCTCTCTCTGTTTTTTCTCTTTGTTGCTTCCCTGAGGATATTCATATACAGAACTTTGCTCAGTACAACACAAAGAGCTAGATGACATTGTCTGCTGGCAGAAAAGTGACAACTATTAGGCTTGGGTTGGAAGCTGCAGTGGTTGTTGATTTTTAAGGTCTACACACAATTATTGAACAAAATATTCATATGACAGTTAAAGTGAATCTGTTTGTAAGTTTTGAAAGTTTAGGCAACTCGCGTATCATTTCTGGGCCTCAGTTCTCACATTATAAATATGAGCACTAAACCAGTGGTTCCCAAAGTTTGCTGCACACAAGAATCACCTTTTAAAAGGAGAGCTTTTAAAAATCCTGATGCCCAGATTGCTTGCCAAACCAATTAAATCAGAATATTTCAGGTTGGGAGCCACATAATGTCTTTTTTTTTTTTTTTTCTCAAGACGGAGTTTCTTTTTGTTGCCCAGGCTGGAGTGCAGTGGTGCGATCTCAGCTCACTGCAACCTCCGCCTCCCAGGTTCAAGCAATTTCCCTGCCTCGGCCTCCCGAGTATCTGGGACTACAGGTGCATGCCACCATGCCCAGCTCATTTTTCGTCTTTTATGTATAGAAATATATATATATTTCTACGTGTATCTGTGAGCTTTTTTCCAGAAGAGATTAGCAATTGAATCAGTAGACTGAGTAAAGAAGATCCACCCTCACTAATGTGGGAGGGCAGCATCCAATCCACTGAGAACCCATAGAATAAAAAGGCAGAGGAAGGGCGATTTGCTTCTTAAACTGGGATGACCATATTCTCCTGCCTTCTAACATCAGAGTTGCTGGTTCTTGGGCCTTCCACCTCCAGGATTTACACCAGAATGACCCTGCTCTTTCCTCCAGTTCTCAGGTCTTTGTCCACTGTTGGATGCCCTGGTTCTGAAGCCTTTGAACTTGAACTGAATTCTATACCACCAGCTTCTCTGGTTCTCCAGCTTGCAGATGGCATATTGTGGGACTTCTCAGACTCTATAATTGCATGAGCCAATCCCATAATAAATCTCCGATATATCTATATATATCCCATTTGTTCTGTTTCTGTGGAGAACCCTGGCTAATACAAAATCACGGAGTTTTTTTTTGTTGAAGTTGACAAATTGATTCCAAAATGTTATAAAAATGCAAAGGATATAGAATAGTCAGAGCAATCTTGCAAAAAAAGAACAAAGTTGGAGGCTAACATGGTTTGGCTATGTCCCCACCCAAATCTCATCTTGAATTCCCATATGTTGTGGGAGGGACCTAGTGGGAGGTAATTGAATCATGGGGGTAGGTCTTTCTCATGCTGTTTTCATAATAGTGAATAAGTCTCATGAGATCTGATGGTTTTAAAAAGGGGAGTTTCCCTGCACAAGCTCTCTTCTCTTGTCTGCCACCGTGTGAGATGGGCCTTTCACCTTCTGCCATGATTGTGAGGCCTCCCCAGCCATGTGGAACTGTTAAGTCCAATAAGCCTCTTTCTTTTGTAAATTGCCCAGTCTCAGGTATGTCTTTATCAGCAGCATGAAAATGGACTAATACAGAGGCCTCAAGACTATCAAATTGCAGTAATCCAGATATATAGTATTAGTGTAAGCACAGATGAGTAGGCCAATAGAGAACAGATAATGTAACACTTGACCCTTATTAAACAATTAATTGATTTTTCAGCCAAAGTGCCAAAATCATTCAATCAGGAAAAGAAAATGTTTTCAATAAATGGTTCTAGAACAACTAGATCATAATTTGAAGGGAAAAAAAGAATCTCAACCCCTATCTCATACAAAAATTAATTTTATATGGATCACAGACCTAAATGTATAAGCTAAAATTATAAAGAAGAAAATATAAGATAAACCATTTGCAAAGACTTCAAACAGGACACAAAAAGTACTACCCATTAAAAAAGTACTTCATCTAAATTAAAAATTAAAGACTCCATTTAAAAATATGTGAATAAGCAAGCCACAGGCTGGAAAAATATATTCATGTCACATAGGACTTATATTCAGAATACATAAAGAACTACTAAAACTCAACAACAAAAAGACAACCCAATTTTTAAAACAGGCAAAAAACTTGAACAAACACTTCACAGAAGATATAAAAATAATTAGCAGCACATTTTTTAAGTGCTGAAATTCATTAGACATCAAGGAAATGCAAATTAACATCACAATGAAATACCCCTCACACTATTTTAATGGCTAAAAATACTGACAATACCAAATGTTGGTAAAGATGTAGACAACTAGAATTCACATAGATTGTTCATGGGAGTATAAAATGGAATCATTACATTGGAAAACTATTTGGTAATTGATTATAAAATTGAACATATCCCTACCTTAGGACCCAGCAATTCTACTCTTAGCTATTTACCTAAGATAAAGGAAAACGTATGTCCATTCAAAGACCTGTACCTGAATATTTATTGGAGTCTTATTCATCATAGCCCCAAAGTGAAAGCAACCCAAATATTTATCAACAGATATAAGGATAAATAAATTTTGGTATATTCATACTCAGTAATATAAAGCAATAAACTACTAATACAAACAACAGCATGGATGAATTTCAAAAACATGTTGAGTGAAAGAAGCTAGACACAAAAGTATGCATACAGTATGAGTGCATTTATATAATAATAAAAATCAGAACAACAGGTGCCGTGTGTGTGTGTTTGTGTGTGTGTGTGTGTGTGTGTTGGAGGGAAGAGGGTGTGCAATAGACTAGACCTCTCTGGGGTGCTACAAATGTCCTATCTTGATTGGGGTGTGGGTTACATAGGTATATACATTTATCAAAACATTTGTTAAAACTCATCAGACTTAAAATTTGTATGTAAGCATACACCAAAAATTAAAATTTCAAAAACCATTTTTGTGAACTATAAAGTGTTATATAAGTACTATAAAGTGTTTTAATTTTTGAAGTCTCTCATGACAAAGATGAGTTTGAAATGATTGCAATAGTGAACTAATGCTAAACAATGACATAGCTCTGAGTTTCCAGTTTTCATCTGCATATTTGAAGTGATTACATCCAACAAAATGAGTTTATTTTATAACTTAGCAAATGAATGCAGCACCCTTTAACCCACTCTAACTAGGACTTTTTTTTTTGAAGGCCTGGTGCTAGGAGTGATCTGTATCTACCTGTACCTAAACTTTAAGCTTTGACAAAGTGTTGGCACATTCACTTTATTAACTGTTATTCTTGGCAATTTTAGTAAAGTACCTTTAAATTGAAGTTAAAAAAATAAAAGTATAAGAAATGTCATACTGGAAATCACATCCTTTTTTCCCCTTAGGTATGGTAGCAGATGGAAAGGAACTGCTACCCTATATGATTTTATTTTGTATTTTAACTTTTATTTTAGGTTCAGGGGTACATGTGCAGGTTTGCTACATAGGTAAAGTGCATGTCAAGGGAGTTTGGTGTATATATTATTTCATCACCCAGGTAATAAGCATGGTACTCAATAGGTAGTTTTTCAATCCTCTGCCTCCTCCCACTCTCCATCCTTAAGCATACATGTGTCCATGTGTACTCAGTGTTTAGCTCCCACTTATAAGTGAGAACATGCAGTATTTGGTTTTCTATTCCTCCCTCAATTCACTTAGTATAATGGTCTCCAGCTCCATCATGTTGCTGCAAAGGACATGATCTCGAGGGAATGTAAACTACTACAACCACTGTGGAAAACAGTGTAGAGATTCTTTAAAGAAGTGAAAGTAGAACTACCATTTGATCCAGCAATCCCACTGCTAGGTATTTACCCAGAGGAAAAGAAGTCATTATACGAAAAAGATAACTTGCACACATATGTTTATCGCTATAAACAATTTGCAATTGCAAAAATATGGAACCAGCCAAAATGCCCATCAATCAACAAATGGATAAAGAAACTGTGATATATATATATATGATGGAATACTACTCAGCCATAAAAAGGAATGAATTAATGGCATTCGCAGCAACCTGGATAGAACTGGAGAATATTATTCTGAGTGAAGTAGCTCAGGAATGGAAAACCAAACATCATATGTTCTCACTCATAAGTGTGAGCTAAGCTATGAGGATGCAAAGGCATAAGAATGATTCAATGGACTTGGGAGACCTCAGGGGAAAGGGTGGGAGGGGGGTGAGGGATAAAACTCTACAAATTGGGTTCCGTGTACACTGCTCAGGTGATGGGTGCACCAAAATCTCACAAATCACCACTGAAGAACTTACTCATGTAACCAAATACCACCAGTTCCCCCAAAAACCTATGGAAATAAATTAAAAAAAAATCTTATTCTTTTTTAACCACCACAACCCAATAACTTTAAAAATAGAAAATTATCTGATATTATTTACCACTTTCAAAAGACTGACTAGGTTATGGTTTGTGTGTTTCCTCACCTAGTAATAGACTTTCAGAGACACATCTGACTGATAAATTAAATGCTCTGTATGCTGGTATTTGATAAGAATTTCATAGAGATTTGGAAAATGTGTGTGTGTGTGCACACATGCTCACAGGCAAACACTCATGTTCATGTATGAGAGAAGAGATTGATTTTCCTTAAAGCCCACTATAGGCTCTGTCCTACTTTCATACAAACAACATACTCAAATTTCCTCTGGGAAATTTCTGTGGGAAAATTGGCTTGTAAAATTTCAGCAATAGACTTAATTGTTACAAATTTCATTCCTAGGATACTGAGAAGCATAAAATTTCCAATTGTAACTCACCTTTTAAAGTTGTCTTTAAAAGTATGAGATGAAAATACTCCTATGATATTTCCTTTTTTTTCTTTTTCTTCACAAGTAAACACATAGTCAATCTTCTTAAGTGTAAAATGTTTCCTATCAGGGCTAATGATTTCCAATTTATAGTGATTGAATTTCACTTAATCTAATAGAATCGCCCAGCATAGGAAAGCACAGCTCAAAACAATATGTGATGGAAACCATTAGAGTACAAAGCAGGGTGCTATGTGAGGTCAATAACATGTTGTGAAATTTTTGTTTCAGCTTTACATATGCAGTGTATGCATTTACTGAGTCATGGGCAGAAACATTTGAAGGCCACCGCACCATGCAATGGCACAAAATGTCCACTCCACAAAAGAGGTGAGAAAATTCAAATCTGGCATAAGAACAGGGGTTTAGGAGTGTCGACGTGTAGAAGTGCAAGAGGTCCAGGAACAAACAGGAAATTCCCAGTCAGCCCTAAAGAGAGGCTTCATTAGTTCATTGAGCACAGCCTTAGTGAGATGAGTAAAGAAGAGCAGGAAAATTCTCCCCAACTCCCCAGAGGAGAAACAATTGCCATAAGTGTCAGAAACATGTCAGAAAGAACCTAAATTACCTGGAATGAGCCATGTAAAATATATGGCACAAGTCAAGATCTTATTTCTTCTGTGACCTATAAATATTACAGTATTTTTTGATAGAAAGGAATCTTTGAGTACTTCGGTAAATCACCTCATGGAGAAATCTACAACTACAATGTCCTTGTAATCTGTTCCTCTCTCACAAAATTTTAATTGAACCACACCAATGTCATTTAGGGTGACAGCAGGGGTGCGGTTGGGGACTGTGTGTGGTCTTTGCCTTGCAGACAAACTCCTAGTCTCTAAAGAGTATGAGGCAGACACTGGACAAGCTCCTAAAGACTTATTCCCTGGAACTGCTGGGCTGGAGGTGGCATCCCATCCTTATGTATTTAAGAATCTAGAGCTACCAGCACCCTAGCCCAAGGTATCTTCCCTCTAGAACTTCCTTCTACTCCTTTTCTTATTTGCCTGCCTGCTCTCCATACATAATAAACTCCAGATGACTCCTTTATGCCTTTTTCCTCCTTATTCCACTTCTTGTTAAGGAGTTTCTCAAAAGAAAATGGATGTAGATGCAATTCACCCTCTCAGTTAAGACACTGCTCAGTGTTGGAGCAGTATAATGCTGACATGTTTTCCTTCTTAGCTTTTCTGTCATTAAAACTGGGCTCCTCTCTCCCCATGTATAACTCAACTCCTGCTTCTACCCACAGCTTGTGACTCCATAACTGTTGCAAACACAGACTTCCCTGCCCAGATAGTCCTCTTCCTCGGTTTCCTCCCAATAGTCCTCTTCCTCAATTCTCCAAATAGTCTAATTAGAAGAGATTCCTCTCCCTTTCCAAATAATCCTCTTCCTTGATTTCCCCCTCCTGTTGTTGGCCAGCCTGTCAGACAATGATGATGATGATGATGATGATGATGATGATGATGATCACCTCCTACTGATCTCCCCAGTGTTGACCTAGTCTTTGTAACATAAATTTTAGTTTACCCAGGACATCTCCATCTATACCTGTTGTCCCAGAGTCCCAGAGTGACTTTATTTTAATTATACCCCCTTTCACTTTCAAAAAAAATGTATAAAGCATCTCAGTGTGGAAAAGTTACCCTATCCAGTATCCTGCTCTGCCTGCTTGGTTAACTATTTTCTGGTGGTCTGCAGCTGGTCCATCCTTCAAGTCTATAATTCCAAATTGGCCTAGACTCAACATCTCTTACTCCCAGCATCATCTCAAACATTACGAATGGAAAGCTCCCCTGGCAGGATGAATCTTAGAGAAAACTATGATGTTATCCTGGAGTCTATCTGACCCTATTTTTAGTGTTTCCCTACATTAGGTATCTATTGCTGCATAACAAACCACTCTGAACTTAGTGATTTAAAACAACAATAGTCATTTATTATCCCTTATAGTTTCTGTGATTCAGGAATTCAGCTCAGACGTGCTGGGGATAGCTTGTCTCTGTTTCATGATGCCTGGGGCCTAAGGTGGAAGATTCAAAGGTTGAAGATATCAAATATCTGGAATAATCTGAAAATTCATTTGCTCACATGTCTGGAGGTTGATGCTGGCTGTCAGCTGAGGGCCTCATTGTGTCTGTTGCCTAGAACACACCCATACATGGCCTCTCCATGTGACTGGGGCTTCCTTACAACATGGCGGCAGGACTCCCAGGGCAAGTATGCTGAGCCAGGTGGAGTCTGTATCCTTTATATGACGTAGACTCACTTAACTCTCAAGTCACATAGCATGACTTCCACCATATTACATTGATCAAGGAAGTTGCAACCCACTGCCAAGATTCAAGAGCAAAGAACATTCGACTACTACCTTTACACTCCTTTTTGTAAGATGATCATATGATATGGCATCTATACATATATATGCACATGGAAACATACACATGTATGTATACATATATGTGTATATATGTATATATTTGGGAAATATAATCAGCCACCCCTTCCAAGAACTCTGCCAACCATAGGCAAAGGGTCACCATTCTTGTTACCCTCTTCTATCAAAATTTTCCTAGGATGAGTTCCCTGATATTGTGACCTGGGGGCGAGGCTTCTCTAATCAGAAATACTTTAATCCCTTATAGTTGTGAGGTGTGTTACAGTTGCAAGATCTTTGCATTTGGTCTTCACAACTCTGTGAAGCAGATAAGGCAGGCCTTATTCTCCCCATTTTACAGGTGAGAAAGGACATACCGAGAGGTAAATAATTTACTCAAAGTCGCAGAGCTGGGACTCAGTGCAGTCAGTGAGATGTGGCATCGGGTTTCTTTCCATTACCAACCAACCTCTACGAACGGAAAAGCAGCACAGTACTGTAGTCTGAGCCCAGACTTTGGATTGGACAAGCCTGGCTTTGAGTCCTGGTTCTACAGCATCATGGCTTTGGACAAAGAGCTTCACTTCCCTGACTTTCAGTTTTCTTATCCTTGGAATGAAGGCAATACAACCTACCTCATGCGTTTAGTTCCTGCCATTAGATTAAATGATATTCGTGAAGTGCATAGGACATTGCCTAACACACCTTTGACCCCCAAACAGCACCTAAGAAGTTAATTTTAATAATGGTGTGTGACCTAACAGCTGATACACTACATTTAGAGCCAGGCTTTCTTAAAAAGATCTTGAAGAAGTAAACGCTGATCTGGGCCACAACAAACAAAAGATATTCTGCATCTGGGTATAGGTGGGAACGATCCTCAAATCACATGGCAAGCCAATCATCTTAGATCTTTTTTCATAGCAAAATATTGTTCTTTTTCATAAGTTTGTAAATGAAACCTTAAAAAGGGCAACCAATTCTCAAACTCCTCTAAACAGACATTACTGAATGGGATATAGGCCAATATTAAATCTCCAGCTCAAAAGGCTGAATATAGAGGCTGCTGGGGTTGGGAGGTTTGCTTTGTTACACAGTGTGGGGATGGGTGCTACATAATGATCTTTGAGTGGGCCAAGCTTTGATGGCTGGGCAGAGCACAAGGTTAACACAATTGCCAGGCCTTCAGTAAGTTACCCTCAGATGCCATTTAAATGTAACTGTGTATGTATCCGTTTCTGTGATGGTGGACCCAGAGTCATTGAAAGGCCCTGCATTTTTTTTTTTAATTTTAAAATTCTTTAATCAATTTCCTAATTTTTCCACAATGCACAATTTCCATTTTAATTTTTCAAGGAATATATTCATACAGCACAAAAAATGAAAAAGATATACAGAAAAGTCTCTCTCCTATCCCTGCTTTTCCATGCACCCAATTTCACACCCAGAAAACTGTTATTAGTTTCCTGTGTAAGCTTTCAAAATTAATTCATGCATAAATAAGATGAGTTAAATATACATTATCTATTCCTCCCTTTATACAAAAGACAATATGTTTTTTACTTTGCTTTTGTTTTGTTTTGTTTTGTTTTTTTAGCTGAACAATATATCTTGAGAACTTCCCATAGGAGTATATATTTTCTTTTATCTGTTATGCTGGATTCTGCCACGTGAATGTCTCTTTATTTTTTTGTTTGCTTATTTAAATAATTATTTGTAACTTAATTATTCTTACAATCAGAAAAGATAAAAGTATATGTTGGAGACAATGATGATAGTAGCAGATCCCACACACCTCAATATGTAGTGTGATTCCACTATTTTGGAAATAGGCAAATATAAATAACTAAAACTTACCCTACAAGAGTCCACATAGACCAATAACCATGGAAAAATGCTAGGAAATAACAAATATATTTCTCTTATGGGCTAGCCCAGAGGAAGAGCCTTTAGAGTAGTAGACTCCCCAAAAAGGTCCGGTGTGCCTCCCCTCTACCACACCATGGTTTATGAAGTGACACCATCCTCTTTCCCTCCTCCCCATTTTGTTAATCTATTTCCTGGTCACACCCTACCTCTGACCTTCTTCTCCAGCTATACGTGCTCCTGGGTCATTGCTGCTGCTTCCATGAATTTAATTATCATCCACGGGTTAGCAAGACACACATTCTTGTCTCCAGTCCAGGTAGCTTCAGCACAATCACCCATGTGTGTGCACCGACAACCACACAGGTAGTGTCTGAGTCACCTAAGGAAAGAAACCCACTCAACCTCACCCAAGTGAAAAATGGGGGTTATGGAAGAATGCAGGGATGGAAAGGCCCTGCATTTTTCTCTCATTGTTTCAAGAAAATGTTCTTGAGTGTTCTACCCACAAAGGCAGTCTGATATTTGCCATTAATGAGAGGCAAGTGAAGGGGCTAAATTAATCAGTGCTTATAGTTCCTGAGAGTTATGCCATGAGGGTAGGGGAGAGCCTCACTTTAGAGTCCTAGAAGTTGCTTTGTAGACTCAGAAAGAGCTATTTTGCTGGTGTTCAGAAACAGTTTTCCATTTTTTTTCTGCCCATCACTTAGGTCTGACTAGAAGGCCTCTAATTCTGCTTCCAAGGCCAAAAGGACAGCAGATTCGCTCATAAGAAAACCCAAGGGATACTTAAAATTTACGAGCCAGTCCTCAGCTCCTTACCAGTGTGAAGTTCTCATTCACGTCAGCAGGAAGCTAGCCTACAGGGCAGGGCATCTCAATTGAGTTCTTTCTCTGCTTTGCTGGTTCAGAATCAAACTTGCCCTGTGGCTGCTTTAAGTGTTGATGTCTTGGCATCCAAAAGCAGGGAGACAGCTCCGTTTCTCCTGGCGCCTGGAGCCCATGCTTCAGGGCAGCTTACCCTCCTCCCTTCGGGATTGCTTTGGAATCCTCACTGTTTATAAAGGAAGCCCACATTGGCCCCGTTGTAATGTGTGGCACTCTTCACTCAATAGCAATGGGGAGTTCAAAACGTCTTAAGTGACCCTCCAGGGTAACCAAAATCCCAAATCCCTAATATGGAGTAACTGTTTCTGCCATAGTGCTGCCTTAAGGAGCTGAACAGCACTTTGTGTTTTCCAAAGCTCTTTCATATACTTGGTCTCCTGTGGTCTGGCAAGCCCTGTGAAAAAAAAGCAAGGCAGATATAGTTAGTCCCATTTCACAGATAAGAAAACTGAGATTCACACAGTTTAATCATGCTGCTAGTTAGTTGTAGGGCTGGGATGCAAACTCCCAGATCATTACATCTTTCACTGCCATGGCTGAGTATTTTACTTTCTCTTCCTTTCCACCCTTCTAATTTTCCTCTTTCCCTTTTCTCTCCAATTCTGTTTTCCTCTGCTCATTCCTTGCTCCCTTTTTACCTTCTTCCTCCTGCTCAATATGTTTCTCTTCATTCTCTTCAACTCTCTTGTTCTACAAAGGATTTCAGGCAGGACCAAGAACCCTCTAGAATTACAGCACCAACTTTACCGTTCACCCAGCAATTTAAACAGGAACTTAAATAACTCATAGGGAATCTCTTTGCTTTTCTGTGACTCATTTTCTCCAGCTATGAAATAAGAATATCATGTTTGTATTTACAAGAAAATAGAATTGTAAGGGTTCTTAAGCCAGAAGAGCCCAAGGAAATATTGATATAGGACCTACATGTAACCTATCTCTTTAGATCGAATCTATATATACCTTGATGTAGTGATTTAACCTTCTCTTAACATTCTGAATAATGTTAAACTGGCACATTTGAGTTGCAGCCAGGGCATTCTCCCCCACCATCCTTTCTACTTGGGGAAACATGCAAACTAAATATTTTAAGAGCCCAGTGAAGAGTTGAGTCTATTTGGTACTGTAAATAAGGATATCTCAGAAATTGAAAGTGAAAGTATTAAATTCTCTATTTGCAGTCCAGTTTAGGCAGGCAGATGGTAACTAATTTCATTAGCCACTGTACCATGCCTCTTAGTGACCCCTCTCATCTCAATTTTTATTGATTTGCAGATGTTTGAAAGAATATCTGATATCAAAATTACTCTTGGAACAGTGTCTGATCTCATTTCCTCCCCTCCTCTGAAAATTAACGACATGAAGACAAGCTTTCATGAGCACCTGTCTCCAGCCTCCAAGCCATGAGGGACTGGAATGCTTAGAGAACAATGACTTAATAAATGAGGATTTAAATAGTTCCATCCTAGAGAGGCAAAGAAAGGCAATATCTCAAAACCATGTCCCTCAACTCTTAAAAGTATTATTTCTAGTTTGAAAAGAAGAGTCTGGATCAGTCAGCCCCTTCTATCCTGACAAATGATCAGAATAGATAGACCCCTGTGGAAGCTGTCAGTAATTTCTGAGGGGGCAAAACATCTACAGGAGAATGTCACTGGATCATTTCAAAAATCTATGTGTATTTGATTCTAGGACTATGTCTCTTCAGAATCTTTTTTATATCTCCCTAAATTCCTTGTCTGGGATGGTATTTTAACTCATTATTGACTAAACATATGGGATTGTCTATTTTGAGTGGATTCACTCTTAGAAGACACTCTATGACTGGGAGATACCTGCTTACAATGACAAGTAATGTCCAAGTAGGGCAAATCAATCTGGGTCAAGCCTATGTCAATAGACATGTGCTACCCTACTGCACAGAACTGACCTTCTGATACCCAGATGTCTAATAGCCACACATTTAGGGGCCTTATGGTATTATTTATTTATTATGATGATGATTATGATTCATCCCAGCTAATTTAACTGGCTTCATTTAGCTGGGCTGACCTGAACACTGGCCAGCTGCCTATAACAGTGGCCTAGAGTAACCTTCACTTCTCTTGTGAACTTGGCCTGTAGTTCTTTGCTGCAGATGGCCTAGCCAACTAGGATGCTATTGGCTCTTCCTGTGGGCCATTCAGAAATTCTTCAGGGGTCCTTCTGAAGCAAGGAAGGGTGACAGCTTCTGACACATGGTTCAGGACATCTGTTGAGCTTCCGTAGCCTATTCGCTTATTTCTCTAAAGTATCTTTTTAGCACCAAATACTTGCCTCACAAATAAATTGTCAAATGACCCTAGTTTAACAAAGAACCAGGAATTAGTTAGCTTAGAGAGGAAGGTACTTAATCCACTAGGCTACATGTAATTCTCCTAAAGTTTATGACAAATTTTTATTATCTTTAGGGCTGCACCTTTCGTATCTCCCAAATACTGCTGCCAGTATTTTGTTCTTCATTTTAGTAGAGCATAGGAGAGCCAATCAGGTGGCATCTCAGAAGGAGGAGATTGGTGAGAATGTCTGTTACTAAGTAGTGGGCATCATTTGTGCCTCCCTCGTTTTCCTTTTCATGACTGGCATGGAAATCACAATGCCTTCCAAAGAGGCAGAGGCTGAGTCAGATTTTTGCTAGGACAAAGTAAAACTTGGTTTCCTGGGGAGTGTAGCCAAACTGACTCAGAGGTTAAGGATCTAACAATTGCAGCAGGAAAGTCAAATCAGATTTTAGTACTCTTAATCCTATATCATCTTAGGGCTGCCTTCCAGAAGCCAGAAGTGATGAGATCAAAAGAAAAATGCCATCTCCTCTTCAGAGAGTGTGGCTCTGAGAAGCTAAGGACCGTGCCTGGGGGAAATAAACTTGCTCTACCAAGAGTGTTCCAGAATCAAGAAGAAATCTCTTGGAAGAAATGGAATGTCCACTCTTTTCTTGTGTCTGTGTTGGGTCTCCAGGTGGTCCTACGAGGACAGAGGCACAGATGTCAGTATGCATTGCTCATTTCCTCCATATCTTTCTTTTCTCCAATACCAAACCAGAAAGCTTCTCTGTTAGCATCTGTAACCATTTCTAGTTAACATCCACATTCCCTTAAGCAACTGGGAAGTGAATCAAGCAAATGTAGCATCTCTAAGCAAAGCAGTTTGATTTAGGGGGAAAAAAAAACCACTGCCATCTCACCTGGTGAAAACTAGCATGCTAGAAAAGAGCACAGGATGAAGCCTGACTGCCTGGGCTGCTGAGTCAACAATAGGAAAAAGTTTCTCATGCTGAAAAAGCAACCATAGCCCTACTAAACAGTCATACTTTGCTCACCTGCCCATTATAATTACAATGTCTTTCCAGCTGAAATCTAATAACTATCACCAGTGAAGCATCTTTCCTTGCCTTGCATATTCATTCATTCATTTGTTCAGACAACATTTATTTCATGCCCATTTATATGCCAATGGTCATCAATTTTATGACTTCACTTATTCATTCAGAAATTACTCATTTTTGAACCCCTATAAATGGGCCAAGTACTGTCTTAGCTACTGGGTATATGAAGATATAGGAGACAAAGTCCATAACATTAAAAATTTATGGTCTAGTCAGTAATTCACATTTTATTCATTCATCTGGTCATTCATTCATTCATTTGCTTATTCATTTGACAGATCGTTGCTGAAGATCTACTGCATGCCAGGCACCATGTTAGGCACAGGGCCAAACATATTTATCCTAATCTTCTCCCCATCTTGTTTTGAATTCATTGTATCACACAAATGCCACCATCACCACCAAGCACAGAAGCAAAAACAAACCCAACAACTTTTCAGGTTTGGTGTGTGTTTATGTTTGTGGTCATTTTAAAGGGAGAGGAGGGTAGGCTTCAGATGGGTGAGTAAGGTTATTGAGTTATTCCAATGTATTCTTGCACATATGCACTGGTTTCGTGCAGGGTAAGATATTAGAAGGCAGATCCCAGATTCAGGACAGTACAAAGTGAACCTTTAAGTGTTGGTGACTGTGGGACAGTGGGATAAGCTGTCTCACAAAAGTGAGATGTGGTTGGAGGTCAGGTGATGACCCACGAAGGACAGCACAGAACAGATGCTACCCAGGAGACTTGTGACCCCAAATCGAAAGACTTTCTACTCTGAGATTTGATTGCCAAAACAGTCTCCCTGGCACATACTAAGTCTTCAATAAATATTCGCTACATGAATGACTAAGTATTAGGCCATTTGTTGGTCCTTGGCTCCTTGAGGGAGAGAGCTGGGCCCTAATTATCTCTTATAGTCCCAGCACCTCTGTCCCTTCTCCAGGGATCTAGGGAACAGATCTGGAATGCAGGCCCCCACAAGCTTTCTTCTTAATAACCTAGGCATAAACGTTTTCACCATGGGGTTTAGCCACCTGGCAGATTCTCTCCGCAAAGGAGGAATCCTTTAGGGGCATATTCAGTCATCTTTGTTAAATTTCGGGTTCTGTTTTCTTCCCTGATTAGCAAATTGTTGGTTCACCTCCATCACCGTGAGACCTTGTGTACTCAGGGAGCAAAAATTTGTTTTGCTATCAGCTAGAAGGGCAAAATAGCTATATAAAGAAACCAAATAATGCCTTCTCAAACCAAACACTAGACTTGGCTTCTGGTTTAGCTCTGTTTAGGGTTATCTGTGGCCCTGTTTCCCTCCAGTGGCTGGTAATCAAGAAGAGAATGCATGATTGCCCCTGGAAACCAAGTGATAGATCCACAGCACTATGGGCCAGGCACCACTGCCTGAAGAGAGGCTAGAGGCAGGGGAAGCCAGGAGCCGACTTCAAGATTCTTAGGCCACAGGCCACACCATAATTCAGGTCATTGGACTTTGCCAAGGAAGCTTATCAAAGAAGAAAACAGACTTACATTTTCTAGTTCTCTGCTTCTCTCTCAGACTGCAAGCCTTAGAAATTAGACTGGCTTTCTCCATCCTAAGCAGAGGGAGTAGAGGTTTGAGAATTTGATTGTTTGGTAATACAGAATGTGTAGCCTAGTGCAGCACTTAGGATGCCATTCTACTTTACCAGAATAGTTCAAGACACAAAGAATTGTTCAAACTGGAACAAGGGTCTGACCTGCTTGTTTGTGTCATTCAGGGACAGCCCAAGTCTGGCAGAAATAGCAGAAACTTTCTGCCACATAACTCAACCCATTAATTTAGATGAAACTATTACTAAATGCTAATTCTAAACTTTCTGTACTCTGTACACAAAGAAACTTCCAGAATCAATGCATACAGAACAAGGCTTGAGCCATTGAGTCCTGGAAGAACTTTCACAAGGCATTTTGATGGGCAAATATGGGAAGCAATCACCATTCTAGCAAGAGACCATGATCTTTCTGGCAGCAGGAGGAAAATCCAATTTCTGTGACAGCTACAGAAAATGACTGAGTTTGTTTGTGACCATCTCTGAAATTACGTCAGGTAACAAAGAAGCCAATATCTTTTCCCATTATTGACAAAGAGGAGACTGTGTTAAGCCAGCCTATTGGAAAACACTGGGTTTCCTCTGGCTTTTATCTGTAAATGACCACCGCTGGGAGTTAAGGGCTACAACTCTTCCTTGGGGAAACCCCATGTCATGATATGAAAGACTCGGTTTGAAGTGGGCCCAATTCTTGAGACGGTCATCCTTTCTAGTTGTATCACCACTCATTTCAGCAAAAAGGCAATGCAGTATGAATTCAAGGAAGAAAGGCAATTTCCTTTAAAATATTGTGGCAGAGTCTCCTTTCTCCAGAGTCAAGCCTTGGTATATCCTCTACTCCTATCATTCTCAAAGGTGATCCCAAGACCAGTAATACCTGTATCAGTATCACCTGGGAATCTTGAAGAGCAGCAGCTGCTTGGGTCTCACCCAAGACTCTTGAAGCAGATACTCTGGGATGGGGCCCAGCAGTTTTTAACAATCCCTCCAGATGATTCCAATGCACACTGATACATGAAAACCACTATTCTACTCTTCATTAAGAAATCTGGGTTCCACCATGATATTAAAAAAAGCCGTGTGTGGGCGGTGTGTGTGTGTGTGTTCAGTTACTGTCTTAGTCAGTTTTGTGCTGCTATAACAGAATACCACAGATTGGTTAATTTATATTAAACAGGAATTTTTTCTCACAGTTCTAGAGGCTGGGAAGTACAAGATCAAGGCACGAGCTTCTGGCAAGGGCCATCTTGCAGAATGCACCACATGGTGGAAGGGGAAAGAGAGAATGAGAGAGAGAAGAGGGGGGCCAAACTCATCCTTTATAATGAACCTACTCCTGAGATAATAGCATTAAGCCATTCATGAGGGTGGAGGCCTCATGGGCCAACTTTCTCTTAAAGGTCCCACCACTTAACACTGTTGCACTGGGGATTAATTTTCCAACACATACTTTTTGGGGGGCACATTCAAACCACTATGGATACACATGTATTAAATATATAAAAGTATGGATGTATATGTACTAAATTATGGATTTTTTAAATTCAGGTTTTTTTTTCAAATTAAGGTAGTAGCTTCTATTATTGAAACCTCTTGCTGTTTGATGTGATAACTCTAAGTCCCTTCCACACTAACCTGCACATGTTCCCTGTGATCTGAGTACGGAGGTGAGGGGGCAGGGTGTGAACCAGCAACCTAAGAAATCAGAGAACATTCTATTGACTAATTTAAACTAGATTATTAAGAATCTACTCTACCATTTAAGATTCTCCAAAAAAAAGTGAAACATTTGGCCTTTGGCATTTAAATGAGTCTGATGAACAGAAGATTAAATACTAGATATCTTTGTAAAAGAAGCTGATTAAAAAGGCTGTGGGTCAGGCGAGGTGGCTCACACCTATAATTCTAGCACTTTGGGAGGCCGAGGCAGGCAGATTACCTGAGGTCAGGAGTTTGAGACCAGCCTGGCCAACATGGTGAAACCCCATCTCTACTTAAAATACAAAAATTAGCCACATGTGGTGGCGCATGCCTGTAGTCCCAGCTACTTCGGAGGCTGAGGCAGGAGAATCACTTGAACCCAGGAGTCGGAGGTTGCAGTGGGCTGAGATCACACCACTGCACTCCAGCCTGGGCGACAGAGTAAGACTCCGTCTCAAAAAACAAACAAACAAACAACAACAACAACAACAACAAAACGGCTGTGAAGCGCATGAGCTTTGGAGTCAGACAGACTTAAGTCCACTGCTGAGTGTCATTGGTCAAGTGGTTTAGCCTCTGTGGTCCTCTTTCTACATTGGTAATATGGGAAAAGTAATAGTGCTGAACTCCCAGGGCTCATATGAGGATTAAATTAGATAATACCCACACATAGCATGCTTGGTAAATATCACTGTTCAAGCAACACTTGGTCTCCTTGTTACTGTTATTTTACTGGGTTCACCCATGGTGAATAGTACCAGAGTGTCCAAAGAATCCTTCCTGTGAAATGTAGATTCATTGGATCTCTTTGGAATTTTTCTTCAGGGACAGTGTGAGACAATGAATGAGAAAGAGAGTCACTGATTTTGGTGAACTTTTGGGGAAAGGTAATGGATGAGAAGAAAGGCACAGGCCATGGGGTAAGGGTGGAGGTTGCTTCGGATCATTGGCCTCTGAAGCTCTGTGGTGGCTGCAGTTTTCCTTTCTCCTTATTGTTACGGCGTCTGGGCAGAGAGGAGCTTCGGAGCCAGACCTCTGAGGCTGTGTGTGGTGAGCCTGCAGGGGCTGGCAGTCGCTAAGGGCGGAAACCACTGTTTGGGAGCTGCTGGCGGTTTAACTGTTTCTGTTGCTCATTGCTGAGGATGAGAAAAGGGCAGGAGGGTGAGAGCAATCTACTCGTGATTCTGTTTGTGGTGAGTCTGCTCACCAAGAGCTTCAAAGGTCTCTTTGGAACCAAAGGTTTATCAAGCAGCTTCCAGAACAAGATTTTCAGCTGGTTGAACTTCAAAACAACAGCCTCTGAGATTCATTTTGATAATCTCCTTCAAAAGAACCACCTGGTCCATTGTAGAAGTCACTGGTAGCAACCTCATGGGAGATGCAGCTTTCCTCAGCTTACGAGGTCCTTGCTGCACACCTAAAATTATTTAATCAGGAACCTTCCTATTGATGGTGTGAGTGTTGTGATCTGATCCTCTAAAATGCAAAATAACCATAAGAAGTCTCCTAGTGCCTCACAACCTTAGGTGTGCTTCTGTCTCAAGGCTAGAGTTATATCTCAGTCATCTTAGAATTATTTTGGTAAAGAAATATGAAACCTCCAATTAATGAGTATAGAAAAACTGTACAACACTGGGGAGTGGTTAATAAATCATGTAATAAAACATTTTGCAACCATTAGAAAATATACTTTTATGTAATTTTAATGGCTTGGGGGGAAATGCTCCTACGGCAATATACAGAGAAAACAGCAAGAACCAAGACCTTGTAGAGCAGTGGATCTCAGAGTGCGGTCCATGGACTAGAAGCAGCAGCATCTGGAAACTTGGAAACTTGGTAAAAATGCCAATTCTCAGGCCCTACCTTGGAACTACTAAGTCAGAGACTCCAAGGGTGAGCAATTGCGTGTTTTAATAGCCAAGTGAATTGATGTGTGTTAAATTTTGAAAGCAATTGATATAGAGCCCAAATCAATGGAAAATACATACATATGGAAGAAAATGCACCAAAAGATATAGTAGTTCTCTCTATTATAGAATTATGGATGATTTTTGCTTTTTCCTGTTTATCTTTTGTGAGATTTTTTCTGTATATTCTACTTTTTAAAAAATGAGTATATTTTGCTTTTATATTTAGATAAAAAAGTCAAAATAATAGTTATCATGTATTTCTGCTACACATGTGTCATGTCAACTCATACCATATTAAGATTGTCTTGAAGATTTATTCATGCATCTTCAGTGTTTTTCAATTTCTTTTTCTTACAAATCAACTTCCCTGTATTTTCCTTGATGAATTTTCTCAGCTTCGCTGCTTATTTACTGACTTTCCCACCCCCAAGTCTTAAAGCCCCCTGCTATTATTTATAAACAACATTTTCATCAAAGATCTCTATGCTTTGTTTGTCAGAAACAAGCAAATAGTTGTTTTTTCCTTAAGCACAATATTTCTTTATATATATAGAGAGAGAGAGATTAATATATTTTCATCCATTAGTAACAATTTTAAGTTTTGCATATATTTTCACACACAATGTACAGTTTCTTTGAATTTATCTGTTTTTGGCTACATCTTCTCAAAGCATTTTTAACAACTTGACCCTTCTAATTTCAAGAGTTCATTTACAAAGTAAGCAGATATAGTGGATCTGCATTTATACAGGAGAGTTAAGTTCTAAAATCAGAAGATACAGCCAATATCACATATGATCACATTTACCCCATCTCAGTGATACCAGCTTAGACTGGAACAGTCTTGGAATAGACTTCATCTGAGTCCCAGCCAACAAGGCAAGAGGCTATGTTGTGCAAAAACGTACACCTTTAATCACTTTAGCACTGTGAGATGCTCACACCACAAGAGAGTCTCAGTCAGAACCCAAATGAGGAAATAACAGATTCCTTCTATCTTATACTCATTTTCTGGGCAATAGCAGATGAAATTGCCTGAGCTATTTAAATTACTCTGGAGGATTTGTTTTTTGTTGTGGTGGCTGATAGTACAGAAGTGCATTTGCCTGGGTCAAAGCTGCATGTGGTGAGGTCTCCCCGCATCTCTCCAATACCTTCCAGTGTTCCCTGGGCTTCTCTCTTTAATATCCTCTCCCCCACCCTTGGATAGTCTCCCCAGCAGGAAGGACTCTGACCCCTCTCCTGGTTTTCAGGTTGTACCCATCCTTTAAAATTCTTTGCAAAAGCTTCCTCCTACATAAAGCCTCCCCAATCTTAGCAGAAAGTAATCCCTGTACATTCTGAATGTCTTTGGGATATTTATGCCTCTTTATTATATTTACATTTGAATACGACTTAGCTTGCCCAGGGGACTCCCAAGGTTCTACAAGGCAGCATCCAGGTGTCTCTAACATCAATCTGGGCTTTGAATCACAGATCTGTTCTTTCTGGCCAATCTTAGGAAAACTATCAAATTCCTCTATGTCTCCCTCCTCATCTGTAGAATGGAGATAGTTGTAGCAGAGACCCCTGAGAGTTGCAGTGAGCATTAAATGAGATACTACATGTAAAGGGGCTAGCACAATAGCTGGCACATGGTAAACCCCAATAAGAGCTAGCAGTTTTTATTTCTATTCTCCATTGTGATTCAAATAGTACATTTGGACTCCATAAGCATTTGTTCGTTGGCTAAATGAATGAATGAATGAATGCTATTAGTTAAATTTATACACACCCCTCTGAATTCTCAATGCTCAACAAAAAGTTTATACTTGTCATCTGTCTACAAATTCACCACAGAACTTAATGAACCAAGGATGTTCTGTACTTAAGGCAAGTGCGAGGTGCATATGGTAAATTTTCTGTCTTGAGAAATCTGCCACCAGTTCTCTAGTTTAGACCTCATGGAGCTCCGTGTTTTCACCCATGAAATGTGAATTATAACGCTGATCTCTGACTCTGCCTGGGTACAAGGAAAACCTGAAGAAGACTAGGCCTTTAGGGAGAAATCTTATAAACAGGGAATGCTTAGGGTAATTTGAAGAATCAGAGCATGAGTTTGTAAATTAGCACATTTCAGTTACAGAGGTTCCAATCACACAGGACTCTAGATGTCGCTCGATGAGGGCACAGGGCAAAACCAGCTGCTTTTTGGGTTTGTCAAGCATCTCAAGTTATTTCTCAGGAGTTGGGGTTTGGCAAAGCCTGAAATCCACGTTGCCAAGTCCTTCTTTCCCCCCTTAATTTTTAAGCCCATGTGTATTTTAAGGGAAATTTAATCCACATGTTTCTGTTTCCTTTACACTTAACTCATAAAAATGGTTTGTCAGAGCAATTTGATGTCCCAGAAATCTTTGGAGCCTTTATAATGATATTTTTTAGCCTTTCCTCTCTCCCTTAGACACAGGAAATTGTTTTTTTTTTTTTTTTAAAGAAAACGAATTGAACTGAAAGTCTCAAAGTCAGTAGTGATGGGTCAGACAGACAAGCTCAAGGAGCAATGCATTTGAGAAAATGTCATCTTTCACTGCTGCTCCTAAGGTTGATAGGAAGATAGATTCCACACTTAGGCAGATGTCAATCATTGGCAATGTGCTGTGATGGAGTCCTCAGATATTTGATTGGTTGCCCACCAGCCTGAGAGTCTTTCTCCTATTTGTGCTTCTGTACTGAGAGATCTGTTCCATGTTGCTTAGAATTTGGGTCCCTCCACCTTAATCAAATCCTGAAGTTCAGCATTAGAAACTCATGCATACAAGTAGTCTAAGAGAACTGTAGCCACTAATTCCAAAACATAGTAACTGTTTTGTAGGATAGCTTTCCACATCGTCCCTAGAGAGAAAACACAGAATTTGGCATGCTTGTATTAGTAGCCATAGGCAATGTTCTCACAAAGCTTGGTGAAGATGACATTCCTCCAAAGTTAGTGAGTTTCCTGTCACTGAAAGGATTCACACAATGTCCCAGATATCCACAGTGCAGGCAGAAATGTCCCATGTATTTGTACCACCTCTCAGCCATAAGAGGGGATATCTGGAGTTGTTTGACCTGCATCAGCTCCACGTTGTTAGCCATGTCACCTCTTCCACCCTCAGCTGGCATTCATCTTTATTTGTCTCCTTCCTGGCAACATGCTCACCGCCAGATTGGGCTGAATCTTTCTGGACACTAAGGGTCACAGAGTCTTACATTGTGTGACATGTAATAGTTTGGAACTAATCAACCATAATGGCTTGGTTTAATCTGAAATGCTCTAAAATCATCTGGCTGGCTTATCTCAACCCATTTTCACTACACAGCATCAGAACTCTGTAGTGCAATGGCCCAAGCTAAGGCTTTCTCTGCCCCAGGGGCCAAAAGCTAGGGGAACACTTGTCTCCCAAAACAAAGCTGCAAATAAGAGATCCAATCAAAGAACGTCCTGGTGGCTTCTACACCTAGCCCCATTTAGCTGGATTTACTGAATGATGAAGACACAGAGCTTTGAAGGGCTTCTCTCCATCACTAAATTAGCTTATAATAGAGATAGAATGGTGAAACTCTGAACCTGAATGGCTGAATGAAGAATAATTGATAAGCATGTCTGTAGAACATGAACACCGAACCAGGGTACTGAGACTGCATATGACATTGACTTTGGATCTTGGAAGAGAATAGAAAACAACTGACAGGAAGTAGCCAGTCTTAGAAATTCAGTGAGTCTACAGGGCCAGGTGGATATCAAGGTTTTACATGATTAAGATGTTGTAGGCAAGTGCAATGATCAGAAATCTACCACTCTTCAACAGTCTTGGCAATTGAAAAAGGAATTCCTTGGCAGGAATTTACTTTATAGATTAACCACTTTAAGCCTGGTCCTGGATCATATATTACCTTACTGAATCTACAGAACTTTATGGTAAGTATCATTCTCCCTATTTTACAGATGAGGAAACTGGGGCTCCTAAAATTACTTACTGGGGAGACCAAGTAACTTGTCCAAATTTGCGTAGTTAAAAAAACTTGTCCAAATTTGTGTAATCTTCTGGAATTCAAACACAAGTCTGTTAACCTCCAAAGCCTGTACTCTTTCTTTAAAAGAAAAATGCCGGTAATCCCGTTCCTTGGGGAGCCTGAGGCAGGAGGATCACTTGAGACCAGGAGTTTGAGACCAGTCTGGGCAACATAGCACGACCTCATCTCTACAAAAAATTAAAAACTTAGCCAGGCATGGTGGCAGTCCCAGTTAATCATGAGGCTGAGGTGGGAGGATTGCTTGAGCCCAGGAGTTTAAAGCTGCAGTGAGCCATAATCACATCACTGCACTCCAGCCTGGACAACAGAGTGAGACCTAGCCTCTACAAAAAAAAAAAAAAAAGAGAGAGAGAGTGAGAGAAAAGAAGAAAGAAAAAAGAAAAACGTATTTGTCTAATTACAACAAAAGTTCTTGATATTAATAGAAACCCATTCAAACTTAAAGAGATAGAGAACAGAGTTAAAAGTTAAAGTTCTTCATAATCCTACCCCCACAAGATAACCATGTTAATAAGACAGAGTATATATTTCTATATTTTCTACGCATAGGCTACCAAACCAAGAGACATACATATAAATTTTTTACACAAAAATGAGAACTGTTCTAGAACTTGCTTTTTAAAATTCTTCTTGAATATCTTTCTGTGTCAAGTAATACATACCTACCAGATCCCTTTAAATAGCTGCATGGTATTCTATTCTAAGAATTGTCATGGTTTAAAGTCCATTAAATAGTTTGACTGATTTCAACTTTTGGTGACTAGAGGCACTACTGTAATGAAATGTATGCTGCCTGTTTATATGTTATTGCACATTTAGTGATGGATAATTATAGGATAATATGTAACTCATGCTCTGTCTACTACACAAGGGCACTTCCTTTGGCTTCCACCAAGGGATGTTGTTGATTTCTCAGTAAGTTGGATACCAAATTTTCAGACAAGTAATTTTATCTTTCTTTTGGACTTCATCCCTAGGGAATCTAAAAGCCAACAATTCCATTAGACTTGAGGTAAAATCAACACAGTCCAACTCTGAGGCAGTACAGTTAGCAGAGTCATGAAAGTGTCCTTTTATTTATTATTACATTCAATAAATACCTATTGATTTGTTGGTGTTGGGGATGAGGGTACAGGCGTGTGCAAAGTGCTGCACTGGATCCTGGTTAAACAGTGGTAAATCTGGTAGCATACCTCTAGGCCACTGGAGTAAATAGTATGTACAAAATTCATCTGCTGCTCAACACCAAATTGTTGCCATCCAAGCTGACGAAGCCATAATATCACCAGAACCACTCTACAATGCTCACTTTAGTTTTTATGCCAAGGAACCACTAATGGGAGGTATGTTAAAGGAGGTTAAACCAGACTATTGAAGCAGGCTATTTTCACAGTGGATCAACTTTTTAATTAAGCTTCTTATTTTGAGATAACTGTAGCTCTACACACATGCTGTTGAGAAAAATAATAGACGGAGATTCCATGTGCTCTTTTTTTAATTATTATTTTTTTTGAGATGGAGTCTCACTCTGTCAGCCAGGCTGGAGTGCAGTGGCACAATCTCAGCTCACTGCGACCTCCACCTCCCGGGTTCAAGTGATTCTCCTGCCTCAGCCTCCCGAGTAGCTGGGATTACAGGTGCACACCACCACGCTGAGCCAATTTTTTTTTTTTTTTTTTGTAATTTTAGTAGAGACAGGGTTTCACCATTTTGGCCAGGATGGTCTCGATCTCCTGACCTCGTGATCCGTCCACCTTGGCCTCCCAAAGTGCTGGGATTACAGGCGTGAGCCACCATACCTGGCCAGATTCCATGTACTCTTTACCCAGGTTCTTCTAGTGGTAACATCTTCCATCCAATGATAACAGTACCACAACCAGAATATTGATATTGTCAAGAAACAGAACATTCCCATCACAACAAAAATCCTTTAACTTGCCATTTTATGATCACACCCACTTCCCTCCTGCCCCTACCCCCTCCTTAACTCCTGACAACCACTAATCTGTTCTCTATTTCTATAATTTTACATTTCAAAAATGTTATATAGATGGAATAATATAGTATGTAACGTTTTAATGTTGGCTTTTTTCACTCAGGATAACTCATCAGGGTGGTTATGTGTATCGAAATTTTGTTCTTGTTTATTGCTAGGTAATATTCTATGGAATTGATGTAAATAACAGTTTATTTTAACCATCTGTTGAAGGACAACTGAGTTGTTTTCAGTTTTGGCTAATATGAATAAGGCTTTAATAAACATTTGTGTACAGATTTTTGTGCAAACCAAAGTCCTTATTTCTCTGGGATAAATGCCTAGTAGTGCAGTTGCTGGAATATATGTTAATTACATGCTTAGTTTTAAAAAAAATCTCCCAAACTGTTTTCCAGAATGGTTGTACAATTTCACATTCTTACTCAATGTATGAGTGATCCAGTTTCTTCACAAACTCACCAACATTTGGTGTTTTCTTTTTTTTTTATTTTAGTTATTCTGATAGGTTTAATGTGATTGTGGTTCAATTTGCATTCCCCTAATGGCTAATGATATTGAATATAATTTCACATACTTATTCAATGGCTAATGGTGTTGAGTATAATTTTACACATTTATTTAAAATGCTTGTTGCATTTTTGCCATCTATAAAACCTCTTCAGTGAAATATCTCTTCATGTCTTTTGGCCATTTCCGCATTGGAATATTTGGTTTTTATTCTTGAGGTTTGAAAAGTCATTATATATTCTAGATACTTGTTCTTTGTCAGATGTATGGTGTATTAGTCCATCCTTAGCCTGCTGTAAGGACATACCTGAGACTAGGTAATTTATAAAAGAAAGAAGTTTAATTGACTCATAGTTCTGCAGGGCTTGGGAGGCCTCAGGAAACTCACAATCATGGCAAAAGGGGAAGCAAACACATCCTTCTTCACATGGCAGCACCAAGAAGTGCCAAGCAAAAGAGGGAAAAGCCCCTTATGAAACCATCAGATCTTGTGAGAACTCACTCACTATCATGAGAACAACCTGAGGGTAACCACCCCCATGATTAAATTACCTCCCACTGGCTCCCTCCCATGACACATGGTGATTATGAGAACTACAATTCAAGATGAAATTTGAGTGGAGGCACAGCCAAACCATATCGTATGGCTTGAAAATATTTTTTCTCACTCTGCAGCTTTTCTTATGGTGTTGAATATAATTTCACATATTTATTTCAAATGCTGATTTCATTTTTGCCATCTATGTATCCTCTTCAGTGAAATATCTCTTCATGTCTTTTGCCCATTTTCTCATTGGCATATTTGGTTTTTATGGTTGAGTTTTGAGAAATCTTTATATATTCTAGACACTTGTTCTTTGTCAGAGGTATGCCTTGAAAATATTTTTGCTCACTCTGTAGCTTGTCTTTTTAGCTGCTGAACAGGATCTTTCACAAAAAGTAAGTTCATGTTGTTAAAGTCCAATTTGTCATTTTTTAATGTTATGGATGTGCTTTTGGTGCCAAGTTTTAAAACTCTTCCTAGTACTAGACCCTGAAGATATTTTTCTATGTTTTTTCTACAAGTGGTATCATTTTACATTTTATATTTAAATTTGTAGTCCATCTTGAATTAAATTTCATATATAAGATGTGAGGCTTAAGTTGAGGGTTGTTTTTTTGGTTTGGTGTTTTTTGCCTCTGGATGTTCACTTGCACCAGCATCATTTGTTACGGTACTACCTTTTCTATGTTGGATAATTTTTGCACCTTTGTCAGAACTCAGTTGGCTTATTAGTATGGGTTAGTTTCTGGATTCTCTGTTCTGTTTCATTAATCTATATGTCTATCTCTCTGCCAACATCAGACAGTCTTGATTACTATAGATACACAGTAACTCTTGAAATTGAGTAACCTTATTCCTCCCAATTTATTTTTGTCTTTCAAAATTGTTTTAGCTATTCTGGTTCGTTTGCCTTTTCAACTGTATTTTAGAAAAATCTTTTCCATACCTAAAAAACGTCTTGCTGAGAGTTTAAGAAGAATTGTATTAAATGTATATGCTAACTTGGGGAGAATGGACATCTTTACTATGTTGAATCTTCTAATCCATGAACACAGTATGTCGTTCTATTTATTAAGATCTTGATTTTTTTCCACTAGCATTTTGTAGTTTTCAGCATACAAGTCCTGTATGTGTTTTGTTAGATTTACATTTAAGATTTATGTGCAAAAATCACAAGCATTCTTATACACCAATAACAGACAAACAGAGAGCCAAATCATGAGTGAACTCCCACTCGCAATTGCTTCAAAGAGAATAAAATACCTAGGAATACAACTTACAAGGGACGTGAAGGACCTCTTCAAGGAGAACTACAAACCACTGCTCAGTGAAATAAAAGACGATATGAACAAATGGAAGAACATTCCATGCTCATGGGTAGAAAGAATCAATATCGTGAAAATGGCCATACTGCCCAAGGTAATTTATAGATTCAATGCCATCTCCACCAAGCTACCAATGACTTTCTTCACAGAATTGGAAAAAACTGCCTTAAAGTTCATATGGAACCAAAAAAGAGCCCACATTGCCAAGTCAATCCTAAGCCAAAAGAACAAAGCTGGAGGCATCATGCTACCTGACTTCAAACTATACTACAAGGCTACAGTAACCAAAACAGCATGGTACTGGTACCAAAACAGAGATACAGACCAATGGAACAGAACAGAGGCCTCAGAAATAATGCCGCATATCTACAACCATCTGATCTTTGACAAACCTGACAAAAACAAGAAATGGGGAAACGATTCCCTATTTAATAAATGGTGCTGGGAAAACTGGCTAGCCATATGTAGAAAGCTGAAACTGGATCCCTTCCTTACACCTTATACAAAAATTAATTCAAGATGGATTAAAGACTAAATGTTAGACCTAAAACCATAAAAACCCTAGAAGAAAACCTAGGCAATACCATTCAGGACATAGGCATGGGCAAGGACTTCATGTCTAAAACACCAAAAGCAATGGCAACAAAAGCCAAAATTGACAAATGGGATCTAATTAAACTGAGGAACTTCTGCACAGCAAAAGAAACTACCATCAGAGTGAACAGGCAACCTACAGAATGGGAGAAAATTTTTGCAATCTGCTCATCTGACAAAGGGCTAATATCCAGAATCTACAATGAACTCCAACACATTTACAAGAAAAAAACAAACAACCCCATCAAAAAGTGGGCGAAGGATGTGAACAGACACTTCTCAAAAGAAGACATTTATGCAGCCAAAAGACACATGAGAAAATGCTCATCATCACTGGCCATCAGAGAAATGCAAATCAAAACCACAATGAGATACCATCTCACACCAGTTAGAATGGCGATCATTAAAAAGTCAGTAAACAACAGGTGCTGGAGAGGATGTGGAGAAATAGGAACACTTTTACACTGTTGGTGGGACTGTAAACTAGTTCAACCATTGTGGAAGTCAGTGTGGCGATTCCTCGGGGATCTAGAACTAGAAATGCCATTTGACCCAGCCATCCCATTACTGGGTATATACCCAAAGGATTATGAATCATGCTACTATAAAGACACATGCACACGTATGTTTATTGCAGCACTATTCACAATAGCAAAGACTTGGAACCAACCCAAATGTCCAACAATGATAGACTGGATTAAGAAAATGTGGCACATATACACCATGGAATACTGTGCAGCCATAAAAAATGATGAGTTCATGTCCTTTATAGGGACATGGATGAAGCTGGAATCCATCATTCTCAGCAAACTATCGCAAGGACAAAAAACCAAACATGAAGAGAACCGCATGTTCTCACTCATAGGTGGGAATTGAACAATGAGAACACATGGACGCAGGAAGGGGAACATCACACACCGGGGCCTGTTGTGGGATCGGGGGAGTGGGGAGGGATAGCATTTGGAGATATACCTAATGTTAAATGACGAGTTACTGGGTGCAGCACACCAACATAGCACATGTATACATATGTAACTAACATGCACGTTGTGCACATGTACCCTACAACTTAAAGTATAATAAAAAAAAAAAAGAAGTTAAAGCATAAAAAAATAAACATGGGAGTGCAAAAAAAAGATTTTAATTTTTTTGAGCAATTGTAAATGGTATTGCACTTTTAACTTGCATCCATGTAGTCATTACTAGTATACATAAATACAATTGATTTTTGTATGTTCATCTCGTATCTTGTGACCTTGCTGAACTCATTTATTAGTTCTAGTGGTCTTTTTGTAGATTTGTTGGGATTTTCTACAGACAATAATTTCATCTGCACATAGGAATGGTTTTATTTTTTCATGCCAGTGATTTTTTTCTAGTGAGCATTTCAATAAAATGCCTTTTATTGCATTTTCTTGCTTACTATTACTGACTAGAACTCACAAAATTATGATAAATAAGAGTGATGAGAGCTGCCTGACTTATTCTTGATCTTAGGGGGAAGCATTGTCTTTTACCATTTACTGTTCATGTTAGCTGTTGGATTTTTGGTAGATGTTCCTTATCAAGCTGAGGATGTTCGTTCTGTTGATATTTTCTGAGCGTTATTGTCATGAATGAATGAATGCTGAATTTTGTTTAATGCTTTTTCTGCATCAATTGATATGATTATGTGAGTTTGCGCCTTTTATCTGTTAATATGGTGAATTACATTGATTGGTGTCCAAATATTGAATAAGCCTCGCATCCATTGAATAAACACCACTTTGTCCTGGTATATAATTATTTTTATATGTTTCTGAATTCTATTTGCTAATATTGGTTAATGATTTTTTGCATCTACATTTGTGAGTAATATTTTCTTTTTTGGCACTGTCTTTATCCAGTTTTGTTACCAAGATAATATCAGGTTTATAAGACAAAATATTATGTGTTCCCTCCTCTTTTGGGTTGGAATTTGTGTTAATTCTTTAATTCTTTTTGGAACGTTTGGTAGAAAATTCTCCAGTGAAACAATCTTGGACTAGACATTACTTTTTTTGATGTTTCTAAATTATAGATTCAATTTCCTTAATGGTTAAAAGACAGTTAAAATCATCCATTTCATATTGGGTGAGTTGTGATAGTCTGTGTTTTAAGAAAGTGGTCCATTTCATTACAGGTATCAAATTTATACTTATAAAATTATTTATTATAGTCCCTTATTATCCTTTTAATATCTGTACAGTTGGTAATGACATCTCCACTTAATTCCTGATATTGGTAAATTGCATCTCTTTTTCTTTTTCTTCAACAGTTAATAGAGGTGCCAATTTTATCTTTTAAAAGACATTTTCTCTGTTTCATTGATTTTCTCTATTGTTTTTCTATTATCAATGTTATAGATTTCTGCTCTTTTTTTGATTCATAGATTGGAAGAATTTTCTAAAATCTTTTTTGGCTTTCTTGTGGTACAATGGTGCCCTTTCATCCACAGGGGATACATCCCAAAACCCCCAACAGATGCCTAAAATCCTGGATAATACTGAACCCTATATACACTATGTTTTTCTTATACATACATACCTATGATAAAGTTTAATTTATAAATGAGGCACAGTAAGTTATTAACAACAATAACTAATAATAAAATAGAATACTTATAACAATATTCTATACTAAAAGTTATGTAAATGTGTTCTCTCTCTCTCAAAATATCTTATTGCACTCTCTTCACCTTTCTTCTTGTGATGATGTGAGATGAGACAATGCCTACAGGATGAGATGAAGTGAGGTGAATAGCACGGGCGTTGTGATGTAGCACTAAACTACTCCTGACTTTCTGATGATACATCATAAAGAGGATCATCCGCTTCACATGATCCTGGATCGTTGAGCCATGATGATGTCAGTAGTTAGGTATCAGGAGCAGATGAAATCAATGACTAGGGGCGTGTAGTGTATACCACATGGATACGCTGGACAAAGAGATGGATTCACGTCCTGGGCAGGACATTGAGGTGGTGCAAGATTTCATCATGCTACCCAAAATGGTGTACAATTTAAAGTTTATGAATTGTTTATTTCTGGAATTTACCATTTAATATTTCCAGACTGCAGTTGACCACGGATAACTGAAACCACAGAAAGCAAAAGCACAAATTAGGAGAGACTGCTGTGCTTTTGCAAATTAAAAATTGGGCCGGGTGCAGTGGCTCACGCCTGTAATCCCAGCACTTTGGGAGGCCGAGGCGGGCGGATCACGAGGTCAGGAGATCGAGACCATCCTGGCTAACGTGGTGAAACCCCATCTCCACTAAAAATACAAAAAATTAGCCAGATGTGGTGGCAGGTGCCTGTAGTCCCAGCTACTCAGGAGGCTGAGGCAGGAGAATGGCGTGAAGCTGGGAGGCGGAGCTTGCAGTGAGCCGAGATCGAGCCACTGCACTCCAGCCTAGGCAACAGAGTGAGACTCCATCTCAAAAAAAAAAAAGAAAAAAAGAAAATTACAAATTGGATATAGCTAAGGTGTACAATTCCATGTTCTGATATATATTGTGAAATGATTATCACTAGCAAGCTAATTAACATATCCATCATCTCACAATTACTTTGTGTGTGTGTGTGTGTGTGTGTGTAGAACATTGAAGATCTACTCTAATAACAAATTTCAAGTGTACAATTCAGTATTATTAACTATAGTCACCATGCTGTACATTAGATCTCTAGAACTTATTCAGCCTGTGTAACGGAAATTTTGTAACCATTGACCAACGTCTCCCCATTTCCTCCCCCTGCCCCCAGATCCTGGCAACCACCATTCTACTCTCTGCTTCTGAGTTCAA